>NC_000009.12:70095552-70720552 GCF_000001405.40 Homo sapiens | reverse complement strand
GAGAATTCTCTACTGAAAAGGCAAAGTTTAAAAGAGATGATGATCAGTGATAAAATACATTTGAATAATGTGACCAGTCAGTAGGTGCTCTTGCCAAAGGATTAGAGAGCAAGTTCAAGTCTGTAGTGTAGGCCTGGCTCTTTCTTTATAACTAAGATTCTTTTTACCCTGTCCTGTAAATTGATGGTTTTCCAGGAAATAAGAGGAGATTGAATTCTGTACTTTAGAGAACAAAGAGGAAGTTGACAAACTGTCATGGTTCTTTTCTTCCCACCGGTAGTGGGCTTTTCTTTCAAGGGTCCATTGAGTAGAGGAATGAACTATACAAAATAAGGGGAAGTGTGGCTCCAGTGACAAAGCAGCTGCTTAATGTGGCCCCAAGGGCCAGCAGGCCTCTCTGATGACCACACAGGCTCTGTTGCTGCTCAACCTGTTGTTCTCTCAGTAGGTTCTTTACTTGCTCAAAAATAGTGACCATTGAAATTAATATGGAATACTACCTCTGACCTCATTGAGGCTTTCACTCATTCCCCTTCTGTCCCTCCACAAAATCCAAATGAGTGGAGAGGCCTGCCACAGACTACACAGCATGGGAATTCTAGCCATGTGACTTTCAGTAGATAGTCTACCTTTTTAAATCTGTGTTATCCCTACTGGAATAAGAATGATAATACTGAACATCACTGGGAAGATGTAGACTCACACATGTACAATGCTTAGAGGAGCGGTGGACACTGCAGTTGCTTTCATTACTGTTATTTAATGTCCCTCTTTGAATTTTTTAACTGCTGTTGCTTTAAAGTTTGTTTTGTCTGATATAAGAATAGCTATTCCTTGTCGCTTTTGGTGTCCATTTGCATGGAATATTTTTTTCCACTCCTTTACCTTAAGTTTATGTGAGTCCTTATGTGTTAGGTGAGTCTCTTGAAGATAACAAATACTTGGTTGGTGAATTCTTATCCATTCTGTGTCTTTTAATTGGAGCATTTAGACCATTTACATTCAACATTAGTATTGAGATGTGAGGTACTATTATATTCATCATGCTGTTTGTTGCCTGAATACCTTGTTGTTGTTATTGTTGTTCTTGTTGTTTTCAGTGTGTTTTTGTTTTATAGGTCCTTTGAGATTTATGCTTTAAAGGAGTTCTCTTTTGGTGTATTTTCCAGAATTTGTTTCAAGATTTAGAGCTCCTTTTAGCTGTTCTTGCAGTGCTGGCTTGGTAGTGGTGAGTTCTCTCAGCATTTGTTTGTCTGGAAAAGACTGTATCTTTCCTTCATTTATGAATCTTAGTTTCGCTAGATGCAAAATTCTTAGCTGATAATTATTTTATTTAAGGAGGCTAGATATAGGGCCCCAATTTCTTCTAGCTTGCAGGATTTCTGCTGAGAGATCTGCTGTTAATCTGATAGGTTTTCCTTTATAGGTTACCTGATGCTTTTGCCTCACAGCTCATAAGATTATTTCCTGCATCTTGACTTTAGATAACCTGATGACGATGTGCCTAGGTGATGATCTTCTTGTGATTAATTTTTCATGTGTTCTTTGAACTTCTTATATTTGGATGTCTAGATCTCTAGCAAAGCTGGAGATGTTTTCCTCAATTATTTCCTCCAATGTGATTTCCAAACTTTCAGATTTCTCGTTTTCCTCAGGAACGCCAATTATTCTTAGGTTTCGTCATTTAACATAATCCCAAACTTCTTGGAGGCTTTGTTCATTTTTTAAAAATTCTTTCCTCTTTGTCTTTGAATGGACTAAGGTAATTCGATAGCCTGTCTTTGAGCTCTGAAGTTCTTTCTTCTACTTGTTTGATTCTGTTGCTGAGACTTTCCAGTGCATTTTGCATTTCTCTAAGTGTGTCCTTCCTTTCCAGAAGTTGCTTTTGTTTTTTATTTATGCTATCTATTTCACTGAAGAGTTTTCCCTTCACATCTTATATCATTTTTCAAATTTCTTTGAGTTGGACTTTACCTTTCTCTGGTGACTACCTGATTAGCATAATAATTGACATTTTTGAATTCTCTTTCTGGCAATTCAGATTTCTTCTCGGTTTGGATCCATTGCTGATCTTTTGGGGGTGTTAATGAACTTGTTTTGTTTTGTCATATTACCACAATTGTTTTTCTTGTTCCTTCTCATTTGGGTAGACTATTGCAGAGGGAAGATCTGGGGCTCAAGGGCTGCTGTTCAGATTCTTTTGTCCCGCAGCGTGCTCCCGTGATATAGTATTCTCTCCCTTCCTCTAGGAAAGGGGCTTCCAGAGAACTTAACTGCAGTCATTGTTATTTCTCTTCTGGATCTAGCCGCCCAGCAGAGCTATGGGGCTTCAGGTACTGGGGAGTGTTTGCACAGAGTCCTGTGATGTAAACCGTCTTCAGATCTCTTGGTCATGGATACCAGCACCTGCTCCAGGTGGGGTGGCAACGGAGTGAAGTAAACTCTGTGAGGGTCCTTGGCTGTAGTTTTGTTTATTGTGCTAGTTTTGTGTTGGTTGGCCTCCAGCCAGGAGGTGGTGCTTTCAAGAGAGCATCAGCTGCGGTAGTATAGGTAAGATCAGGTGGTGGGCAGGCCCATAGAGTTCCCAAGAGATTATGCCCTTTGTCTTCGAGTTTTTCAGCTGTCTCTATGGGCCTGCAGCAGCAATCTGCTTCCTTCAAAGGGTCTGTGGATGCTGTCAGCTTTCCTGATGTGTTTTTGTGGTAGTTCTTGGAGCAAAAGCTCACAGTGTGAGTCTCCACACACTTCTCTATCTGTCTGACAGGAGCTGCAAGTTTGTCCTGCCTCCTATCCACCATTTGTTTCAGTCAGATATATATTGAATCAAAGATCACTATGAGGAACTGAAGAAAACTTTTGATAGACAGGTAAAGGGATGGGACTGTAATGCACAGGAAAGCAGGACCAGAATAGAAACATGTTGCAGCTAGTGGAGATACTTATCATGCCCATGAAAGGACTGTTTTGCAGAAGGAGTTCTAATTTTATTGTTTTCTTTCACTGGTTTGAGCCAATAGCCCATAAAGAGTATATAATAAATGTTGGTCTTAAGAAATAATCATCCGTCTCCCCTATAAATTCAAATATCACTTTTTCTTTTAGGTACCCATAACACCAATCACAGCAGATAACATTTGCCCAGCCACAGACATGATGTGATAATGTCCTATGCATTGCCTTCTTCAATCCCTAGGATAATCTTTCCACACTAGAGTGATCATGGTCCTCATTTTCCTGAGATAGCCCAGTTTGTGCTTGTGGCCCAGCGTAACTATTAATAGCAGCCCTCCACTTACAAAGGTATCCTGACTTAAATTATAAATTATATGGTCATCCTGCTATTATCTGCATTTTACAGATGAGGAAACCAAGGCACAGTAACATCCCCAAGGAACACAGCTGAAAGGGACAGTAAGTTTCAGAGCATGCTCTCCTGAGCCCTATACTATTAGGATACAAAGTTTATGTCTGCTACAAAATGGCATGCAACTTAAAAAAAGAGCAGGCCTTATACATTTTTGTGTCCCCTTACTACACCTAGCACAGTGACTTTCCACAAAATTGGTGTTCAATAGATGTAGTAAGAATGAATGAGAATAAATAAGTCTTTCCTAAATCCTCCATTAGGAAAGAATATTGTAGGGATGTCCCATCTTCAATCTTTATAGCACTATAGATTCTTGGTGAATTTCCCAGGTATAAGGGGCAGAACACAGACTCCCCAATGTATTTGTTTGGGAGATATACAAGCCCTTGACTCCTTTTTCAGTTGTTAAATACAGTAGACCCTATAGGATAGGGATAGACTCTCTTATCCTAAGTGACAACCTATTCCCAAATAGGGATTTTTCTCATATACACAGGCCAGTGTTACTCCTCCAGTCAATTGAGTAACAATTCTTAGCTCAAAGACCCTGAAAACTCAAAAGTCTTTAGGGAGTTCTGTGAAACCTCTGAAAATGCATGCAAGATTTGGAGTGTGCTTGCATATCATAGGAAGATGAATACAGTCCTCAGATTCCCCAAGGTATCAATAACTCTCAAGAGTTAAGAACCACTGCTCTGGGGTCCTCTCCGTGGTAGCAACTAAGTTAAAATCACAGAAGCCATAAACTCCTCATAGTCCTCAGAGGTGCCACATTTGGATAAATATTTAATGTTCTTTAAGCATGTTTTAAGTGTTCAAACGTACACATTTCTCATTAACAGTTTTTTTAGAGGTAATCTCTTCCACACAAAACAGTCAATTGTGCATTTTAGGAAGTCATCAGCTTATAAATGGGCTGTGATCCAGGGATCTATTTACAAACCGGAATCAATTTTCTCATCAAGCAATGTAAATAATTAAGCAAAAGTCTCATTTGCTATAAAGACACTGGGAACAAGAAACCAAGAAATGTGGTAGGAAGAAGAAAGAGATTGCCACCCCCTTCCTCGGGACAGGATTGATTCCAGAAAATAAAAAATAATAGGCAATGTTTCTTTTCAGAACCTGTTCCCTCTTCTGCAGCATTGCTCCCAGGGTACCCCCAAAATCCCTAGAGACACACTAACAGGACTTCCCCATCATCCTTCCCCAGCATTACCCGTCTCCCACGTCCTGCAGCTCCATTTCCTCACCACAAACGAACTCACCTAGGAATCTGGAGGCTAGTGGCATTATTAAGTTCACACTCATGTATGTGGGACTGATGGCTCTTTGACCTCATAATGTGCTTGTACTTTCAGCAGAGGACACATATTGATCCAAAGGAATGACTGATTGGGGGTCAAGGCAGTATGACAAAGTCAAGGGGAAATACAGGTCAGAGGGGTTAGGAAGGGGTGGGAATGCCACATAAAATGCCGAATCTTCTTAGCAATCTCCTTCTATGCAACTCATATTCCAATCATTCCCAAACTCTGCTTCCTTCAGCATCTCCAGTGTGGGTAAGGGTAAGGAGAATAATGGAGACTGAACATAAAGGACCCTGGGCCACTCTTCTTCTGTTTTAAATTTATTTTAGTTCTCTAACCCTTCCCAGTAAAACTAATTTGACTAAAGGACACAAAACTAAAGTTTGGAAATCACTGCTCCAAAATAAACAGATATTTTCCAGCTTATTCCCTTTCTCCACTTCTGATTCCACAATATTTGTTCAAACCTATAAGTTTTGTTGCATTTTTCACCCGTTGTATTTTAGTAGAGGGTTGAGAAGAAAATAGACAGGAAGGAGCTAGGGAAACTATCTATATGCATAGATTACTTGTAAGCCAGGTGTCTGAAAACCAGATACTTTGTGCTTTCTCTTCCTTGCTAATCAGTTGACATAAAATACCTCCTATTATTTGAATACATTCATCTACACTTTCTTCTATATCAATATTTATGCTTCATCTTGTTAGAGGTGATGCTTAGTAAATGAATACATTCATCAGATTTCAAGGTTTCAGCCAAGTGCGTTGGCCTGATGTAGAGCTCAATATATCAGTCTCTCAATATATTACCTACCTTCATCAAACCCAAACCTTGATCTGAGAAAATTATCCTAATTGGGGAAGATATATGTATACTGCCTAAAGACTATCAATCACTTTATCATTTATCTTTGGCTTTTTATCTGTTTTACTTAACCATCTTCTCCCTTGAAGGGTATTTAAATGTTTTACCAGCTAACCTCTCCTTTATATTAAATACCATTTCTCTTCTTTCACCTTCTCATCTGACTTTCTGTGTTTCCTTTATTCTACTGCCCAATTCCACTGGCTTTTTTTTTCTATTATTATTATACTTTAAGTTCTAGGGTACATGCGCACAATGTGCAGGTTTGTTACATATGTATACATGTGCCATGTTGGTGTGCTGCACCCGTTAACTCGTCATTTACATTAGGTATATCTCCTAATGCTATCCCTCCCTCCTCCCCCCCACCCCACGACAGGCCCCAGTGTGTGATGTTCCCCTTCCTGTGTCCAGGTGTTCTCATTGTTCAATTCCCACCTATGAGTGAGAACATGCAGTATTTGGTTTTTTGTCCTTGCAATAGTTTGCTCAGAATGACGGTTTCCAGCTTCATCCATGTCCCTACAAAGGACATGAACTCATCCTTTTTTATGGTTGCATAGTATTCCATGGTGTATATGTGCCACATTTTCTTAATCCAGTCTATCATTGATGGGCATTTGGGTTGGTTCCAAGTCTTTGCTATTGTGAATAGTGCCACAATAAACATACGTGTGCATGTGTCTTTATAGCAACATGATTTATAATCCTTTGGGTATATACTCAGTAATGGGATGGCTGGGTCAAATGGTATTTCTAGTTCTAGATCCTTGAGGAATCACCACACTGTCTTCCACAATGGTTGTAAGAATTCCCTTTGAAAACTGGCACAATTCCACTGTTTGTTATGGGCACATGGCTATCAGCTGTGGTGGCCAATACTCATGCCTTGCCAGAGCTGGCCTCTCATGGTCATTTCCATAAAGATGTGTCTGCTTCTGACTGAGGCTTCATTCACCCCCATCCCTGTGGGCCATAATGTTGCCCTGCAGCAAACACATGATTATAGTGTTCTTTTTTAATTCATAGAAACATAGACACATTCAGAGGTTTCGAGCGTTAAGAAACTGAATAGCAGTGGTTCCGCATCTTTGGTTGCACATTCGAATCACCTGGAAGCTTTAAAAAATACTGATGCCTGGATCCCACCCCTAGAGATTCTGATGTAATTGGCCCGAGGTATGGCCTGAGTGTGAAAGATGTTAAAATCTCCCCAGGTGGGACTTTCTGATCTAAGAAAATTCTTGCATCAGCACCATTACCACTTACACATTGTATTTGCTACTGTGCCTTTGGGCCTAAGAGAAGGCCTGCTACAATTTGCCACAAAAAGATGGGCTTAATTTTTCTTGAAAAAGCTCTAAAAACTCATTTATATGAAACCCCTCATTTTCCAAGGATACTACCAAATGAAGCAACATTGCACATTGAGAGCAGGCCTGGTGGATGTTGGGGCAGAGAGAGAGAGCATAATTAAGTGAAATTGACTCTAAATGACTTAATTTTCAATATTGTGATCACATCTTTCTCCAAGCACTTGGCCATGATATAACAAGTGGTGAGAATGCCCACCTGGGATTCACCACCACATCACATACGAAAGATGAGATATTCAATAATAAGAGACAGAAAAGAGGGAGAAGCACTCACTGACCAGAGAAGGGAAGGGAAGAGAAAAAGGGAAGAAAGAATAAATTAACACCTAGCATGCCAATTGCTTTTTGTACTCATATCTTCCCCCACAACACTAAGAGATAGATAATGTTGTTCCTATTTTTAGGGACAAAAAAAAGTGTCTGGAGAAGATAAATAATTTGCTAGAGGTCATTCAGCTGTTATGTCATTCAGTGGCATGGTTTGGCCGATGCCTACCTCTCCTGTCTTGCTGTTATCATCCTATCAAAGACCACTGCCCTAATTTTGAAGGTGAGACCAGAAGCAGAGAACATAGACTCTCTAAATAGGAGTGAAATCAAGTTCTCTTGCTACTTCCCACCAACCTGGTTCCAGTGGGAGAGAGGTCAGGTCCCCACCAGGGTGAGTGGGGATTACAGCTTTCAGCTCCAGGTGGCAGCAGGCTAACTTAAAAAACGAGAAGTGGAGCTTCAGTTTTCCTGGAACCCTCCAAGGGGCCACACTGCAGTTTTATTTGGTCAATGGAGAAACAGAAATTTTGTCAGCAGGGTCTGGCAGGTGCAGCAGGAATGCAGACTGGAGTGTGAGTCCTTTCATCAGACCCCAGGGTGTGGGCTGCAGGCTACTTTTACTCTGGAGCTAACAGGAAGACAGCTTTGGCTCCTGTGGAGAACAGCAGATAATTCACCATAATGCACCATCCTCTCACAGAGCAACACTAAGATATGATCGAATGCTAATGATTCCAATATAGGCAAACTATTGCATTACAACAAAATAGCTTCATTTTACTTCCAAGACTGTTGGGGGAAGACTAATAACCAAAGGGAGAAACCTTCTTACAACATGGCATGTTCTTGTGACAGGTTCTCAAGAGAGACTTTCCCCAGGAATAACTGCCAGTCCTTTCATCCTATGTGTCTCTCGTGTTCTGGCACTGGTCTCTCATCTCAGCCACTCTGGTATTCAGTACCTCAAACACACCAAGTTTTGTTTGGCCTCAAACATTTGCTAACATCCTTTCTTCTACCTGGAACCCTTCCCTCCAGCCTTCACATGTCTGGCTCCTTCATATTCTTCTTTCTCAGCTTGTACATCACCTCCTCCAGGAAGCCTTCCCTGATCACTCTATATAAAGCAGTTTCCCCTTTCCTTCTTCTCTTCCTTTCATAGTGACACTTATCATGCTTAGCACTTCTCTTATATTTTTACATTTGCATGTGTTTTTACCTGTCTGCACCTTTTGCCTCTAAGGAGGCATATCTATCTTGCCCATCATATCACCCGTTTCTAGATTCAAAGAAGATGCTCAGTTTAACAATTTGCTCAATAAATTAATAAGTGAAGCCCAGGTCGTTCATATCTGATGCGGTATTTTCTCTCCTGACTCCCCTTTTTAAAGTTACTATTTATAGAGGAATCTTTCGGGCCCTATGCTTTGTACTTTGCACCTATTTCACTTAAGACTCAAAACAACCCTATATCATAGATATTATTTATCCAGTTTTACAGATTAATAACCTAAGATTTGAGAAATTAAGATTTTTTGCCTAAGCCAACACCATAACTGAAATATCCAGGATTTAAGCACAAATGTGTCTAATTCCAAAGTTTTTGCTCTTTTCACTCTGTGACACTAAGGAAAAAAAGACACTGTTAGAGAGGATGGATAATCTTTCTGAAGAACTGAACAACAATGATGCCTTTACTTTATCTCCCTTCCTCTCCTTTTATTTGTGCATTTCTCCTCCAAGCACCCACATTTCACATTGCCAAAAACATGCACGATCACTGGCAGAAAGCAAGGAAATAATTCCTGTCAGAGATAGCACTTCCTGGAAACAGTGAAGTCAAAAAGCCACTTTGAATGGCAAGTTTCTTTTCTATGACTCTCATGGAAATCTCCTCTCTTAATGCCTATATTTCCGGTGCCTCATTGCAGGTGTAGGCACATCATACCCAACCCTGCATCATCAGAGAGATGCCTCTGGACTGGCTGAGAGCACTGGGGGAAAGGTACTCTGCCCAGAAAACACACCCACCAGCATCTCAAAACTCTGGGCTTATAAGTGTCAACTTGCAACTTCCATTATGGACAAAAAGAAAAGTGACTGGAGGAGAGGACCCCAATCCTAACACAGATAGAGCTTGAAAGTGCCAGGACTAGTCTTCAGCTTCAAATGCCAATGTTCCAGCTCTGGCTAAGACATAGTGTTTCTGGACAACCCAGTTTCTATCCAGTCCTCAATCATCTACCATCCATGAGCCATAATCTCTGTCTTCCTCTGCCATTGGTCCTCAAGGCTCTCCATGCCCACCGCGCCTGATTTATTTCCTTGTGTGAGTTGATTTTGTCATTCTGCCAGCTTAGCAGTACTTGATAGGTTTCTCAACCCCAATAGGATCAGTCAGAGGGCTCAGAGCAAAGGTTTTCTGATACTACCTTATAATATGCCAACTAACTCTCAGATGTCCTCTGGGCACAGGCACACAGAGGGCCAGAAAGCAGAGCAGATGCCAGGCACAGCACATATCATACACAAATAAACCGGGGCATATGCAACCGAAACTCACTGCGAAAAATTCAAGATGGACATGTATATCTTTTGAAAGCCAAATCATCATTCAAAGCTATAAAGTATAGAACACTGAATGGACATCTAGGATGTACTCAGGAACTGCTAGTGACATCCATGAAGTAGGCTTCAGCTTGAAACATTCATTCATATTCTACTCACATCCCTTCTAAGTCACATATGGCAAGATGAAGTCTCTGCCTATTGCCTGCAATAGACTTCTATTTATCAAACTACTTCTACAATCATTCATTCCAGAAACACTTATAGAGTGCCTGCCACCTGCCAAGCACTATTCTAGGGGCTAGGGATACAACAGTACCTGTCCTCATTCAGCCTACATTCTAACAGAGAAGAGATTGTAAATAAAGAAGAAAATAAATATATGGAAAGGTACCAGGCAATAATATGTACAATGAGAAAAAAAATTAAAAGAAGAACTTAATAGGTGCAGAGCAATGAGATGGGATGGGATAGGACGAGGTGGGGTAAACCTCAGAGAGGAGGAGCTCTCTATTCACTGCTGTTCCCCCAACACCTAGAACAGCACCTAGCTCAGAGTGAGTGAGAGTATAAAAAGGGGGATTGGAGAAGCCCTCCCTGAAGATGTGATACTTAAAGATGAGAACCTAGTACTAAGTGAGGGAGCCAGCTGCCAAGCAAAGATCTGACGGCAAAATATTCCAGGGAGACGGAGGAGTGGGTGCAAAGGCTCTGAGGCAGGAACATGCCTGTCGTGTCTGAGACACAGCAAGAAGGCTGGTGTGCCTGGAGAAAAGCAAGTAAGGCCGGCAGTGATAGGAGATGATGCTGGAGAAGCAGAACATGATAAATAGTTTAGGTTTTATTCTGAGTGGGATGAGAAGCCATTAGATGGTTTTGAGCAGAGTAATAATATGATCTAATTTAGAGTTTTAAAGGATCATTCTGGCACCTGCCAAATATATAAACTAGGAGATCATTTAGGAGACTACAAAGTAATGCAGGCATTACACTCCAGTCCAGTGTAGGTGCTGTGGGCTGAGCTAAGAGATGGTGAGAAGTGGTTGGACTGGAAATCAAGTTTGAAGGTGGAGGCAACAGGACTTGCTGTAGATGATGGGTATGAGGTAAAGAGAAGAGTTCTGGATTATTTCAAGGGTGATTGGGGAAAATGGAGTTGCCTTCTAATAAACCAGGGAAGCATGGGGAAGGGGTGGATTTTTGAGGAAGTGGAAACAAGAGTTTTGTTTTGGACATGATAATTTTTAGATGCCTACTGGACATCCAGATAGTAATAAAGGAGGCGGTTGGATTTATGACCTGAACTTCAGGGAGAAATCGGAGTAGGAGATACGAATTTGAGACCAATTAGCATATAGACTGTATTCCCACCATGGAAGATAATGCGCTTACTGAGGAGGGAATGTGGGTGGAGCAAGGAACAAGAGCTGAAACCCAAGCACTGTGACATTTATAGATGGGAGAGAGAAGGAGGGCCCCACAAAGGAGACCTGAAAAGAAGCAGCCAGTGAGATGGAAAGAAGACCAGAAAGATGTGATGTCCTAGAAGCTAAGTGAAAAAAGAACTTCCAGGAGAAGGAAACCATCTTGTGCTAATATATCACATACTAAAAGGAATAAAAATTTGCCACCAGATTTAGCAAGATGGAGTTCACTGATGACCCTGAGAAGTACGGTTTCAGTAGTGTTACGGAAACAAATCCTGAATAGAGGCCATTCAACAGAAAATGAGACTGGAGAAAGGACACAGAAGAGATTCTGCGCTATAGGAAAAGAAAAACTAAGGGAAGAAGCTGAAGGAGAATAGACAGCAAGAGATGATATCACAATACTCTTGTCCATAAAAAAATATACCATGGTCTTCAATACTATTCTATCAGTATTGGAAGACACACGACTCTGGGGAATCTGAAATAGTCAAACCTGTAGAAGCAGACAGCACAGTGGTGGTTGCCAGGGGCTGCAGAGAGGGGGAAATGGTGAGTTGCTAGTTAACAGGAACTTACACAAAATAAGTAAGTTATAGAGATCCATTGCACATTTGTCCTGTAGTTAAAAATACTGTATTTCACAGTTAAAAGTCTGTTGAAAGGGTAGATCTCATGTTAAATGTGCTTACCATGCTTTTTTTTAAAAAAGGACAAAGAGATTTCAGTGGTTATCTTCCTTCTCTTTTAAACCCAAAAGAAATGATATCAAAATATTTCTAGCCAATGGCCACTGAGGAATAAAAGAGGCTTTGATAATAATAATGCTAAAAAGCTGCATATTAGGTATTCGGCAATATGTGTACGTATGTATCTACATCTATCTACCTACCTACGTATCTATCTTCCCCATTCTCATTTAAATCTAAAAACCATTTTAAGAAGTAGGCACTATTGCCATCTTTCTTTTCTAAATCTTAGAGAGGTTAAATAATTTGCCCAAAGGACACAGAAAGTTAAGAAGCAGCATCAAAATTTAAATCCAGCCTTGTTTGAATAAAAAGCTTGGATTCTTTCCATTTCTCTCTTCTAATGTGAGAAGGATACACTTTTAACTCTTCAGCCCAGAAATCTTACCTTCATATGATCTGATTAGACAGAATGCAATCTAGATGACCTCTAGTTCCCATCCGGCACATCTTTCTTGGATTCTGTGATTCATTTACATAGTAAGAGTTTTCTTTCATATTTCATATTAATTTCACATTTCTCAGTGAACAGTCATCTTGAAGTTGAGTATAGCTTTGATCCAGTTTATTTTTTCTATTGTGAAAGTAATATATACTAATTAGAAATATGCTTATTATAGAAAATTTTAAAACTATCAAAATATAAACAGAGGAAAAAGATCTTCCACAGCCCCACAACACCAATGACTTTTGCTGAATTTTCTTCTAAGGTATTTTTTTCTGTGTATAAGGTTTTAGGTTTATTTTACGTTGTTTTGAACACAGTGGTAATCATGTTGCATATATCTATACAGTGAAAGTTTTCATTTAGCCATAAAATATTTACATTTTTTCATGCTGTTTATAAACATATTTTTAAGGCTGAACAATTCATTATTTCATAGAGTCAGATCCCTCCCCACCACTGAAAACATTAGGCTGAGTTTTAAACTAGGAGGAAGTTACCAATAGCACCTAAGCCCTTTTAGCGATGGTTTTAGAAAAGAGTACGTATCTGGTTATAAGGATACCCAAGTCTATGCTATTAATATATTTTTCTTCCATTTCTACTATAGTTCTCAAAACTTCTTTCTGCAGGATATCTACCTCGGCAAATATAAACTTCAAGGTTATCCTGGCATCAGTGTTATTACCCTATTAAGAACACTTGAGAAAAGTTCATATTGATTAGCATACCACTCCCACGTCTGCCTAACAAAAGCTTTCCTAAATATTAAAGTTGAATGTGAATGCTGTGCATGGACATCTACTACAGACTGCATAATATTGTAGCATTTGAATGGAAGCAATTGTTAAATACCATAATACAGAAATGACCCTTAGTGCTTGCCCTTCCCACTCATGAATTTCATATAATACAATTTATTTAATGTCCAGACATTTTACTGGGCAATTTTAGTGAGTGTCCTAGACTCTTAGGCACCATGGAGTTTGACCTTACTCAAAGCCTACTGCAGAAGCTTTGTCCCCTGAATACACAGTCCATGTGAAAGAGCCACAGGAGAAGAAGTCATTGTATGAGAAAAAGAAATATGAAGACCCAGCCTGTACTTGACATCTGTGATGAATGCAGCCTTTCAATGATGAACTCCTGCCAGCCCCACCTCAATTTGAATTTGCATTCTCCATTAATGTGGTTATAATGCTGGCCCTGGTCAAAGTCCCATCGTAAGTCTCCTGTTTCCTGGGTATAATACAAACATCAAGGTCACATACAAGCCAGCTGTTGACTAACAAAACAGTGAACTATTATTGAAGTAGCCTTGGGCCACTGTACAGAGTATTCTTTACATGCAACAAAAGCTATGTTGGGGACAATGTCAGAAATCAATTAGAACCACCAAAGATAATCTTTCATTCTCTCTCTCATACAAGCTCTATTTCACTTTGTCTTTCTTTTCCTTTTGAATTGTTTTGCAAGCAGTATTACCAATAAATCTATATCTGATCAGAAGTGGTTCATTTTGTAAAATATTATTGAAATCAAATTATTGATAAATAAGTATATTTTTATTGTTTGAACTGTTGGTACCTAGAGAAATGGTATCTTCTTGACTGCTTTGCCTCTCATTAGTATTTACATTTTTAAAAATTTTTTAAATTACTTTTTCTATGCATTTGGGAGCAAGAAATATAGCCCTTGGATTTTGTTGGAGCCAAAATACTGGAAAATATAAGGAAAAGCTTGTTTTTACAGGAGAAGACACACTCTCTAGCCCAAAGCCTAATTTTAAGCAGTTTATAGCCCCCATAACTAGCATTTACTCTGCATGGAAAGATATTTGAGGAAGAGGGCAACTACTGAGGGAATGAAGGATTTACAGTAGCAGTTGTTGGAATAACTGGACCTCAGCCTGTCCAACATTCTCCCAGATTTATAACACAAAATTACCATATCAGAATGAGACTCCAGGGAGCTAAAACAACCGATTGACAAGCTGTTCTGCTTCCTGTTAAGGCTGAGCTAGGTTTCTCTCCTTCTGGACCCTAAAACATTCAAAACTAGGCCAAGTTTTTAAGCCCCTGGTGGAAATTGCCTGCTTATTACCATTTCATCATTTTGTCATTATAAAAAAGCAAACACAGGGAAGTTATTTGCATAAAACAAGACAAAACAGTTACTCTTATGCTCCTGTTTCTGCTATCAGCTCTTAACACCTCACGGTAAATTTTTATTTATATTAAATGTTAACCTGACCAACTCATATTCTGTATTGGTCACTTCATAGAAACTTAAAGGACAGGCAACAGAGCATCACCAAAGGAAAGAAACTGTAGAGATCATTAAGATTAAATCTACCCCTTCAGTTACAGATGAGGAAACTGGGACTTTAAATAATGACAACAATAGCAACAACATTTACTGAACACTTTCATTATCCAGGTTACTTTTTAAGCCCATCTATTAAGTTAGTCCAATTTCTCCAAGTATATACCAGGGTCTTTTTAAACTGTTTTTGTGCATATTAATTTATTTTTCTCACAATTTATGAAGGAGATAGTGTTTTCATCTGTAAAACAAGAAGTTACAGCCAGGCACCATGGCTCACACCTATAATCCCAGCACTGTGGGAGGCCAAGGCTGGAGGATCACTTGAGGCCAGGAGTTCAAGATCAGCCTGGGCCACAGAGTGAGACCCCATGTCTACAAATAATTTTGTTTTAATTAGTCGGGCAGGGAGGTGCATGCCTATGGTCCCAGCTACTAGGGAGGCTGAGGCAAGAGGATCGCTTAAGCCCAGGAGTTCAAGGTTACAGTGAGCTATGATTGCACCACTGCACTCCACCCTGGATGACAGAGCAAGACCCTGTCTCAAAAAGAAAGGAAAACAAGAAGTTAGATGACTTGCTCAAGGCAAGAGCCACTTAAGTGGCCTGATATATTATATTGTTATACATTATTATATTATTTATATTGTTATTTATATTAAATTATATTAAATATATATTATAATAAAATTATATTGTTATATAAGAAATAATAAATATTATATGTTGAAACATAAGTTTCAACATATGATGTTTATTTTTTATTTTTACAGAAATCCATTTTTCTAAAAGCTTCTATGCATTGTCTGTTTCATTCAAGAGTATCGCAATAGGTCCATTATATGTTACTGAGGAAAATCAAGGACAAAATATGCTATATTCCATGTAATAAAGATCCTCTGATTTCATAAGATATTGCATTGAAATATCATCCCCACATCTGAAGAAAGTGTTAAGAAAATATCTGTTGAATCAAAATCTGAATTTCAGTCTTAGAGTCATAATATGGATCATCTTGATTCAGTGACCATATTTTGGAAGCTAAAAATTTAAAATAGATGGTCTTGGATGTGAGCTAAAAACTGGAGAGAATATTTGAAGCGGGGATTATTCCGGGAAATTCCATTTTTATCATCAGTGTGTGTGTGTGTGTGTGTGTGTGTGTTTAATGTGTATATGTGATAAATGTATTTGATGTGTGTTTAAGTGTGTGTGAATGTAAATGTAAAATGACTTCTTAAAACCTGATGATTTTAGAAACCATAGGTAAAGCCCAATAACAATTTGGAGTAGGAGTGAGAACAAGAGCATCCAATATTCTTTCACAAGGCAGTATTTGTACATTACCAGCTCCTCCCTGATTGTATGCCAGTTCCAGAAATGTCTTTTTTCCAAGTCCATATCAGAAAGTTAGGATCAGTCACTGTAAAAAGGTATGTTTAGGACAATTGTTTCAGAAAACTGCTAAAATATGCTTTTCTGTTAAGTGACTTGTGAGTTCTTTCCCAGTCCTTGCCACGTTGACACGGGTGGTTCTGTGATTGCTGAGTGTGTTCAATGAAGCAATGCTTGAAAAACAATTGAAACTCTGAGTTGATTGGGCCTACAACAGCAGTCTGCTTGAAATTACAAGCTGGGCTCCTTGAAATGAAACTTGTCATGCCCAGCAAAGCTGTTGACTGCCTCTCACCTCTGGGAATTTTTGGAGGAACTGAACTAGCCTGATGGATAGGTTCTAAACACCAAGCAACTTGGAAAATGTCCCCAAGCCTGCCCCTCTTTCAAAGCATCCAGGATGCTTGTGGCTGTGGGTTGTTTTCCTTGTTAGTCCCTGGCAGCATGGTAGTTATGCTTTGGGTAGCCTTTCGTTTAAAGAGGAGGAGATGGGCCTGCGCGGCAGCTCTCACCTGAAATCCCAGCACTTTGGGAGGCCAAGGAGGGCAGAACGCTTGAGCCCAGGAGTTCAAAACCAACCTGAGCAACATAGTGACACCCCATCTCTACTTTTTTAAAAAATTAATTATATATGTTTTTAAAAGATGATGAGATAATTGATAAGTTAATGTCCTCAGCAATTATAGGGCTTACCATTCACATATTTCTCCTTCTGAAAAAGAATTCTTCTTCCAGTTACCCAATTTATTTTAGGGACTGCCTTACTTGTCTCAAGCCTTAAGCCCATGGAGTTCTCATATTTGGCTAGAACGTGGCATTAGCTGCTTTTTAGACTGACACCATAATTATGAAGAGCCACTAAAATGGTATTTTCTCAAACAGACCCTACTGCCTAATAAAAGCTAGGTTTTTCTTTTCTAAAGAGTGAATAAAAACGAAACCTCATTTATTTTCAAGGAATTAGAATTGTCTATTATACCTGGTATAAACCCATGAATTTTCTTTTCATTCAGAATTTTAGGGACCTATTGAGTAGTACTTAATTTTGTAATTGTCCTCACTGCTAAATTTAGCTACTAAAAAATCCTATTTTTTTATTTGAAATAACCATGGCTCCAAAAATGTCTCTATTAGGTACATCTTACTCATCACCTAAAAATTATATTTGCTCTTTTAGCTAATAAAATTGCTGTAATAATGAAATTTTTGAGGTTATAAACTTTGAGCTTCACCTACCTATAGTTTCTACTGTGTAGAAACAAAAAATCATGGTGTCCTTAAAGTTTAGTAAAAAAGGGATGATTAAATTTCATCTACCCAGTATCTACCCAGTCATCCAAAATTTGAGATAAAGGGCACAAGTGATCCTAAAGACAGGCACAGTGTATACAAACACACACACACACACACACACAGTCTCCCCAGGCCTTCACACAATGCCTGACACTTTAAAGGCTCTTCGTTAATACATTTGAAAGGGCGGGAAGAAATAAAGAAGGAGAAAACATAACCAGCTGAAGTGCAGGGTTTGTATGAGACAGGGACTAAGCATTTGAATGTTTCTCGAATGTTTGTATGCCTCTACCTGTACATAACTTTCAAGCTAAGGAGTACTTTCCTGCAATGGACTGACAAGGGAGAGGTTAAAAAGGAAAGAAACATCTCTCACTGATGTCCATAAGTGAATAGCAAAGTGACAGACTCAAAGACAGGCACGGGACAGAAAATAATTACGTTGTACTTTGTGCAACTGTTGCCTCACTTAAATGCAGCAGGTTTGTAATTTCTAGCTAAAAATATACACCTTTTCATGCTATTTTACCAAGCCAACTTTTTGGAATTCGACTTTCTTTAACAGCTTGCTTTATTCCATGCTAGTTCTACTTGTGGGCATTTAGAGAATTCTCTACTGAAAAGGCAAAGTTTAAAAGAGATGATGATCAGTGATAAAATACATTTGAATAATGTGACCAGTCAGTAGGTGCTCTTGCCAAAGGATTAGAGAGCAAGTTCAAGTCTGTAGTGTAGGCCTGGCTCTTTCTTTATAACTAAGATTCTTTTTACCCTGTCCTGTAAATTGATGGTTTTCCAGGAAATAAGAGGAGATTGAATTCTGTACTTTAGAGAACAAAGAGGAAGTTGACAAACTGTCATGGTTCTTTTCTTCCCACCGGTAGTGGGCTTTTCTTTCAAGGGTCCATTGAGTAGAGGAATGAACTATACAAAATAAGGGGAAGTGTGGCTCCAGTGACAAAGCAGCTGCTTAATGTGGCCCCAAGGGCCAGCAGGCCTCTCTGATGACCACACAGGCTCTGTTGCTGCTCAACCTGTTGTTCTCTCAGTAGGTTCTTTACTTGCTCAAAAATAGTGACCATTGAAATTAATATGGAATACTACCTCTGACCTCATTGAGGCTTTCACTCATTCCCCTTCTGTCCCTCCACAAAATCCAAATGAGTGGAGAGGCCTGCCACAGACTACACAGCATGGGAATTCTAGCCATGTGACTTTCAGTAGATAGTCTACCTTTTTAAATCTGTGTTATCCCTACTGGAATAAGAATGATAATACTGAACATCACTGGGAAGATGTAGACTCACACATGTACAATGCTTAGAGGAGCGGTGGACACTGCAGTTGCTTTCATTACTGTTAAGAGCTCACTTCTATTCCTACCTTAAGCAGTTATATTTATTTCACTTAGCAACTGTTCTCCTTAAGAATCTAGATATGTTCAATTCTTAACTTCCTAGTAGAGATTAGCAGAAAGAGATCAAATAAAAATAATTAGAAAATGTTCCTGCTAAGAATATGGCAATCCCTAATTTATCAAATGGTCCCTAATACAGATCCCTTAACTACCCCAGAATATATGCAAGAATCAGAAAATAAGAAAATTAAAGGAAAAAAAGACTAATTTGAAGCCTGACATTGATATGAGACAATCACTAAATTCCCCACAGTCACAGGCATTAAATGCCACAGAAACCACCGCTTCTGTGCTTGGTTTTGATCGGGTGCTCCTGCCCAATGCAATTAGAAATCAGGGAGGCACAGTCAGTGAGAGTGGTGAGGACAGTTAGTCACACCATTGAGACAGAAAACTATAAATAGCAGACACGTGAACTCTCCCTGTGAGCAGTCCGGGGCCATTGAGAGAGGCCCAAATAGCCTATCATCCCTGACAGTCAATGAGAACATCGCTAAGTCACAACAAAAGATAATAATGGATTTTCATCCTACTTAATGTTGTCTAGGAAGATAGATGTGTCTATTCCTTTTTAGAAACGTTTTCATCCAAGAGAATTCACTTGTTTTTATTTGGCATTAATGGATAACCCATACTTGACTAGAAAATTTATAGAGCACTTCATTCTTCAATATTTCTACATAAAATAGGCATCATTCTAGAACTACAATCATTATAATGGGGAGATGTGAAAAAAAATGCCAGCATCTGACTGAAGTGGTAAATGTGATTTGAACATTTTTCCAAGTGTTCTTTGTGGAAAAGTCATTGCTGGGGAAATGGACAACCTGCCCTCTACAGTAAAATCATACCAGAGTTGCTTTCTGGGACAACGTTTAGCATATTTAGCACGTTTAACATTGCCCAGTCATGTGATTCACAAAACCATTGTATGTACATACATGTGTGCACGTCTACATAGTTCCTTATTGCTATGATAGGCAAGTGGATGTGGATAAAACTTCTCTCCAGTTTCACTCTCCAAAGAGATCAATCTGATGAAAGTTTCTATTTTTTTCATCTGGTATACACACACATTGTTCTATGGCAGTTATCGTCTAAAAAGCTGTTGACAGCCTATAAGTTTTGCCAAATCCGTTTCTTTTCTCACTATTTAGAATCTCCTCCAGGCTGCGATATAGCTCTGTTCAAAAGCATTTTAACAAAGAGCACAGTCTTTTTGCTAACCAGAACAAAAGCAAGGTTTCCAGGGCAGGGGGGCAGTAGAGACTCTAATTCTGATTCCACTGCAGAGTAGAACTTTGTCTGATTCATCGCCCCCCTATCCCGGCCTCCACCATCTTCCAGGGTCCTGCCCTGGGCTTATACTCAACCTTTGAGTCAAAAAGGATGGAAGCTCTTGATAAACCTGTCACTTTCCCCCAAATCATCCTGGCTTTCCTGTTTCTGTTAAGAGCAGCCCTTGGCCAGATGTGGTGGCTCACGCCTATAATCCCCGCACTTTGGGAGGCTGGGGCAGGTGCATCACCTGAAGTCAGGAGTTCAAGACCAGCCTGGCCAACATAGTGAAAGCCCTTCTCTACTAAAAATACAAAAATTAGCCGGGCATGGTGGCACATGCCTGTAGTCTAAGCTACTCGGGTGTCTGAGGCAGGAGAATCGCTTGAACCCGGGAGGCGGAGACTGCAGTGAACCAAGATCACACCATTACACTCCAGCCTGGGCAACACAGCGAGACTCTGTCTCACGAAAACAAACAAACAAACAAACAAAAAAGAGCAGCCCCATGCTCGCAGCACTGTGGCCAAAGAACTTGGAGTCATCTTTGATGCCTCCCTGCCCTTTATTCTTGTAAGTCAACATGCCTTATGATTCTTCTTAGAAGTCCCTCACACACGGCTTTGCCCCTGCATCACAACCACACTCCACCCCTATTCCAGGCCCTTATTATCTCATCTCAAGCCTGGTGCAGCTTCCCTGAAGCTGGGCCCCACCTCCAATCCTCACTCCAAGATTTAGTTACCTCTAACAGTGTTTTACTTTAGCAAGAAAGCCTAGAGAGGCTCCAGATCTGAGGTCAAATCTTGATTCTGTCACTTATCAGCTTAGTGATCTTGAGTAACTACTTCAATCTCTGAGCCTCACAGGATTGGTGTGAGGATTAAACCAGGTAATGTATATAAAGTGCCTGGCTCAAGGCCTAGTGTTTAGTGAATCATTGAAGATCATCCGTAGCTTGTCCCAGACTTGCTTTCTAGCTTGATTTTTTATAAGTTGCCTTTTCTTTACCCAACCCTCCAGCAAATTGACTATTTGCACACTCTGATTTTAATGTTCACTTTTCTCTTATTTTCTCTTACCATTTTCTTCTTCCTGCACCTCCCCACCACCAAACTTTGCTATTGAAATTAATATAGTCCACAAAGTCCAGGCCAAATCCTCATCTTCTCCATGACGTCTTACTGTGTCATCCCAGCCAGAAATGACCTTTGTCTCCTTAGCCCTTAAATTCTTTCCTAGAAAAAATTTTCTTGTCACTTTTATCACAGCTTCTTGATTTTGGTGATATTTGAATCTCTATTTCTCCCCAAAAGCAGTTTTTAGGCTGCTAATGATAGAGGCTGAATATACATGGGGATTTACATAGACTATTTGTCATTTAACAAGGCCTTAACTGTGAGAAAGAAACAAAACAAATTGTATCATTTTGCTGAGGATGTGTGTTTTCTGTGTGTATTAGTTCGTTCTTGCATTGCTTTAAAGAAATACCTGAGACTGGGTAATTTATAAAGAACAGAGGTTTAATTGGCTCATGGTTCCACAGGCTGTACAGGAAGCATATCAGCATCTGCTTCTGGGGAGGCCTCAGGGAGCTTTTACTCATGGCAGAAGACAAAGTGGGAGAAGGAGTCTTACATGGAAGGAGCAGAACCGAGAGAGAAGCGGGCAGTGCCACACACTTTTAAACAAAAGATCTCATGAGAACTCACTCACTATACAGTACCAAGGGGGGATGGTGCTAAACCATTCATGAGAACTCTGCCCCCACGATCCAATCACCTCCCACCAGGCCCACCTCCAACACCGGGGATTACAATTGAACATGAGATTTTGGTGGGGACACTGATCCAAACCATATCACTATGTTTAACACCTATACTTTCTCTTGCTGCAGACCTAGTGTCAAATTAAAACTCACCCGCTTTTACTGTATAATTCAGTAATAATAATGTTAGCATGCGTGTCTCAGGGCTATATGCTAAGTACTTAGTGTACATTATCTCACTTAACTTTCAACAGAAAACAATTCCAATGGGAAGTATAATTACTCCCACTTTTCAGATAAGGAACTTGAAGTTTAGAGGTGGCAAAGAACTTGTTCAAGGGCAGACACAGCTAGTAAGAGACAGGACGGAAACTCACATACAAGCAAATTGACTCCAGAGGCTGCTTGCTCCAAAACTCTGCTGTTACATGGAGAATCGGCTTGAAGAAGGGGCAAGGATATAAGCAAGAAAAATTCTTTTTTTTTTTTTTTTGAGACAGAGTCTCGCTCTGTCACCCAAGCTGGAGTGCGGTGATGCGATCTCAGCTCACTGCAACCTCCGTCTCCCGGGTTCAAGTGATCCTCCTGCCCCAGCCTCCTGAGTAGCTGGGACTACAAGCTGATGCCACCACACCTGGCTAATTTTTGTATTTTTAGTAGAGTCGGGGTTTCACCATGTTGGCTAGGCTGGTCTCGAACTCCTGACCTCAGGTGATCTACCCTCCTCGGCCTCCCGAAGTGCTGGGATTACAGATGTGAGCCAGCCCAGCCACAAGGAAACTTCTTAATGGGGCTATAGCGGTAACCTAGGAGAGGGGATAGTAGCCCAGACCTGGAATGGTGAGAAGTGGCTAAATTGTGGATTTAATGTAAAGGAGGAGACAAAAGAATTTGCTGGAGAACCATATACCATTAGTGGTATTAACTACTGATAATGACAATTATACTGATAATTACTCTTCTTGAAACTTCCTCACAAGTAGTCAGAGAGGTCCACTTAATTTTTTACATGTGACATGCAACAGTAAAAACAATCTTAAGAGAAACAGAGAGGAAAGAATTACTCCTCTTGGGAGAAAAGCTGTCACTCCTAAACAGTCATTCTAAAAAAAAAGTTAATAGTCTGAAAATCGTAGCCTATAATTTTTATGCAGAGTTTTGACCCTGGAGTAGTTAGCAACTATGACTTGTGCAATGGGCATAATAATAATGAGAATAAACTCAACTATTCAGTGATAGAATGTATGTACGTTTCTATGTCCATATTGGCTCAAGGAAGAGAGAGAGATTACTTGGGTTTAGGAACCCAAAGTGATAATAAAGCTGATAAACAGAAATGTTTTTTCTTTGATTGAATTCCATCTGAGCTTGAAATAATAGAACACTTTTCAAAATAAGGTTCATTGTAGATGGGGATAATATGACAGGGCCTTAGGCTAATAGTCCCTTTTACCATTAAAAAGAAAAGTCATGTTTTTCCATTGTCAGATCAGAAAATGAAGTTTTACGTGAGGACTTGCATTCTCCCACCAGCTTTAGTTTTAATTTGTCAAGCTGGTTTGCAGGGTAAACCTACTGGGGCTGCTTTTTGTTTCCCTTTGTATTTCCATTCTTGTCATAAGACAAAGGACGCTGCTTTGCTTCTTCTTCTCGAGTGGCCCTAGAAAAATGCCATGAGGAAAGCACAAATTGAAATTGAAAACTGAAAAAAGGAACAGAAAAAAAAGCAGCTTCTCCAGGCCCTGCATTGTGTAAATAAACAAGGGATTTTCTCTGCCCGTGGGACTGAGGACAGACACACAGGAGCAAGGAGAGAAGAACAGCGCCCAGCACCTGGCAGGCAGGTAGACTTACAGGCAGAGAAGGGTCTGGGGGGATTAGATTTCTGATAAATGACCTTTGTGATTTTCTTCTTTATTTGTCATTGTTTATGACAATAATCATCATGTTAAAATATAATCTCGTATCTGTTTACAAATGCTTTCAGATATATTAAACAAAATTTAGGATTATCTTGGGTCAAGCACAAACTCCAGAATGTCCTGGCATTGGCCCTGCGTGTCCTTCAAACACGGGTTTGCGCACACATCCACAGAGCAACCCAGAAACTTTTCTTTCTTTACCCTGTCTCAGGCCATGAATTTATTTTAATATTGGCTCTTATGAGCACATGGGAATGTTCCTGACCAAATGATAGTATCTCTTTTGCCTATGATTATCCTACAAGGCTACAAGCAAAGTGAGTCCTAACTCTTTAAGATCTGAGTGTCCCAGGACAGCACTGAGCCTGTTTGGCCTTTACTGGTAAGACTGAGGATGTGTATTAGGAGGAAACCTGATCGGTCTCCGGATGGGAAATAATGCAGAAACATACTGGCACCACAGCCCAGACATTGGGCAACTAATACTCCTTCCGTGACTAACCTGAACCTAATCGGGAGTGGTCAGTATTGGATATATTCCCCATCTAAAAAGTACAGGCTAGACTTGGACTGAGATTGGAGGAATTATTCCACAAACATTCATTGGGTGCCCAAAATGCGCCAGCCATACTACTGGGTTAAGGGGATGTAGAGATAGAATAGAACGGAGGGGAAGATCCTTGCCCCTTCTTCAAGCTGATTGTCCAAGTAACAGCAGAGTTTTGAAGCAAGCAGTGTCTGGAGTCAATTTGCTTGTACGTGAGTCTCTGTCTGGTCTCTTAGTAGCTGTACCTGCCCTTGAGCAAGTTCTTTCCCTTGCCCTCCAAGAAATCAAAGGCCATTAAAGGATGCAGATAAGCAGTAGGAGAATGGGCCTTCAAGCCAGGCTGTCTGGGCTCGAGTGTATCTCAGCCTTTCCGCCTGCATGGTTCTCCATGTGGTATCTAACCTCTCCGGCGTCAAGGTCATCAGCTGAGAAATGGGAAGAGTAACAGTAACTAAGGAGTATCCTTTTGTGGGATTGGATGAAGTCATGTTTGTGAAGTGCTTGCCCAGTGTTTAGCATGTCGTAAGTACACAATAAGTGACCATTAGTAATGTTGTCACCAATGTTGGTATCGTTTGTGCTGTGATAGAGGCATATTCACATAGTTCAGAGGCAGCACGGAGGCTAGGTGTCTAACCCAGGCAAGGCGTAATTAGCACCAAGATAAGCTTGCAGAAGATAACTGTGCCTCAGAGCACAAGGAACAGATAGCCAGACAGAGCTTCAGGGACAAGACAGACCAGCAGAGAGAACAGACTGGGCAAAGCTGCCACAAAGGGAGAGAGAGCATGACCAGGAAACACGCCAGGGACAGCAATGGAAAGGGAATTAGCAGTTACTGAGCCCATGCTAGCTACTAGAAATTGTGCTGTGTGACTTAAAAAGATGATCCCACACAAAGATTTGCAATAATCCTGAGATAGAGTCATCCTTATTTCACTTATTTGAGGAAGAAACCCCAAAGCTCAGAGAGGTGCAGTAGATGGCCTAAGGTTATACTGCTACTAACTGGCAAGATTCAGTTTTGCATCTGTATGATTCAAAAGTCCATGCTCCGTACACAATCTGTCCTCTCTGAGCCAGAGTATAAAATACATCCAGTTGTTGTGAGGGGCATGGGAGCTGTGGAAAATGATAACCCAGGAGCTAGGCCAAGAAAGTGCCAGTGTCTGCAGTAAAAGGCTTGAGCATTGCTCTGGGTCATGGGCATTGATGGGATATTATCAGCCTAGGAATAACGGGTTTTCCCGAATAGGGGGAGGGTTGTCACGTGACACTTAGCTTACTTTGTAGGCATAAGAACTGGGTGAGTCTAACTGGCTAAGCATCAACAGTGTGGTATTTGTGGTGTAGAATAGAGATCATGGTGCCATGGTCCAGCCGAAAAACATATGAACAACATTTTTAAAATGGTAATTTGCCCTAAGCTAATGAACAGATTCCCTAAAACAGCAAATGGCATGGTGGCTTACGCCTGTAATCCCAGCACTTTGGGAGGCCGAGGCGGGTGGATCACGAGGTCAGGAGATTGAGACCATCCGGGCTAACATGGTGAAACCCCATCTCTACTAAAAATACAAAAAATTAGCCGGGCGTGGTGGCGGGTGCCTGTAGTCCCAGCTACTCGGGAGGCTGAGGCAGGAGAATGGCGTGAACCCAGGAGGCGGAGCTTGCAGTGAGCCGAGATCGCGCCACTGTGCTCCAGCCTGGGTGAAAGAGCAAGACTCCGTCTCAAAAAAAAAGATTTTCATATGGTACCATCCATGAAAACCAACGTCTCTTCCTATGGATGTTGTTAAGGAATTAATGTATGAAGTAGGAGACAGGGCCTATTAGATGCCCTAATGCTGATTTTCTACCATTCTGAGCCTGAGGAAAGAAAATCTATGGCTTCTAGAGCTTAAAAGATCTCCAGTCACCAGCTAGTCAAACTTATTTTTTTTGCAGATGGTAAAACCAAGGTTTAGAAAAGGGACGTGATTAGGCCAAGATCCTTTCAACACAGGACATCTGCCATACTAAAAGGACCTCATACGGTCAGTCTCACAAAAAAAACCCAGGAAACTAAAGGCAGTGACCAGTGACACAGGCTGAAATGGATGTTTTCTTCCAAAACATTTCCCCTGACCTCCATGGCAGAGTCTCTCAGAGTCTCTAAAGTGAGTGTTATTTGAGCAGCTCTCTCCCACTGCTCCACCAGGCAAGGTGCCAAAGGGGCAAGAAGGCAGATCCCTCAGCCTCAGCGAGCTTATACACCCTGCCATTAGGATGTTGGTCTCTAGTGTTCTTCATAGTTAAGCAGGAAGGGAAGAAGAAGTAAAATGTATCTTTTCCTAAAGTAATCAGAAAATCCGAACTGCTATTTTTTGTACCCTCAAAGGTCCCTTTCGCTGGTTCTGATTCAGGGTTGCCCCACCCAAGTTAGATAAGGGTAAGATTGGCCCAGTAACAAGTGGTATGACCTCCTGGTGGGCAGGTCCCCAGAGAGGTAAACCAAGGGCATCTGGTCTACCAACTGGAACGTGTCAAGATTGTCACCAGGGGAACTGGACTAGTTTGAGTAGGGAGGCAAGAAAACTTCTCTGTCTATAGCACTTTATGATACCTTCATGACACTCTCTCGCCTGGTGATAGTTTCTTAAAAAAGGGCTCAGGCTGCAGAAGTATTTGATGTCCTGACAAACATGAAAGGGAAGTACAGAAAATATAGTTCCATCTTGTAATGATGAAAAAATATGACAAAATGTCAAAAAAAAAGCGCTAAAAATGTTTACAACCCCATAAGAAATCCATATGGTGTTGGCCTGGAAGAACTGTCTCTGGTTCTGGGTGTTCCTTCTCAGAGGGATGTCTACTAATTTTTTCAACCATCTGGTTGGCTGACAAGATGGAAGGTAACAAATATTCTGAATTCTGCTAGCCAAGGCCATGAGATATATAAAGAAGCTTCTGGAAATATTATTGCTGGACCTGTGGCATCTGTCACATTAGCCTCTAGTGAGGTACATTACACAGTTTTATGATCAATGAAAGAGGTAACATCAATTGCCAGGAAAAGGATTGAAAGCAGGGAAGAGTAGACGACACGTTGTCATCTAGTTCCAACCCCCTAGAGAACCTCAATGAACTTTTCCTGTAGAATTACTAGATGAAGAATTTTCACTTGTTTCCATTTTTTGCCCTCATCACAAAATCAGCAGAGCTGCTTTCTCCTGTCCTCCTGACATGTCACCTTAGGATCAAAGACTGCTCTCTCAAGGATGAAAGATATGTCAATCATAGGTCCAGGGAGGCTTGGTTGAGTGACTGACCCATATTTTAAAATTTTCTCACTGTGATATGTCATATGTGCTTTAAAAAACCCCAAACCTCATGTTCACTGAATGATTTCATTTGCTCCTCCAGTAATATAAGCCAGCACTGCACTGCATAAGCCATATGCAGCATTCAAAGTGCTAAAGCAAAAATCAGGAAAGTGAAAATAGGAGAGAGTGACAAAGTCAATATGTTTTTTCAGGACCCCTTTTCCAAGAAGCGAGAGCTTAAACTCATTCTGGCAGTTGGTAGTAGTGCAAATAGAGAGGAATAAGAGCTGATTCTGCGCATGGCTCCTCCGCCTCGAAGTATAAAGGCTACATTCTCAACATATGCACATGCCTGTGTTTTGCAGTGCCATTTTAGAGCAATCACCTCTCCCTAGGACTTTCATCAATGGGACTGGAGTGCCATCACAGCAAATCTGGTTCAAGGACAACACAAGCTTCCTTTTACTGTAACTTGCTTTTATTTGCTAAAATACTCATTTCTAGCTACGAGGCAATTTATGACAAAAGCCCCAAACTTCTAGGGGTTATTTTTAAAACTAAATGCTAAATATAGAACAGGACTCATACATAAAGATGTTCATCACACTATTATTTATATGAAACATTTAGAAACTTTGTAAGTGTCCAGCAATGGGGGTATTAAGTGAACTACAACACATCTATTGGACAAAATACTCTGCAAACATTAAAAATTATGTTTTGAAGAATTCCCAAGAATACAGAAAAGTGCTTGGTGATAATGTTAATGGAGAATAAAATGAGACTACAAACTAGTATTTCACAAATATGCTCTCCCCTTCCCCCCACAAACTCTGCCTATGGCAGGGGGGAAAAAAGAAAGCCCCGCAAGCGTGTCCAACCCACCTTATTTTGTTTTTGTTGTTCTGTTTTGTTTTGTTTTAGACTTTTAGCAGCCTAAAGCCATGGATTTTAGTTTCTGTCTCTAGTGATAAGAGGAAAAGAGGGATGAGGAAGGGGGCTTTACTGGCCCAACCAGAAACAGGAACTAAGAACCCATGACTGTATACTCTCCCTGGGACATGCAAAAGGAAGCATACCAAAATATCCTCAGTAGTCTCAGTAGTGTCTTTGAGTAGGACTTGAGGTTTGGGGAATTATTTTTCATTGATCTTTTTCTAAACTTTCTATAATTTTTAATGATAAGTATGCATTGCTTTTATAATAAGAAAAAAGAAATGATTTTCTGTGTTGGAACCTGTAGACCTCTAGCCTCTGAATTGCATTTCTTGGGAGGAGAAACAAACTCCAGGGTTCTTAAATGACGGTGGGAGGAATAAGGGAAAAAAGGAATGAGGGATTAGAGTCAAAAGCAAAACCTCTGTCGTTCTCTGGCACTCTTCACTAATTGCCAAGTTGTTCATCCACGATGATCCCTTGGGAGAGTATGGAGTTGAGTGGTGCTGTGAGTGTGCTTGAATCTATAAGACAATCTCCTACTTAAAGTAACCTAAATCAGACTATGTTTTCTAAAGTTAGACATAATGCACCTTTAAAATAAACTGACAAGTCCATTGTAAAATAAAATATCCTTTTGAAAGTCAAATAATCGCTTATTTTTTCTAATGTATAAATTCATACATGAAAGTCTTATAAGACATACTAGAATCATATCAATTTCACCCAATTTCTAGCTCCCTAGCATCACTTTTAAGTCACCCACTTCGACCTAAAACTTTGAGACTTGTTCAAAAATATTACACGAAAAATCAATATTTAATTTATATGGAACTTGGTGACAAATAATTGAACTTATCTGATATTAATTTTCTAGTAGAAATTTTGCATTTCACTTTCCACTGATCTTTTGTTTGCTCAGTTCCAGGTGTGTTTGCATTTCCTAATTTTCTCCAATTTCCTTCCCTCCTCCATATAAATCATCATGTTCATTTCTAGAAGTCAGTCTCTTTGGCAAAATGTTAACATTAAGAATTTTATCAACCAAAGACAGTTTTTCTCAAAGACTGAAAATCGAATACGAATATGTTTTAGATGCATAGTATTCTATTCATCAAGTTGGCATTGTTCTCTTCCCTGTACCAAGTCAACTTTAATTACGCCAAAGAGAAAACAGAAGCTAATATGTGCTTACAGGCATTTCGTTGCTGATCAGGAATCCTGTTTGGATCCCTATCAAGAGTCTTGTATCATTTCGTATCTTGATGAACATAGATTTTTGTGTTTTCTATTAATTGCTGCATTATTTCAAATTATTTTAAATACTGATGATTCATCCAGGAAACATTATGCTAAGCTGGCGGCTTTTAAAAGTCACTGCATTAGCTTCTCCCTAGCCCTGGAGGTGGGGTTAAAAATAAATAAATATAAATAAATATAAATAAATAAATAAAAAGTTATTTCATTGTAGCGACTGAATTGCTTACTGAGTCTAATTCTCTTCCTGTTTCCCTGCTTCTATCCTTGGTAAACACATTGCCAGATTCTATGAAAAAACTGAGTAGGAAAATAGGAAATATTTCAGAGATTAGTTTATGAAAGCCGAAGATGTACCATTTTTAGTGTGCTCAAGCCTATTGTTAACATGATTATAGGCAGACTGTTCTAAATTCTTAGATGATAAGAACTTTCTTTGTTGATTATCTATCGTATAGCTATGAGAATATTTCTAAAATTCTCAGACATGTTACAAACCATTTGTCAAACTCAGATATCATTTCTTACATATCTAACACAGCATGAAATGATTGTAGAGTGTTCCTTTATATTTTTTGATAGATTGAACCAAACTGTCCTTGCAGCTTATAGATGCTTTTCACTCTAATATCATGTTTATTTTCATTTTCAAAAGCTCTACTACATCTTCATCTCTATTTTCATGGATTCATTGCTCACCGTGGCATACATATAAATCACAAATTAAGCTAATTAATAGATACCTTGAAAGTGAGTCAATTTCATTGTCCCAATATTTTTTATATCCTTATCTTATTTAACTGTAAGACCTGCTGAGTTTTAGAAATGGAAAGTCTGTGACTAACTCAGCCACATATACTATGTCTTGTTATTTAGGTGGTGAATATGCCTATTTTTTTCCCAGAAAATGAACCAAACTCTTTTCAAACATAAAATTATTTCCATGTTTCTGCTTGGTTTTTCTATAATATATTCCTGCTTTGAGTCTTCAAGTTTAAACTATATAGAACCAAAGTTTCATATGTATTAGTGAAACATGCTTTAGGGTAAATTGGTGCTGCCTATGGCTCAAAAATGTCACACTCATATCAAGTCTCAAAAAAATAGCCTATCATTCTCTTATTGGTTCCGTCTGTGCTTTGTTACTTCTTTTTCCCTGTCTTCTTTTGGATTATTATTACTTCACTTCATCTCTCTTGTTGTTTTTTTTTTAAAGTAATTTAGTGATGGTTACTGTAGTTGTTGCTTTGGGACCTACAGCATAACACTAACTTTTCACAGTCTACTTTTCAGTATTCATCGATAGTGTAAAAACCTTAAAACTGTGCCCTTCTATTGCCTTTCCCTGCCTTTATGCTAATGCTATAATATATTTTACTTATATATGTTATAAATTCTACAATGTATTATTATTGTTATAAAAGTCAGTTGTCTTTTAAATAGTTTTAAATAATAGCAAAATATACATTTACCCATGCAATTACCACCCCCCAAAAATGTTTTAAATAATGCCTAACCTGAGGCAGCCCACTTTCTATCCCATAATGCTTGACTGGGTGATTGACCCCTGAACAATAATAGAGTGTTCAGTAGACTCTTGTGTTAAAATTGGCTCTTGACACTTGTGACAAACTCTTGGTCTGTGGCTTAATACACCACATTCACTTTGCTATGTTACCATTCTTGTGTTGAATGTACTCCTTTTTAATGTTTGCTTCTTTCAAACCAGTCTCCTAAACATAACCACTTGGTAATAATTCATCTACTCAACAAATGCTTACTGAGCAAGGACTAGGACTCCTGACTGCAAATAAACTGCTCTTCAGTGCAGAGAGATGTGTGCAAATAGAGATTGGAAGTGGCATCCTGGAATGCCTTAAGCTTAGAGAATCATAGGGGCATGAAGAGAAAGCAAGGGTTGGATCCTAGTTACATTATAGAAGAGAGCTTCTTAAATGCACATGTCTACTGAAAGTCTTCTAGTTTGTTCACCAAGCAGAGGGAAGGGTATTTCAGCAAGGAACTGAATGAACAAAAAGGCAGATAGGCTAGAAACAACGTAAAGGATCCTGAGAGGAGCAAGATGCTCAGCCCAGCTAGGGCATCAGGTACGTGGGATTGGGTCATGCTGTGATGGTGGGAGTGCAGTCAGCAAGAGATAAGACCAAAGAAAGGATTGATGGAAAACCAAGTCTGGTATGTTTTCACTAATAAGTAGGAGCTAAGCTATGAGGATGCAAAGGCATAAGTATGATATAATGGACTAAGGGGATTTGTGGGGGAAGGTTGGGAGGATGGTTGGGTACAATATTGGGTACAATGTACACTGCTCGGATGACAGGTGCACTAAAATCTCAGAAATCACCACTATAGAACTTATCCATGTAACCAAAGGCCACCTGTACTCCAAAAACTATTGAAATAAAAATAATTTTTTTAAAGTTTTGGGAGTGTGACATCAGCAGTCTTTGAATGCCCTGCTAAGAATTTTTAGCTTTATGTCATAGGGAATGAAGGCCACTTTAAACGTCCTAATATGGAGAGTGATATAATCAGGCATGGAAGATGGCCTGAACAGCTGCACAGAGACTAGAATGAAAGGAGGGATGGACAGGACCAGAATCAAGAAGACTAGCAAAAAAAGGAGTGTAATAGTAGATGCCACAGACTGAACAAAGGCTGACAATGAGGACAGAGAAAGAGAAGTAGATAGGAGGAAGAACCCATGTGGCAGAGAACTTTTCACTGTCTGGCAGATCATATGTTTTACTTACTTTTGCTCTGTCTTCCCTTTCTAGAAGGCAGGTTCTATGAAGGCAGGGAGTTGTTGTCAGTGTGGTTCACTGCTCCATTCCCAGCACCTAAACGGTGCCTGGCACAGAAGAGATACTCAATTAATATGCCCAATAACAAATCAACTACATGCAAGAGGGTGAGAGTGACAAGTGCAATGTGCAGATTTCTGACTTTTAAGGGGGCACAAAATAAGAGCAAGCACATACACAGGAAAGCTGGTTGGCAGGCGGGTTGGTGGGATGGAGAAAAGGGGACCATATCAGTTTGAAAGATTTTGCTTCTCTTCAACGTGAGAATCAAAATTCCATCTAGCCTAAGGTAATCTGTCCACAAGAGAGCAGAAGATATAATCCATCAAACTGAATTCGGAGGAAAAGTGTTTTTTTAACAAAATGTTTTGATGTTGAGTTTTTTGGGATTTTCAAGAAGAATCTCACTGTATTCCATAGTGCTTTGATAAGATCAACTACCCAGTTGCAAACATCCAAAAGTTTTAGGGTGCATGTTGAAAATACCAATTTTATAGTAAATAAATATCAGACTTTACTAAATCACCTACAAAATGATTAAGTTAATAACTTTTACTTCTACCCAATTTAAAATCTTTTTCTATTAAAATTCATATTGGTGAGATTTGATAGAATGAGCATATATGCCTATCTCCCTTCCTGCTCCTCATCCTCAAATAACACAAAAAAGACAAAATCACAAATATGTATATCTCCTCAGCAGATTCTATAAGTGCTCATCATGAAGGGAGAGGGAAAAGTATACCACATTATGAGACAAGAAATTTTTAGCAATTTCTGGAATGTTAAAGGAGGTATAGAAACTAGTGTTTCAGATCCAGCGCAGTGGCTGACACCCGTGATCCCAACACGTTGGGAGGCCAAGACGGGCAGATCACTTGAGCCCGGGGTGAAACCCTGTCTCTAAAAAACATACAAAAATTAGCCGGGCATGGTGGTGTGCACCTGTAGCCCCAGCTATTCAGGAGGCTGAAGCAGAAGGATCACCTGAGCCTTGGGAGGTTGAGGCTGCAGTGAGCCAAGATCATGCACTCCAGCCTGGGAGACAGAGTGAGACCCTGTCTCAAAAAAGAAAAAAAAAAAGAAAAAGAAAAGAAAAGAAAGAGGGAGGGAGGGAGAGAGAAAAGGAGGGAAAGATGGAGGGAGGGAGGGAGAGAAGGAGGAAGGGAAGGAAGGAAGGAAGGAAGGAAGGAAGGAAGGAAGGAAGGAAGGAAGGAAGGAAAGAAGGAAGGAGTTTCCAGGAAGGAAGGCAGGAAGGGAGAGAGGGAGTGAGGGAGGAAGGAGTTTCCAGGAAGGGCGGGAGGGAGGGAGGGAGGGAGGGAGGGAGGGAGGGGTTTCCAAATTATTCTAGGAGAAAAGTATACACTATGAACAGTTATTTCAGTTACCATACAGGATCAAAATAAAGGCAGGGAACAGGAAAGGGCCCTGAGAGTAAAATCAGAATAATAAATTAAAGAACTCCCCTCAGAGTAGCTAATAGGCCAAGAAATTCCATATCTACAAAGTTTATTTTACTGATATACTCACCCATGTGCATATACAGATATTCACTGCAATGGCGTTTGTAATAGCAAAAGATTGAAAATTGATCCAAATGTTCATTAGCGGAAGACTGGCTAAATAAGTCATGGTACATGCATATAATAAAATATTCTACAGCCAACAAATTATGATATCTATGTATATATACACATATATCATTATTTGTATATATGTATATGTACATATATGTGGTTTTACATACGTATGTGTGTATATACATGTGTGGTTTTACATATGTGTGTGTATATATACACATGTGTATATATTACATATATTAATACATGTATATATGTATTAATATGTATATACACACATATATACCCATATATATACACATATACCTAACCATATAAACATATATATGTATATGATTAGGTAATTTATAGGATATATATAAATCCACTGTAATATTAAAAACACAATTTTTAGTAAAAGGAAATAAATTACATTTAAAAATGAACGAAAATGACAGTGCATATAAAAAATGTGAGATACATAATTTTAAATGCATTAATTAGAAAACAAGAAAGAATAAAAATAAATTGACTAGGAAGTCAACTTAAGATTCTATGAAAAGAACACCTAAGGAAGCAAAAGTAGAAGAAATGAATGGATAATGATAAAAGATAATACTTTAAACTGTATGTAATAATATTGGGCCAGGCATGGTGTCTCATGCCTGTAATCCCAACACTTTGAGAGGCCAAGGTGTGAGGATGGCTTAAGTCCAAGAGTTTGAGATCGCTCTGGGCAACATAGTGAGACCCCCATCTCTACAAAAAGTTAAAAATTTATCAGAGAGTGGTGGTGCATGACTGTAGTCCCAGGTACTCAGGAGGCTGAGGTGGGAGGGTCACTTGAGCCTGGGAGTTCAAGGTTATACTGAGCTATGCTCATGCCATTGCACTCCAGCCTGGGCAACAGAGTGAGACCTTGTCTCAGAAAATAACAATAATAATAATATTGATCAATACAATGAAAAACTGATTCTTTGAAATGACCATGATTTTGATATAGTGAAACAGAGAGAGGAATGAAAACATTGCCATATAATTCTGGATATAAAAGAGATTTTAAAACAGTAAGAGAATTCTATGTACAACTAAATAACAATAAATGTGAAAATTTGAAATTTTGGGATTTGATACGTTGACATAAAATTTCTTGATTTTGATATTCTTAACAACACTGGGTCTTATTTGCTAATATTTTATTTAGGATGAAATAAAATATTAGCAAAATGTTGATGAAATGCTCGATTATCTAGAAAAACATGAACTTGAGTCAATGAGAGGCAGAAAATCTCAACTGATCAATAACTGTTGAAGAAATTATAAAGATAATCAGCAATCTATCCATAAAAATGGTCCGGCACCAAACAGCATATAAACATCCTGCTAACTCTGCCAGAAGCAGGTGAATTCCTTTGTTATAGGGACTATCTGCAACATGAAGGGGAAAACGTTCCCAACTCAGAAGGTTAGCGTAACTCTAATACCCAAACCAGATAAGACTGGTGACAGGTACCAACCTCACTCACAAACATCATTGCAAAAATCCTAAATAAAGTATTAGCAAATAAGATTCAGTGTTGCTAAGAATAATGCATCAAAATCAAGGAATTTTATGTCGACATACCATCTCCCAAAACTACTATTTTAATTCACATTCCCTCCAAGAATATTTAAGAATACCTGTTTTTTCCATCTCTGCCAACATTGATGGGTGATAGGAAAGGAAGGCCTTAGTTTTTCTTTGACTTTTTTTTTCTGAAGCAGATATGAAAAATATATAATTAATATTTTTAAACATTCAAATTTCAAATAAAATAAAAATGGAGTGGTGATGAATACATAATATCTCAGGTTAGTCCAGGCAAGATTATAATGTAACTTTCTCTTTGGAGCCTCCAGCCTCCCCTTGGTCCTCCCTTTTCCTCTTTTTAAGGCATCCTTCCTCCCACACCCTGGGTCACTCCCGGGTCCTTGGGTTCTGAAACCAGCACAAGGATGGGGCATGAACAGGTGAGCAGTCATTGCCCCCACATCGGTTTTCCAGAAAAACTGTGAAGCCCTGTTGTACCAAAATATTCCAAGGCCCTTTCCTCAGAAACCCTATGGAAACACTGCATTTACCCATCTTCCTTTCCTCAACCTCAAACCTAAATGTGTTGCTAGGAAAACCTGATAATCTTGTATTTCAGGGTAAATTTAATCTTATCTATTTGCTGCCTCGGAAGAATTTCCATCTGAAATGTGATCTTTATGAAGCAAAATTTTAGTCATCAGCAGAACAAGTCAGATGGTTAAGGAATTCCATTTGATGCCTAATTTCTTAATTCTAAACAATGAACTCTGATGTTATCCTGAGTGTCCTCAGCTTGCTGCCAGCTAAGTACATGATACATGATAATATCTTTCAGACCATAGCCAGCCCTGGCGTAAAGAGTTGACTTAAAGGGCCAGCCAAAATTTCACCTCTGTCCCCTGGTTCTTTCTCCAGTGGACCCCAAATTTTCCCCTTAATTCAGGAATCCCTTCCTGAGTTCAGAGGATAGAATAGTTCCCTCTCAACTTCCAAGTGGAAACTTTGGGGGCATTAAATAGCTGTTTGGGATAATGTCCAGATGGCATCTTGGCCAAACCTGTAGTTATGCAGAAGCAGATTTCTGGAAAATTTAATTGAATTGGGACACACCTCTACCTGACGGCCCTTACCAGAGATCACAACTATAACCTATGATCCAAATACAGCAGATAGATGGAGTTTGTTTGGCTCTTCATATTTTAAGTTTTTTAGATCAGGGCCATACATGGTGGCTCACATCTGTAATCCCAGCACTTTGGGAGGCCAAGACCAGGAGTTCAGGACCAGCCTGGGCAACATAATGAAACCCCATCTCTACAAAAAAAAAAAAAAAAAAAAAAAAAAAAAAGGAGAGAGAGAGAAAGAGAGAAAAGGAAGGAAAGGAAGGAAGGAAGCTGGGCATGGTGGCACATGCCTATAGTCTCAGCTACTCAGGAGGCTGAAGTGGAAGGATTGTTTGAACCCAGGAGATTGAGGCTGCAGTGAGCTATGATCATACCACTGTACTCCAGCCTGAGTGACAGAAAAAGACCTTGTCTCAAAAAAAATTGTTTTCAGTTCAAATATCTGTGAAGGCATTTCAATTTGCAATTTCTGCCTTACCCTCATCCCAGTCTCTGACCTTAGGACGTAAACAGGTACAAGAGTCAAGTGTTCGTATTATCTTATTCTTCCCTCTCCTTATTTTTTCCCAAGTTATAAAGGTGAGAGTTATTCAATTCCAATCACAGCTGTTCTTCTAGCTCATTGTGTGACCTTAAACAAACTACCTTGTCTTTAGGTGGTGGACTGGAAGTTTTCTAAGGCAACTAATTAACAGTCTGTGGTTCTGTGTGTCTATTCTCACTACCATAGTGATAAAACCTAGACTTATAGATTAGCAAATCTGATTGTTTACTTCCTATGTAGTTGGAAATACATAAGCACCATTATTATCCCATTCTAGAGATAAGCTCGAGGCATGAAACAGTTGAGTACTATAATAACTCAAATGTGGATATTCAAGCAATATTTTGGCTTTTTTTCTATAGCCTCCTCTGACTTGGAAAACAAATGCTTCATTATTGTTAAGCATTGTTTGGAAATTTTTCTTTCCCTCTTTCTCTGCCATTAGTTATCACTGCCCCAGAAGTTGAGAGTTATGCCTGAGGCCACATAACTATGTTGTTTATGTACAAAATGATACTCCATTATGTCAGCCACTCTCTGTCCACATCAGTGATCTATGGACTCTGTGACAATCTCATTGTTCTAGGGTGAAATACAAAGTCAGATGTACTCCACCAACACTGTAATGGACTTTACCCACTTACTCTGCTTGAAGTTATCCTCTACTCTATTAAATGGGTCTGTGACCAGCTGTCCTGTACAATTTAGGAGTTATGGAACTGGATTGCTTAGTTGTATTAATTTCTCCATCTATATCTAATATAAATGTTTGCATTAGTGATGTTTTGATTACATAGTCATATATATCTTTCCTCATGTAATACATATATTTATTTTATGTATTTACATAAAACCAGAAAGAATGGAAGGTAACATATTTTTAAATATGCATTGCTATGCCTGACTCATAGCAAGGGCCCCAAAATCATAGTTTTATTTTTTTATTGGGGGAGCAGGCTGTCTTAGTCTATTCAGGCTGCTAAAACAAAATACTATAAAATGGGTAGCTTACAAACAACAGAAATTTATTTCATACAGTTCTGGAGGCTGAGAAGTCCAAAATCAAGGCAGCACAGATTCAAATGGTTCATAAACAGCAGTTCTAGCTGTGTCCTCACGTGGTGGGAGGTGGAAGGGAGAGGCCTTTCATAATGGCACTAATTTTATAATGACTATTAATCATCACCTAATGACCTCCCAAAGACCCACCTCCTAAAGCTATCACATTGGTGAGTAGGTTTCAACATATGCACTTTGGGGGAACACGACCATTAGACCATAGTGGGGTGTATATGGTTATGACCAAAACAGTGCAACTATAAGTGGTCTGTGTTTGGAAACTACTGAGGCATCTCCCTCTTAATAAATTGCAGAGCTCTCTCATCGGATTCTTGTTATGTGTGCTTACCCTGTGGTTAAGAATCTACTTTGTAGATATAGAGATAGTCTCTGCTCAGATGTGGTCTCATTGATTTAATTTCTCTTGGGGGAAAAATGCTTTGCTAATGATCACCTTGTCTCAAATTGCAGATTACGGTATTTCGGATGGGATCAGAAGGACACCAGGACATTGATTTGGCTATCCTGACAGCTTTACTCAAAGGTAAAAGAGTCTGTGTCCAGAGAGTGTGAAAATAATTTAAACGAATTAATACAGTGACCTTATGTCTCCTAATAATAGATATAATCCCAAATGATACTATGACACAATAAATTATTGATAACATAGGGGTCTCTCCTGTAAGACAGTTACTGCTATTAAATTCTCCTAGAATAGATATTATAGTGTGACTCAATTTTATAAGATTTAAATATACTACAGTTTAGTTATGTCCATGAATTATAAACGTATATAAAGAAAAAGGCTGACATAATATGTAAGATGCAGTGTTATCTGAGGTTATTTAATAGTAATTTTTACCCTATCTACTTTCAAAAACCATTTGATATGGCATATGTGTGAGTATATGTGTGTGTGATATATATACACACAATAATAAATACCTTAACACACACAATAGTATATTAAAATGGAAAATCAAAAACCATTGAGAAGAAGGAGAAGGAAAAAAATTATGGTACTGTACTTGTTATAATATAGCATTAAATTTAAGCTTCCTGGAAGTCAAGGCAAAAATGGTAATACTCTGCGTTGTAACTTGTTTTGAAAGTGGGTATTTGTCCTATTCTCTAGTCCCAATACTACAAAGTCCTCATCTATCTGTCCTCATCCTTGGAGCCATATGAAGAGCAGTTTCCTTTAGGTTCTGTGGATTAAATCCAATCCTTCCTGTGCTTTACTAAGTACATTACACTTCACTACTAATTTGCAGTGTTAAACAGAAGGAAGTTTCTCCTGTTCAGTGCTGAAATTCAAACTAGAACTATAAGACAAAACAAAACCACAGACTTGTTGAATGTGGTTCTGAGTTAGAAATGTCTCCTACATTCTCTCTTAGCCCCATAGTTTGTTTGCCTGCTGTAGAGTCATGGTTGGTCACTACCTGTTTGTCATCTCCCTAGATAGGGCAGAGAATGTGTCTGGTTCATTACTACCTTCTTAACACCTCACACAATCCTTAACACATGGCAACATTCAATCAAGTTTTGTTTAATAAATGAAGGGACAAGTGGGCTACTCAATGATTCAGTGATAGATTCAGCATTCCAAAATGAAAACTCAGAATACCAACTATTTCATTCATTTTCCAGTGTATCTACTCTTCTTCTACTATTAATATTCTCTTGAGGACCCATCATGTGCTACCATGCTCAACTCTTTACAAATACTGTAAACGTTATTTATTTCAACAACCAAATGATATAGGAGCTATTTTTAATTCCCATTTTACAGATGGAGTAAGTTGAGCTACAGGAAGTTAAGTAATTCGCTAAAGGTTAAAATGCTAATTAGCAAGCTTGGCCTTAGGTCCAAGTATGTCTAACTCTTCACTATACCATGTGACCCCTCTGACAATACTAATTTGTCAGTTCTCTTCACCCACTCTCCAAGTGTATATATGCACATTCATTCAAAATCCTGATTGCGACTTAGAAGTTTTGCAATCCCATGAATCATATCATGTGTCCAGCTTGAGAACCGCTGCTCTAAAGCATTTTATCCCAATGAACTAAGAAATACAAAGGCTTTGCAGAAGAATCACGGGACCAGGGACCAGGCATGAACTGAACCACAAAGCATACTGCAGGCCCCACTCTCCCCTTATCAGAGACAAAAATAAAAATTTGAGGCAAGTTACCCTATATTTGCCATTCTCAAATAAAGATATTTTAAAGTAATAATGTCAGTAACTGACATTTATTGAGAACTTACTATGTGCCAAACACTGTGTTGGATGCATTCCATGTATACATTTGTTTATTCTTTACAATAGTTCAATTACCAGATTTTACAGGCTCTATTTTATAAATAAGGAAATTGGGGCATAGAGCAATTCAGTAACATGCTCAAGATAAGTTGACCATTAAATGGTAGAGACAGTCTGACCCCATAGCCCTCACTTATGTATGGAGATAAAAAACGCATCCCTTTCCCACTGATAAGAAATGAAGCACCACATTTACAACCCTGAACAAAACTCACAGCAAATGGGGAAGTGATCCAATTATTGATAAAAACATATTGGCCATTATAATATCTTCTACTGAAAATACTTTCTTCCTCTCTCATGAATTTGTGAGAATTTAAGTTGTGATTCACTTTCAGCTCAGTCTTAGAATTTATTCATTGCATTATAGAATAGTTGTTTTCCAACATTTTTGAGTATGACATACCATATGAAATACATTTTATATTATAACCAAATAGTTACACATATGTATTTGGAAAATTGAAATTAATGTAGATGAAATAATATTTACATTGACAATATGCAATTGCAATATGCAATGAAATTGGGTATTTTCTATTCAATCTATTCTTTTCTTTTAAATGCTGATTATATCCCACTAAATTGATTTCACAACCTACTAATGAGTCATAACCTGCAGTTTAAAAAAACACTGCCACAGAAGATTAAAGAAAATTATGATTGCTCTAAGAAATTAACATTTCTAATCACCATCATGAACATTATCTATGCAGCAGTTGATGCTAATGGGAATTTATGCCATTAAAAGATTATGATGTGTCAACTCTATTTTGCGAAGGCTTTGAAATGCTCTCAGTTGCTGACCCATTTGATTTGTAAAGGCTATCAAGCACAGTACTTTTGCTGGCTTCTTCGGAGGCCAAGAGCCTACTTATATTGGTTTCAAACTCTTAAGTTTATTAAATTATTCTTCCTACTTTTTTTGAATTATGCGTGGGCATGTAACATGGTTTAACACCAAATTGTTACATTTAGTTTGCAATTATCTAATGCATGTAGAAACTTTGTGCAATCCAGTTTTTATTCTGCGGAATCTGAGAAATTTCTGAGAGAACCAGAAGTTAGGAAGAGGAGAAAGCCAGGAAATGACCCATTGGTCCCTAGATCCAGAGGCCACAAGAAAGGACAGGAAATCAGGTGACCATGGGGAAAAGATTTCTTTGCTGCTCCTTGTTTCTGATCCTGTTGGGTTTGATTTTTCCTTGGGATCTGCATATTCTGTATTAGAGGATACTATTTATATTATACAGACTTATCCAGTGTCTGTCCAAAAATGAAGAAAGAGAGAGACAAAAAGAGCTCATGCCTGTAACAGCAACACTTTGGGAGGTTGAGGCGGGAGTAGCACTTGAGCCCAGGAGGTTATGGCTGCAGTGAGTCACGATTGCACCACTGCACCCCAGCCTAGGCAACAGCGCAAGACTGTCTCCAAAAAAAAGAAAAGAAAGAAAAAGAAGAAGAAAGAATGTTGTTTCAGTCAGAGATGTAAGGGGCTCACAGTTTCTTCAGCTGATGACCTCGAGTAGCTTTTAAGAATGGGCAATGTCACATTTGTCTTTCACATGATGGGACCACTCCACAAGGTCGGTGGTCTCAGGCCAGAGACTGGGCACTCTCCTCCTGCATTAGCCTTCCACTGCCCCTGCCACACACACCAGGATATTCAGTTAACTTTGAATTTTCAGATAAACAACAAATAATTTTTGAACATAAGTATGTCCCCAAGTGGGGACTTATCATACTTATAAGTGTGTCTTACTTGAGACACACTTATACTAAAAAAAAAAAAAAAAAATTGTTTATTATTTGCCTGAAATTCAAACTTCACTAGGAGTGCTGTATCTTTATTTGCTAAAACAAGCTACCTTATTTTAGGGGTGGAAAGGGGGCGATCCCTTTTCCATCTTAAGGGTCATAGCTGACACTTCTGTAACAAAGGCATATTAACAAGAGAAAAGCATAACAAATATGTTTGATCTTATTTTTATGTGACATTCCAGCCTTCAGAATGAAGATCTGAAGATACACAGAAAACTTTTCATTTTTATGCTTAGGCTCAGTGAAGTATGAACAGCTCTGTAGAAATATGATTACACAGAAAGAGTCTGATGGAATGCTAACACACTGAGAGGGGAAACCCAGCAAGGCCTGTCTTATCAGATGCTTCTTGGCCTCTCTGTGTAGCATTCCTGCTGATGCAGGACAAGCAAGCCCCAAGGTGGGACTTAGGCCATGAGGGTTCTTGGCTTTGCCCAGGAAAGAATTCAAGGATGAGCCAGCTTTACTGAAGGAGTGTTATAGCTCTGGCACCGTTACAGCTCTGTTACTGCTCCTGCAGAGTGGGGCTACCCAATAGGCAGTGTGCTTAGATTAGCAGCTCAGGACAGTTTTGCAGTCATATTTATACCAACTCTTAATTATATGTAGATTAAGGGGTGGTTTATGCAGAAGTTGCTAGGAAAAGAGTGGTAACTTTTGCATCATTGGGTCATTGCCTTGGAAAGGGGTGGTAACTCCTGGGTGTTGCCATGGCAATGGTAAGCCGACATGGCACACTGGAGGGCGTGTCTTATGGAAAGCTGCTTCCACCCTGGCCCTGTTTTAGCTAGTTCTCACTTTGGTCCAGTGTCCGAGCCCTGCCTCTGGAGTCAAGTCCCGCCTCCTACCTTACTTGCTTCCAGGTGTGAGATAGATCTCTTCTGGAATAAGGGTATTAATTTCGTTATGGCCAGCTGTGACACAGAAGGACAGGAGAAGTGGGTGGGGGGTGGGATTAGTGTAATAGCTTTAGGCTTTATGACTGGCTTTGGGAAAATGGGGTTCTGGTCTCTATGACCTGCCTTGGGGAAGACGGTTTCCAGTTTCCATGGCTTGCCTTGGGGGAGAATGAAAGGTGAGAGACAGGAGGGCAGGTGAAGATCAAAGAGAAACTTCGCTTCTGAGTCTGCTTCTGGGACCTTCAGTTTAGCCTTAAGGCAAGTTTGGCCTATCAATCATTTTTCTGAGCCCCAACATCATTTCTATTTCTGGACCTCAGATACCTCAAGAGTGAGATTCTTTGAGAAGAATAACTCAAGAATTTAGGGAGGTCCGCTAACCCCTCTGTCCACCTGCTCCTCTCAGCTGGCCCTGCCTTAATCACAGCAACCAGAGAAAACTTCCAAGAGAGGAGCCCAAAGTTAACTTAATAAACTCTTTGGTGTTTATCAGTCTGCTCTCTCAGCAGCCCCATGTTGTCAGCATCCCTCATACATCAGCATAAACCTCTTGCTCCAGGCTCCAAAACCGCAGAAAATATCTATTCACAGCAAATGAAGTTATTGTAAGTGGTCTCTGGACCCTTTCTGTGAATAAAATTACCCCCACCATTCATCTATTCTCATAGGCCTTGGATTCAATATAAAGTCAGACCACATGACTGTATAGTTTCATTCGTACATGTGCACTGAAGAGTAATATGTGATGATCACTGTCCTCCATAAATGAGAAATTTGTGTTCTTTGGGTTTAATCTTCACTGGTAAATAAGTCCATCTGAGGCACAGGGACAAAGTAACCTTTATTGCTTGCTTTCTTTTCTGGAAAGCATTTCAAAAGAGCTAAAAGAGAGTGCCAAAACAATATGTTTCTCCTCATAAATGTCAAGGTCATCAAAAACAAGGGAAGCCTGAGAAATTGTCACAGCAGGAACAATGTGGTTTCTTGAATGGGTTCCTGGAGCAGAAAATAAAGGGTATTAAGTTAAAAACTAAGAAAATGTGAATAAAGTATGGGCTTTAGGCTTTTTTAAAAATGTTAAGAGATAAATAAGAATGATATCACATATTGTTAATCTGAGCAGGAGACATATTGTAATCAAAAACCTCCACAATTCTTTCATGTCAAAAAGACAAAAAAGGAGATAGCGATCTTTGGAATTAACCTTAAAGGTCAAACACATATATATATTCAAAGGACTATGACAGGCAAAGGTAATATCTATACAAAGTATCTATAGAAATCACATAGCTATGAATAATAGCTGATCACTGTTGATCTTAGAAATGACCAGAAATATCACTGGGGTATTTAAGCAAGAGATATATGAATGTGGAACTAAAAAAACTGTATGAAATCAAATTTTCATATGAACTCATACAATTATTTCAGAGATAATTATATAGTTCCTATCATTTTATTTTATGTGTTTCTGATCTTCAGACAAAATTAATGCTATCAATAATTAATCAACTACTTAATTACTTATAGATACATGGAGAATAACTTCTAATATATCCATTTGTAAATTTGTTCAAATTATAAAATAATTTAAAAATAACATGGGCCTGGCACAGTGTCTCACACCTGTAATCCCAGCACTTTGGGAGGCCGAGTGGATCACCTGAGGTCAGGAGTTCAAGACCAGCCTGGCCAACATGGCCAAACCTCACCTCTACTAAAAATACAAAAATAAGTGGAGCATGGCAGTGCGTGACTGTAGTCCCAGCTACTTGGGAGGCTGAGGCAGGAGAATCACTTGAACCTGGGAGGTGGAGGTTGCAGTGAGCCGAGATCATGCCATTGCACTCCAGATCGGGTGACAAGAGCTAAACTCTGTCTCAAAAAATAATAATAATAAAAATAAAAATGAAATGAAATTGAAATTGAAATGCAAAAAGAATAGCCAGTATGTTTTATATGACTTTAGAAAAGTTTTAGGAAAGCATACTGTTGATTAGATTACATAACACAAAATAATGAGAATCTCTATGTTCTGACCCATCTTCCATTACAATTGTACAATTGTATCTTTAGGGGAAAAAAGAAAACCTAAACTTAAAGGTAGATAAATTTTTTAAAAATTTCATATATATGCTGGGTGCAATGGCTCATGCATGTAATCCCAGCACTTTGAGAGGCCAAGACAGGAGGACTGCTTGAGCCTGGGAGTTCAAGATCAGCCTGGGCAACATTGTGAGACCTTGTCTCTAAAAAAAAAAAAAAAAAAAAAAAATAGCCTGAATAGTGGCATATGCATGTAGTCCCAGCTACTTGGGAGTTTGAGGTGAGAGGATTGCTTGAGCCCAGGAGGTCAAGGCTGCAGTAAGCCATGATTGCACCATTGCACTCCAGGCTGGGCAACAGAGCAAGACCCTATCTCTCTCAAAAAAAAAATTATATATATAATGTTTTGAAATGACTTCTGAATGCATGTCTCCCAACTCTATTAACTAGAAAATGCAGAGTTACTATCACCAACCTTCACTAACATCAATAAGCAATTGGCCTTGCTGCCTAACTCATCTCATTTTAAAAAATAACTTAAATCCTAGTTAACTTGGTAAATCCTAGTTAACTAGTAACTTAGTAAAACCTAGTTAAATCCTAGTTAACTTAGTAAAACTTTGGCATATGTTTTGAAGTAGTTTATGTCCAATAATTCCATGCATCAGGTAGCTCTCATAAACAACTAACTTATCCCAGAGTGTTTACTGAGAAGTTACCTTGCTTAACCCCTCATGATTCATGAATGTATTTTATTGAATGTATTATGGCCTAACTTTGATAATAAAAAATATTTCTAATTATGTGTACAAGACTTGCTGCCCCTCTTTCCTGTGGGCAGACAGTTTAATATACCACATGGATGATTGCTTTCTTTTTAATGTTATTATTTTCTTAACCTTATACTGTTTATATATCCCTCATAAGGCCAATAAAAGAGACATACTTGTTGACATTTTTATGAGATACAAAGTTACTATAACTCTTTTTTTTTTTTTTTTTTTGAGATGGAGTTTTACTCTGGTCTCCCAGATTGGAGTGCAATGGCACGATCTTGGCTCACTGCAACCTCCATCTCCCAGGTTCAAGTGATTCTCTTGCCTCAGCCTCCCGAGTAGCTGGAATTACAGGTGCCCACCACCATGCCCAGCTAATTTTTTTATTTATTTTTTATTTTTTTTGTATTTTCAGTAGAGATGGGGTTTCACTATGTTGGCCACGCTGGTCTTGAACTCCTGACATTGTGATCTATGTGCCTCGGCCTCCCAAAGTGCTGGGATTACAGGCGTGAGCCACTGTGCCCATCCTATGGCTCTTAAATAGTGAACAAATGAAGGTAGATGAAATTTTGTGCAAAAGCAATCTACAAAGTCAAAATGTGAGACATTTTCCATCTATTTTAGACATAAAAGTGCCTAGGACATTACTGTGTGGGTTGGTAAACTGTAGGTGGATAGCAAAGTGTTTTAGTTAGGGACTAAACACACCAGGTAAGGTTTATAGTGTTGAGTCTTTCCAAAAGTATTTATTAAGCCATTCTCTGCTTTAGGCCACTTTTAGCTTCCTTGTGTCTTCTGACTTGCAGATCAAGCTTCCTCAAATGCACTTGTTTCTTGGTGGTCCATTTTACCCCTTTATTCAAATCATTAACTTTGATGTTATGAAGCAAATTGGTCATCAGAAGTTGGAGTCCAGGATGGAACCCCCAAAGCCAGTGTCTTCCATGTGCCTCTTATTACTACCTCATCCCAAAACCACCTGGAAGCCAAATATCCACTTTCCCCCTTGCTACTCCATGCATTTTACAGACTAGGAAATTGAAACCAAAGAGTGTGAAAGATACTCAAGATAGTTTGTCAAGTTAGTGGCAGAGCCAAAGCTTAAACCCATGTCTCTTCACTTCTACCCACTTTTCTTTACATTGCATACATTAGGCTTTGGAAGATACAAGATTCCCTGGCTTTACAAAGCCACAGGTGCACAGGTGTTTGCACCTGTGCTTCTGGGGGATCTCGACTAATTAACAGATCTGGATGTCTACTTCCTAAAATTCTCGGCACACTTACCAGCTGCCCAGATGACCCTAGTTGCACACACAATGTTTTAGTGAGGGAGAGTAACATCAGCAAGATGGTGGAACAGAAGTCCTCCTGGCATCACTCCCCCTACAAAAGTACAACTAGTAATTATTCAGACACGAGTACCACCCTGAATGCACCAGAACTTAAGGAAGAAATGGAAAAAAAAAGAAAACCAATATTTTAGTGAAGAAACTAGGATGCCCACAGTTTTATCTAATATAATGGCAAGAATAAGGGTGATCTCATACTTGTTTTATTTTTAAATTGTTAGAGCATCAGTGGAATATTGCTGAAACTGGGAATTGTTTTAGTTACAAGTAACAGAAACACAATTTGAAGAAGCTCCAGCAAAAACAAATAAAACAGATTTGTAAGTTCACATGACCAAAGTTTAAAGATAAACTGAATTCAGGCAAAGTGGCATCCAGGGCTCAAATGATGTCATCAGAGTCTGTCCTGTATCTCTTGGACACTAATCTGTACATAGGTTAGACAGAGTGATCATGAGCAGTACCAGACTCATGCCCAGCTAACTGAGAAAACCCCAATCAGAAGGAAACATCTTTCCTGATAACTGCAACAGAAAGGTCCCGGGAGTACTTGAATTTGCTCATCTTGGATCCATGCCCATCCCTGAATTCATCACTGTGGCAGGGGAATTGAGAGAATCCCTATGACTGTGGAATGAGAGATGGGGTTAGCTGTATTCATGTCAGGGTTTTTGGTTCCCAAAGAAAACAGAGGTTCTAAAACCAGGAGAGGGGGAAAGAAAGGATGCTGGTAAGACTAAAAGCAACTAAAAGAAATACACATCTCTACAATTATATTAAAAGGAGTACTTTTGGGAGGCCGAGGCAGGCAGATCATTTGAGGTCAGGAGTTCAAGACCAGCCTGGCCAACATGGTGAAACCCTGTCTCTACTTAAAAAAAAAAAAAAAAAATTAGCTGGACATGGTGGCACATGCCTGTAATCCCAGCTACTGGGGAGGCTGAGGCAGGAGAAACGCTTGAAGTGGGTAACGGAGGATGCAATGAGCTGAGATCATGCCACTGCACTCCAGCCTGGGCAACAGAGTGAGACTCTGTCTCAAAAATGAATAAATAAATAAAACTACTGAGGGGCAAAGTATGTCAAATTTGCCTCAAATGCAAGCACCTATAAATCTATGTTCCAGGGATACATTCTTCATTCAGCAGATAAAAACTGGAACTAGGTCAAGTGAATACTAATCAGGGTTCAGACATTCTCTCAAGTCATACTCATAAAGTTTACTTCAAGTAAACCTAAATATATCACTTATTACCTACCATTACTTACCATATAATGTTTATTATAATAATCACTGTTACCTTTTTTAATTTTAATGGTTTTGTACTTCATTATTTTTGACAAGAATTTGTGAAGAGATTACATTTTTAACACTTTTTTTCCAAGACCAAAGCCTATTCCTTATTTTAAAAATGATTCCATAAGGGTCAGGTTGCTCCAGGCTTTCCCCACTAGGCTCCTCTCAGCCCAGCTCCCACTCCTACCCACAGTCCCTGCATGTGGTACTTACCACAGTGAGCCAGTGAGATGATGGCCATATTCAAAGCATCCCTACTCCCTGACTGCAAATTGTTTGACCTCATTGAGCCACAGTCTCCCCATCTATAAGATAGAAATAATAATAATAATACACAGTTGTAACAATTTTAATTGATAATGCAAGCAAAGCACTTAACAAAACATCTGGGATATCTATTTAATAGATGATGGCCTGATTGATAATGATGACACCAAACTAGAAATAAGGACCACACCTGTTTTACTTACCACAGTGTACTCATATACACAGTGCCTGGCATAGAGTCGGAATTCAATATATATTTGTAACTTCTGAATGGATGATCAACAGGTTTTGGCTCAGATTAGATGTCCTTAAATCCTAATTCTTTACTGGCTGTAGCCAGTAAACAAAGTTATCTAACCTCTGTGTGCCTCAATTCCCTTCCATGTGAAAAGGGAAATCAATTAAACCTCTCCCATATGGTTTGATATAAGGGACACATGACATGGTTATTGCTAGCTCTTTAAGGGCGGACACTCTACTCTGCCTTCTTTATGGTAAATACTTAACACATAATCGTTTTATACTCTTTCCCTTCTGAAACGGGTTTTAAAAATTCCTAGGGCATTAGGATATCCCCCATATTCAAAATCCATCAAAACTGTAAAATGCCAGATTTGAAAGGACTCATAAATTTGAAAAAAACAAAAACAGCAGAAAACCTCTAGCATACATGTGAGAATCCAGAACAGACCACTGAAAGGAATTGAATCTAGAAAGTGGTTAAGCACATGCTAAGCTACCTTAAAATAAAATTAATTTTCTTGCAGGTTTATTTTCATGGAAATCCAAACAGATCTCAGTCCAATAACAGACCAAAGTAGATAACAATTTTAGACATATTTGTTTGTCTCTAACAGGAGAATTCAATAAAAGAACTTAAGTCCCTTAATTCCTTTTATTTGTACAGTGCTTTATAATTCACAGAGCATGTTTATACAAGTTTTATCATTAATTTTCACAACCCTGCGGAATGGTTACCAGATAATTTACCTCCAAACTGGCACTTTCTTCGGCATGAAAGTTGGCAGTATTAATAATTATGCCAGAACACCTGGAATGAATCAGAATGTCCAGGCAAACTGGTAGGTATGATCAAACCCCATCTTCCAACAGAAATTTCCAGAGAAATTTCACCTGTGACTTTCGCAGTATCATACTATCTCACACCCCACCACCACCACCACTCCTTCTCCCATTAGTCACCTCCCCTTAAGAGTTAAACAGGCTGGCACAGTGGCTCACACCTGTAATCTTAGCACTTTGGGAGGCCAAAGCAGGAAGATAGCTTGAGCCAAGCATTTTGAGACCAGCCTGGGAAACATGGTGATATGCCATGTCTACAAAAATTTTTTTAAATATCCAGGCATAGTGGTGCATACCTGTAGTCCCAGCTACTCAGGAGGCTGACATGAAAGGATCGCTTGAGCCCAAGAGGTTGAGCCCACAGTGATCACACCACTGCATTCCAGCTTGGGCAACAAAGGGAGATGCTGTCTCAAAAAAAAAAAAAAGAAAAGAAAGAAAGAAAGAAAGAAAAGAAAAGAAAAAGAAAAATGAAACCACCTCTTCTCTTTTCAGACAGAGTAGTTCTAGTTCATCCCTGTCCTCTGATATTTTGACCCCTGCCCTCAAGGTTCATCTATTATAAGCAGGTTTGCAGGATATTTTTGCAAAGTTAGTCCTCTTCCTAAGCAGAGTTCCAATGGCATTTCACAGGAGAGAGTGGTTTCTTCAGCTTTCTTCAGCTTCTTTAATATAGGTAGTAAGTGAGAGAATGGGGCCTGGACTCCCATCTCTCCTCAGAAGATGACAGCATGGTGTTCTTTGTTTCAGGGTCATAACCAGGAGAAAAGCTGTAACATGTAGACTTAAGTCCTTGCAAAGACCAAGAACACCAGGGTTCACCAGTCTCAAGTCTTAGGACATTCCTAGAAGATTTTTCGGGATTATGACCATATCCATAATATTGTCTCACTGTGAAATCTGAAAGCTGAATAGAGTTATACGCATTTAGGGAACTGAGAGGTGTCTGCTGATGTTTGAAGGAAGAACTGGAATCCAGGTCTTCAGACACCCAGGTCAATTATTTTTTCCCCTGCGCCATGCAGCCAGTTCTGATGGCAGCTGTGGTCACCCCCAGCCCCTAGTTACACAGAAGCTGGGCATCCTTGTGCTCTGTGACTTTCTCGTGCCTCAGAACTGGCACAGAATCAGAGCTCATTGTGTTTAGTGATCTGCACAGTAAGCTAATTGCCATCCCAACGCTTCTGAGCTCCTCTTGGCTTGTGAGGAACTCATCACTGCCGACTTCCCAGCAGGGCTATGGAATCATACTTTTCTTTCTTGGCTTGCTTCAGGGCAATGAATCAGCTTCATTCATTAAATCAGTTGCTGCCTAGTCTGCATTACATAATCACAGAAATTGATAGCAGCACAATTCTGAAATAAGTAGCTTACATTAATAATAAAAGTATGTTCCTCCTGGCTAAGCATGAAAAAATAGATATAACAGTAAATCTAACATACAACAATAACAACTAATATAGAAGTTACTATGTTTCTTTTTTTTTTTTTTTTTTTTTTTTTCTTTTTTTGAGACGGAGTCTCGCTCTGTCGCCCAGGCTGGAGTGCAGTGGCGCGATCTCGGCTCACTGGAAGCTCCGCCTCCCGGGTTCACACCATTCTCCTGCCTCAGCCTCCCGCGTAGCTGGGACTACGGGCGCCCGCCACCACGCCCAGCTAATTTTTTGTATTTTTTAGTAGAGACGGGGTTTCACTGTGTTAGCCAGGATGGTCTCGATCTCCTGACCTCGTGATCCGCCCGCCTCGGCCTCCCAAAGTGCTGGGATTACAGGCGTGAGCCACCGCGCCCGGCCCAGAAGTTACTATGTTTCTAAATATTAACTACTTTAATCCTCACAAGTACCACAATGGGGCAGGTACTAGCAGTATCATCCATCTTACAATTGAGGAAACTGAGGTATGGAGAGGCTAAGTATCTTGGCCAAGGTCACATGCTAGAAGTTCATGGAATCTATACGTGAACCCAGTTTGTCTGAGTCCAGGACACTTGCTCTGCATTCTGAGCATCGATGGCCATGATCGACTGTTAAGGACCACCCCCATGTTTGACATGTTTGGGACAGTCAATGATGACTAAACTTTTCTTGATGCATGAAATAATACAGACAAAGTACCAGATAAATATAGTCCACTAAACACAAGAATCTACTATCATTCTCTTCTGGACCCCTCCAAACAAGCATGACCAGTTTTATATTAAAAGGATTAGGGCAGAAACCATATTTCATGCTCACCACACTGGTTTCTCTTATTATACACTGGAAGACTAACTATCCTAGCCTCCTTTGCAGAGAAGTTGGGGCCATGTGAGTGTGCTTCAACCAATGGGATGTGATCAGAAGTGATGTGTGGCATTTCTAACATGGAAGATGAGAAGCAGATAAGAATGGAGAACAGCAGACCAGAAAACAAACCTGAATATTAAGCTGATATCAAACTGACTTACATTTTAAAATGCTCAAAAGGCCCAGGAATTGGGGCATCCAGAAACAAAAAGGGAGAGTGAAGAGAGAGAAAATATAAAAGATTTATTGTATTTTTTAAGAAGCAGACAGAATGCCATATCCTCTCCTCTACTCTGCAAAGCACACTCCAATCAAAAGGTAAATATTTATTCTCTAGTGAGAGTAAAACAGATTTTCTGGTCTAGGGGAACCAGGTACAAAGTGAGACCTGGGCCACAACACTGAAAGAGGGCCATGCAAGGGGAAGGAGATGAAATCAATTAATGCATATTAGATGCTGAGACCTCAGCCCTCTTCCCCAACTTGGTTCCCAGTGTGCTGGCAGCTTGGTCTTTATCCTCCAGGCAAAAGACTGGAAGGAGCCTTTTCTGTAAATTTTGATCTTCCCAAGAAATAAGACCTAAAGACACTCACACAAAAGATTTCCCAGATAAGAAGCCCAACCAGTTTATCTAACCATTAAGTTCACAGTTGATCATTTCCACTTATGTTCTCGGGGGCTTCCAGTCAGCACTCTTATGCCCACTCTTAAATATGAACAGTTAACCAAGGATTGCCAAACACATAGGAAAGACCTCTAACACAGAAGAGAGAGAGAGAGATAAACAGCGAGATGCAGTGTGGAGCAAACAGAGCTATGTAGGGAGAAGGAAATTCACCAATACTGTCTTTAATAGCCTCAGAGAAATCAAAGAAAATGTTTTAACCATTAAAAAAAGAACAACATCCTATAAAACACTCAATTGTTTTAAGAACTAGAAAGAGTTTTGGGGGATTAAAAATAGGATAGCATTAATACAAAATTAAGGGAATAATTAAAACATAAAATTGAAATACTCTTCCAGAAAGTAGAGACAGGAAGAATAAAAGAGAGAATGGTGGATAAAAAAACAATGCAATAATTCCAGAAAATGTCCCAGAACTCCAGAACATACATTTTCAGGTTGTAAGAAACTACTGAGTGAAAATAATCCTATACCAAGTCATACTATCATAATATAGAGGAACACAGGAGCAAGAGAACAGGGGAAAAGAGAGAAAGTGAGAGCTTCTAAAGAGAAAAAGTGGGCCACATGCAAAGAACTAGGAGCTAGAATGCTTTGGACTTCCAAACAACAATGCAGAAAGCTATTATACAACTTTGCAATGCCTTAAAAATTCTGAAGACATGTATTTTCAATCTAGGCCTATATCTAATCTACTGATCACTTGTGATGGTAAAATAAAGATATTGGCAGGCATTAGGTGCCTGGAAAAACCACTTTCTGCAGATGTTTTTCTTCAGAAACTACTGGAGGATGTGCTCTACCAAAATGAAAGAGGAAACCAAAAAATAATAAACAAATACAGAACACAAAACACAAGAAATAGGAGCTTCCACACAAAACAGAGGAGTTGGAAATTCCCTGGATCGTGAAGAAGGGAGACCCAAGGTGATAGTTCTGCCCCCAGGAGCTTAGGAGGCAAAAGCAAGAGCTGGCAGACCTTGCTAAGGCTTCTGCCTGGAACTGCCGTCATGTCACCCTGCTGCATTCTATTGGCTACAGCCAGCCACCAGGCCAGCCCAGATTCTGCATGAGAGGAGATGTCACAAGAGTATGAACACTGGGAGCTACGGTTCCTTGGAAGCCATCTTCAAAGACCAACTAGCAGAAAGAACCAGTCTAATCCTCTGGTTGCCTCTGTGGAAAGAGGAATGGGGCATTGAGGCTTGTAATTTTTACACCAAATCTTGCGGGAATAGATGACTCTCAACTCTGTGCATGTATAACTTTAGTAAAAATGAAGCATATATGGTTCCTGAATTTCCCAGAACTCAAAGAGACAGAATGAGTAAAAGAAAAAGGGAACAGAAGGTTGAAAATCATTAATTGCAATAATTCCAGAAAATACACCAGAACTTCAGGACATAGGTTTCCATAGACTCCTGCTCAAAAATAAAAATATGGGGAATGCAGGTATTTTTATATATCCAGCTGTGTAAATGAATTCCTTTTTGTCATAAGTAAGCAGAATAGCCCAATTGAATGGTTTTTCTTTTACTCCCTCAGTTTTATATTAGTAACATGTTTCTCAGCTTTGCATATTGTGTATAAAACAGACACACTCATGAAGTTCTCTGTTAACACGTTCATGGGACACCTGCGAAGTACTGACTGACTTTATGGCAGAGGGCACAATAAAGAGAACGTGTCTATTTGGATAGGTTGACAAAATGAAGCAAATACCCTGGTGCTTTCCAATGTTATTCATCGTAAGGCCATATAGTTTCAGTGGTCCTTTCTGCTTGCACATGAGAATATAGTGGCAATATTTACTGCAGAAAATCCTGGCCAAGATCACCAAGGAGACAGACATATTTAATTATCTGACTTTGTGAGGTTTCTATATAGCTTCGATTCTTCAAAGTCTAATACCCTAGCTCTGAAAATGAAACTAAGAACAGTTCTTCAGAGTGAGTGAGATCTTACACAGGAAATGCACACTCAATAGGTAAGAGGAAAAAAACAAACAATGCTGAATTACCACCTCCTGCCATCCCTAGACCCGGGAAGAGGAAGAGTTCAGCTCCCACTCCAGGCAGGGTGCAATCCTCAGAAGAGAAGTGGCCTTTAGTTTCTGAGGCGCTGTCAGCCAGCCCTGACCTGTCAGGACAGGTGCTACAATTCTATCAGCAGCCTGTGTCAGGTGCCACTGGAGAATCCAGAGTGATGTCCTGTTAGACCAGGCAGCCCTGGGAGGGCGTGAGAGGTACGTTCCTAGGCCGGTGTGGTGGCTCACGCCTGTAATCCCAGCACTTTGGGAGGCTGAGGGGGGTGGATCACTTGAGGTCAGGAGTTGTAGACCAGCCTGGCCAACATGGTGAAACCCATGTCTACTAAAAATGCAAAGATTAGCCGGGGGTGGTGGTGTGCTCCTGTAATCCCAGCTACTTGGGAGACTGAGGCATGAGAATCACTTAAACCTGGGAGGCAAAGGCTGCAGTGAGCCAAGATCATGCCACTGCACTCCAGCCTAGGCAACAGAGTGAGACTCAGTCTCAAAAAAAAAAAAAAAAAAAAAAAAAAACTACTCTCCTAATCGGGTGTGGTTGTGGCTCTCATGGAGAATCCCCCATGTCCATGGCCCAGGCTACCTGGGGATAAACACACAACAAATTCTCTCAAGTTAAGTTCCATCAAAGCAATCACATTCTTAAAATCTAAATAGAGCACCTGTATCTAGATTAAGACTCTTGCACTGCAATAAATTTACATCCTCTTGTTTATATCTTAGCCTTTACAAGCTTAAACTCACTTAGGGAAGTGTCTGAAAAGAAAGCCTCAATAGAAGGTAGCATTTGGATGACTCCCTGATTTCTGCCAGAGAACAATTTCTAATACTGATCAGCAATTCTATGTGTACAAGCCCTGGGTAATTTAGGGCTATCTGTACTTAATTCTGAAAAATTAGGGATTTAGTAGAGAGCATCTTTTTATGAAAATTCAATGATACCTAAATATTCTCATTAACTATAGCAGAAATCAAACTAATAACCTGGCTGGTAACTCTTCTCCATCCAGGAGTGTCTGCATGGCAGTGGCATTATTTACCTGCTAAGTCTATTAACTTATTAATTTGGTAAATTTATTGTTGGAAATATGTAAAACACTAAAAATATTTGTACAGTGCCTTAATAACATAATATTATCTATTTAATCTTCAAAGTGATCCTTTGAAGAAGATATTATTGACATCATTTTATTCATGAAGAAACTAAGTCTTGGAGAGGTTAAGTAATTTTCTCCAGCTCCTACAAATAATAAATAAAATCAGTGCTCTTTCTCTTTCACCCAAAGAAGGTGTCATGGCCCACATTTTTACTTGCCACTCAACTGCTATCCAGTAAAGGGTAACCAGACACAGATCAGAATTGCGTCAGATAGCTGCCATTTGGCTTAGATCTTATTCAGTTCTCCAAGAAGCCAGGGTGTATCCATCCTAATACCAGAGATAAATTACCTAATCCCTGGCACACCTACTGTGTACAAATCATTAACTTAAGTGCTACAAAGTCTTAAAGATGTGTAAAACAATCTTAAAATATGGTAGAAGTAGAGACCATAATATAAATTACAAATAAAATATGAAAAAGGCTCAAATGAAAGAGACTCCTGGATTCAGGGGAAATAGTGGCAATGAAAAGGAAAATAATAACAATATAATGTCAAAGATCTGATAAATTATTATAACCACTATAGTGAGGGTATGGTGAGACATTCATTCACTTGCTCATTCATAATTTTTGAACACTCAGTAGTTATTTTTTAATTAATTTTATTTCAATAGTTTTTGGAGTATGGGTGGTTTGGGTTGAACATGGATAAGTTCTTTAGTGTTGATTTCTGAGATTTTAATGCACCCGTCACCTGAGCAGTATACACTGTATCCAATATGTAGTCTTTTATCCCTCACCCCACTCCCAACCTTCCTCTCTGAATCCCCAACATACATTATATCATTCGTATGCCTTCACATCCTCATAGTTTAGTTCCCCTTATGAGTGAGAACATACAATATTCGGTTTTCCATTCCTGAGTTACTTCACTTAGAATAATAGCCTCCAGCTCCACCCAAGCTGCTGCAAAAGACAATATTTCATTCCTTTTTATGGCTGAGTAATATTCCGTGGTGTGTATATACTGCATTTTCTTTACTCACTGATTAATTGATGGGCGCTTATGTTGCTTCCATATCTTTGCCATTGCGAATTGTGCTGTAATAAATATATGCATGTAGCTGTCTTTTTTATGTAATGACTTATTTTCCTTTCCTAGATACCCAGTAGCAGGATTGCTGGACTAAATGGTAGATCTACTTTTAGTTCTTTAAGGAATCCACATACTGTTTTCTGTAGTGGTTGTACTAATTTATATTCCCATCAGCAGTGTAAAAGTGTTTCCTTTCACCACATCCACACCAACATCTATTGTTCTTTGACATTTTAATTATGGCCATTCTTGCAGGAGTAAGCTGGTGTCTCACTGTGGTTTTGATTTGCATTTCCATGAGAATTAGTGATGTTGAACAGTTTTTCATGTGTTTGTTGGCCATTTGTATATCTTCTTTTGAGAAGTGTCTGTTCATGACCTTTGCCCACTTTTTCATGGGATTATTTGTTTTTTTCTTGCTGATTTGAGTTCCTTGTAGGTTCTGGATTCTAGACCTTTGTTGGATGCATAGTTTGTGAATATTTTCTCCCGCTCTGTGGGTTGTCTGTTTACTCTGTAATTTCTTTTGCTATGAAGAAGCAATTTATTTTTGTTTTGTTGCATTTGCTTTTGGGTACTTAATTATGAATTCTTTGCCTAAGCCAATGTCCAGAAGAGTATTTTTGATGTTATCTTCTAGAATTTTTATGATTTCAGATCTTAGATTTAACTCTTTGATTCATCTTGAGTTGATTTTTGTATAAGGTGACAGATGGAGATCCAGTTTTATTCCTCTACATGTGGCTTGCCAGTTTTCCCAGCACCATTTATTGAATAGGGTGTCCTTTTCCCAATGTATGTTTTTGTATGCCTTGTCAAAGATCAGTTGGCTCCAAGTATTTGGCTTTATTTCTAGGTTCTCTATTTCTGTTCCATTGGTCTATGTGCCTATTTTTATACCAGTACCCCGCGGTTTTGATAACTGTAACCTTGTAGTATAACTTGAAGTTGGGTAATGTGAAGCCTTTATATTTGTACTTTCAGCTTAGTATTTCTTTGGCTATGTGGGATCTTTTTTGCTTCCATATGAATTTAGGATTGTTTTTTCTAGTTCTGTGAAGAATTATGGTATTTTGATGGGAATTGCATTGAATCTGTAGATTGCTTTGAGCAGTACAGTCATTTTCACAATGTTGATTCTTCCCATCTATGGCCATGGAACTTATTTCCATTTGTTTATTTCACTTATCTTTCTTTCAGCAGTGTTTTGTAGGGTTTTTTTGGTAGAGATCTTTCACCTCCTTAGTTAAGTGTATTCCTAAGGTTTTCTTTTTATTGCAGCTGTTGTTCTTGATTTGATTCTCAGCTTGGTCATTTTTGGTGTATTCCAGTGTTACTGATTTTTGTACATTGATTTTGTATCCTGAGACTTTACTGAATTTGTTTATTGGATCTAGGAGCTTTTTGGATGAGTCTTTAGGGTTTTCTAGCTATACAATCATATAATCTGTGAACAGCGATGGTTTGACATCCTTTTTTCTGATTTGGATTCCTTTCATTTCTTTCTCTTGTCTGATTGCTCTGGTTAGGACTTCCAGTACTAAGTTGAATAGAAGTGGTGAAAGTCAGCATCCTTGTCTTGTTCCTGTTCTCAGGGAGAATGCTTTCAACTTTTCCCAGTTTAGTGTGACATTGGCTGTGGGTTTGTCAGATATGGCTTTTATTACTTTAAAGTAAGTCCCTTCTATGCCTGTTTTGTTGAGGGTTTTTTTCAAAAAGTCATGCTAGATTTTATCAAATTATTTTTCTGCATCTATTGAGATGATCATATGGTTTTTGTTTTTAATTCTGTTTATGTAATATATCACACTTATTGACTTGACTTGCATATGTTAAACCATTCCTGCATTCCTGGTATGAAACCACTTGATCATGATGCATTATCTTTGTGATATGCTGTTGGATTTAGTTCACTAGTATTTTGTTGAGGATTTTTGCATCTGTGTTCATCAGGAATATCGGTCTGTAGTTTTCTTTTTTTGACATGTCCTTTGCTGGTCTTGGTATTAGGGTGATGCTGGCCTCATCGAATGATGTAGGGAAGATTCCCTCTTTCTCTATCATTTGGAATAGTTTCAGTAGGATTGGTACCAATTCTTCTTTGAATGTCTGGTGGAATTCAGCTGTAAATCCATCTAGTCCTGGACATTTTTGTTGGCATTTTTTAATACTTATTCAATCTTGCTGCTTGTTATTTGTCTTTTCAGGGTTTCTATTTCTTCCTGAATTAATCTAGGAGGGTTGTATATTTTCAGGAATGTATTCACTTCTTATAGATTTTCTAGTTTGTGTGTGTAAAGATGTTCATAGTAGCCTTCATGAACCCCAAATATCTGAGACAGGTCTCAGCTAATTTAGAAAGTTTATCTTGCCAAAGTTGAGGTTGTGTGCCCATGACACAGTCTTAGCAAGTTCTGAGGAGTTATGGTCAGAGCACAGTTTGGTTTTATACATTTTAGGGAGACATGAAACATCAGTCAACATATGTAGGATGAAAATTGGTTTGGTCCAGGAAGTCAGGACAACTTGAAGCAGAGGCAGGACAACTCGAAGCAGAGAGGGGGCTTCTAGGTCATAGGTAGATAAGAGACAAACGGTTGCATTCTTTTGAGTTTCTGATTAGCCTCTCCAAAGGAGGTAATCAGATATGCATTTATCTCAGTAAGCAGAGGGGTGTCTTTGAATAGAATGGGAGGCAAGTTGGTCCTAAACAGTTCCCAGTTTGACTTTTCCCTTTAGCTCAGTGATTTGGAGGCCCCAAGACTGATTTTCCTTTGACATACTCCCCCTTTTCTTTTTTAAAATCTTTTGGAGAAAGCATTTTAGAAGAAAATGAGTCTCTGATCTCAGGTTTCATCTGATCTGTCATGGCTATAATGGTTTATTCCTAGACAGGTAGGTCCCAAGTTGTTAGGAAAGCTCATTTTTAGCAGGTTGTTAAGTCTCATGTCCTATGAAGAGAAAATAGGGGGAGAAGGGAGAAAAACAACAACAGACAAAAGAACAATCTTGGAAAATCAATATAGGCCACATTACTGTGAAGTCGATCCATCAGTAGGCAGGTATGAAAGTGGCTTATGTATGTAAATAGGTTACCATTATTTTCTTCTGAAGTTTAAGTTGTCTAGCTTCAGTTCACAGGGCTTTATGAAAGCACAGCTTAGTTTTTGTGACTCCAAATTAAGAAAAGTGAGGAAAAAAAGGAAAAAATATTAACATTATTTTGAAGACTTGTAGCCAAGAAAAATTAGAATTCAGTCCAAATTGTAGAAAATAATAAAAATTGAAAAACATTAGACAAGACTAGAATCTAACAACAGGTATACTATAGTTTTTGAAACATAATTTTTCTCCAGTTTCCTATTTTTACTAAAGACACATCATGGTAGGACAGATTTGCTTTATTATACTTGGCCCAGTTATTTGTATACAGTGCTGCAAGAATAATTATTTTTTACATAGGCTTTTATATTGGCTTTAATGGAACTTTGTTCCATAGAAGGAATCTCAGATAAGACTTTGTAAAAACCCAACCCAGCCATGGATTTGTACCATCAAATACCTATGAGTTGGGTCAATTCCTCTCCTCTTGAGGTCCCAACATAAAACTTGGGGCTCCTGGGCCTGTCAGAAAGTGAGATTCTTTACTTACCACCGGTCAGGAACCCTGTACAAGGACTGTGTAAACAAGGTATGAGGCCAGTTTTCCCAAGGGGCTTTTATTGGCTCCATAAGTCAAGTTCAGTTCCTTAAAGGAAAGCACACCATTCCAGTCAAAGTCTTGGTAAAATAACCAGGTTCTCCAGTTGTGTCCTATTACAAAGGAAAACAGCTTCTTATTAGACTTATTCAAATACCTGTATTGCCATAAGTTAAGACTACTCACAAATAGTTTCCAAATTCTGGAGAAATCAGGTAGAGAGAAAAAAATATGCTCCAAATTTTGTTCATAGGAGTATACTAACTTCTTAAAAGCTGTCAATAACTCAAAAGAAAAGTTTTCTTGACTCTGACAAAAAAACAAATGATCAGCAACATTTTAAACCAAAAGTCAAAAAGATTACTTCAATCTTCTGTTAGTTCAGTCCATGCTGTTAATTCCTGTTCTGCTTGATATTCATGAACATTTCAGCTCTCCATGAGTCCTGAAAGTTTTTTCCCTATTCTGATGTCACAATCTCCAAAGTTATCAGAAACCTGTGTTCAGAAGCACCTGTTAGAGTTTTATAGCTGATTATAAAACCACTTTCTAAAGAGGACAAAAACAAGACAACAATTGTCCATGGATGACAAAAAGTTTTAGGGCAGCCATAGTCAAAGACACAATTGACAAGGAAATTTGTTACCTCTGTAGTATACAAAAATTTAACATAACGATTATAATTATTACTAATAACATACACTAAGTCATATCATAATTATAGAAGTTTCTCATAATTTTGAAACACATACCAATAACATATTTATACAATCACAGCCCAAAGAAAACCAAACACCATTTCATATTTGACAATGCTTCCTGTATAATTTTTATACCAAATAAGCCAAATTATGTCATTTTTGGACTTTAGGGAACCTAATATCTTAGAGGATTAATTAGGTCAGAAAAATACATAATTTGTAATTTGATTTTGGAAAGTTTGTCAAATATCAAAGGTTTAAAACACTTGATATCACAGGTCATTGTAAAATAAGTCACTCATTTGACCAAAGTGATAACTCAAGGATTTCAAAAAAGAACAGGTTATAACCTTCATTCTTTGGGACAGGAGACTTAATTTTCCAAACAATAAGCCCTAATAAAACAGCATGAAGCTAATTAAATTTGTTTTTCAAAATTTTATAAACAATCTATAAAATTGCAATCTTAACCATAAGATATAACTTCCATAAGCCTTTTATAACCTTTATTAGGGAGTCAGTTAATGCTTCAAGAAAACCTTGTTAATCTGATATAGGGGCCCATAGGCTGGTCTTGCATCAGTGTGCCTTTGACATTGATGATTAATTTATAGAAACTGAATTTATTTTCTCTCTCAAAATTGGCCCTTACAATCACACACTCACCTCTTCTGCAATAGTCCCTGGGCCTTGAGGATTGAATAGCTTTAATTTCTGGCCCTGTGTCTCCAGAATGCAGTTTACTTTGATCGGCGTCTTCTACCAGACCCGAAGATGTGAGATTAATTGCTGTCAGTGTTTAAGATTTAGCAGGAATTGCTGTCCTTTTTAGACTCAGGAGTAAAAGCCCTGTAACTCAATGTCAAAGCACTTTAAAAGCACATACAGAAAGATACACAGGTGTAATAATCTTAATTTAAAAAAAATTTTTTAATCTCAGATTTTTTCCTGTGCAAACTAAACTTAATAATAATGGCATAGGAATTGTTTCAATAAACCATAAAATCTGTTAGGCCAGTTAGGCCAGTTACCAAAAGGCAAAAGAAAAGACCTTCTACAGTGTACCAAATATTATATTGGAAGAAAACATTTCCTTTAGACCTTTAAGAAAACATTGTTAGCATCAGGCCACAACAAACAGAACCCAAGGAAAAACAACTTATATGAGCTGAAAATGAGTTGTTAGTATTTCGTGGCCTTTAAAAGGGGAGAAAAAAGCAAAAATAGTGAGATGCAATAAAAGTTGAACTTTGGTTAAAAAAAAAACTTACAATTTAAGAGTAAATACATTCCTTAAGAAAATTTCATTGTTCTAACCAATTATTTAGTGGTGTACAAGCTTTTTTTTTTTTTTTTTTTTACCTCAAGCCCAATGTGTAGAAAGACCATTATAATTTCCCTTTAATTACAAACTACTTAATCATATAAAAGTTTTTTGGGTTTTTTATGTATATAAATCCTCTTATTGTGACTTATACAGATTGTTCATGATATTCTTGGACTTCCTGGTTTGTCCTGAACGTCCCTCTTTCTTAAACAACCAGTCATTTTATTCTAGGACTACATTTACCATGTAAGATTCTTTCTTACATAAAATATTTCTTTTTAAGATTTCTTACCAAAAAAAAAACACTTTTTTTTATAACTTTCTTTACATCTCTCTTATTTCCTGGTTCATTTTACCTTGTTTTATACATAACCTTTAAATAAGCTTTGAATGATACAAAAATTGTTCACCTTTTTAGAAAGGACACACATTTTTTTAGAAAGAATGTTTTCCTACAATTTATTTTCATTGGAAAATACCCAAATAATGAAATATCTATTATTTAATTTAATACAACTTTAGATTCTAAATTACAATGAGTTTGTCTACAAGTGCTTATCCCATTACATTTGCCTAATTATTTTATTTTGTTTACCTAGATTATTTATGAAAATTTCAATAGTCATCATTTACAGTTATGGACTGCCACTGCAAAATTATAACTGAGACAGTGAAAAAGATCTGATTAACTGACTCCATCTGGCTTCTAACCTCCAAGCTGTTCTCATTCATTCCTGGGCATAGGCCAAACTATTAACAACTTTGGAAGGAAGTTATAGTTTAGCTTTGAAACAAAGATGGTAACAGTCTTTTCCCAAAACAAATCTTACTGCCTGTGGACTAGACCGCCTAAAGCCACAAGATTAGAAGTTATGGTAATCTTACTAAATTCAAGATGTAGTTGTTTCCATTAAACCAATATGAGTATCTTATTTATTAAACATTACATAAACAAAGATCATTCTGTCTTGGGCTGGGTTTATAGTTTTTTAACCCCTATGCCAAATGTTGACACTTTATAGTACTTGGCAGGAATTAGTATAAAATTGCTTGATTAATAAATGCAAACAAAAATGTATGCTGTCAATTCTTAAGACATTTCTAATATTACCTTACCAATAATTTTAAAGCTAGGTTATTTATTAAACAGTTTGCTTAAGTTACGTAAACTTGACAAAGCATTTAACTAGACTTTACTTTTTCTGATAAGGTATTTGATTCAAGCACTTTTATTTTCTTAAGCCAATTAATTAGAGCTCTTTTATATGTTTTCAGTAGTGAAACGTTGTGTACGCAACATATAAATACATAGAGGTATTAGGCATGCCAATAGAAATATATCTTATAGATTCAAAAAGAGCTTTTTTTCCTACCTTAGACTTTCAAATTCTTGATAACCTTTTAAATTATTATAACTCTTTCAGTAACCTAAGCAGTTATCAGCTACATAGCTTTAAATTTGCATACTGAAGGAAACAACTCAGGTGAAAATCAAATAGCAAAATTTACGTCATAAGGTACAAAGAGAAAAAGTCTGGTGTGCTAGAAGGAAATTAAAACAGATTTAATTGCCAATTAAACATAAAATTGTAGAAACCATAAAGGCCTTTTAAATATATACACACACACATATAATCACGCACACAAAGATCCTATAGCTTTTACTTTAGAACTTAGCCATGAGATAAATACAAATTCACTGGCTTGCAAACAAAAAACCTGTTGGAGCCAAACAGTGGTTTTTACCTTAATAGAAAAATAATAGCAGATTTAAAGCAGGCTGAAAAGAAAATAGAGAAAAAAGAGAACTTAGGAACTCCATAGTTTGCAGGTCAACCTTAGGGCTCTTTTTCCTTAATGTGAATATGCACAAAGGCCATATTATTTTCATTTTCTTTTTCTTTTTTTTTTTTTTTTTTTTTTTTTGAGACGGAGTCTCACTCTTTCGCCCAGGCTGGAGTTTAGGGGCATGATCTCAGCTCACTGCAACCTCTGCCTCCCAGGTTCAAGTGATTCTCCTGCCCCAGCCTCCTGAGTACCAGGGATTACAGGCACGAGCCACCACACCTGGCTAATTTTTGTATTTTTAGCAGAGACGGGGTTTCACCATGTTGGTCAGGCTGGTCTCGAACTCCTGACCTTGTGATCTGCCCAACCTGGGCTCCCAAAGTGCTGGGATTACAAGCATGAGCCACCACACTGGCCATCACTTCCATTTTACATAAACTCTGGCAGGTAGAAGTGCCGTAAAACCTACAGAGTGCTTCACGCCTGTAATCCCAGCACTTTGGGAGGCCAAGGTGGGCAGATCACAAGGTCAGGAGATCGAGACCATCCTGGGTAACACAGTGAAACCCCATCTCTACTAAAAATACAAAAAAAATTAGCCAGGCGTGGTGCAGGTGCCTATAGTTCCAGCTACTCAGGAGGCTGAGGCAGGAGAATGGCGTGAACCCAGGAAGCGGAGCTTGCAGTGAGCCAAGATCGCGCCACTGCACTCCAGCCTGGGTGACAGAGCGAGACTCCACCTCAAAAAAAAAAAAAACTACAGAGTGCTTAAAAAGGGGTCATTCTCCTTGTTTACTCCTCATTCTTAGATTATTTGTTTCCCACTGTTTTTCTTAAAAGGAGGAATTGAGCTGTGGCCTAGGGGTTTTGTGTGGTGGATCGATGTGTGCTGCTCATGAGCAGGACTCCACAGTGTGTCACCACTGGATCATTTCCACCCTCTTATATGTCTCAGTTTCTCCCTCCAGAGGTCCATGACCTCTGAGAGGGCTCAAAACACCAAGTGATCAGCCCTTGTATGCATTTCCTGGACAAGCCTTTTTTTAAATAACTTTTTGTTGGGGATTTCCCTATAAGGGCCACTGCACATTATGGGAGGTCAACGCACCAGACACTTCCACAAGGCCCCCAGTCACCCAGGGGCACCTTTTGGCTGGGAGGAGCAAATGCCCTTTCTCTTCAAGGCTGAGAAAACTCAGTCCCTCATTTACCTATAAAAACAACAGTTCAGTTCCTCACACAAATGCACACAGACAAGCTGAACTGAGATTAATTTTGGGAGAAAAAGCAATAGAGAAGATGCTTTAGAATACATCTCTGAACTATAATTAGGATCCTTAAACAACAACTTCCAAGGAAGAAAAAAAAAAAGAGCCAAGACCACCTCCTGTAAACTGTGCTTAGCCACCCCTAAGTTTGGAGCTCTCAGTGCCATTACACACACCAAGGTCAAATCTCCTCACAGTACAAGGTAATCTCTGGTACCCACAAAGCCAAAGAGGTCAAATCATACAATATAGGAAAACAGAACTTTAGAACTAAGAAGAATCCACCCATGACTCTTGAAACTCCACAAAGAAAACAGAACACCCCAACAGGGGTGAGTGGCACCTTTGTTCTGAGTTCTTTACAGGAGTTCAAGTCGTTAGAAGCCTTCTCCAGATTTTTTAGTAAAGCAGATGGTGAAGGGGAAAGAGGTATAGGGTGAAAGAAAAGTAAATGAAAGAACATTTGTTTGGTTTGTTTTTTTTTTTTTTTTTTTTTTTGAGACAGGAAGCAAACTCAGAAACCAAGTGCATAGTGTTTTGGGTTTGTTTTGTATTGTTTTGTTTTCCTCTTTTGCAGCTGTGAGGAATTTTAGCCAAATTAGAGAGGCTTTGTTACCCATAATTTGGAATTCTCACTTGGATTTGACCAAGTTAAGTGGAGTTGGTCAAATCTGATGGGAGAAAGACTGAAACAACCAAAAAAAAACCATATCCCCAAACAACTATTTCCTGCAACATGTAATCACTAGGGCCGTGACATGCTTGTGATGTCTTACCTCAAGTGGGCCCTGACTCTGGTCCGCAACTCCCTCATCATTTAAGCCATATCCTCTAATACACTGCCCACATTCCTCTATTCTCTCCATGTCTCCATTCCCTCTCACCTTCAGCAGATGGTATCCCCTGTTACTACTTATAACATTCAGCCTCAGCCAAGCTCCCTTCCTATCATTCTTTTCCATTCATGAATATTAGTTTCTTCACTCACCCTCTTTGCTTTTCTTCCTCTCTCTAAAGACCTCTCTTCTTGGCTAAACCCAAATCCTCCCTGGCCTCCATTCTCTAGGATCTCATCCATCATGTACATGTTCTTTCCTTTTACACTTTCACGGTTTCCCTTTCCGAGGGCTTTTCCCCCTTCTGCTGTAAGCACATTCAAGGCCCTCATCGACCTAACAAGTCCTTGGCTACTCTCCACCAAGCCCTGCAAGGTAGCATCTAACCTTTCTCCTCTTAACCAGCAAACTCTGAGAGGTACTCTAAATTCTTGACTCACTCACTCACTCTGCAGACTCTTACATCCCAGCTTCTACCTCACCAAACTTATTCACACAGCTTTCCACACTCCTGAAGATTCCAAATTGTCTCCTAACCCCAATAATCATCTTCCTGAACCTCTCAGCCACTTTGACAGTGTTGACCTTATCCACTTCTTCTGGCAACTATTTTCTACTTTGAGGGGAGACCACAGTTTAAAGCCTGATACTGTGAGTTACTCTGCCTCTCTGAGCCTATTTTCCAATTAGCAAAGTGGGAATAAAGATACTCACTGTACAGATTTTTTGTGAGCATTAAATGAGATCATACATGTAATATGCCCAGCATGTAATTGGCTGTCACTGTATGATGAAAATTCTATTTATTTTTACCTTTCCTTGGTGTCAAAGTTCCTGAGTATTCTGCCTTTCTGACCACTCCTTTGTCTTCCTCATTAGATGTCCTTATTTCTTCACTTCACCTTCCACCAAACTTATAAAGTCCCATGGTTTCAAATATCACGTCTACATGAATAACTCTAGGTCTGCCTCCAACCCTGGCTTCCCTCCCTGCTCACCCTTTTCTGATTGCCTACTGGACAACTCCCTCGGGTGTCACTTAGCACTTCAAATTCAATCAAATTAACTGTCTTAAAAATAATTAATAATAATAATAATATAAACAAAGTAATCATCTTTCCTCCAAAACCTGATTTCTACCTGATTTTCCTATTTCTGTTCATATAGCCACCATCTTTTCAATTATCTAGGTTCGAAGCCTCCTCCACATTCCTCCCTTTGTCCAAGAAAATGCTTGCCAATTCCGAGCATTTTTTGTCTCCAGAATATCTGTCATATCAACCCCATGTCGATCTATTCATATTCCTCCTTGCTCAGCAACAGTAGGCCTTCAGGATTTTTCTTTGATTTATTGCAGTGGCCTCTGAAGGGTCTTCCTCCTTCCTATTGAGCACGTTCCTATCCATTCCCAATATTTCAGTTAGAGGAATACTAATAATACTAATGCAAAGCTTTGATCAGAACACTCTTCTACCTACAAAATCCTTCAGGACTTCCAACGTAGACATGACTACCTAACTCATCCTTCTCTTCTTCTCCTAGAAAGCTTCAAGAAATAGTAAAGAAAAAAGAAAGAAAGAAAAACAATCAGACTGCATGTTAGGTGAAGCTAGGAACTATATTCCAAAATGTTTGTACATGCAGGAGCTATGCAGGAGGAAGGAGGAAGGGGTGAAAGCAGGGGAGATAGAAATTAACAGTGGCAGTCCTCACAAAGCGCCAACAGAAATATTATTCCTGGATGTGAGTGACACCCCAAGATGCAAAGTTCTCTCCTTTGTCTGGAACAGTATGTGCAAAAACAAGAGTGAGTTGGTTGGTGGCAGTAGTCCCTCCTGTCCCTGACTTATTACACAGAAATAGAGGCAGTGGGCCACGTCAGATAAGCCATGCTTACAGGAGGGAGTTTGACATTGTAGTAGACTACAGGAAGACTTCCAGTTGTGATAATTAATAACTAAACTGAAATGCTATCCTGGGCCCTTTTAAATGATAAATAATAAAAAAGGGATTAGCATAGACTGCATACAGAGATATTCTAAGAAAGAATAACAAAAGAGCAAAATCTATTAACAGAAGAATAATACTCTTTATAAAAATGTTTCTGGGTAGTCAGAAGTCTAAGTTTCAAAAACATTAAATAAACTTTTTCCCTTTTTATGTGTCTGCTTGATCAGTATTAAAGTGCTATGGCTAAAATTTTACAGAACTATATAACCCGAACGTTGGTCTCTTTGTACACACCTTTTCTATACTGCAGATCTTCATTCACTTTCATATGTGTATCATTTTTATTGTCGTGTTACTATTGTTCAATAAAAACTTTGCGATAAAAAGTGGAGAAAAATTTTTCTGGGGAACAGATGAACATTATGAATAAGTAGGTAACATAAAATTTAAAAATTTTTAATCTTATTGAAGCACTCATCTATGAAGAAATACTTAAAAGCTGAAATGCCAAAATTCAGGTAAGAGTAGATGAGGCAGCAAAAGGAGATAAAGTATGAATAGCACTCAAGAATGAAGCGGGGGAATCATCACAGAATTGCAGATGAACTGAGAAATGTTGCAAGATCAAATATACATTGTGAAAAACCCAGTGCAGGACACAGAGGATAGAAATGCGAACAAAAATGAAATGAAGTGGAAATAAAGAGTTCATGGGGATTAAAGAGAAATTATATGACAGAAAGTGGAGATCCAACAAAAGCATAACTGGTCTCCAAAGAAGGAAACCGAAAAAATGAATCAAAACAAATTTTTAAAATATAAGTACATAATTTAAAATATAATTTAGATATGTTTTCATTTTTAAAAAATATTAAACTTGATCTAGATATTGAAGGAGCCACCTTATGCCAGGAAGAACTGACCCACAATCATCAATGCCCAGAAAGATCCTAATAAAGTTACTAAACTTCAGAGAAAAATAAAGGATACCCTGGGCCTCCAGGCAAAATGACCAAGTCTTTTATGAGGGGAAAAATTGAGCTGGCCTTAGACTTTCTTTTTCCTCTTTTAACTTTTATTTTAGGTTTGGGGGTACATGTCCAGGTTTGTTACATGGGCAAATTGCATGCCCCTGTGGTTTTGTGTACAAATCATTTCATCATCCAGGTAGCAGTGAGCATAGTACTCAATGGGTAGTTTTTCAGTCTTCACCCTCCTCCCACCCTCCACCCTCAAGTAAGTCCTGGTGTCTCTTGTTCTCCCCTTTGTGTCCATGTGTACTCAATGTTTAGCATCCACTTATAAGTGAGAACATTGACATTTGGTTTTCTGTTCCTGTGTTAATTTGCTTAGAATAATGGCCTCCAGCTGCATCCATATTGCTGCAAAGGACACGATTTCATTCTTTCTTAAGGCTGTGTAATATTCCATTGTGTATATATACCGTATTTTCTTTATCCAATTCACCATTAATGGGCAGGGTTGATTCCATGTCTCTGCTATTGCAAAAAGTGCTGTGATAAAAATTCATGTGCATGTGTCTTTATGGTAGAAAAATTAATATTCCTTTGAGTGTATGCCCAGTAATGGGATTGCTGGGTTGAATGGTAGTTCTAAGTTCTTTGAGATATCTCTGGACTGCTTTCCACAGGAAGTGAGCTAATTTACATTCCCATTACATTATAATAATGCTTATTATAGCAGTATATAAGCATTCCCTTTTCTTTGCAACCTCACCAAAATCTGTTATTTTTTGACTTTTTAGTACTAGCCATTCTGAATGGCTTCAGATAGTATCTCATTTTGGTTTTGATTTGCATTTTTCTAACGATAGTGATACTGAGCATTTTCCCCATGATTATTGGCCACATGTATACACTTCTTTTAAGAAGTATCTGTTAAGCTGGGTGTGATGGCTCACACCTGTAATCCCAGCACTTTAGGAAGCTGAGGCTAGCAGATTGCTTGAGGTCAGGAGTTCGAGACCAACTCGGCCAACATGGCAAAACACTGTCTCTACTAAAAATACAAAAATTAGCCAGGCATGGTGGCAAACACCTGTAATCCCAGCTACTCGGGAGGCTGAGGCAGGAGAATTGCTTGAACCTGGGAGGCAGAGGTTGCAGTCAGCTGAGATTGAGCCATTCCACTCCAGCCTGGGTGACAGAGTGAGACTCCATCTCAAAAAAAAAAAAAAGTGTCTGTTCATGTCTTTTGCCCATCTTTAAATGAGGTTGTTTTTACTTGTTGATTTGTTTAAGTTCCTTATATATTCTGGATATTAGACCTTTGTTGGATGTATAATTTGCAAATATTTTCTCATATTCTTTAGGTTGTCCATTTACTCTGTTGATAGTTTATTTTGTTGTGCAGAAGCTCCTTAGGTTAATTAGGTCTCATTGTCTAATTTGGTTTTGTTGCAATTGCTTTTGGAGTCTTTGTCATGAAATCTGTGCCAGGTGCTATGTCCAGAATTATACGTCCTAGGTTTTCTCTTGGGATTTTCATAGTTTTAGGTTTTATATTTAAGTCTTTAATCCATCTTGAGTTGATTTTTGTATATAGTGAAACGAAGGGGTCCAGTTTCAATCTTTTGCATGTGGCTAACCAGTTATCCCAGCTCCATTTACTGAATAGAGAGTCCTTGCCCTATTGCTTGTTAGTGTTGACTTTGTCAAAGATCTGATTCCTGTAGGTATGTGGCTTTATTTCTGGGTTCTCTAACCTGTTCCACTGGTTTACGTGTCTTTTTTTTTTGTACTAGTATGATGCTGGTTTTGTTATTATAGCCTTGTAGTATAGTTTGAAGTCAGGTAGTGTGATGCCTCCAGCTTTATTCTTTTTGCTTAAGATTGTTTTGGCTATTCAGGCTCTTTTTGGGTTGCATATTAAATTTAGAATAGGTTTTCCTTTGCTTTTTTTCTGAGATGTGATTTCACTCTGATGCCCAGGCTGCCATGATCATGGCTTACTGCAGCCTTGACCTCCCAGGCTCAAGTGATCCTCCCATCTCGGCCTCCCAAGTGGCTGGGACCACAAGTACATGCCACCATGCCTGTCAACTATTTTGTATTACTTATAGAGATGAGGTCTCCCTATGTTGCCCAGGCTGGTCTCAAACTCCTGGGCTCAAGTGATCTTCCTGCCTCCATCTCCCAAAATGCTGGTAATACAGGCATAAGCCACCAAACCTGGCCAGTTTTTTCTAATTCCATGAAAAATTACACTGGTAGTTTGATACAGATAGCACTGAATCTGCACGTTGCTTTGAGTAGTATGGCCATTTTAACAATAGTAATAATTCCTATCCATGAGCATGTAATGTTTTTCCATTTGTTTATGTTGTCTCTGATTACTTTCAACAGTGTTTTATAATTCTTGCTATAGAGATCTTTCACCTCCCTTGTTTGCTAGGTATTCCTAAATACTTTATTCTTTTTATAGCTATTGTGACTGATATTGCATTCTTGATTTGTCTCTCAGCTTGGACATTATTGGTGTATAGAATACTACTGATTTTTATACATTTATTTTGTATTCTGAAACTTTACTGAAGTTGTTTATCAGTTCTTGGAGCCTTTGGGCATAGACCATGGGATTTTCTATGTATAGAATCATATTGTCTGTGAACAAAGATAGTTTGACTTCCTCTCTTCCTATTGGGATGCCTTTTATTTCCTTCTTTTTGGCTGATTGCTCTGTCAAGGGCTTCTAGTACTATGTTGAATAGAAGTAGTGAGAGTGGGCATCCTTGTCTTGTTCCAGTTCTCAAGGGGAATGCTTCCAGCTTTCGCCTGTTCAGTATGATGGTGGCTGTAGGTTTATCATAGATGGCTCTTATTCTTTTGAGGTATGTTCCTTCAATGCCTAGTTTGTTGAAGGTTTTTAACATAAAGGGATGTTGAATTCTGTTGGAAGCTTTTTCTGTGTCTATTAAGATTATCATGTGTTTTTTGTTTTTAGTTCTGTTTATGTGGTGAATCACATTTATTTATTTTTGTATGGTGAACCAACCTTGCATCCCAGGAAAGAAGCCTACTTGATCATGATGGATAAGTTTTTTGATGTGCTGCTGGATTCAGCTTGCTAGTATTTTGTTAAGAATTTTTGCTTCTGTGTTCATTAGGGATATTGGCCTGAAGTTTTCTTTTTTTTCATTGTGTCTCTGCCAGGTTTGGTTATGAATGATGCTGACCTCATAAAATGAGTTAAGGAAGCATCATTCCTCTTCAATTTTTGGAATATTTTCAGTAGGATTGGTACCACCTCTTATTTATATGTCTAATAAAATTTGGCTGTGAATCTCGCTGGTCCAGGGCATTTTCTTGTTGGTAGATTTTTTGTTACTAATTCAATTTCAGAACTTGCTATTGCTCTGTTCAGGTATTCAGTTTCTTCCTGGTTCAATCTTGGGAGGTTGTATGTTACAAGGAATTTATCAATTTCTTCTAGGTTTCTAGTTCTTGTGCATAGAGGTGTCCCTAATAGACTCTGAGGGTTTTTTTTTTTTTTTTGTACTTCCATGGGGTCAGTGGTAATGTCATCTTTGTCATTTCTGATTGTGTTTATTTGGATCTTCTCTCTTTTTTCTTTATTAGTCTAGCTAGTGGTCTATCAATCTTATGTATTTTTTCAAAAAACCAACTCTTAGTTCCACTGCTTTTTTTTTATTATTATACTTTAAGTTCTGGGATACATGTGCAGAACATGCAGGTTTGTTACATAGGGATACATGTGCCATGCTGGTTTGCTGCACCTATCAACCCATAGTCTACATTAGATATTTCTCCTAATGCTATCCCTCCCCTAGCCCCTCACCCCCTAACAGGCCCTGGCGTGTGATGTTTTCCTCCCTGTGCCCATGTGTTCTCATTGTTCAACTCCCACTATGAGTGAGAACATTCAGTGTTTGGTTTTCTGCTCCTGTGTTAGTTTGCTGAGAATGATGGTTTCCAGATTCATCCATGTCCCTGCAAAGGTCATGAACTCATCCTTTTCTATGGTTGCATAGTATTCCATAGTGTATATGTGCCACATTTTCTTTATCCAGTCTATCATTGATGGGCACTGGGGTTGGTTCCAAGTCTTTGCTATTGTGAATAGTGCTTCAATAAACATGTGTGCATGTGTCTTCATAGAATGATTTATAATCCTTTGGGTACATACCCAGTAATGGGATTGCTGGGTCAAATGGTATTTCTGGTTCTAGATCCTTGAGGAATCGCCACACTGTCTTCCACAATGGTTGAACTAATTTACACTCCCAACAGTGAAAAAGCGTTCCTATTTCTCCACATCCTTTCCAGCATCTGTTGTTTCCTGACTTTTTAATGATTGCCATTCTAACTGGCGTGAGTTGTTATCTCATTGTGGTTTTGATTTGCCTTTCTCTAATGACCAGTGATGATCAACTTTTTTCATATGTTTGTTGGCTGCATAAATGTCTTCTTCTGAGAAGTGTCTCTTCATATCCTTTGCCCACTTTTTGATCAGGTTGTTTTTTTCTTGTAAATTTGTTTAAGTTCCTTATAGATTCTGGATATTAGCCCTTTGTCAGATGCACAGATTGCAAAAATTTTCTCCCATTCTGTAGGTTGCCTGATCACTCTGATGATAGTTTTATTTATTTTTTTTATTTTTTTTTTTTGCTGTGAAGAAGCTCTTTAGTTTAATTACATCCCATTTATCAATTTTGGCTTTTGTTGCCATTGCTTTTGGTGTTTTAGTCAGGAAGTCTTTGCCCATGCCTGTGTCCTGGATGGTATTGCCTAGGTTTTCTTCTAGGGTTTTTATGGTTTTAGGTTATATGTTTAAGTCTTTAATCCACCTTGAGTTAATTTTTGTATAAGGTGTAACAAAGGGGTCCAGTTTCAGTTTTCTGCATATGGCTAGCCAGTTTTTCCAACACCATTTATTAAATAGGGAATCCTTTCCCCATTGCTTGTTTTTGTCAGGTTTGTCAAAGATCAGATGGTTGTAGATGTGTGGCACTATTTCTGAGGCCTCTGCTCTGTTCCATTGATATATATATCTGTTTTGGTACCAGTGCCATGCTGTTTTGGTTACTGTAGCCTTGTAGTATAGCTTGAAGATGGGAAGTGTGATGCCTCCAGGTTTGTTATTTTTGCTTAGGATTGTCTTGGTTATGCAGGCTCTTTTTTGGTTCCATAAGAAACTTAAGATAGTTTTTTCTAATTCTGTGAAGAAAGTCAATGGTAGCTTGATGGTAATAGCATTGAATCTGTAAATTACTTTGGGCAGTATGGCCATTTTCACAATATTGATTCTTCCTATCCAGGAGCAAGGAATGTTTTTCCATTTGTCTGTGTCCTCTCTTATTTCCTTGAGCAGTGGTTTATAGTTCTCCTTGAACAGGTCCTTCACATCCCTTGTAAGTTGTATTCCTAAGTATTTTATTCTCTTTGTAGCAATTGTGAATGGGAGTTCACTCATGATTTGGCTTTCTGTTTGTCTATTATTGAGGTATAGAAATACTTGTGGTTTTTGCACATTGATTTTGTATCCTGAGACTTTGCCAAAGTTTCTTATCAGCTAAAGGAGATTTGAGGCTGAAACAATGGGGCTTTCTGAATATAAAATCATGTCATCTGCAAACAGAAACAATTTGACTTCCTCTCTTCCTGTTTGAATACCCCTTATTTCTTTCTCTTGCCTGATTTCCCTGGCCAGAACTTCCAGTACTATGTTGAATAGGAGTGGTGAGAGAGGGCATACTTGTCTTGTGCCAGTTTTCAAAGGGAATACTTCCAGCTTTTGCCCATTCAGTATGATATTGGCTGTGGGTTTGTCATAAATGGTTTTTATTATTTTGAGATACATTCCATCAATACCTAGTTTATTGAGAGTTTTTAGCATGAAGGGGTGTTGAATTTTATTGAAGGCCTTTTCTGCATCTATTGAGATAATCATGTGGTTTTTGTCGTTGGTTGTCCAATGACTCCATATTCAGCCCTCATTTCAGGAGGGCAGCCGGGCCAGCAGATTGCTCCAGCCAATTAGCAAAATACTTCTATTGTGGGGACATGCAAGGTCGGGTAGCCAGAATGGTTCTGCTACATTGATGTGTTTGTATAAGCATAGGTCCCACATACCCTAGGAGTGGCACTGCTCCTTCACAGCACTTCTACAATCTGAAAGTATGCTGTTCATGAGTTTATTTGCTTACTTCCGAGTACTTCCCCACCACCAGTAGGATGTAAGCTCTGTGAAGAGGTTGACCTTAGCTACCTTGTTTGTCATTGGACGTTCAATGACAAATCAGTTCCCAGCAGAGAGAGTATTCAATAAATATCTGTTGATGAGATAAATGAATTACTGCATGAAATAATGTATTTAATTACAGACTTCTCTTCTCCTCTAGACTGTAAGCTCTCAAGACAAAGTATTCTGCTTTATATGTCTCGGTCCTCATGCTGGCATACTGCCTCCCATATAAGGAGGCATGAAATCAGTATCTTTGAACGCATAAGTAAATGAACAGATGAATGAGTGAATGAATGAACATATGCTATCTACACTAGAAGTTCTTAATTTTATCCTCACATTAGAATCATTGGGGAACTTTTAAAAACCGCAATGCCCAGGACCAATTAAACTAGAATCTGTGGGGCTGTGCCCCAGGCATGAGTATATTTTAAAGCTCTTTAGGCAATTCCAAGTGCACAGCCATAGTCGAGAATAGGGTGACCAGCCACTAGGTTTATTCAGGATTGACACATCTCCCAGAGTGCAGGAATTTAAATGCTAACACTGTGACTACACTGGGCAAGCCTGGATGGCTGGTCACCTTAGCCGAGAACCACTGATCCAAACTGTCACCCACGGCCATTCTTGAGTGATGTATTTTCAATTTTTGAAAGTCAAGACTCATTGGTTTCATGCTTTCATTTGACACTTGCCTAATTACATTCAGGCCTGTAGCTCACCTTGACCTCAATAACTGCTTCCTGCTATGTGTTCCTGTTCAGGCTCGTGCTGCTATTATTGACTTGGGTGACATACTAATTTGCAACATACAAATGGCAAAGGGAATGATTAAACTATTCCAGCAAGTCAGCACCAACCAGTAGACCAGCTAAAGAAGCAAAGAAACATGTAAAGTGCTACCTTTCCAAATGCAATCGCAATGAGCCTTCACTTCTTTTCCTCTCCAAATTGATGACAGAACATTTTGACACATTTCTACTTATCACTTGTGTATGCCAGTTACCCTGGTATGAGTGTGCAGTCCCTGTTGTTACCTGAGGAGATAATTTTTAATGGAAAATTCCACGTGAGAGCTGAAATGATATTCATCATTGTAAACACTAATAAATTTACTCCAAGTATGTGGTCGATAATAAGCCCATCAATGTGTGGACACCAGAATCAGAAATGCTCTTCAACCTACGAAGGGAACAGAGCACCACAGCTCTTGAGGGCCTTGTTACTCAAATCATGGCCCCAGATCAGCAGCAGCGGCCTCACCTGGGAGCTGGTTAGAAACACAGAACCTTAGGCTCCACCCAAGAGCTACTGAATCACAAGGTCTGCAGCTGGGACCCAAGAACCTGTGTCTTAAAAAGTTCTCCGAATTGTACTTATGCATGCTAAAATTTGAGAAGTGTTCACTTAGCAAACATTTTTTGCCTAATTTATAACGTCAGTATCTCAGAGCCCAGAGGGAAGAGGCGAGGGTAAGCAGGAAAGGAGGCACACAGCGCAGTAATTCCCAGCCTCTGGACATTGGCTGCACATTGGAAGCACATGGAGAGCTTTAAAAATATCCGCGCCTGGATCCCATCCCAAGCAACATGATTTAATTGGTATGGGATGCACCCTGAGCGAAGCTCCCCAGGTGATTCTAATGTGCAGCAAAGTTTTGGAATCACTGATGTAAGTTAACGACCAGGAACCCTGCCCCACCTCCTCATTGTTTCTGGCCTTGACTGCTGGCGAACCCAGAGGAATGAACAGCATACACATTTGCTATATTTCTTTCCTAAACATCAGAAGCAGCAATGATGAAGAGGAATTCTCTGGATCTGACTCTCACCTCTAGTTTGCTGAATACTTCTTCCATTTACCCTGTTAGTAGCTGTTTTATCTTTGGCTGTTCCACCTCCCTGGATCTCAGTAGTCTCATATGTTTCAATGAGACAGGAGACAATAAGACCCAGTCCCCAGATTAACTGGGATGTTACATATGACATATGGAAGTGCCTAATACTTTGCCCAGCACATGTTTGATGTTTAAAAACTCTGAGCTGAGGAAGGTTGTCTCTTTATCCTCCTCCCCGATCGTGAGATATCCAGCAGCATGAAGCTTGGCAATTATTTAGGGGTGTCTCTTCCTCAGTGCACTAAGGGTGTTGGTGAACTGTGAAAAACCTGTTTAAACAGAAATCACTTATACAATCTCATTTCAGTCTCACACCCCAGCCATGTAAACTGGATATTTATTGCCTCCATTTCACAAATAATCAACAGTGGCTGAGAGGAGCCACAGGGACTCTCACTTGGGCCCCCTGCCTGGAGCCTAATGTTGCTTTCGTTACTGCACTGCCTCCATTTCCAGCTTCCCCTCCAGCTGCTTGGCAGGCTGCCTCTATGGACAGGATGCATTCACCTAGATGAGCTCTGGGCCAATAGCACTTACTGTGATGATAGAAATGTTCTGTATCTGTGCTTTCCAGTTCAGTAGTCACTAGCCACATGGAACTATTAAGTTCTTAAAATGTGGCTAGCCTGACTGAGGAATTATAACTTTAATTTTATTTAATTTTGATTAATTTAAACTTAGCCACCTGTGAACCGCACAGCTCTAGAGACAGAATCTGGAGAAAAATAAGAACCTGGGAAATAGTTCCAATGGTTTCTACCCACAAATCAAAGTAAACCTAAGCCGCTGGTTTGCCTCTCTGTTAAAAGACCTTCCTAACTCTTTTTCAGAAAAGTGGCAAGTTGGTACGCTAGTTGATGAGAGCACCCTCCCCATGCAAAATACTATTCAAGTGATGCCTTGAAACCAGTGATTGGCCAGCAGAAGCAAAATGTGTGGTAGAGCAGAGTTTCTCAAACTTGAGTGTGTGCACAAGTCATCTGGGATCTTGTGAAAATACGGATTCTGGTTTAGTGGGTCGGGGACAGGGTCTGAGACTTGCATTTCAAAGAAGCACCAGGGTGGCACTGCTGCAGCTGCTCTGTGAACCACACTTTGCCTAGCCAGACGGTAGAGCAATGCTGCTCACCAGGCCAGTTTTGCCTCCCTTCACACATGGGGGCATTTGGCAATGTCTGGAGACATTTTTGAGCATCATGTCTGGAAGGATGGGGGTGGGAAAATGCTATTGACATCTACTGGGTTCAGTCAAGGCGTGCTATTAATAATCTACAATGAACTTGTATGCATGCATCAAAATATCACATGCATACCATAAACATGTACAATTATTATATATCAAAAAAGCATGGAGTTTCAAAGACCTTCTTTTTAAAAAGTTTTTAAAAATGTAATAATAATAATAATCTACAATATACAGGAGAGCCCTGTGACAAAGAGTTACCCAAAATGTTAATAATACCAAGTTTGAGAAACCTGCTGTATAGCCAAGCAGGCTCTTTGGGAATAGGGGCATTAATGGCAGAGGGATGGAGCAGGCGCTCTTGGTGTAATAACTGATCGTCGTTTTCTCTCTTCCACTCTTTTCTCCCACTTGTCCTCACACAGGAGCCAATGCCTCGGCCCCAGACCAACTGAGCTTAGCTTTAGCCTGGAACAGAGTCGACATCGCTCGCAGCCAGATCTTTATTTACGGGCAACAGTGGCCGGTAGAGTATATATCGTCTCCCATGAAAAGCCCACTTTGGTTGGCCAAGGGTATTTGTTTAAGGAGCCTCTGAGGTCAGCTCAGAAAACGATTGCTTTTTCTTTAAGATGGAATGTGTTCCTTGGTAGCAAAGTCTGTATCCTGAGCTCCCTTTCTCATATTTAGGAAAGCACCGCCATCTAGTGGAAATTTCAACTGAACACAACTCCAAATATTTCCATCTCTATGAGTTGTCTTTAATAGCAATTTTCAGCTGCAAATGATGCCATTTATTTGAATACATCTGAAAAAATATAAGACAAATCTGTATTAACTAAAATTAAGGAAGGGGTAGAATTATTAATTTGCTTCTGATTGTCTTTGATGGGGCAAAGGGAAGGGTCACACCTCAGGATGCAGAATTAGCAGGCTTCCCTCTGCAGGCGCCATCTGGTCCTGGTGACTGAGCACAGGTCCTCCCTATTTGCAAAGAACAACATGAGGAAACCAATGCTTTATATAACTGTTCTTGGTTTGCTTCCCTCAATTGACTCTACCAAAAATAAAAATTTGAGAGATTGGCCATCAGGTGGGATATGTATGCATCCACAGGAGGCAGCCCAGCAGCCTGAAACTCGGTTTCTGTGCCTGGAATCACAGCACTCACCGGCAAGCCTTATCTTACTCCTTCCTTTCCCCTAGAGAGTTTCTGCCTGGGATGGAGCCCCTGTCTTCATTCAGTGCTGGTGGATTGCTAACATGGAAAGATTTGTCAGAGTCTAGACCCTGCAACATTTTTGTGAAATGGATTAAATAAAAATCTAAGCTATTGGCAAATCCAGAAAGTAGGCTGGTTGTTCTGTTTTGTTATGTTTTTGTTTTGTTTTCAGTTAAGTGACATCTTTGTGGTCTTGCTTCTACAGAGACCCAGCATTGATTTAGGGCCTTTGGTCTGTTGACTTGGGTCCCTCTTCTCAAGTTGGCCTGGGGTCTCCCTCAGAGCCTAAGGATAACAAAAATGAAGACAGCAAAAGTGCCCCCTTTGACACTTCGCTGGTGTTGAGAAATTTAATCAGATAATTGCAAGGGGAAAAACCTTGTGAACCCTTGCACCTTCTTGGGATCCAGAACAAGAGATTCAGGGAAGAAATAGTTTTTGGAACTAGAAATGCTTGACTTCTATTTGCAAAGACAGGCACCCAAACATGGGAGAGGTGTGGCTGTCCCAAAAGTGAATCTGTGAACAGTCTTGCTAGCATGTTCTTAGATGTGCTGAAGGTTTACCAGATGTCAAAGGCATCCATTTCTAAGCTGTTCAAGTGAACACTAAAGAACTGCATCCATAGATAGACCCTGGGGCAGACTAACTCAGTGACTTGGTTTGCAGGTGGGATCTCTGGAGCAAGCCATGTTGGATGCCTTAGTTCTGGACAGAGTGGATTTTGTGAAATTACTCATAGAGAATGGAGTAAGCATGCACCGTTTTCTCACCATCTCCAGACTAGAGGAATTGTACAATACGGTAGGGCCAAACTAAGGCACTTTTTATTTTCTTTTTTTTCTGTTTGTTTTACCTTCTCCTGCCCCCCATATGCCTGTGATTCTCTTCCCTTCTCCCGTCCAAATGCATGGTTCATTCATCACAAATACTCCCTTAGACCTACATAGATGACAAACACCAAGTCACCAAGATTCCGCTTGTTTTAATTGCTCAGTTGTCAGCATGTAAGGCAAAAAGTTATGTAATAACCTAAGTGTATCATTCTCATATTCTTATACAAAGCCACAAGGCTCTGGAAATGAGAACACAGTTTGTTCTGTAAGCCCAGAGGGTGTTAGAGGCAATTAGCAAAGGAGGGTTGGTTTAACTCTAAGCATCACAAAAGGCTGATTAAGTAACCTGCGCCATTTTTTATCCTCAGAGCTATGAAGTTCATTCTTCATAGTTCAGCTATAAAGTGGAAGAAAAGGTAAAATATCTCTTTTTTGAGTCACTCAAAAATTTTGGTTTTGTTTTGTTTTGTTTTTTAGCTTAGTAATGATTTGTTAATTTACTCACTAGGGATACCAAGGAGTAATCATAGGTAAAACTACTGTTTATGAAGTTATTGAGAGCATTCACATGAGTTAAGTGCATTGGCTCTGAGCTCATACTAAAATCCAGTGAAGTTTAAAGAGCAGAAATTTTTCCCCATTTACCAAATGAGGAAACTGAGGCTGTCTTAGTCCATTTGTACTATGATAATAAGATGCCTTAGACTCAGTAATTTATAAACAACAGAAATTTATTTCTCTGGGTTCTGGAGGCTGGAGAGTCTAAAATCAAGGCTCTGGCAAGTTCAGTGTCTGGCGAAGGTTGCTTTTTGCTTCCAAAATGGCACCTTGTTTTGCCATTCTCCAGAAGGGACAAATGCTGTGTCCTCACAAGGCAGAAGAGACAGAGGGCAAAAGGCCTGAATGTTGTGTGAAGCTTCTCTTATAATGGCCTTAATCCCCCTCACAAAGGAGGAACCCTCAGGACCTAATCACCTCCCAAAGGTCCCACTTCTTTTCTATTATTATTATTGTGATTATTATTATACTTTAAGTTCTGGGATACATTTGCAGAACGTGCAGGTTCATTACACAGGTATACACGTTAAAGGCCCCACTTCTTAATACTAGTACATTGGAAATTAACTTTCAACATGAATTCTGGAGAGGACACAAACATTCAAACCATAGCAGAGGCCAAGGTGAATTCAAGGTCACAAAACTCCTAAGAAAGCCAGTAAGTACCGAACCCAAGCTTCTGTCTCTAAGATTATTCTACCCCTCATTTTTCACAATGCCTCTGTCCCATCACGCAGAGGGCAAGCAGGATGGAGCTTATTTCCTGTCCCCAGCCAGTAGTAGTTGTTAGATGGTGCCACGCTGGCACCATCTGCAAAAAATAGAAACGGGTTAGCAGAATGTCTCCTAGTCTCTGTTTTCTCCAGAGACTTTTCTTGGTTCAGCATACTGAGACTTTCAGGAAGAATAATGGGTTTTCAATTAAAAAAAATAAATAAATAAAGACAAGCATTGAATGGTCTATCAATTAGAGAATCAAGGGAGTAATTTATTCCAAAGACTGGGGAGTGGGGGTGGGTAGGAAAATTCTAGACTGAGGAAGGCCAGTAAGTTTGATCACTTCAGTCTGCTGGTGGTGGCTTCCCGGAATACTTTGTTGAGGATTATGGAACAGTAAATAGCCTCAGTAATAATAATAGCTAACACTAATTGGCATTAAGCACCATTTTTAATAGCTTTATAAACATTATATCATTTAATCCTCACAACAACCCCATCAGATAAAGTGATACTGTCATTCCCATTTTAAAGATGATAAAACTGAGTCACAGTTAAGTTGCTTGCCCACGTTCAGAGCCAGTAAGCAGCAGAGGTGTAGAGCCAGGCACTCTGACTCCAGAGTCTGTAGGCTAAATCACTGCACAATCCAGCATCCCCTCAGTGGAAAAAGAGCTCTGATGGGCACGTCCACATGAATGGGCAGGTCGTTGCCGCATTTCATAGACCTGTCTCAATACTTGAATGGTTGCAACAGTGCTTAAGAATTTGCCATTGGTTGGGCGCAGTGGCCTCCCAGCACTTTGGGAGGCCAAGGCGGATGGATCACTTGAGGTCAGGAGTTTGAGACCAGCCTGGCCAACATGATGAAACTCCGTCTCTACTAAAAATACAAAATTTAGCTGGGCATGGTGGTGCACATCTGTAATCCCAGCTACTCCAGAGGCTGAGACAGGAGAATATCTTGAACCCTGGAGGTGGAGGTTGCAGTGAGCTGAGATCACACCACCGCACTCCAGCCCAGGTGACAGAGCGAGACTAACTAAAAAAAAAAAAAAAAGCCATCACTATTTTAGATTATCTAATCATCTCACCAGATTTAGCAAATAAAATACAGGATGCCCAGTTAAATGTGAATTTCAGATTAACAACAGACAATTTTGTTATATCCCAAAGATTGCATGGGACATACTTAGATTAAAATTGTACATTGTTTATCTGAAATTCAAATTTAATTAGGCATCTTGGATTTTATCTGACATTCCTATTCCTGAAAGACAATAGAATGGCAACTTATTTCACTTTATATTTACCTCAAACAAACATCCGTCTTTTTTACAAAACTCTCTTTTTCCCAAACAGTCTGTGGCTTTTTCTTTAAATCAAGTTACAGCAAACTGTCATCGAAATCCAGCCTGCTGCCTGTTTCTGTATGGGCTGCAAGCTAAGATTTTTTTTTTTTTTTTACATTTTTAATGGTTGAAACAATCAAAAGAAAAATGCTATATTCTATGACACATTAAAATAATATGAAATTTGACTTTCTGTGCCCATAATTAAAATTTCATTGAATCATAACCAAGCTCATTTGTTACATATGATCTATGGCTACTTGCACATTACAACAGCAGAGTTGAACAGTTTCAGTAAAGACCGTGTGACCCACAAAGTCTAATTTACTCTCAGGCCTTTTACAGAAAAAGTTGGCCAACCCTTTTCTTGGACAATTTCTCATTCATGATGGGTAATAAACAAGTTGTGATGGCAGAATGCCCAAGTGTATTTCCAGTGCGGTCAATGGGTCCTTTTGTTCTCCCACCCTCATCCCAGCCCCCGGCTGCAAAACTGGCTTCTTCCATCATATTTTGGCCTAGCTGTCAACAGAGTTGACAACCTCCCTTACAAAGTTTGAACCTAGAATCTCAAATACATTTGCTTGAGGAAATACAATTCAAAAATCTGCCAACGTGTTTGTTTAGAAGAAACAGGTATGGCCAGTATGGTAGCTTATGCCTATAATCCCAGCACTTTGGGAGGCTGAGGTGGGAGGATTGCTTGAGGCCAGGAATTCAAGACCAGCCTGGGCAACATAGTGAGACCCCCATCTTTAAAAAAAAAAAAATTTTATCAAAAGCATTAGCCAGGCATGGTGTTGTGTACCTGTAGTCCCAGCTACTCAGGAGGCTAAGGTGAGCCCAAGAGTTCGAGGCTGCAGTGAGCTGTGATTATGCCGTTGCACTCCAGCCTGGGTAACAGAAGACCCTGTATCAAAAAAAAAAAAAAAAAAAAATCACTGACAAAGCTTTTCATCTGCAAATGGGGACAATTTAAAAGAAAGAAAGAAAAGGCAGATACACTGAGCAACTAGAACAAGGTCCATCTTAATGAACTGCCCTCCACCAGCCAGCACCCTTCCTTCTAGATCCTTCTTGTCTTGCCAACCAGAGCCCCTGACTAGCAAAACTGTTTGATTCTTCTTTATTGTTTTCAGAGACATGGGCCCTCAAATACATTGTACCACTTGGTCAGGGATGTCAAAAAGGTAAGAACCCTCTCGACTGCAGGTCGGAGGCCCTGTCTTGACTGCTTCCTGTGATTAGAGAGTGCCTCTGTTTTGCATGAGCTGCCAGAGTATTCCTGTCCCTATCAGGCGCCACTCATTTCAGAACAGTGTGTGTGTGTGTGTGTGTGTATGTGTCTTTTAACTCTGATGCTTCTGTTCATGATGCAGCTGTGGTGTTATCTCCAATCGCCGTGCTTTTAGATGCTTTTGGTGGACATAATGCTTTTGGGTAGCGGAACTCTTGGCTTTCCCCGTGCCAAGTGGATTTATGCCATACCTGTATTTTTCCATATGCCCCTCACTGTTTGGGGAGCTGCCTGACTGACCACAAGAGTAAATCTTCATTCACCAGCTCCTGATACAATGTCACATCTAGCATTACATAGAGTGTAGTAAGCATAGCTCCAAATTTTCTAAAAACAGGGACTAAAACATAAATATGCATTCCATTCTTCTAACATTCTATTTTTTCCAGAATATTTTTTCACACTTTTCATCTCATTAGATGGGAAAAAAATGTTGGTAGGTATGGATCGGGTAGAATTATTTTCATTTTACAGATGAGGAAGCCGAACTACAAGGAGATGAGAGCTATATTGGCATTTAGTGAAGAGCTAGGTTTAAAGTTCAGTTCATTTTATTAATAATGATAAAATAATAATAGTCATGAGCTAGTGATGACTAGGTGCACAGCATTGCTGCATACTTTCAGTGCATCTTAATTCATTTAATCTTCACAACAATTCTATGAAATAGAATTATTATTTTATTATTATAGGCTAGGCACAGAGACTCATGCCTGTAATCCCAGCACTTTGGAGGCCCAAGGTGGGTGGATCACCTAAGGTCGAGTTCAAGGCCAGCCTGGTCTGGTTAACATGGTGAAACCCTGTCTCTACTAAAAATACAAAAATTAGCTTGGCATGGTGGTGTGTGCCTGTAAGCTCAGCTACTTGGGAGGCTGAGGCAGGAGAATCACTTGAACCCGGGAGGTGGAGGCTGCAGTGAGCCAAGATCGTGCCACTGCACTCCAGCCTGAACAACAGAGTGAGATTCCATCAAAAAATTATTATTTTATTATTATAATACAGTTTTATTCCCACTTAAAGACAAGAAGAATGAAGTATAGGGAGATTCTGTTTAATCTTAGCCAAGTGGTTGTTCTTTTGCCCCATATTATCTCCTTCAGAGGTAGCTTGAGTTCTGAACCCTTAAATCCATCCCAGAAAGTGATGTTTTAATTCCAAAAAATAAAACAGAAGATGGCACTGCCCCCGCCCCTTACCTATGTGCCCATACATGTATGCACACATTTGCCCACTATCGCCACTTGGTAACAATTCTTCACCAAAGTCCACAGGACATATTCAGAGAAACCTACAAAGTGAAGTCAAAAATACAGTATGATTTCTTCATCTCACAGGAAGTGATTGGCTAGAATTGCCCTTAGGCATCCTGTAACTACTTTTTTATTTTTCCTTTGAAAGGCCAAGCAAAGGCCTTGGGGCTACTTATAATGTACCTATTCACCTGCTGGATCTTTGCTAAGAATGAGTAAAGGATATAAAAATAACACACAGAAAATCAAAATCTCCATCCTTTGGCCCTTGCAAACTTTCCTCCCATCTCTATACCACCTTAATGAAGGATTTTTCATCTACTTGAGTGGGTGAAGCCTGTAGTTTTTTCAAAACAAGAGGGGAAAACACTATGCAATCTGTACTCCCAACTCAACAACCACTTTCCTGAGATTGTGTCTTTCACTGGTCTACCCATTCCATGCCATCGTAGTAGATCTACCCTCAACAAACCCATTTCTCTTTCCTTTGAACCTTCCGGTTTTGTCTAATTCATCCTGGCTTAAAATTGCCTGAAAACTAAACTCAGAAGAGTAGAAGTAGACACATTCGATGTGTCTTCTTCAGAGAGATAGTTGTTGCTCATGTTCAACCAAATGTTTTGAGTTTTTCTAAAGTAATGACTTGGAGTATTCTCTCCTTCACCTTAAGTTAATCTCTGTCCCTGAAGGAATTGTGAGGTTTTCTAAAGAGACAGCTATGCCTTTGTCCCTCAATCCCAGTCATCACCAACCCAAACCTTTAAAAAGAGTCGCTCATCCAATTCAATGACCCAGCCTCCCAGCAATAAGGTCTTGTCTAATTTTCAAAGGGATTTTTGCAGTTAGATTTCACTGAGTATAAATTATTAAAATCCCTCTCATTACTTTCTTTTCCCCATAGGACTCTGCTTTGCAATATTGTTTTCTCTTTTCTGAAATCCCTTGAGCTGCCTTTTGCATTTGCTCACGTCACTTGTATGATTAGAAGGCATGTAAAGTATCTCTAAGGTAGGGTTTTTTGTAGCTTCTCAGCTAAAGATGTACCTGAAAAATAATATAGACTAACAAGAAAGAACAGGATGGTAAGAATTTGGGAGGAAGAAGGAATAAAAGCAGCTTTTTTTTTTCCTTTTAAGTATGATCCAAATATTAGAGCAAGAAAATCATTATATAAGCATGCAGTTACCATTTACTTGCAAATTTAGTAACTGGAAAAAATGATAACAAATGACCAAGAATAGTACTGAACTGGTCTAGAAATAATTTATCCTTTTACCTGGAAAAAGAGACTGCCAATAAGACAGGGAGACACAGAAAGCCAATGTTTAATTTCTTCCCTTGGGAAAAAGTAGAAGCAGGAAATGCAGAATGCATTATTTCCAGGACTAAGGTAAGTATCTGATGATGGGAGAGCAAGAAAGATGAACAATGGTAGTCACAGGAGTCACAAGGCCTACATTTTATGTTATATGGATTAAGGGAGCTGAAAATGAAGACTTTTGTTTGTTTTGTGTTTGGGGAAGAAGTGAATAAGGGAGAAGTTAACATTGGTGCACAACTTTCTCAGGTGACTTTCAGCAATTTTCAGGTGGTTTCAGGTGACTTTCAGGTGGTTTCAAGTGACTTCTAGCAATTTAGGCCAATAGGATAATCAAAGGCTACAAAACTAGAGTTAAAATGCTAAGAAAATCTTGGGAACTTAAAGCAATTTTCAAAATTAAAGAAAATAATAATAATTAATGTGTGCTTTCTTCTTTACAATTATGGGGGGAAATATATGTGTGCATATATATTTAACCTGGACAAAATTAATGAATAAGTTATTAACTCTGGTACAAAACGCTATTCATGAGTTAGGAACACAGTCCTAGACCTTAAGCATAGTGTTTGATAATACATCTGTAAAACTATATGTAAATAACTCTTAAGAACCAAAGGAATGCATTGAGGAATTATCAGACCATCATAAGTCAATCAGCATGACATCTCCAGTTTACCTCTTCTTTGAGACCAACAGAACTGAATGTGGGGAATTGCTCCCAAGCTTGTTTTGAAATCTCAAATTATTTATATCAAGGGAACAATCTAGGAGCAATGAGGTAAAAAGAGTGGCACTTCAGCATTAATCAGAAATTTAAATTGTTTTAAACCAACCCAGTTCCCTGAACTATTTTCATGCATAAATCCATTGAATGTACCAATGCTCTCATATTAAACCAGAGTGGCCCAAGTCTGTCTGCTTTTCTGTGGAATATAACCTGCCATTTTAGTAGCTGTCTGCTCACTTTGTGCCTCTGTACGTTTTAAAGTAGTTTTTTCCTTTCTTAAATGTGCTAATACTTCAAATTACCTATACTATCCTTCCCCACCAAAAGAGGATGCTATTTGAGTGTTATGTGGAAGTAGTGGTGAAATTATGATAATTTAAAGTTCATTTACATGGGAATTAAGACCCAGAGCTTTTCAGAATAAAAAAAAAAAAAAAAAAAGGCATTTCAGACACACTTTGGGTAAGGAAAGGACATTTGCATAATCCCATCTGCTAAATGCATGGAAATTTGCAAAAGCATTATTATATTTCAGAGGATTGGTTGCCCGATATATTGCCATGTTAAGGGGCTGTACATTGGGGTGATGTCCTCTTTTCCCCTGAGCTCTCACCAGATGAAGCCCCTACCGGGTGATTACTCACACCAACTGCAGTCCACTTTTCTTTATTATACAAGCTGTCCCAGGGGAGTCTTTTCTTCACACTTCCTTGGTAAACCTGACAACCGCAATCATTTTATATCTTATGTATCTCAGAAGGAACCAATCTTGTTTTGAAGGCTTGTTATGAGTTTCAAAGGAAGACAGTTTTCCTAAACAGTTGAGATCTGATAGTGATATGGTGAGCTGACATCTGAAAAACCCCAACCATTTTGAAGAGCAGATCTAATAAGTGAATTTAAACTATGCTTTTAATTAAAAGGTTTCCTTATGCATGGCACGAAGTAAACCTTAGCTTCAGGTTAGCAGTTCATAGCATGAAAAAAGAAGACAACATTTTCAAGTTGTCAAATCGTACCTACTCATAGAACCCAAGCCTGTCTAGCAAATTACTTGAATCACATGACCTCCCACTGTTAAGGCATGAAATGGGAAATAATAGTTCAGGCTTTACCAATTACCAAAGTCATTACCGAAGGGGGAGGGGGAAGTGCTAGAACAGAAACAGCAGGCAGAATGACTGTTCCTCCAGTATCCTTTTTGACTTCTAATTTGAAAAGGACCCAAGCAAAGGAAGTCTCCTCCAGAAGGTGTTTGGACTTTACCTGTTGGCATGTGAGGTACTGCTCACCTTCTCTGCTTTTTCCAGAGGAGCTGGATGCACTGAGCACCACCCCATCCCCATCTATCCTTTTACCATCCCTTGTCTACAAGCCTCTGGTTCCACTAACCAAACTCCAGGGGATCACTGGAAGCTACATCAACCTTGGAAGCTCTGAACAGGGTCTTTGGCCAGTGGGCCGAAAGGAGTAAGAACAGCCTGCCAAGTAGTGGTCATACAGTTGGATTTTTAGAAATAGACAGAATCTTAGAAGTTATTGTGTCCAAGCCACCTATTTTCACAGCATAAACCGAGGTACAGAGACAGGAAGTGATCTGGCCAGGGTCACTTGGGGTCAGGACCATGGCCCAACCCAGAGCTGTTTCCTCTATGGGGTCATGTTGCTGGCTGCTCCTGAATGAGTATCCATAAGTTCCCCTCTACCTGGCAATACCCATCCTAGGAGAAGCAATGCAAATGCATCATCTGTGACATCCACAGGTCCCAGTGGTCAAGGCCATTGGCCCAGCTTAGTATCATGCACTGAGGCTGCCATCCCCCTCAGAGTCCACGCAGGACACCTATCCCAAGGGGCCTAAATTGTACTCAATTTTATTCATGTTATAAAACCGATTTCTTCCTCCCGAAGAAGGTTTCCACTCTTCCTAGTAAGAAAGGTAAAAGTAATTCCCTAACTTCTTTGCTCCCTAAAATCTCTGTGAAGAAACAGATGAGATCCAGCCTTGCAGGCTGAATGCAAACACATTACTTGTTAAATTTTCACTCCTCCAAATATCACTTACAGGAGAGCATCTGACTCATTCCTTAGCGCCTAATCCTTCATCCACTCTGGGTTTGTTTATATGGCCTTATAGTACATATAAAACATATATATACCATACATGTTTTATAGCGGTGGCTCATGCCTGTAATCCCAACACTTTGGGAGGCCGAGATGAGTGGATCACCTGAGGTCAGGAGTTCGAGACCAGCCTGACCAACATGGTGAAACCCCATCTCTCCTAAAAATACAAAAAAATTAGCTGGCATGATGGCACATGCCTGTAATCCCAACTACACTGGAGGCTGAGGCAGGAGAATCACTTGAACCCGGGAGGCGGAGGTTGCAGTGAGTCGAGATCACACCATTGCACTCCAGCCTGGGCGACAAGAGTGAAACTCCGTCTCAAAAGAAAAAAACAAAACAAAACAAAAAACGGAAGAGGCAGGAAAATGCTGCTGGGAAGGGAGGAATTCTCATTGGCTTCGGTTAGGTGAATATCGCCCCCTTGTGGTCAAACAGAACGCAGGCCCCCCCCCCCCCCGGCACTGGTCACAGAATCATTTATCCTCCTTCAGGGCTGACCAAACATAAATCATTCTGAAAGAATCAAGCTTTATATGAGACGATCCCAGCACCTGCTTGCTTGCCAATATATACCGCTAAAAGTCCTTTATGGATATAGCCATTTTCTAAAAATGTTCTATTTGCCCCTTAAATGTTTATTGATTTTGAATTTTACTATAATCACTTTCCTGACAACTCCCAAAGACACCTTGAAAGCATAAATATTCCCTTTCAGTATTGGTCTTCAAGCAATATTGGTGTCTTATTTTTAGAATTCTAACTGATGCTTACACCTAAGTTTCTCAAAGCAAAATACATAGGTGTTAGGCTTGGTATTACCCACATTTTAATTTTTTTTTTTTTTTTTTTTTTTTAAGACAGAGTCTTGCTCTGTCGCCCAGATGGTAATGCAGTGGTGCAATCTCGGCTCACTTCAACATCTGCCTCCCGGGTTCAAGCGATTCTGCCTCAGCCTCCTGAGTAGCTGAGACTACAGGTGCATGCCACCATGCCCCACTAATTTTTTGTATTTTAGTACAGACGGGGTTTCACCATGTTGCCCAGGCTGGTCTCAAACTCCTGAGCTCAGGCAATCCACCCACCTTGGCCTCCCAAAGTGCTAGGATTACAGGTGTGAGCCCACACTTAAAATTTTTTGAATTCCTACAAGATTAAAACTAGGCACAAATTTATAGATCTGCTCTGATTGCCTTTTTATAGCATCACAAAAAGTCCTTTGAGGATTTTCCTGAAACCTGGCCTTTGAACACTGCAGACCATAAAGGCCATGGAGTGCAAACCCCTTTCACTGGAAAGAAATCTGAGAGCTTAAGGGAAAGTGTCTGCTGGCCAAAGGACAGATAGAAGCCCGGGGCAGCTGACTGGAAACTGGTGTGCTTCCTCCTCACCCTGCCAGGGAAAATGACACGATGGGTGGGCATCCTCGGGCGGTCATCCCCATAGGAGCCCTGTGGCTATGAATGAGGCTTACCCAGGCCAGTCCAGTCTCTGAGACTCTTCTACTCTTTAAATAACAGCCTCGCCTAACAGTCCAGGAAAGCCAAAGGATACAGAAACTGTGGCCTTGTTAGCCTGCCCCAAAATAATGGAGAAAAGTGGTTGCATTAGTACTATTTTTAAACTCAGTTTAGTTTTATGGGAAGGCTAATACATGAAAAGTTACTATCTTAAAACTTTCTCTGAGCTCCCTTTTTAATATTTTTTGCCATGCTTTGCATAAAGAAGTCAGACAATTGGTCTTTTTTAGCCTGAGGATAGCTTAGCTTGCTGATTCAGTTAGATGGATAAAGATAATCTTCAAACAAAGGAGATTTTGAAATTCTGAGGAGGGTAGAGGTCATTTTTGTGAGGGGACTATTCAGCTCATCAAATGGATGCCAGATTAGGCTGTGGAGGGCCAAGGTCAAGGACGGAAGGGGTCTGTGTCTCAAAATGTTCCACCTCATATATGATGCCCTTCACACAGCCCCATTTTGCCTGGCTGGCTCCAGTTAGATGCCCAAGCCTACCATGTACCCCAAGCCAAGGGAGAGGTAGAACACAGTGGGATGGGGTGGGAGCTAATTCTGGGGACAGCAAGAAGTCTAAAAAGCAGCAATGGGCTGGGCATGGTGGCTCACACCTGTAATCCCAGCACTTTGGGAGGCCGAGGCGGGAGGATCACCTGAGGTCAGGAGTTCGAGACTAGCCTGGCCAACATGGCAAAACCCTGTCTCTACTAAAAATACACAAATTAGCTGGGCATGGTGGCATACACCTGTAGTCCAAGCTACTCGGGAGGCTGAGGCAGGAGAATCACTTGAACCCAGGAGGCAGAGGTTGCAGTGAGCCCAAATCACGCCATTGCACTCCAGCCTGGGCAACAAGAGTGAAACTCTGTCTCAAAAAAAAAAAAAAAAAAAAAAAAGCAGCAATGGAGTCTTATATGCCTGAGGCTGGTGCTTCAATTACTATCTATTTGTTCTCACTCCATTGAGGATAGCCACTGAATTCCAGATACAGCATTACCTGTATTTCAGAGCAAATTTCCATAGTGAACTAGGGCTATTCCAACCAGGGATGACTAACAAGATTGTGGCTACTTGGTTTTGTTACTGAGAACATAATACTCAAAAACCCAAACCCAGACTTGATCCCAACAACATCAATTAATTTCACTGTTTTACTGGTTTACATTTTCAACAAAAACACTCTGAGTGCCCACCATATGCCAGGCATATTATAAGAGGCTCTCAGGATATAAAGATAAATCAAACAAGAAACATGTAAAGCTATAGGTTTAATGATAGGATGCAGCGGGATACCTCTAATCCTGAATCCCAAAACCTTCAAATGGATACAGTTGCCCATAGAAAAGCTGAGTAAGGACAACTGAAAACCTACCCTCAGGTTAGCAAAAAAATTTTAATTAATTTCTGACTGAAAGCAATTAACTTTTGACACTATGAATTTCCCAGTTCTGCTGCCTAATCTACCACTACCACCAGAAACTTACTGAGTAGACAAGCAGTTTGACAAACTTGAGTGTGCATCAGAATCACCTGAGGAGCTAGGAAAGGCCACAGAGGCCCCGATACATTGAAGTAGGTGAGACAAAGTCCAGCCGTTTGTAATGTCACCAAGTTCCCCAGGGTATTCTGATGCCACCAAAGTTGGAAAACCACCACTATACATAATGCACGTCTTCTGTGAAGTGGCAGAAATCTCACACAGCATCCTGGGTGGGTCCTTCATTAAGGACAAAAGTGGATGGAGCCCCTTGTGTCTGTCCCAAATAGATCTAAGGGCATGAGGCTTCCTAAGCAGTGTGACACCCAGCCATTCATGGTATAGAGCGCTCTCCCGCAAGAAGGAGCTACACCAGGCAGTGAGAGTGGATTAATCATGACCTTTGGAATTCACTATGCACTCAGACTTTCTCACAAATGGAACTAACTCTCCCTTGACCTAACAGCAAAAATTTTCTTAAGAACCTAAACTTTAGAAGTAGAAAGCAGTAGTGAGTAAATAATAAGAAAATCTTTACTATTTTTGCATGTATAGATGGCAAACAGCTAAAAAAGACACCATAACTCTAGATCTTTAAGAAATGTTACTCTCTTTAAAAGAAAAAATGAAAATCTCCTTAATTCTAGAAAAATAAATACTCCATTGATAAAAATGTCTCCTCCAATTTCTCTCCCCCTTCTCTTTAAATGCAAGGGATGTTCATATACAACCTCATTCTGACACCCAAAATCCCCTCCCTAAATATTGCTCTTCTTTTATGAAAAAAGTGTCAATTTTTTAAAATTATGGATAGAGGTTTTGTATTAAAGGAGACCCGAGTCCTAAAATCCCAGCTGATGGAGGCTCTGGTAATGACACTCATCTTCTGAAAGGAGTCTTCCTTTAAAGGGTGGTAGAAACCAAATGATATCAAGAGAGTGGTAACAGGCCTGGGTCAGAGGCAGAAATGCGGGCTTGGGGAGCATCTGGGGAAACCTAGTTCCTAGTGCCTGGGAGTGATAGCATTTGCCCTGTCTAGCCTTGTGTTTCTTTCTTCTACACTGGTGTTTTTTTCTCCCCAGCTGAAGACTTGAATAAATATTTTGATTTTCTATTATTGCCGACGATTACTGCATCTTCTTATTTAACTTATGTCTTCTTTCCAAGCGAGAGTATCCAGGTTTCGGTTGGATCTATTTTAAGGTGAATTAATTAACCAGCATAATAATACATTCATATGTTTCTTTTTTCATTATTTTTTTTTTACTCTAGTTACAGAATACGTGAAGTAGAATCCCTAGTAAACCACGTTGTCTTTTGGATTTGTCTGTTTGTTTCATTCTACCCTGATAGGGGAACCTGCCCCCAGACTACAGAATCAGCCTGATTGACATCGGCCTGGTGATCGAGTACCTGATGGGCGGGGCTTATCGCTGCAACTACACGCGCAAGCGCTTCCGGACCCTCTACCACAACCTCTTCGGCCCCAAGAGGGTGAGGCTGGCTGCAAATTCGGGGCCCTTCCTGGGAGGACTAGGGTGTATGGGATTTGGGTTGTGGCTTCTTTGTCTCCAAGGGGAATTAAAATCAGAAAATTGCGCTGAGAGTGAACCTAAACAATCAAAGAAAAGTAATGAAATTCAAATTAATCTTATCATTGAGATTATTAAACTCAGCAGTTTTCCAGGTTTTGGGTCTTTATACCTTTAAAAATTGTTGAGAACCTCAAGGAGCTTTTATCTATGGGAATTCTACCTATTGGTGTTTATTTACCATGTTAGAAATTTAAATGGAGACTCTAAAAATATTTAATCCATTTTAAGTTAAACATAGGAATCCCATTATATGTTAACATAAAGAACATGTTTACAAACAAAAACATATTTTCAAAAACAAAGAATAAGTTCATAATAGGAGCATTTTTTACCTTTTGCAAATTTCTGTAATGTCCAGCTTAATAGAAGAGGGCTAGATATCTACTTGTGGATTCAGTCTGTTGTAGGATATTCTGGTTAAAGTATATAAAGAAAATCTGACCCCACAAAAATATATGACAAACACAGCAAATATATCAAAGGAAGGAGTATTTTAACCCTCTTTACATATAATTGTAAATATCATTTTTTTGATACTACACCAAAATTTAATAAGTAACGTTTCTTAAAAATGAGTTGCAAGGTGAAATCTAAAACCATGTAAGTGAACTTTTCAAATTCTGTTACACTGAAATTCACTAGTCTAGCCAGCCATGGTCCCAGCTACTAAGGGGGCTGAGGCAGGAGACTCGCTTGAGCCCAGGAGTTCGAGGCTGTATTATACTATTATAGTGCCTGTGAGTAGCCCCTGCCCTGCAACCTGAACAACATAGTGAGACTCTGACTCTAAAACAATACAATAAAATAATAACAAAGTAAAATCCAACGGTCTATCTTGTACTTTGATGGATCTTGTAACATCATAGATTGGTCATGGAAAATTAGTTTGTTAAGGTATGCAGCTCTTCCAAATATTGACACATTTTATTATACAATTTCATTAGTATCACCTCTATCTCATGGGAAATGTCTTTCAGTACTGAAAAGCTGTCAAAGTCATGGTGGAGGTGGGGGGAGTACATACAAGTTTTCCAGAATCCCAATTTTTTTCTTAAAAGTTTGAATTTTGTCATTGGCAGCAAATACGATCAGTTGTTTTCCTTGAAATAACAGCCTCACTTTGGTCATTCCAAAAACATCTGCCAAAGGTCCAAGTCTACATAACCTTAGTCCATCTGCCAATCAGTCCTTCAAGTAAAAATTATATTCCATGAAAAAAAAAAGTGGCTATAATACAATCCAAACAATCGCATAAGTGCATTTCCTCAGGACAACCCATAATAGTTCAGTATACAGCAGAACTATTTTAGGGGCATACTTCCCATTTCATCCCACAGAACAGTAAAAAGACGGTTAACCAAGGTTAAGGATTTAATAAAGTTAATCATTTTTTAGACCTCAACAAGGCCATTCTTAAGTAAAACGGTTGCATTTGCTTTCTGCAAATGCATAACACTGGAGTCTAATGACATCGGGTAAAGGTGGGTACCACTGCCTTTGTTCTTGCCAAGGCACCCAGCAGCTTTACTCACCACTGCTTTTGCACCATTAGTACAAATGTCAAGATGGTGCCAAACCCAATTACATCTTAGTACTATTATGAAAATAGCTTTGACTTTACACACCCTCTCAAAATGTTTCAGGGACCCTCATGACCCATGGGTCACATTCTGAGAACTGCTGCTCTAGCTGGTAGTGGGCATGATTTTTTTTTTTTTTTTTTTGAGACGCAGTCTCACCCTGTTGCCCAGACTGGAGTGCAGTGGTGTGGTCTCAGCTCACTACAACCTCCACCTCCCAGGTTCAAGCAATTCTCCTACCTCAGCCTCCCGAGTAGCCGGCATTACAGGCATGTGCGACTACACTCAGCTATTTTTTGTATTTTTTAGTAGAGAAGGGGTTTCGCCATGTTGGCCAGGCTGGTCTTAAACTCTTGACCTCAGGTGATCCACCTGCCACCTTGGCCTCCCAAACTGCTGGGATTACAGGTGTGAGCCACTGTGTGGAGCCATGATTTTTATATTTAACAAAGTTTTTTTCTGATTCTGAAAGCATTTTGTGGAACTAGTAAAGAACTTTGAAAATACCTAAAATTTAACAACAGGGATTTGTTTGAAAATGAAAAAATATATATAACAGAATTTTTAAAAAAATACCAGTAACTATAAATAAGAAAAAAATGAAATAGATATTAGCCTAGTAGTCATTTTAGAAGCTGAAAGAGAGAGAGAAAAATGAGAGAGAGAGAGATTCGGTTTGAGCTGTTCTAACATGAATAGCCAAATACAATTTGGAGGAACTGTAAGTGCTGTACACTTACCATTTACTCAAATAACTTTCAAGATGGTGCCCAACCATTCTGAAATATTTAAAAGCTTAAAATTGTTATTCCTGGCCCCAGAGATGTAATTTTGTATTACCTCCTGGTAAATATAGATCAGGGTCTGTGTTCTTCTGAGTTGCCTTTTCTCTCCGACTCAGCCTGTGCCTGTTTTGCACATTCCCAGCATGGCCAATGATGCTTCCTGTGTGCTGACACTTTCCATGCTATTAAGCACCTTTGCCACCATCAGCACAGGCCCTCTGGCCCCACTCGCCCTTGCCCTGATGTGCAGCAGCACAGGGAAACGGCCAGCATAAAGAATCTAAACATATTAATATATTTCTGAATAATACCCCAGGTCTCCAGATAATAGAGGCTCTTCAGAGGTTTGAGAAATACATGATTCATTCTGCTTGATAGAAGGTTTCCTTGTTCATTTGTCTTCGTCTATTCAGGCTGCTACGACAAAATACCATCAGCAGGATGTCTTATAACAACAGAAATTCATTTCTCACAGTTCTGGAGGGTAGGAAATCCAATATCTAGGGACGAGCAGATTTAGTGTCTGGTGAGAGCCTGCTTCCTCATTCATAGTGACACCTTGTCACTGTGTCCTCATCCAGTAGAAGGGTGAATGAGCTGCATTGAGCCTCTTTTATAAGGGTACTAATCCCATTCCTGAGGTTTCTTCTCTCTTGATCTAATCACCTCCCAGAAAGTGTCCCCCCTAATACCATCACCTTTGGAATTAGAATATCAACATATGAATTTGGGAGGCAAAAACATTCAGACCAAAGCACTTGTTCAAATACTACATGTTGTGAAGGTGTCACCCAAACAAGATGGTTATGGAAGGTGAAAGAAATCTTGGTTCACAAAAGACATTATAAACCTGCAGGCTCTATTCTCAGGCAATCTCATTATGCCTGGCTAGTTTCCTCATTTTCTGTAGATTCATTAAAATCACCGAATCCAAAATTCTCTTGGAATTTCTATAAATCAGTTCTTCTTGTGGTGTTTTATTTAGCAAAATAAAATAAACGCCATATGGTACAATAGTGTTCTTCTATTACCTGTTTAAAATATAATAGGACTCTTGGAGGCTGGGTGTGGTGGCTCATGCCTATAATCCCAGTACTTTGGGAGGCTGAGGTGGGAGGACCACTTGAGCCCAAGAGCTTGAGACCAGCCTGGCAACATAGTGAGACCCCATCTCTACAAAACATTTTTAAAACTTAGCCAAGCGTGGTAACATGCACCTGTACTCTCAGCTACGTGGGGCACTGAAGTAGGAGAATCACTTGAGCCCGGGAGGTTGAGGCTGCAGTGAACCATGATCATGCCTCTACACTCCAACTCAGGTGACAAAGTGAGACCTTGTCTCAATAAAAACAAAACAAAACAAAACAAAAAATATATAATAGGACTCTTCTTACCTTTATGAAAGAAAGATCTAACTGATCTAACTTTGTTCACAACGTTTTTTTTAACAGCCCAAAGCCTTGAAACTGCTGGGAATGGAGGTAAGTGTTTGTCCAAATTATTAGTGTCAATGATTTATTCTCTTTATTACCCATTATATATATGCTACATATATAGTATATATATAAAATAATATATAGTGTATATACACATAATATATATACTATATATAATATATATATACTATAAATATATAGTATATATAATGTGTAATACTATATATACTACATACTATAGTATGTATATATTATATATATATAATAATATATATATATAATGTGTCATAAGGGTTGCTCACAGCACCTTTGAAAATTCCACCATGAGGTTATATCTGCAATGCAAACAAAAAAAAATCCTATTTGAAATACTAACCTGAAAACCAAGGAAGCACATAAATTCTAGTAATCAAAATCTATTCATGAGTGTTTACAAGTGATGACAGGTCTAAAGGCCAGAACTACTTCAGAAATGCATCTAATAGGTATTCAGAAACTTGAGATAAATTATCCATTTGCCATCTTTTGTTCATGTGGTTACTGTCATATATGCAAATAAAAATCTAGGATGTCCTTATCCTTTCAGCAAAAAGGGTAGTGCTGTCCATCATTAGGTACAAACATTACCTTTTGAAGAAATAAATGGACAGAAGTAAAAAGAAAGAAAATGGCCCATTAAAAAATAATTTTTTTAATCAGAGTGTAACACTGACATGTTCCCTCAGCACTGTGCTTATGCATTTATCATCACTTGTTTTAAAGTTGGGCATGGATGAGCTTGTGAGTTCTTTTAGGACAGGAGCTGGCCTCGTTCATTTCAGTATTGATCCCAGAGCTAGCTGGGAGAAGATATACAACTGCTACTTGCTGAAATGAACCAATTCATTTCTAACTCAGTCTGTGTGGTTTCCCTGTAATTACAGGATGATATTCCCTTGAGGCGAGGAAGAAAGACAACCAAGAAACGTGAAGAAGAGGTGGACATTGACTTGGATGATCCTGAGATCAACCACTTCCCCTTCCCTTTCCATGAGCTCATGGTGTGGGCTGTTCTCATGAAGCGGCAGAAGATGGCCCTGTTCTTCTGGCAGCACGGTGAGGAGGCCATGGCCAAGGCCCTGGTGGCCTGCAAGCTCTGCAAAGCCATGGCTCATGAGGCCTCTGAGAACGACATGGTTGACGACATTTCCCAGGAGCTGAATCACAATTCCAGGTGGGTCCGCCCAGCAAAATGGGCTGGTCAGGGGGAGAGGAGGAAAGGTGGGCTCCCAGTGCTGGAGAGTCTGAGCTACTCAGAACTTTAAGGGAAATCAGTATCACCCCAGTGATGCACACACAGGATGGACACAAACAATTCCCCTTTATTGTGCACAGTGCCACAGATGGTGGTACCTACAGAAACATGGAACATTTCATCCTGTCAACTTCCCCATGAGGTAGGCCCCGTAGTTATGCACTTCTTTCAGCTAGGAAAAATGGGGCTCAGAGAATTTAAGTAACCTGTCCAAGATCACACATTTGTGGTGGCAAGGCTGGAATTTGAACTGAAGTTTGACACATTTAACAGGACATACTGCCTGGTGCAGTGACTCGTGCCTGTAATCCCAGCACTTTGGGAGGCTGAGGTGTGTGGATCGTTTGAGCCCAGAAGTTTAAGACCAGCCTGGGCAACATAGCAAGACCCCATCTCCAAAAAAAAAATTAAAAATTAGCTGGGTGTGATGGTGCACGCCTGTAGTCCTAGCTGCTCAGGAAGCTAAGGTGGGAGGATCTCTTGAGCCCAGGGGGTCAAGGCTGCAGTGAGCCATGATCATTCCACTGCACTACAGCCTGGGAAACAGAGAGAGACCCTGTCTCAAAAAAAAAAAAAAAAAAAAAAAAAGAAGACGACGATGACATACTGTACTCTATTGATTGCTTGCTCCACCTCCTACACTCATATGACTGAATCTGAGGGCCTGAGTACAGAGATCATGTATTGTTTGACTTATACCCCCAGTTCTATACATGGTATCCGGCACATAGTAGATGCTTAGTGGATGTTGGCTGGATGAATTTACAAACAGACTAGACCCCATATGAAACACCTACATCATCCAGTGACCCCATTTTCTGGTTGGCCAGCAGGTCCACTTTTACCTTATAAGTCTCCAAGCTGACCTGAAGGACTCTTCCACCCATTCTGTCTTTCAGAGACTTTGGCCAGCTGGCTGTGGAGCTCCTGGACCAGTCCTACAAGCAGGACGAACAGCTGGCCATGAAACTGCTGACGTATGAGCTGAAGAACTGGAGCAACGCCACGTGCCTGCAGCTTGCCGTGGCTGCCAAACACCGCGACTTCATCGCGCACACGTGCAGCCAGATGCTGCTCACCGACATGTGGATGGGCCGGCTCCGCATGCGCAAGAACTCAGGCCTCAAGGTCAGGGCGCCCAATAAGGCCCTCCTGGCTATGAGGACCGGCGGGTGGGTTAGAGTTTTCCCAGCCAAAATCTGCCATGGAATTGGGCATCCTCTTATCTCAGGAGGGAGGTTCTAAATCCTGACTGTGCCTCAGAATCCTGTAGAGTGTTGCTTGGTTTTGTTTATTCCATATAGAGGCTGGGGCCTCCCCCTGGGTCCTGCTGCATTAGCATCTCTATGGAGGATGCCTGGACATTAATATTTTTCGGAGGAGTCAAAGGGGATGGCCACGCACAGGTACTGCAGGGGCTGCCATTTGCACAAGCAAAGCCAGCTGCACCAGGAGTCCCCACCTAGGCCACCTTGTCGCTGCAGAGGGTGCCTGAACCCCTGGCCCTCCTTGGCATCATGTCATAGAGACATTGGCTCTTACCAGATGTGCTTGAGAGGTCTTTTTAAACTAAGATAAAACTGAGATAGATCTACTTGGAAAGCCATTGCTAGATAATCCTAATCTATTCTTAAATGAAGAAAAACAAGTCACAGACCACTGTATATAATCTGAGGCCATTTTTAATGTGTCTATGTATAGTTATGTCTGTATAAATTATCCTATAAAAATCAGGAAGGACACATAGTAAATTGTCCGCAGTGGTTACCTTTGAGGTTGAATGGACTGTGAAAGAGATGTTACTGTTTTTAAGGGAAATAGGATGGTGTATAGCGTTTGCTTTTTTTATGTTCTTTTCAGTGTTTTTCAAGGAAAATGTGAAACTGAAAAAGGAAAAGAAAGACAGAAAAAAATGGGAGATGGAAGACTGAAAGAATATGGGGAGTTTTTTGTTTGTTTTAATTTAAGGTATACAACAAGATGGGTTTTTTGAGAGTTTTTTGGTTTTTGTTTTGTTTTGTTTTGTTTTTGAGACAAGGTCTTGCTCTGTCACCCAGGCTGGAGTGCAGTGGTGTGATCTTGGCTCACTGCAACGTCCACCTCCCAGGTTCAAGCGATTCTCCTACCTCAGCCTCCCGAGTAGCTGGGATTATAGGCACAAGCCACCATGCCTGGCTAATTTTTGTATTTCTAGTACAGACGGGGTTTCATCATGTTGGTCAGCCTGGTCTTGAACTCCTGACCTCAAGTGATCCACCCGCTTTGGCCTCCCAAAGTGCTGGGATTACAGGCATGAACCACTGGCACCCAGCCACAACATGATGTTTTGATATACATAGTGAAATGGTCACTCTAGTCAAGCAAATTAACATATCCATCATCTTGCCTCATTACCCTTCCCTGTGTGTGTAAGAGCACCTAAAATCCACTCTCTTAGCATATTTCCAGTATACAGTACAATATTTCAGCTAGAGTCCTCGTATTGTACATTACATCTGTATGGTACATACTCATCCTACATATCTGCAACTTTGTTCCCTTTGACCTATATGGCCCCATTTCCCATTTCCTCCCCTCCCCAACCTCACCCCTGCCCCTGACACCCACCATTTTATGGGACCAATACCCCTTCTCCATACCACTCTTCCTGTGGGCTCTTGGCCTAGAGTCACAGAAAGGTTCTGTGATGTGGGTCATGGGCACTCCATAGCCACACTGCTGGTGACCGCCAAGCCCGGCCTTAGGAAGGGAGTCATGCTGGCTCTCAGCTCCGAGGACAGGGTGTCATGTCCCCTGAAGATGCCAGCATGCCACCTGAGCCTTCGTAGGCCGGCCAGGCACCCAGAATTCAGCATCATGAATTCACAGCCATTTTCCCTGAACTACTTTGGCGTCCCTGTGGGCATTCAAGCAAGGACTGTTCCTGCCTCATTACTTCAGGATCATTTTTCCTGACCCTTCAGAGGAGTCTTAGCCCCTCATCTTGGAGCAGTTTCTTTAAGGAGGTTCATCTTCAGAAGTCTTGTGCCCCAGAATTGTTTTAGGATTGAGAGAAGAGGTGAGAGAGGACTTGGGGAATACAGTCAGACATCAGTATTATCATGCAGAAACACACTTGTTCATTCTGAAGAATGAGACCGCCCTCTCAGAAGAAAGGCTTCCGTATTTAGTGTCCTTGCATAGATTTATGCGTGATGTTTATACATGAGAGAAATACAGCGCTGGCTTCTCCTGGGGCTTGTGTGTAAGGGGACTCTCTCAGCACATACGGAGCCCACTGGGGGGTGTGTGTGTGTGTATGTGTGTTTGTGTTTCTGCTGTTCTCGTAGCAAATACCAGGAAGATGCCCTAAAATGAATTAAATGCTTTCCTACATGTATTCTCTCAAGGTCAACTTAGGACAGCATTTTTTTTTTTTTTTGCAGAGATAATCAGATAACACATAATCCACTCCACTTGACACATTAGCAAAAAAAAAAAAAATGCCAGTGGACAGATGTATGAATTGATTTCACAGTCAAAATCAAGCGCTGTCTAATGGCTAAATGTAAATCTGAATTCTTTCCCACTTTTGCCTTAAATAGAGTCTCTCTTTCCTCTGTTACCCACATGCAAAGTGGGTGTTAATTGGGTAAGACAAATTTGGGCAAAATGCTTTTTTCCTCCAAAAATGAGACTGAGCTGTGCAAAATATTTCCTAGATGGGACAAAATGATCCTCTTAGTATTAATATGTTAATATGTTAGTTACTCAGATGTCCAGGTCCCCCACAGAGCATATAACAACTGTGTGTGCATGTGTACACACACACACGCATACACTCTTATACCCCATACCTCAGGCTCTCTGATTCTAAACAACCACCCTAATCTTAATCCTTTAAATGTGATTATTATTATTATCATTATTATTACTTTAGGTAATTCTGGGAATTCTACTTCCTCCTTCAATTCTCAGCTTGGAGTTCAAGAACAAAGACGACATGCCCTATATGTCTCAGGCCCAGGAAATCCACCTCCAAGAGAAGGAGGCAGAAGAACCAGAGAAGCCCACAAAGGAAAAAGAGGAAGAGGACATGGAGCTCACAGTAAGAAAACATTGCACAGTTATTCTCTATGGGCAGAATTCCTAATCCACTTGTCCCACCGATATGCTCAAGATTCAGTAACTCCTTAGGTCAGACATCTGTTCCCAGCCTTCCACCAGGTTTAATCATGGAGTGCTTTCATTTCAGTATTGAGACCAGGGTATTGGAAAAGTGTAAATAGCATGACCATAGGGTCCACCCATATGTGAAGTCTTGCAGCCAGCTAGTGGTGCAGGACAAACCAATGAAATTCTAAAGCAAGACACTCTACATTTTCCAAACAAGCAAAGCTTTTTAAACAACCAGATGATGTGTCTGTCTCAGCACACAGAGAAGGAAAGGGAATCCATGATTTGAGAGCAGCCGGCTTCACTGAACTGGTACTGTTCTGCGGATCAGAAGCTAAGCCTGTATCTGTCTTCAGGGTCAGGCTCACAATTACAGCACTAATTGAATTTTGAGGTTTGTATGCAAAGCTTTTATTAGCTCTTCCTCATATAATTATAGAGCATAGAGGCTTTGTTCTGCAGAGGGAAGGGGGCAGCTGGACATGGGACAGCTTCTTGCAACCCCCGCCTGAGCAGCGTGACTGCCACTGGCTCATGTGCAGAGGCTAAAAATATCACATTCTGTTAAAGGGACAAACAAGGCTTCATAGCTTGGAAGTCATCAAGCAACAGCTCCATAAGGACTTTCTCAATATGCCTCACCCTCCCTCACCACCCCCACCAATGACCATTGCTGTAGTGACCCAGAAGCTATAAGGGGTGAAATCACAAATTAATTTTGCTCAGGTGACAAAAGGCCTTTGCATTATTATCCTAGTAGGACAGCAGTGTGAATTGTTTCTCCTGCAGGTAAACAATATTTGCTTCCAGTAGGCTTCTCCTAAAGATCTATTTGCAGACATAATCCCTGACTTACTGAATGAAAGGCCAACTTTTGTTTCAGTTTGAGGATTTGTATAAAAATCTGTGGAGGAGTCGGCTCAGCTCTGTAACAGACGACTGTCTTCCCTAACAATCTCACCATAGTTTTGTCCTCTGAATAGAATATAATAGTTTGATCATTAGAAGAAAATTGGCAATAGTAATACTGAATCTTTATGGAATATTTCAGCTGAACATGTGCTCTGTAGCCAGAATCCTGCCCCATTACCTACTTGCTGTGTGACCTTGGGCACAATTTTATAACCTCAAACACAGGAACAATAATGTTGTCTACCTCACAAGTAGTTGTCTCGTGTAAAAAGTGTGCCTGTAAACTACTTATATTGGAGACTGGCACACTGTGAACTAATACTGTTTTAACAGTGCTAAGTGCTTTACACATACTTACTAATGGAATCCTCACAAAAGTCCCACAAGATAGGCACTATTATTATCCCCATTTTATTTATTTATTTATTTTTAGAGACAGGGTCTCACTCTGTCACCCAGGCTGGAGTAAAATGGTGTGATTATAGCTCATTGTAACCTCAATGGGATTCAAGGGATCCTCTGGGCTCAAGGGATCCTCACACCTCAGCCTCCCAAGTAGCTGGGAATGCAGGTGCACACCACAACACCTGGCCTTTTTTTTTTTTTTTTTTTAAGAGATTGCCCAGGCTAATCTTGAACTCCTGGTTTCAAGCAGTCCTCTAGCCTTGGCCTCCCATAGTGCTGGGATTACAGGTGTGAGCCACCACACCCAGTCCTAATCCCCATTTTACAAATGAGGAAGCTGACAGTCATAGAGGTTAAATTGCTCAAGGATACCCAGCCTGTTCATGGCAAAGCTAAGATTAGAACCCAGGCATATAGACTCCATCAGCCACACTTTTAGACAATAGGTTAAGGGTGAGAGAGAATGTCTCTCTAGTCTCAAGTGTGGCCACTCAGCCGATTTGGTCCACCATGTAGCAGAAAGAATCCAAAAGTGATGAATGAGCCTCCAAAGTCAAGTGTGGCACAGTCCTGACATCAGCACACATCCTAGGAAGACATCCAGAAACTGAATCAGCATTCTCTCTGGTTGGGTCTCAAGGAAGAAAGCAAAGGGAGGTAGCTTCCCCTGCTCAGCCTAGAGCTTTGAGAACCTGATCCTTCAAGAAGCCACCATAAGAGATGCATCTCTAGACTAAGAGCAAAGTTTAGTAACAAGAGAATAGACCCTGACGTTGTTTACTAAGAGCCCAGTAGAAGGTTCTGCAAGAGCTTTGCTGCCCAAGCTTCTTCTCCACAGGCAGAAACAGCAGGGAGAAGGAAAGAAGGAAAGGACATGTGGCCTGGCAAACTCAGGGCTGGACAGCAGTTGTCTGTAAAGTGGACCCTTCCCTTGACTCTGATGGCAAATTCTGTCACTGCTCAGGCACTGGTCAGTGGACAGAACTTGGACAGAACTGCAGAGTGCAGCTCATTGGCACTTCCCCTCCTTTTATGGGATTGATATTTGAGCTTCTGTGTTAAACCAGTATATCCTCTCTTGGAATGGGACATTTTCCTTTGGCCCTTCCAAAACGACACACGAAAATATCAACCTCAATTCACTCCATTTTTGTAGCTTTTAGTAGTTTAGTTCACCTCAAAAGAACTTTCTCAGCCTTGACATCTGTGTCTAGCCAGCATAGATTCTCAAATCATGCTGTGCAGTTTTGTCTATATTTGACCCTGTTAGATTCTGCTTTAAGGAATGTCAAAGGAAATGTCTGAATACAGAGAAAAGACATAAACAAAATCACAAGTTAAGCTGCTTAGGCTGGAATTAATGAAATGTCAAAAATGCTTTACTTAAACCCGTGAAAGACAAGCCTTTTACAAATGCATTCATGCTGGAATATATCTGAATAATAAAGGCAAAACAGGTTTTTGCTTTTGTTTTGAATGCAGTGCTGGTTAAATGTCTCCACTTTGCCTAATAAAGTCCCCACAAGTCCACAGACCCAGGACATGTCTATAGCTCTGTTGGGAAAGTCACCATCCCCAGAAGTTACCCCAAAATGCCACTCTCCAAGATGCCTAAAAACCTTCTGGCTGTCTTTACTCTCATCTCATTGTGTCCGCAAATAGCATTAGATTCTCAAGCATATAAATAAGCAGAACAGAGGCATGATAATTATGTTACATAAATTATAGACAGCCAAATGTCATGTAACCTCAGTTTCTTGAGGTCAATGATCAATATTTATAGAATTCTATCACAGTCTAGTGTGCCATGTCCATCAGAAAGATTTACTCCACTCAATGATGAAAATACACACTTCAATAAGTCTTAGTATGGAATCTAACTTTATTAACCCAAGGGACTTTTCCAGCCGGAGTCCACAAAGGAATGGAAGTTACCTTCTCCAGAAATCCTATTGGTTACAGGTCAATCATTTGTGATTATTACATAGTTGAGTAAAGTGGATATTTGAGGTAATGAACCAAGTAGTTGAAACTAATATTTGTATACTTTAGGTAAAGTGGTTTTAAGCCAGAATTATCTAGGATTGTCTCTATTCTCAACTTCAAAACTAATGCATTGTTTCTATAATGAGCTCTCTCAACTTTAAGCTTGTTTCCCAGTACTCTGTCTTGCCCCAAATCCTTGTCAGTCCTGAAGTTATAAAGTCTTACCCTGTCTTCACATGTAATAAAAATCTCCAAACTTTGTGAAACTAGCTTTGTGTTAGAACAGTACTGAAGAATTAAAGTCAAGAAATTATGCTGTTATAGATTCTAATAACACTTTTTTGTTCTAGTGAGTGAGTGATCTCAACTAGATCATTTTAGTCAGGAGTGTCTAAGAAGGTCTCAGTTCACTTTAAAGCCTAGCTAGTGTTTACTGAGCACTTACTAAGTGCCAGATGCTACCTGACTTGTAGGCCAACCCTATAGTGAGTACTTTATTACCCTCATTTTACAGTTAAAGAAACTAAGTCTCAGAGTGGTTAAAAACCTTTCCCATGGTGCCACCAATTTGAAGTGTCTGAGTTAGGATTCAGTCTCCCGTCTGAGTGACCCAGGGCCTGGAACTCTTTCTCAGTTAAGTCATTATAGTTGTCACTGCTACTGTTGTCATGAATGAAAAGGAAATGATTCTGTTCTCAAGGAAATTTCCAGCAGCTTGGAGATGAGGACCTCTCCAGGTCAGGCCTGAATGGAATCCTTCTCCTAGTCCCACGTAGTTGCAGAGGAAGGCAGTGTTCACAGGAACTTCCATAAAACTAGTACCAGCAGTAATTCAGGATTTACAGTGTTTAAAATTAGGGAACCAAGGCACATGCCTAAGGGTCAGGGAGAAGTCGCTAACTGTTTTAGTCCCGTTTTCACATGGCCATAAAGATACCACCTGAGACTGGGTAATTTATAAACCAAAGAGGTTTAATTGACTCACAGTTCTGCATGGCTGAAGAGACCTTGGGAAACTCACAATCATGGTGGAAGGCAAAGGGGAAGCAAGGCATGTCTTATATGGTGGCAGGAGAGAGAGAGTGACAGACCGAGGAAGTGCCACACTTTAAAACCATCAGTTCTCATGAGAACTCACTATCACGAGAACAGCATGGGGGAAACTGCCCCCATGATCCAATCAATCACCTCTCACCAGGTCCCTCCCTTGACATGTGGGGATTACAATTCAAGATGAGATTTGGGTGGGGACACAGAGCCAAACCATATCACTAACCTAACTAATTGCAGGCACAGCAGATAATTTACCTCTTGAGTATTCACAACCTTTGGATAAATTAGGTATGCTGGTCCAATTTACCTTTAAGGGTCATTATCATCTGAAGAGACAGAATTTGAACCCAGATCTAGCCTGTTTCATGATATATAGAAAGAGAGCAGGTGGGGAGGAAGAATAGATTCCTGAAGCCTGGCCTTCCCAGGCTACACTGTTTCTTCCTCTCTGGACTCTGGGTATCATCTATAACCCACATCTTCTAGAATTCCCAGGGTGGAAGAGAAGAGAATGGTCAAGAAATACACCCAAGGCCTTCCATCTCAGGCAAAGGGTATTCACAGATTATACGTGTAGTGCAAATGCACTCTTAGGGAAGGTACAACCTCTAAATCTCTGGGGCCTTGGGTTCTTAGGTTCTATGAGCATCCTTTCCTCATCTGTAAAGTAAGCACATTGAACAACATGCTCTCCAGAGCCCTGTCATGATGGTATCGATTCTCTTCCAACATAGGCAATGTTGGGACGAAACAACGGGGAGTCCTCCAGGAAGAAGGATGAAGAGGAAGTTCAGAGCAAGCACCGGTTAATCCCCCTCGGCAGAAAAATCTATGAATTCTACAATGCACCCATCGTGAAGTTCTGGTTCTACACAGTAAGCACATTTCCTTTTCTCCTTCCTAGTGGATGGCCACAAGGAGCCAACGTCCATTTCTCATGCATCTGTGTGGTTTTCTCTGCAAGTCGTAAGTGCCACACACAGGAGTGAAAGTTCTGTGACCTTGCTTTTTCAATAGCTCTGCAAGATTTGTGGCGTTTGTTAGGCAGCTTTCACAGGCCACATTTTGCCTCCTCTCAGAAAATAAAGGAAATGGTGGAGGTGAGAACTAACAGTAATAGAGGTGAGATGAGTATGAGTCTTGCCTAACAGGAAAGTAGATGTTCTTTTCCGAAATACTTCCTTGTTTTGAATGGATAAGGGCTAGATCACAGTTGCCCATTTTAGATGTCAGTCCCGGATTTGGGGGTACTTTTGGTGGGTAAGGAGTGAGGAGAGTGTGGAGGTAACACCACTAAAGAAGGTAGTGTGTGTATGCATGCGTGTGTGTGCATGTGTAACTACTCACAGTCTGCTAGTGTCATCAAACAACCCTTCTTGTTCCAACACAATTAACAATATGCAAACCACAGCAGCAAAAACTACTCAAAGGCAAATATTGTTTAGTTTGCACATCCTGTAAATATTTCTGCCTACAAAAGAGTGGATTGTCCCTGAAATGACGACCTCCTGATATGGTAGAAATTGTTCAATTATTGGTTCTCTACTTCTACTGTTCAGTGATTTTTTTTTTTTTTAAGATGAGCTTTTGGCCCAGGTCATCTCCAATTCTTTCCAGCCACGGTGGAACTGTGCCAGATGAAGGATAGTGCATCTGTATTTTTAGCCCTTTCCACAACCAGCTGCGTAGCAGTCATTTGAGTCAGCAACAGGATAATCTGAATCTGAGGCCAAAATGACTCAAATGACCAGATGAGGTGCTTTTCACGTGGTCCTGTGTGCTAACACTTAACATTGACTTTAAAGCTGGGTTTCTCTACTTCAGTGCTATTGACATTTAGGGCAGGATAATTCTTCATTGTGGGGGGCTGTCCCCAACAGGTAGCATGTTTTACAGCATCCCTGGCCTCTACTCAGTGGCAACTCTTCATCCCCCAAGTATGACAATCAAAATGTCTCCAGACATTGCTAAATGTTCCCTTGTGGGATAAAATTGCCACCATTCGGAAACTACCACTTTAAAGTGTGGTCTTGAGAAAAGATAGGATATTATCGAAATGTAAATATTAGATGTTTTCAGTGAGGTAAAAATTCAAATTTATCAATGTTAGGAAAAGAGAAAAATTCTCTCCCCCCAAAAATAACTGAGGCATGCAAAAATCGTTTCTATTCATATATTTTATACAGCTCTATATTATTTTTAACCTTGCAGAAAACAGCTTAGTGGTGACAAGCATGGACTTTGGAATCAGACAGCCTGGGTGGGAATCCCATCTGCACCTCTTACCATGTGCCCTCAAACAACTTAATTTCCCCTTCTGTCCACAGTTTTCTTAAGATGCCAATAATAGTAGTTCCGATTTTATAGGATTTAATCAAGATTAAATGTGTTAAAACATGTAAAGCACTTAGAACAGTTCCTTGACATATAAGTACAATGTAACTGTGACTATTGTTTCTTCTAGGCTATTCACGTTGCCCAGCAATAGATAATCAGTGTTGTGTTCATACATCCACTCAACAAAAATAATATCTTTCTTTTATTGAGCACCTACTAAGTTTGAGGCAATGTTCTAGGTACTATTATTTAAGTACTCTTTGTAATCCTAACAACTATTTTATCAAGATAATATTTATTTATTTAGGAGACAAACTCTTACTCTGTCACCTAGGCTGGAGTGCAGTGGTACAATCTTGGCTCACTGCAACCTCCATCTCCTGGATTCAAGTGAGTCTCATGTCTCAGCCTCCCGAGTAGCTGGGATTACAGGTGTTCACCACCACACCTGGCTAATTAATTTTTGTATTTTTAGTAGAGATGGGGTTTTGCCACGTTGGCCAGGCTGGTCTTGAACTGCTGGCCTCAAGCTATGGGCCTGCCTCAGCCTACCAAAGTGCTGGGATTACAGGCAATAACCACTGCGCCCAGCCCGAGATAATATTTTTGCAGCTATTTCACACCCAGGTCTGTCCTTCCTTTTATATTATGATTCCCCAACTGTTAGCTTAGAACAGGGCTTGGCAAACTACAGCTTTTGAGCCAAATTCAACCCATGGCCTGTGATTGTGGCCTGCGAACTGAGAATGGTTTTTACATTTTTAATAAAATTTGAAAAGGAATACTTGAAACACATATTCAAATTTTAGTGTCCATAAATAATTGGAACACAGGCAGACTCTTGATTTCTGTTAAAAGAAAAACTTGAGCCGAATAAATTTAAAGGAGTTTAATTGAGCAAATGAACGATTCGTGAATTGGGCAGTCTTCCAAGCCAGAGTAGGCTCAGAGACTCTGGCAGGGCCACGTGGTGGAAGATTTATGGACAGAAAAAGGGAAGTGGCATACAGAAAACGGAAGTGAGGTACAGAAACAGCTGGATTGGTTACAGCTCAGCGTTTGCCTTATTTGAACACAGTTTGAGCAGTTGGCTACATTTGATTGACCGAAACTCGGTGATTGGTCTTGTTACACCTTCATTTGTTATAGTTCACAATGTACAGAGAAAACTTCAGGCCGAACTTAAGGAGGCAGCTTTAGGCTAAATCTCATTTACCATTAGCAATAGGCTGACTGACTGCTTTTGTGCTACCACATCAAGTTGATGAGTAGTGAGAGACAGAGAGAGACTATCGGTTCTACAAAGCCTTAAAAGTTAACCAGTTGGCCATTTGCAGAAAAAGTTTACAGACTCCCGAGAGCAGAAATCAGTAGAAATAATAGTATCAATATCTCTAAAACGTCCATGATGACAAGGGAGTTTTGTTAGAAATGCAAATTTCTAGCCCCATCATAGACCCATGGAATCCAGTCTTCAGGAAGGAGCCTAAGAGGCTGTGTTAGTTTAACCAGCTTCCCAGGCGAATCTTATGATTGGAGACACTTGAGACACGCTGCTTTGCTTATGTCATTGGCAGCTTGTTGGGAGGCTGCCTCTTTGGCGGGGGGTGGTGGGGCCTGTGTGTCCAGCACACTTCTGCGTGGCTGACTGGATTGGCCTCAGCAAACCCATCAGACTGGATCCCCCAGATCTGTTCAATTGTGTTTACATGATTCTCCAAAATTCATCTTCACATATTGACAAAGCCCAGGCCTCGAGGAAGTGACTGGAAATAAGGTATGCCAGTCTTTTGAATCACCAGACATGCTTAACAGTACAATTCAATTTCAGATTGAAGGTCCCATGTGCTTTGGGCTGTGTTTTTCTCTGTAAGAGTATTTCTCACCAGATTTTCAAAAATGGTCTCTCCTACTCTCCCAAGTTTCTGAAAGGTAGGACACACTTCATTTCCATATAACCTCACTTCTGCATCGTAGCAAGTTTCTCTAGGAGCAGATTGGGTCCTCTTCTGGTCCAAGAAGAAAGGAGGCAGGGGTCCAACTGGCTCCTAGACCCTGCTTGTTTTGAGAGCCTATTTCAGGTATCCATCTGGAGAGGATTCAAATTCAAGGTGTGAAGTGGCTGCAGGTCAGAGGACACAGTGTGTGCTCTGAGTTTCTCTAGTAGTGACCAACTCTATCCTCTACAAGACCATGTGCCCCTCTGCTCTCCAGAGGTAGTAGAAAAAGGCCCAGGAAGAAGTGAGGAAGAGCAAAGCCCCACCAGGGATCCATAGCAAACTGTGTCAGGCTTTAGTGCTTGTGTTTGATAGTTAGTTTAAGAAGCATGAATCTTAGTTAATGGAAAATGCATAGAAAGAATATATGTTAATAAAATACAAATTCTTAGAGTTCTCCTACTGACTTACTTAAATAAGACTCACAGGTTCAAAAGCTTGGAAATTCTACATACAGGTTGCTAAACCTTACAGAGTATACATATATATATATATATACACACACACACACACACACACAATTAAAGCATGTCATGTCAAGATAATCTACAGCAAGGCTGCATGAATGTTGGTGAGTTCTATGATAGGCTGCTTCCAGGACAGCAGCCAGTCCTCTGTTATGCCATCTAAACATAAGACCCTATTTTCAGAAGTCTGTATTTTGAGAGTTGTCCCAAAATATTATATTATAGCTTGACTATGGGAAAAGTTCATTATAGAATAACTGTGATGTAAAAAACAGGCAGGGGCTAAAAATGATGAAAGTGGAGGAAACATAACCAATAATGAGGGCAATTTAAAAAAAAAGAAGAGAGGTGTGAACAGTTAATTGGGGATCAAAGGGAAGTAAGGACTAAGGGAAGAGGAGACAAAAAGAATAACAGAATAATATCAGCCAGCATTTATTGGGCCTCTACAGTGTGTTGGGAGATACAGACAGACAGATAGATAGATATATAGATCCCCAGTCATTATAAAGGCCCTATAAGGAAAGTGGAAGTGATCCCATGTTACAGAATGGAGGCCCAGGCAGGTTAACATTACAAAAGGTGATACAGCTAGGAAGTATGTGAGCTGAGATTTAAATCCAAGCTTCACTGATATCTATGCCTACCTTCCTTCCACTGAACACATTAGACTTGTATTCAGAGGACAGATGTAGGTTCAAGGAGTTACTTAAGCATTAAAATAGGTTTAAGGAGTTACTTAAGTATTAAAATGCAGAGGTTCTGGAAGAATGTGCATGTCACTAGGCCTACATATGACAAGAGAAGATAATGCTTTGGAATGTTTTGCAATCATTTGGGCAAAATGATAAAACCAGGGCAGTTAACAATATTCATTTCACCTACAAGTGATGGAATTTGACCCAACTAAGAGAAGGAAGCAACAAGGAGAGGGAAAGAGTTCAAGTCAGAAGGAGGCTGAGAGTATATTTTAGAGTTTTAACCACTAAAGTCCTTTTTTTGTTTTTTGCAGTCTGTACTCACAGGACTACAGAATTAATGCCAGTGTATAATAATGGTAAACGGAAACCATATGAACCAAGTTCCATTTTGAACTGATTTTTAAACAGCGTCCTACACAATTTTAAGTAAACTCCTTCATGAGAAGTTTTCATGATTTGCCAATGCTCCTGAAGATGGGGAGGGGTAGGAACTTAGGCATAGGTTGAAATGATAGGCCCCTGGGGGTGGGGGTGGGGGTGTGCCAGCACAAACCATGCATGTAGAGAGTGAGCCCAGATATCCAGCTCTCATAAGTGATCTTATTTAACTCCGACATACTTCACCCTTTAAGAGATGAGGGACTTTTGTGCAACAGTTGTGTCTGCAAATGTGTCAGTGTGATGGGGTCTCAGAGATACCTTGGAGTCATATTAAGACTCTATTTAGGCGAGGCGCAGTGGCTCACACCTGTAATCCCAGCACTTTAGGAGGCCGAGGCGGGCAGATCACTTGAGGTCAGGAATTCAAGACCAGCCTGGCCAACATGATGAAACCTCAGTCTCTACTAAAAATACAAAAATTAGCCAGACGTGGTAATGGGTGCCTGTAATCCCAGCTACTCCGGAGGCTGAGGCACGAGAATCGCTTGAACCCAGGAAGAGGTTTGCAGAAAGCCGAGATCGCACCACTGCACTCCAGCCTGGGCAATAGAGTGAGACTCAGTCTCCAAAAAAAAAGAAGAATCCATTCAGCTGAGCATGGTGGCTCATGCCTATAATCCCAGCATTTTGGGAGGCCAAGATAGATAGGAGGATCTCTTGAGCCCAGGAGTTTGAGATCAGCCTGGCCAACAAAGTGAGATGCTGTCTCCACTAAAAATACAAAAACTTAGCTGGGTGTGGTGGCACGTGCCTGTTATCCCAGCTACCCAGGAGGCTGAAGTAGGAGAATTACCTGAGCCCAGGAAGTCAATGCTACAATGAGCCGAGATCACAATGCCACTGCACTCCAGCCTGGGTGACGAGAGTGAGACCCTGTCCCAAAACATAAGAGAATTAGTAGAGAAAGCAGCATATCCCCCAGCAAGGCTGCAGCTTCCTCCACCTTCTAAGCTGCCTTCCCAGCTACAAAGTCATGCAGTACCTCCAGACCCCTCAAGGCCTCAATCCTTTCACCCACACTGTGTCTATTCTTTGCTACACCACTCTGAAGAGTGCAGCAGATTTTAGTTAATAAACTCCCTCTTGGTTCCTGCTCACAGCCCCTGAGGCCCCTAAGGCCAGTGAGTACCTCACTTGACTTGAGGCATTGTGTAAGGAAGGCCCAGCTAGTCTGCCATTTCCCTTAAGGTGAGTGAGTCTTCTCTCAAGGCTCCTCAGCCCCTTATGCAAGAGCCACCAGTTTCCCTGCACTTCACTCACCTTGACACAACTGAATCTTCCAGGAGCAGTCACCAAACCCTAGGGAGTTCTTCCCAGACATCCAGCAATTCAGCCAGTCACATCAGGATTCAACCCCACGAGCCAGAGCCTCTTGGGGATTAAACCCCACACCCGTCCACAAAAGGCCACACGGACCCTTTCCTTTCTGTAAACTGTGTTGTCTTTTCTTGTGTTGTTTCAATGAAGCAGACACCAGGAAGGAATATCTTATCTTAACTTGATTAGGACAGGAAAGTGGTGAAATGAAAACAGGTAAGACCCTCCCAGGGCACTGACAAGCGAAGCACTTTAAGCCTGGGCTATTTTTATGTTGGTTTGACCAATTTACAGGTGTTACATGTGTCTTCCTCTTCCTTTGCTTCTCACAGACACTTATTCTGCCTGGCATTCGTGAGGCAAAAATCCACTGTGCTGCCCTAGTTTAAGAACCTAAGGTCCACGCCTGAGCAAGAGCCGCCACTGACAGCCAAGGCTCCCTTTTTAGCCAAGAAAACACACAAAAATGGGTAACTGCAAGGCGAAATGATGCATCATGACACATAGATTTAAACGAAGCACCAGAGCCCCAGAGATACATGTACAGGTCAAAAGGAAGATTGCATATTATAATCCTTCAAGTATTACTGTCTTTTCTAATTCTTTTGTTAGTTTAGCACCTTCAAGTTCCTTTTGTCATAAAGTCTGTGTCCTGCTTGCTGACCCTGCTCTGTGCTGCTGTGCAGTGGCCTTGGCTGATGCTGGGGCTCCTGGGCCTGAACAGCCAGAGCACTGTATTGTGTCTCCTTACAGCTGGCGTATATCGGATACCTGATGCTCTTCAACTATATCGTGTTAGTGAAGATGGAACGCTGGCCGTCCACCCAGGAATGGATCGTAATCTCCTATATTTTCACCCTGGGAATAGAAAAGATGAGAGAGGTAACGGCTTTTATAAAAGAAAACGTAAGAGAAAGACAGTGGTTAAGTTCTATCTGTGGATGGAGGGGACAGGAAGATGCCTGGGATGCAAATTAAGCCGGAAACTGTTTTCTCTAACTCTACCACAGCTGCTTCTTTGCTCCTCTGACAAACCTGGGGAGGCTTCACAGTGTGGTGCTTATAGGGGTGTAACTCCCTGAGTGCTTAGGATTTGGTCTATTCTCTGCTAACGTAGCCTTTGTCCCAAGAAGGCCTCTAGTTGTTTTTGATGCCTCATCCCTATAAACATGACTTTCTAGATTTTGCCACTTTTAACTCCCATTTCTCCCCCTTATTCTGGGTGTCTTCGGACACAGTCTGCCAATACCTGTGACTCTCTGGATGTATTTCGGCTGCTTTAGGAGGAACTCTGCTTTCACTCACTGATTGGATTTATTCTCTGGTTTATTTCTTAACATTCTGCTCGTACCTGCTGGGCACCAACCACTCTGCCAGCAGGAGGGACCACCAAGGTGAACTGAACACAGATCCTTCAGGTTGTGAGTGCAGGGTCCCTCTTTTCTCCCCCCACTTCTATGGCCTAAAAGGAGCCTTCAAAATGCCACCCCTAAATGGTTTATTTGAAATCAGAGCTAACCTCAGGGGCCCATCAGATTCAGAGCTGCTAAAAAGAATGTGATTAAGCGAAAATCCACAAGAGGGCTCTGCAGCCCCACTCAATGTTCACCACAAGCTCCTATTTCATCAGGGAAAGCCATTAGGAAGGCAGGCTTAGGAGGTAGTGCTGATTTCTCTGCATTTTTCCTGAAATGACAGTAAGCAGGACAGGCCCTTTCTGGAAGAAATGCTCCCGTTCAAGTCCACTGGGTCTTTAAGAGCTCAAGAACAACCCTAATTGCTGTACTGCAGTGGGTGGGAAAACATACTGGGCACCATAGGAAAAAAGGACTCCTACAAATCCACAACTTCATTCTTGCCTTCATTACAAAGACAGGTTAAAAGGCAAGGGTTTCAGCTCTATAATGTTCTCTTCCAGAGAAAAGATGCAGTATCTGTTAGATGCAGTTGTATTGGGATCATAAAAAATGTCTTATCTCTTAAGCCCTTCTCTTGAGTTTTTAAACTATTTGGGTGATATTTTAACTCTGACTACCATCTCCCCATCCTGAGAACTTGGGAATGGCTCTGCTAGTCTCATTTTACAAGAGCCTGGATTTAAAAAAAAAAAAAAAAAAGGAATGCCTTGCCTTGTTCCAGCTGGTTGTCTGCACTTCGGTCTTCCCATTCATGGTGCCTTTTCTTCTTGACCAATGTTGTGGATTTCCCATTTGTAAACTGAAAAACAGTAATAAATTTGCTTTGGTCTTTGTGCAGCTCTCTGAGAACTGAGGCCCGCTCCTGCTGGGGCCCTGTGGCTGTGCTGTGCCAGCTGGCACTCGAGCGATTTAACGCCTAGACGCATATTCCTTCCCCATGATAAGCAGAAAAGGGAAGGACTCGAGCAGGGAGATTGGAGTCTCTCCAGGGACCAGACTGGGAGAAGACAGGGAGCAGTCTGTACTCCACGGACTGTTCTGGCAGAGGCTGCCAAACGGGCAGGCTGCCAGGAGCCTCGAGGCCTGGATATCCATTTCTCCTGAAGAGGCATAGAATAGCAGGGAGGGCAGGGCTTTGGAGGCTGGAGTCAGGAAGGGGTCAACTGAAGATTCCCGCTTCCCGTGGGGAGTGAGGCGGTGACCACCTCCGAGTCTGACCTTTTCCTCTGCGGCTCAGTGAGGCGGCGCCCCAACCCCTGTGTCCTGCCCTGAACTCACTGAAGAGTTGCTTGACGACCAAAGGGTGAGGACCCCACAGGCCATGCCCTTCCTGCCTCTTCACAGTCAGCACGCAGGACCTCCAGGGCTCAGACGCAAGATCCTGGAAATGTGGAAAAGTTTGCATGCTTTGGTGCCTTCCCAGGGATACACAAAAGGAAGGCTTTGTGGTTTCCCATGATACCCCCATTCCCAGCCCCACATACTTCTGCCCGGAGTCACCAAAGCAAGCCCCGGTAATCCCTTAATAGCATGGCACTGTTTACAGCATGCGTGGGTAGACGTTATCTCATCTGGATCCTACCCCCGCCGACAACTCTGTGAGGTCGATGGCGTGACTATGATGACGTCCCACTGCACAGGTCTGGGAACTGAGACTCAGGGTTTTAGCAATTTCCCCGTATCCCACAGCTAGAAAGGACAACTGAGTATGCAACCTGACAGATCCGTCCCTAGACTCACTGCTCTTTCTACTCCCCCACGATGCTCCTCAGGCTCCCAGGGTTCTAAGACAGGTGCCTGAGGGCTGGTTCGAGAGGTGGAGGAGGCAGGGGGGATTCTTGACTTTCCACTTCTGCCTCACCCCGGACTGTTCTGCTCTCATCTCTTTTTTAATGTTGGGACTTTACCAAAAAATGCTTCACTATTTAAAAATGATACTACAAACCTCTGTGTTTAGCAGTTTTAGGAAAGTGTGAGCAAAGGGTTGGAAAAGCTCAAGGCATTGCCCATCAACCCCCTCTCCCAGCTACATACACGGATTTTTGCTCTGTTAAGATGCAGCCAGGGAGTGAGAAGCCATCAGGACAACACCAGCTGCAGAGATTGCTGATGACTAGGGCAGTGGTTCTCAAACTGTGGCCACCAGCAGGAGCTGGGAACTTGTTACACATGTAAATCCTCCACCCCACCCCCAGCCTCCTGAAGCAGAAACTCCAGACTGAGGGCCCAGCATCTATATTTTACCCAGCCTTCCAGCTGATTCTGATGTGCACTGAAGTTTAGAAACCCTGGGCTAGGGCTTAGGGCAGGACACTGCCTGTGAAAAATAGGGCTCTTGGGTAGCTCCTGGTACCCTGCTCAGCTTCCAAGTCCCAGCCCTGACTTACGAAAACCTGTCTTCCTTAGTATTTCAGAATTAGGTAAATCATTATAGTGGACATGAGGATTCACACAAATAGCTGGATATAGACCTGCCTCCAGTCTTTTCTCTCCTCTCCTTTGAGAGGTTCTGAGGTGGGGAAAGGGGTTGGTCATGGTTTGAAGAGATGGAATCCTCAGAGGTAAACACCAGCAATTGAGGAAGGTGGCCCTGGTGCACAGCTTCACTAAGTGGCATTCCCTGGCTTCTCACATCCTGGGGTGGTCTGTGATGCAGGATGGGTGCAACTTCTGCTGTCCAGCTGTGCATTTCATAGACCCATGTGTGGTAGCCCCTCTAAGTTTAAGGTAAGGCAAGAGTCCCACAAAGGAGTTAGGATATGCAAGGAACTGGAAAATTGCTGTTAGTGCCTACACAACAGTCAGTCTGTTGACAAATATGTATTGAGTTTCTATTATGTAACAGGCCTGGGGTACAAAGGGTCTGCCCTCAGAGTTTCAGTCTAGGAAAGAGAGAAGAATGGATGGACAGATGAATAAATAGATGATTGATCAATTGATTGATAGGCAGACACACATACTCATACACACATACATATAAAAGCTACAGTAGATAACTTCATATAGTGATAAAAACTTCAAAAAAATAAATAGGGTAATGTATTGGAGAGTGACTTGGGGACATGAAGTCAGCTGCAGCTAAAGTAATCAAAAAAGGCCTTCCTAAAAAGGGGACATTTGATCAGAGACCTTGAAGATGAAGAGGAGCCAAATACAGATCTGGGAGAAGAAAGTGCTGAACAGAAGGAATAAGTACAAGCATCCTGAATATCGAATAAACTTGTTATGCTTAAGAGATGACCAGTATGGCTGCAGGGTAGAGAATAAAGGAGAATATGATGGGACGTGAAATGAGGCGACCATAAGGAGTTTGGATTTTTCACTATTTGTAATGGAAGTCATCAGAAAGCTTAAGCATACAATTATGATCATTTGCTTTAGTTTCTGTTGTTGTTGTTGTTCATTTGTCTCCTAAGTCTTTTTTTTAATTGAGGTATAATTTATCTATAATTGAACAACTCCTAAGGGTGCAGCTTGAAGAGTTTTTACCTATGCATATAACCTGGTAATTGCCAGCCAGATCTTTAAAGATCCAGGCTTTTAAAGATCATTATTTGTGCTGCTCAGAGAATGGGTTGAGGGTAAGTGGGCAATGACGATGATGGGGATACCAGTTAGAAGGCTGCTGCAATCTGTAAGATGTGATGGAGCTTAGAATAGGGAGGCAGCAGTGGAGGTGGTGAGAAGTAGTTGGCTAGGTTGCATTTAGAAATAGAGGTGATAGGACTTGGTGCAGAGGATGTGGGATGTGAAAGAGAAAAATGGAGGAGTCTTCCCAAGTGAACAGCCTGAGGAACTCAATATGGTGGCACTGTTTACTGAGATGAAGGAAGACTTCAGAGATTTGCAGCATACTAGGATTGAATCATTTTATAGCAAAACTCTTATGTGTGTCTTAGAATTTTACCACCACCCAAAGAATCAAAATTATTGCTTATATGTGCCTTTGGAATATTGCAGCTGAATAATCACCTAAGCTTAGCTCAGTCGGACTTTTACAGCATGCAAGTATTTAAGTAGATATAGGTAGACAAAGCAAGCTACTAACATCAGCCAACAGACCAAGCACTTCCCAACTGGGCTGAAAATACAGACAGAAACCAGACCTAACTCTGCTCTCCTTCCTGCCTTATAGATTCTGATGTCAGAGCCAGGGAAGTTGCTACAGAAAGTGAAGGTATGGCTGCAGGAGTACTGGAATGTCACGGACCTCATCGCCATCCTTCTGTTTTCTGTCGGAATGATCCTTCGTCTCCAAGACCAGCCCTTCAGGAGTGACGGGAGGGTCATCTACTGCGTGAACATCATTTACTGGTATATCCGTCTCCTAGACATCTTCGGCGTGAACAAGTATTTGGGCCCGTATGTAATGATGATTGGAAAAATGGTAAGCAGGGTCTTCTGATTCCATGTTATAAGTTTTCAGAGGAGGAATGGTGATAATAGATAGAGGGAAATAATTCATTTGGGCCTGCTATCAAAGTCTAAATGAGATGGCCCTAGAGGTGTTTTATTTTATGAATTCCTTTTGAATGTTTGGGGGTTTGACTACATCTATATACAAAACTGGAGAATTTATCCATCAGTCACTCATTCATTTACTGAAAAATACATAAGATCATCTATTTTATGCTGGACACTGGACTAGGAGTTGGGTATACAAAGATGTTCTTTCCATGAGATTAAAATTGATGGGAGAGAGAGGGAGGGAGGAATTACCACACCATGTGAAAAATGCTGTAATAGAGATGTGTATAAAGTACAACAGAACCACAGAAAAGATAATATAGGTCAGAAAAAGCACACAGAGGTTACATTTTAGCTGGGTGTTGGAGAAGGAATGGGTCTCCACTACAAATTTTTAACAGATTTTTTGAAGATCCTGTATTTTTAAATAAAGTTCTAGAAAAATGCCTTTCCCTACACAAAGGGAAGAAAAACATAATTTATTTGTGCTGATTTGAGTTGGGTTGAGTTGGGTTTGAACTGAACATTAAGTTCTATCATGCATCATGTGTTTGTTACACTACTGGAAAATGATGTCTGTTAAGAACTAGCTTCCAGAATGATGCTCCTTCTTATCGAATTCTTGAAGAAAAAATCCCAAGTAACAAGCTAATATGCTTCCCTACAAATGGCCAAGGACTTGTTCCAATAGTCCTTGACCACACACCAGTTTCCAGACTTTTTCCGTAGAGACTGAACCCTAGGAGAACAGCATCAGTGTGAATCTGGGAATGCATCAGTAAACAAGCTCCCTCTCAAAACTCACTAGAGGAAGAATCAGAGCCTGAAGCCAGAACTGGGTACTTTTCATCAGTTCTCCCAGTTTTCTAAGTGTGTCCCCTACTTCATCTTTACAAGATATATGTGGAAAAGCTAAGTACATCTGTCCTACCATGACGAACACCTCTTACTGAAAAACCTTTTTCCTGGTCAGACACAGTGGGTCATGCCTGCAATTCCAGCACTTTGGGAGGCTGAGGCAGGCAGATTACTTGAGCCCAGGAGTCTGAGACCAGCTTGGGCAGCACAGTGAGACACTGGTGATACAAAAACTAATGAAAAATTAGGGCCGGGCATGGTGGCTCACACCTGTAATCCTAGCACTTTGGGAGGCCAGGGTGGGCAGATCACCTGAGGTCGGGAGTTCGAGACCAGCCTGACCAACATGGAGAAACCCTATCTCTACTAAAAATACAAAATTAGCTGGGCATGGTGGTGTATGCCTGTAATCCTAGCTACTCGGGAGGCTGAGGCAGGAGAATCACTTGAACCCAGGAGGCAAGGTTGCGGTGAGCCAAGATCACACCATTGCACTCCAGCCTGGGCAAGAAGAGCTAAACTCTGTCTCAAAGAAAAGAAAAAGAAAAATTAACAGGGTGTGTGTTGACATGAGCCTGTGATCCCAGCTATCTGGGAGCCTGAGGTGGGAGGGTCACCTGAGCCCAGAGTTCAAGACTGCGGTGAGGTATTTTTTTCTCGAAAACAGAAAAAGAAAAACCTCTTTGCTAATATCTTTCACTTCACTTCCATTGTATGAGCCATTGAAACCAATGATTAGTCAATAGATGTTCTTTTTTTTTTTTTTTTGACAGTGTTTTACTCTGTCACCCAGGCTGGAATGCAGTGGTGCCACCTCTGCCTCCTGGGTTCTAGCAATTCTCCTGCCTCAACCTCCCGAGCAGCTGGGACTACAGTCACCTGCCACCACGCCAGGCTAATTTTTTGTTTTTATTAGAGACGAGGTTTCACTAGGTTGGCCAGGCTGGTCTCAAACTCCTGATCTCAAGTGATCCACCCGCCTCAGCCTCCCATAGTGCTGGGATTACAGGTGTGAGCCACCATGCCTGGCTGATGTTCTTTATTATTATTACTTGAGATTTACTATATGTATCATTGCTAACTCAATATTTATGGAACAGCTCTGTGTATGTATGTATGTGTATCTCTACTGAAATGAATCTTAAATAATCACGACTTTTCTTACAAAATCACTAACAAACTCATGCAAAGAGAGGAAGAATTCAAATTCAAAATGAATTGGGTATAACACATTGAGCAATTTATTTAAACCCCTTTGAGACTTGGTTTACTTGTTTCTAAAGTAGTGATGTATAATAAATGCATATCTTATAGGGTTATTGTTGTAATTATTAGAAATAATACATACTAAATGACCAGCTGTGTCTGGCTCATAGTTGGTGGTTGACAAATTATATCTGTTATCATTATGTTCAAATTGCATTTTTTAAATACAATGAAAGAAAGGAAAAATTGGTGAGTATAGTTATTATGCTGTATTCCTAACCCTACTGTACAAATGGTATTTATAACACCAGCATTGTTTAGGACAAATATCACCAAACTCATTCTAGAGAGAAAAAACACTTGAATTCATGAGCTTGAGTTACTTACCCAAAACGGAACCCCAGTTCAATTGGGGATTTTTTGACTAGGAAAAAAATGTGTATCTTACTCCATTATACTGCCTGTTATATCATCTTCTTTGCACTTTAACAATGAATTTGAGATTGTGGTGAAAATTCCTGTCTAAAAGCAGAGAGTCTAGATTTAGAGTCAAGGGATAGGGCTCAGGAGGTAGGATCTGTGGACCCTCTCTGCAATTTATATATAAAAATGTGTGGGTGTGTGAATTTTCTGGACAGAGGGGACAAGCTTTCATGAGATTCTCAAATGTATTTTCAAGTGGACCCAATGAAAGCAAAGAACTATAATAGCTATAAAATTAGGCCACATTTTCTCAACCTTGACACTGCTGATATCGTGGGCTGTATAATTCCTTATTTTAGGAAGCTGTCCTGTGTATCATAGGATATTTAGCAGTGTCTACCCAGTGGATGCCAGTAGCATGCACACGTGCACACACACACGCAGTTATGACTACAAAAAAGTCTCTAAACATCTCCACGTGTCCCTCAGGGAATGAAATTGGCCTCTGTTGAGAATTACTGCATTCTGTGATTACATAATCAGATTGGATGTTTTTTCTGATTGCTACCTTATTTTATTTTAACAAATAAAATCTGAAAAGACCCAAACAAACCAAATATATTACCCTTTAAAGCCTGGGTAGCATTTATATACTTGGAATAACTGAAGTCATGCTAATGCAGCGAGATTATTTTAAAATCCACGTCTATCATCTTAATAATGGCATAATTATCCCAGTTTTGACTAGAATGAAACCTTACTCAGGAGTGTGCAAGAGGAATGTACTGCATTTTCTCTACCTTTTAACTTATGAATGACTTCATTTATCAGTCAAGAATAAGTACAAAATGAGTACACTTGGGGACTTTGCTTCTCTTTCAAGGGGCTTTTAAGATAATCAGTTCAATAATTGATGCACTGATCCAGAAGGCAGATAAAATATGCCTATAGAATTTATCAGTGAGTCAGATGGACCACCAGGCTGGAACTTAAGAAAATGTGCCCAGATGTGTTATACTGAAAGCCTCTCAACATTAGGGAGTTCCCATTAAGCACAAAACAGCCAAGTGAGTCCCTGCCCTGTGGTCTAGGGACAGACAGCTGATGAGATTCCTGGACACACAATCATTAGGAGTCTATTTTGAAATTGGTACTATGAGTCTTTGCATAATATAAGAAGCCAGTACACCAAATGCCTCACAGCATGGAAAGCCTGCATATCCGGAAAGACTCCAATTGATCTGCTGCAGGCCCAGAATCACTTAACAAAATCCTGACTCCTTTCCTCCATATTCCACTTCTCAATGGAATTCTCTAAGCCTAGTACTAAGCTCACTTACATAATTCAGAATAAAAACAATAATGATAGCTATCATTTGCTGTGTGCCAGATACCATGTCAGACATGTCATCATCATACCCCCTCGGAAATAGGTTTTCATATCTGTGTTTAATAATTTAAACAATTGAATAAGAGACTAATCAAGGGACAATAACAGGATTCAAATTTCTGTCTAACTGACCCCACAACCTGACCTCCTTCCAACTCTAATAATAATAATACATTAACATTTATGGAGAACTTACCACATTGTTTCACATGCCATCTCATTGAATCTTTATAAAATAAATGTATTATTATTCCTATTTTACAAATAAAATAAAACAAGATTAAGCAGCTTGCCCGAGGCCACCTAGCTACATTTCTTTTTCTTTCTTTCTTTCTTTTTAACATTTAGGAAGCCTTTATTTTGTTTTTGTAATTATTTTTACTCGTTTTGTGTGAGTTTTTTTCCATGTAGCTATTTTTACTAGCAAAGTCAAGATGAAAACCCAGGTATTCTGACACCTAAGTACATGTGTTTAACCACTGCAGTGTATATATAATATATATTATATACACATTATATATTATATATACATTATACATTATAATGTATATTATACAATGCATATTATATATATGTGTATTATATATTACATTATATATAATAAATTATATAATATATATTATATACTCTCCTCTGTAGAACACAACAGAAAGATATTTACAAGATTAGGACAGGATCAGCTCTCTTAATATTGAACCGACTGGATAATTTAGCTTTAAAAAAGGAGGCCAGCCCCAGTTCTCACTAATAATGCTCTATTTCTGCACTGCATTCTATCAGATTTTGGTATTTGTATGAAAGCTAAGACTTCTTTGAAATATATGAAGCTAAGTGTTTGGGAAAAATGTTTCTTCTCTTTGATTGTTTTGACCCTTTGGATAGATAGCACAATCAATCTGAACAAAAACAATCCTGAGAAATTAAATTAGAACAGTTTCTGTATTTACTGGCTGAGTTTCCTTGGGTCAAACTAGCTTCTAAATCTCATGAGCACAAACCTTCCTCTCCCAACCCATCTTTTAATCAGTGTAAATAAACACAACATGAAGGACCCATGTGTGCTTTTTCATTGATAGAACTTTTTGTAAATAAATGATGAAAGAATTTTATAAAATAAGAGAGAGGATGAAAAACAGACCCATGTTTTCTATAAAACTTTCAACACAGCTGGCTTGCTCACTTTAAAAGAGTTCTGAGACCACTAAACTATAGAAGAAATAACTAATTAGCATACAACTTTAAAGACTATTTAAAAATATGAATGGATGTCAGATTTTAAGATATTCCTGTTTGGTTTTTAAGTCATGCAACACTTGTGAGATGCATTTTGAAGTTGCCTTGAAAATTGATTAGACCCCAGTGTCCTAAGGCATACAAGGAAGGCTATAATGTTTGAATTCCAATAACAGACACTCTTTTAAAACAAAATCGTGGCCGGGCACAGTGGCTCATACCTGTAATCCCAGCACTTTGGGAGGCCGAGGCGGGTGGCTCACAAGTTCAGGAGTTCAAGACCAGTCTGGCCAAGATGGTGAAACCCCATCTCTATTAAAAATACAAAAAAATTAGCGGGGCATGGTGGTGCACACCTGAAATCCCAGCTACTCAGGAGGCTGAGGCAGACAATTGCTTAAACCCGGGAGGCTGAGGTTGCAGTGAGCCGAGATCGCTCCACTGCACTCTAGCCTGGGTGACAGAATGAGACTCCATCTGAAAAATAATAATAAAATAAAAATTAAAAAATTGTAAAACTAATTTGAAGCCTCCATTATCATTGATAAAATTAGCATTAGGCTTTTTTTTGTGGATGGGCATCCCTTCAGGAAGTATGGTATCTAAGAGAAAGTCTTTTGTATTCTATGTTTTGATGCAAGCGATAGAAACCAATCTCCAACTAGCTTAAGCCTAGAAGGGATATATTGACTTATGAAGGGCATAATGAAACTGGCCTTAGGGGCTACTGCAAACAGGGACCCAATCACTGTCAAGCTTTGCTCACTTTCTCTTGCAAATCGGCTTCATTTACTCTGATCAGTTTCACTGGCGGAGAACTCAGCGTCAGATACAAATACTATGAACTCACCCCATTACAGAGACACAAGGAACTTCTTTCTCCCAGCTTTAGTTAAAAACAAAACAAAGCAAAGCCAATACAAGGATTCTGGTTGGCCTGTCTTGGTCAAATCCCTGCTTCTATCACTCTTGCCGGGGCCAGTATCATATTTAACGTAGCCTGGAAAACACACCTACCTTGTGGCCATACTGGGTAGAAACTGTTTATAAAAGGAGGAGGTAATGGGTTCTGGCCAGAAAAAAAATCAATAGTTATTGCATCCTCATCTATTTAATATTTTGAGTGATAAAAGGAAAATAATTTGGCATATAAGAAACAGATCCCAAATAACATACATCATGGAAAGAAGGAAGAATGAGGAACAAGAGATAACATTATATTAGAGAGCAGCCTGGAGGATTTTATAAACCTGTCAAGATGAAAATCCATCATTTCTACAGCAGGTACAGGTCTGAGTCATTAGGGTGCATGATTCTAATGCCCAAGAAAACACCCTCCATAGCCAATGGGATACCCTGCAGGAGAAGTATACAAACAGCCATTTTCTCTGAGAGACTGGTTGGTGGTAGAATACTATGCAGTGGGGTGGGGCCACAAGAATAAGAATATAATGGATATTTGGTTTATCCTAGCTTCGTTTATAGGCAGTTTTTGTTGTTGTTGTTTTGTTTTGTTTTTGAGCTTTCCAATTTTTCATTAGCCTTTCAGAACTTAGAAAGGAGGTTTACAGCATTGCAGTCGCTCTTGGAATAGTTCAACTCTCCCAATTCCAGTTTCTCTAAGAAGAAAGAGACCCAAAGAGGACACTTGCCTCCCCCAGGAGCAGAGAAAAAGTTAGCACCTGATTCACACAGAGGCCTAAGCTTCCATTTATATGACTCCTATGCCTAGCCTATGTGGGACCTATGCTCGGTCCCACAGACAGCAATGAAAAACGAAGAGGCTTCATCTGTGTGTGCACTTTTTGAAATGTTTTTTGAGTCACTGATAGAATTCTGTGGACACTGGCTTCAACAGACCAAGCATCTTCTTATCTGGACACAACTCCCTGTCTAAACATCCCTTCCCAGCAGTCTAGAAAGTGGACCTCCTCCAAAGGTTCCCATCATTGTCAGCAATTATAAGAACACTCAATCATATGGGTTTTCTCTTGTTTCTCCCTCTGCTTCCCCACCCTTCCAGATGATAGACATGATGTACTTTGTCATCATTATGCTGGTGGTTCTGATGAGCTTTGGGGTCGCCAGGCAAGCCATCCTTTTTCCCAATGAGGAGCCATCATGGAAACTGGCCAAGAACATCTTCTACATGCCCTATTGGATGATTTATGGGGAAGTGTTTGCGGACCAGATAGACCGTAAGCAAGTTTATGATTCTCATACACCAAAGTCAGGTATTTAAATTCAATTCGGTTATGTCTTTTCCAAGTTCATTTGTTTGTTCTCAATAAATGGCTCAAGATAGAGGACTGATTCCTAGCTTGCTATCTTGGAGGAAACAAAAATTACAGAAGGTGAATACACAATTTTAGCAAAGTAGTTCTTGGGTATTTCTTTAGGTATGTCATGTTCTGTGACACGAATCGACATCTGGTATACCAAATTTGATCAAACAATGAACCACTTAGAAAGATCTAAATTACTTTATGATTCAAACTCCCAGGGCCATGTGTTGAATATTTCAGTATCAGGAATATTTTATGTCACTACCTCCCTACCTCTACCCCAGCCTTTAGAAAATAAATTTCTTGAGTTGGACTTCAGAACAAATAAACAATGCTCGATTTCACCATCAGAATTCAAGAGTAAGGGCAAACATCTGCATGGTATTTTTCTTGCACTGGAAACTATTCTCCAACTCCCTTTCCCACTGTCTTAAATTATGTGCTATTGAGACTCATAGGAAGCTGGTATTCATTGCCTGGAAGTATGGAAAATGCCTTAGGTCATAAACTGAGTTGCTTGCTATAAATGCCAAAAAGAAAATAGTATCTATATTATGAAACGATTCAGTGTGGGGAGTGAATGCCAGCAAGCCCCCAAGGTTTCATGCCCTAATAGATGCCGATTCTCTGTAATAAACACTCCTTTTGTATGGAGTTTGAAGATAGTTGTATCCTAGGAGTCTGTTCCAGGATTTTACTGGGACCAAATGTCAGGACACACCAGGCATTGGGAAATTTTTTGGGAAGAAAGCATCATTAAAGAAACATCTTTCAGTGTGGAGGAGTTGAATCCCAGGAGCAATGATTTCTCATTTCCCCTGAGGAGTTTAGTTCTGGAAATAACATCCCTCCAACATTGTTGAATTAACATTTTTCAGACATTTTTTTGCTGACAGGCCAGCCGTCTGAGCCCTGGACTGTGGACATGGATTAGGGTTGCATAACCAGGTAGTATAGCTTATTAAGAGCAGGAGCAGAGACTAGTTAGCATCCCCACTCCCACTGCCCATCCCCGGTAGGACTGAGACCAGGAAAATAGGGACAAGGCAGCAAAGAGTGTGAGTCCTCCAGGCCTGTGAAGAGGATGTGTACGTTGGCAACAGAACACACCGGTACGTCATTTATTCTTCCACGATGGATTTTGAACAAACACACTTTCCTTCTCAAAATGCGTTATCTAAGGCAATCAAGACTTTTTGGAACACCTAATTGGAACAAATACTTGTTTCATGAGACTTAGCCAACTCACTGAGGAAGAATTTTAACTCCATCTCCTGGTTGTAATATCTTTGGCTGACAATGTGCAGCCTTCACCAAGACAGCTTGCCAGGGACTGGGGAAAATCCTTTTGAGAGCCTGCTTTCAAACAGTCCCTAAAGGCAAAACAACACTTTTTAAAAACCCACCTATGACCATTTTCCTCAGAGATTAAATGTGCTATTTCCCCCCAAGAAATTGTTTTTCCACTTAGTTACATTATTTTGCCTTTTTTAGTTTTCCTTTCTGCTCCAAAATGAGATTAAGCCCCCAGGGAAGTTTTGACAATGCCACATTTTGGGATGGGAGAAGGAGGGAGGTGTAGGTGTGTTTTATAAATGGGATTCTGTCTGTCCCTCTACAAGTGGCCATTTATTGATGTTGTACTATGAACCCAGCCTAGTGCAACAAACACCACCATCTGGCTGAATAAGAGGATTTATTATTGTTATTTTAAAAGAAGGGCTGATTGTAGTTTAGAACTTGAAAACCCCCTGGAGACAGAGAAGATGTGTTCTGTGTGAGTGAAACATGAAAATAGATTTCCCACACTGTTAATTAGATCTGTGGAGCTCTACGTGTGTGAGAATAAATTTCGACTCCAAACCTCAATGTATAACTGACCCAGCCTTGGATAGATGCAGCCTTCGTGATGCCCTTCCCCAACCACTTACCTTCCTTTTCGATGTTCTGAAAGAGCTACAATGGTAGCCACTGTTCTAAGCTAAATCAGCCAGTTTTCTGTCTAGTGCTAGTGAGTATTTGTCCTTTCTCAAATGGATATAGAAGGCTGCCCCCAAAATCTGTCATGACATTTGGCCAAGGTCATTGAACATTCCTGTCCTCCAAATGATTTAATATTCATGTTATGGCCCTGGATGGGCCCAGTGGGGATTGGGTGACTGCCCTAGCTGGTCATTCAGAACTGCTCTGGAGTCCCAAGTACCAAGCTATTTGAGAAAGGTACAAATCTTTTATGCTGCCCTACGACGTCTTGCCTCTTTTCTGTGTCGTGCCCAGGTTGGTTTGTGAAGCATGTTTTCAGGCTGATCGGATCTCATATCCGCCTGGACCCACAGCCCTTCCCAGGGTCTCCAGTCCCATCCTGTGGGTGTACCCCGTGCGGGCCTTCTGAAATGCTGCTCATTCAAACACACCTTCGCAGAGTGACTCATTTCTAACGGAATGCGTGTGCTCCATAGCTAACTCTTTTTTTTTTTTTACTTCAGAATTGCTAAGCCCATTTCATGTTTGGGAAAATACTCTTTCTTAATTGGGTTGGACGTATATGGATGTACAATAGGGCCCTTGGGGTGGGTTTTTAACATCAATCATACACCTCAGAAGAGAGGGCGGCTTTGATGCCCTCACTTCTGGGAGGCAATGTTACCTTGCTACAGATCTTTGATATGCCTTCCACCTTTTCTTCTGTTATTTGTTCTAAACACAGAGATCAAAGATCGATAAGATCAATAAAGCCTAAGATACTGGAATGAAACTTCTAAGGTTACTTTCCAAATGTGCTTAAAACTAAACCCAAAGGAAAGAAAATGGAGTCGCTGTAAAGTCACAACATAATTTAGGTGCTTTTCACCTCTAAGCCATGTTGAACTAAACACAAATGATAGTTCAGCCTTAATCTAAGTTCTCTGTGGAGACTGAAATGTTTGTTTTGTTTGGAAGCAGAGGAGAGTGAGAGAATGTGATTGGAAGCAGAAGATAAGGAACCTGGGGAAGGGACAGTGACTGTCCGCTCTACCCGGAAACTTTGCCTACCACCTTGATTTAATTCGTGGGAATGCAACTTGCTGTTGTTGTGTGGTTGGTTCCTTTTTGGTTTGTCTGGTTTCTTTCAAATAGCCCAAAATTGTCTTCACGTGTTTGCTATATAGAATCCTAGCTCTCCAAGAACCAATCTAAGGGCTACCATGAAACAACTTAGGCCCTGGGTTGTTAAATGCATGGCTACCAAATGATGACACCCTTTTGGGTAGTCTCATCAGTGTGACCCATGTGGCATGGCCTCTGAGAGCTGGTCAGGATCCCACTGGAGCTTGAGGAGAAAAGCCACTTAGAAAAGAGGAGCAGCAGAATTCATTTCCACCCCAGCAGCATTTCATGCCAAGGCCGGAGCAAAGCTAAAATTAGATGGACTCTTGCCAGCTTAGAAATCTGGTTCTGCATTCTGGTGTGTGAGGTGCCTAGAAGTGCACCTTTGTTGGCAGGGAAAACGGGGTGTCTCTGGCTTTCTCCAGCCCCTGAATGAATGCGACTTTCATTTATTTACAGGGCATCCATGTGCTGCTGGCTGTATATTCAGATTCCCCAGGCTGTACCAGGGCAGGAGGAAAATGAATCATGCTCTTGAATGCATTAAGTAAGGGTCTAAATTTAGTCCTCCTTTCTGCTTCTCTGAGTATTTTTACAAGTTTAGATAGTAATGTGAAAGCAGAATGTCCAAAACTTACTTTCTACCATGACAACTTAATATTATCTAGCCCTTTCCATTCACTCCAAATTAGCTATCCAATCTACTTAATGCCTGGGTTACTTTTTTTTCTTACTGCCTAGGGCTTTTCCATCTAAAATTAATAGGTAGTCTGGGGTAGGAAGGTTTTTGTTTTGTTTTTGCTTTATTTATGTATGTATATATTTAGTACAAAGGTTTGCTATAAAAAAAAAAAATCCTTGCTCCTTTGTGTCCATGTTGTCTCTGTGATGTTGACTGAATTTAAAGTGTTGTTTTTGTCATGTGTGTGCATGTAAAGCCAAAACACATTCCTGAATTATTTTTCTGCCTCAAATTAATTGTTCCTCACTTCCCATGTGGAAATCAGAACATCTCAAGGAGCCAGTCTCTAAAATACGCCTGCTTATGGTGAAGTTTAGAGCAGCATGAACGAAGATGACTATTGTTATGCATTGCAATCATGAAACTCCAGTTCTCAAGACTCAGGGCTGTGCATCTGTTTAGTATTCTGAACTGACCTTCTCTAATGGATTCAGAGCACACTAATGCCTAACAGCTATAGCGTGGGGAGTGTTGCTTGACCAAAAAAGTATTTTGGAAAAGGAAAACTTGAGCCAGTGCCAACTTTTGGGAAAGGGTTTTGTTTTGTTGGGTTTTGTTTTCACAAATTGCTAAGGAAGCAAGCCAATATGAGGCACCATCCTCATTTTCTGTCCCTGAAAGCCAGCTCACGTTATAGAGAATACCCACCTGACTTGTTTACTAATACAAACTGAGGCTTAATGGATTTACAAATAACAGAGCTATCTGCAGACAGGACTTTGTGATGATTCCGGACGCTGTTTTGATCAACACTTGTTCTATTGTCATAACATTTAATTAGCATTTTCTCACAGGTTGGACTCCACTTTGAATTCTTTCTTCAGTCAATGAATATTTATTTTGTTTGTACTGTGAGCTGGGAACCAGAGCACAGAGATACATGTGACGGAGGCTTTGTCTTCAAGGAGCTTACAGTCCAGGAAAGGCAAGCTGCCATTGACGATACATGTGTAGAGATGGAGCCAAAGAAGGTAGCCAGTTCTACCTGGGGTGGGAGATGAGACCTTGCAGAGAAAGGGAGGGTTGAGCTGAGCCGCTCGATATGAGCTGATGTTTCAGGAAGATGAGAGCAGGAGGTGTAAGGAGAGAAGAATGGCCTTCCAAACTGCGAATTAGTATGAAAAGTTCCAGGAGCAGTGGATATTTAGTATGGCTGATGGTAGAGTAAGAGGCAAGAGATAGGAAGTAGGACGGAAGGGTCTGAGGAGACAGACGGGGTACAGATCCTGGAGGACTTACACTCCATGCTCAGAATAGTACCATGATCAAGATGTATGTTTTAATCAGAGCTCCCAAGCAAAAATGTGGAAAGTCCATAAGAGGGGTAGAGGTGGGAAGTGAGAGGTGAGAGGAAATTTCTAATGCAGCAGCAGCTGGAATGGAGGAAACAGGCAGGATGAGATTTTAGGAAGGTACAATCAAAAGAACCTGGAAAGAAATCAGATGGTGCAGAGGGTGATAGTGGGAAAAGTGGATGGGGATTTAAAACAGAGGAGCTGGAGATTACGCCAAGGTTTCTGGCTTAGTCTAAAGGGTGATGTCATTCACTGAGATAGAGAATCTGGGACAAGGAACTATGGGGGTATGGGGACTTTTTCTGTCAGGATTGAATTGAGTTTGAGGTTTCTATGGGAATTCCAGGAAAACCATGAAGAAGGCTATTTTGCACATAGAACTCTGGAGCTTAGTAGAAGCTGGACAGGAGATAGAGATTTAGGGATCAACCACCGTGATGGTTAATGCCATGATGGGTGAGCTTACCAGCGGGCACAAGTAGAAAGAGAAGAGAAGGCCAGAGAGGAATACTGAGTGGTCAACGGTGTCAAATGCAAGAGAAAAGTCCAACTGGGTGAATATTTATAGACGTCCATTCAGTTAGTCCTTCAGGAAGTCACTGGTGACTTTTGCCAGGACATTTTTATTTCAGTGCAAGCGCAAAAACCAATTGCAGTGATGTAAGAGTAAATCAGCAACAGGACAAAGCATTTACTAGGCAAGAGGGAGAGAAATGCTGTATATGTATCAGCGGGGCAGGAGGGGCAGAGAAAGCACAATGCAGTAGAGCTCTGAGAAGAGTGATGTCTTATAATCACCACTAGGAAAGTGGCAGATGTCACTGACTTGGTACATATCACAGGATTGCTCTGGGCCACCTATTTGCATAGATAAGTTGTGTGTTTCCCCAGTCATGACTCTGCACCCCAGATATAGTACAGGAAAGACAAATGGCTGGATTAATCCAAGATTGAGGCTTTGCTGTGCCCACATGGCAGAGAGGGAACAGGGACTAGGGTTATTAAAGATGTTTGCAAGGGTTTTTGAAGTTATACATTGTGAGGTGTAAGATGAAGGGAAAAGAAAGGTATAAAGTTGGTGAAAACCCCAGAGGAAAAAGGAATAATCAAAGGACTAGGTTTCTAGCCTGAGAAGCAATTACATTGACTAAAGGTCCTGAAGGCCGTGATTATACGATGTTGTGGTCAGGCAATAGTAAATTGGTGTTCAGAATTAAGAGGTGAAGCAGTTTAGAATAATGATAAGGTCCAGGGGTAGCTATGAGGATGGGTTCTAGAACATGCTGGAGTTGAGGTCAAGTATCTTGAAGCTAGATTCTTCTGTGTTTATCAATACAGATATTGAAGTTGTTCACAATAATGACAGGAGAAGGTGTGAATGGGAAGACTTTGATCAGGATGACCTGAAACTCAAAAAAGAAAGGGTTTTTTGCACAAGAGTGAAAAACAGTGGTTTGGAAAAGGCAAAGAATATCAATAAAAATGCAGACATTGCCTCGGAACCACAATGTAGAAAAATGTGCAACTTCTACTTGAAAAGGTAACAGAGAGGTGGTGTCTTCCTGCAAGATGGATTTTAATTAAGGCAAGAAAATGGGGAAGTGGACTCATAAAAATATGAGAAAGAAGGCCAGGCACAGTGGCTCATGCATTTCGGGAGGCTGAGGCAGGAGGATCATTTCAGATCAGGAGTTCAAAACTCCAGTGACACATTATTGCGCCACTGCACTCTAGCCTGGGCAACAGAGCAAGACCCTGTCTCAAAAAAAAGGTACAAGAAAGCAGAGGAGTTTGTATTCAGTGATAATTGGGTTCTGGAAGACTCAGGGGAAAAGGAGAAAAAGGGAACAGCGATGAGAGTTCAGGGGCAGAAAGCCTAGCATCATATGAAGACAATAGCCCAGGGGAAGGTGGGTGGCTGGAGGAGCTTGCATTGTAGGAATAGGAGATGATAGAAAGAAGTACGGTGAGAGTAACTTAGCCAGAGTTTTAAGACAGCTAAAGACTGGAACTCTAGTAGTATAAGAGATCAGATGAAGCTAATGATACCTAGCCCTAAAAGGATAGAACTGGAGACTTTGTGTAATAGAGAAGAGTAACTAGATCCTGAAGAGGAACCTCCCCAAATGGCTAGAGGATTCTCCATCTCAAAGGAGGCTCTCCTTTTGAAATTGGCAATGGCTTGTGATGCTAGAGAAGCATCATTCATCACCTTCCACAAAGGTGAACTCTTGATATAACCTTGGAATATTCCACTTTTCTTTAACCTTTTCCAGACTTGCTAATACCTTGCCTATAATTAAATTTAGCGCTTGTTCCATCTTGACCATTTTCAGCCTCTGTTGTAATTCTGCCTTTAACAGAGCACTTTTGTTTCACCCTATGTTTGCATGACTTCAAAGACCATGCTTTTTCTACTCTATCATGACTATAAGTCATAGGTAACCTGGCCACTCCCAGTGGAACTCCAGAAACACCATGTAGCCTGAGCCCGCAAAGCATGCGCAAGCTATGAAGTGTAGCGTTCACTCTCATACACTCTCACGTGTATGTGCAGACTCACATTTCTTTTTTCTCTCCTCCAGCCCTGCTTCTGCCAAGACATTTTTATCTATTCCCCAAATCCTCCCTTCTGTTGCCCCTTCTGAAAACACTCTAAGGTCCCTGAGAGCTTGTACATTTGGACCACAAAAGCAGCCAGAGAAACTCAAGGGCTATTTCTGGATTCTGTGCTGCAACCTTCCGTTCCCTGGGGTGGGGGGTACCAAGCCAGTACCTGCTTGAAATATAGGAAGAGAAGTGAGTACTTCTACATACTATTCCACCACACTAATTTAACCATCTTGTAAGTAAAAACAGGATACCCAAAATAAAAATAAACACATAGGTTCCACGCATCCTAGACATAACCCACATGTTTCAAAGAAAGATTATATATGAAGTAATTGTAACCTGGTGTCATCATAAATCATCTCACAGTGTGGCCACAGGGATCTCTTAGACTCCCAGAATGGTGGTAAGTCTGGAAATTCTTCAGAATAGCCCTGTACAGTAGAATCTACTGTGATGGGTGATGGTACTCATCTAGATCTATATTGTCCAATACCATAGCTGCTCGTCACATATGGCTACTGAGTGCTTGAAATGTGGCTAGTATAAATAATAAACTAAATTTTTAATTTTTTTCTTTTTAATTAACTGAGATTTTAATTTAAATAGCTGCATGTTGCTAGTGGCCACTGAATTAGATAGCACTGTTCTAGAATATAAAAATCCTTTAGAATGCCAGCTCTGTGAGAGCAGGGACCCACATCTTTCTTGTTCACTGCAGTATCTCCAATACCTCAAACTATGTCTCACACAATGTAGGTGCTCAGAAAATAGTTGATGCATGAATTAAACTCCTTGAAGCAGAGGATAGAGAGTGATGTTGTTATCTGCTTTAAACAATCAATCAAGCAAACAAAAAGATTTCAGGGACTACATATAAAGAAACTAGAAAAGCTGAAGTGTCAGAAATGTCAGTCAAGATGATGAAAAGAAGCTATGTTTGTTATAAAGGAATTTAAAATGTGGATTAAATTAAATGTAGTGATCATGGATTCATGACACACACACACACACACACACACACACACGCACAGGGTGGAGGCGGGGAGGAGTGAGAAAGGAAAGTGGACTCAAAGGGGATTCTAGAGTTAAGTTCCTGAAAGTAGCTAGCTAACTTTGTTTTCAAGAAGAAAATTCCAGCTGCATTCAAGAAATATCTATTGAAAAAGTCATGATTGTAGTATATGTGCAGAGATTAGGCAGCTATAAGGAAGGGAGGGAGAAAAAGAGGGAGAGAAGGAAGGAAGAAAGGAAGGAGAAGACAAGGAAAAAAGGGAGGGAAGGAGGGAAGGAATGAAGAAGGGAGGGAAGGAGGAAGGGAGGGAGGGAGACTGGCCCACCTGCTGGCCCTTGATTGTTGAGGGCAGCAGAGGAAGGAAGAGAGAGCTGTGTGAGCCCAGCAGCAGGACCAGTTGAGGCCCATGCAGACAGCCCCACCAGCTCTGAGCCTCACCATGCCGGCGGTGGTTGCCATGCATCCTGTAACTATGGCCTTTCCAAAGGCTCAGTGTTCTGACCAAACACAGCAAGGCAGATGGTTGATTTCCACTCAAAGCAGAGCAGAGTACACCCCTTCTGAATAACGTGGCAAGATTTTAATTGATCTGTATTAACAGCAACCAACAAATAGACTGATCTCCACACAGGCTAACTATTAGCAGATGATCCCAGCAAGGCTCACACATTAGTTGCCTTTCCTCAGATGTGACAGAGTCCAAATAAGCCTGCAACCTCAATATGTAAGGGAAAGGAAGATGCTCAAGATCTTTTGCAAGATACTGTCCAGTGGAGCGAGTCGCTTCCTGCGGCTAGATATCAGACCACGTCTGTCAAGTGATGTTTGACTGAATTGCTTGGCTTTCAGCCAAATATTTGATATCTAGAACATCAGGCCTAAGGTTCAAGATGAGTGCTTGCTTGGAAAAAGACCCCAATAACTTCAGGTCAAATGCAGGATGTTGAGTCTTCAACTTAGTGACACACTCAATTCAGGGAGATGACACCCACTGGTGAGTTAAGGATAGAGGGGCTATTTCTTGGCCCAGGCTGTGGTTACGTGGGCTTTCATTTTACACTGGACATATATGTTTTATGGACTCTTCTGTGTATATATCTCATAATCTAATACACAAAGGAATAAAGGAGACATCCTGCTATAATATTTTCCAGATTCTAGTTTGAATGGGTTCATTCATTCAATGACATTTACTAAGCACTTCAAGTGCCAGGCTCTGTGCCACGAGATGGGAGTTAAAAAGACATACTTTGTTGCCTCAGTTTTGAAGGAAGTTGCTGAAGAAGACTGACAGCTAAACACACATTACAAATCAGCGTGATATATATTTTCATAGAGGTGTTGTGTAAGGACTTAGCTCAAAGGAAAGAACACAGTTTAGCAGTAGGAAAAGGGGAAGAGAAAAGGGAGGGCGGGCCAGATGCACTCTGAGAAAGTCTCCTGGAGGTAACAGTTAAGCTGGATCACAAAGGATTTTAAGAGTTTTTCAGACAGATAATGACAGGGCATTCTAAACAGAGGGACTGTTATGTACAAAACCAGAGGCATGACAGAGCATGCCTGGTGTGGGCATATGGGGGCCAGAGAGAACGGAGATATGAGGTGTCCTCCCTGGGCCAGCCTGGAACTAGCCTCTAGGTTAGTTCTGTGTCCGAGGTACTCCCAAGCCCTCTGTATCTACACTGGGTTGATGTGGACACCATATTGTTTTTGTCTGATTTCTTGTGTGTATCCCTTATTGGATTCTATGCATTGTGGGGGTTGGGGATGGGTTGGGGCCAGGGTCTGTATTCATCTTTTCCACCATTACTTGAGTGAATTAATGGAGAAGAGGTTAGTAAGGCAGATTGCTGTAAAGGGCTTTATATGTCAGGCTAAGGGATTTGGATCTTGTTGGAAATTCGCAGGTCGCCTTGTGTGGAGCCCCTTTTTAAGTATAGCTTCAGTTTATGGGATGCATAGGTGTCACTGAAGAGTGGGGAGATCATGGCTAGAAAATATGCAACCATAATGCTCATTTCAGGGAAATTAGATAAGCCATAAAAAAGCCCTTTGTTCCAAAATATCTTCTAAAACAGGAGCAACAACCTTCTCTTTTAAGAGTCAAAACATTCCCTGAACAGGTTAAACCTGCTGACTCTTCTCGCCTTAATGTGAAGTATGTGAATCGCTCCTCTCAACCCCCAAAATAGCTGAAATCAGCATTCAGGGAAGGGGCGTTGAAATGGGGGCAGGTGACGTGGAAGCTGATGGCTCAGCATGCGTGAGGTGGACCCTGAGCAGCCAGAAGCCAGCATGAGGCAACTGAGTGTCTGGAGGGCAAGAAAAGTGAGACAGGGTGTGGGGAGGCTTCACAAAGACACATGGTGGCAAAACGGCTTTGCCTACATGGCAGTTTTGTCAAGGGTCCTGGCAGATGCCCAGTTTGCCTCCAAACACTGTCTTCTACGCTGCCTGCAGTAAATTGCTGATGCCTGAACTTGAATATCAGGATCACCTGAAGTTCTACAAGCCTCAGGTTCCTCAGTTCAGTCTGCGGGCACGGGCTTCCTAGCTGCAGCTTTTTCAGTTCAGCTAGGTTTCTCCTCCTCCAAACCCCATCTCTCCCCTTCTGGAAAACTAACAGAGACAGAGGAGAGAAAGGAAGAGAGGAGAGGAATGAATGCATTTATATACTACCCTTTCTCACTTTTTTCTTATCATTAGTTCATCCAAATCAAAAAATCTATTCCCACTGGGCACGGTGGTGCACACCTGTAGTCACAGCTACTCGTGAGGTTAAGGCAGGAGGACCACTTGAGCCCAGGAGTTCTGGGTTATAGTGTGCTGTGTCGATCAGGCATCCACAATAAGTTTAGCATCAATGTAGTGACCTCCTGGGAGGGAGGGACCAGCAGGTTGCCTAAGGAGGGGTGAAGTGGTCCAGGTTAGAAATGGAACAGACCAAAACTCCCATGCTGATGGGTCGTGGGATCACGCCTGTGAATAGCAACTGCACTCCAGCCTGGGCAACATAGCGAGACTCCATCTCTAAAAAACTAAAAATAAAAATCTATTCTCCAGGAAACTCAAAGGTCTGAAAGGCCCAAGGACAGCCCAGAGGAGCTGAGTACTCTCAAACATGCTTACTTATGATCACAAGATAATCTCTCATAGTCAAGGTCTATCTCACTGGTTCTCAACCAGGGGCAGTTGCACCCCCTAACCACCACCCAGCAAAGAGACATTTGGCACTCCCTGAAAGTATTTTGGTTGTCACAACCCAGGGGGCGCTACTAACATCTAGCAGTAGAGGCCAGGAATGCTGCCTAACATCCCCTGATGCACAGGACATCTTCTCCAGACAAAGAATTATCCCACCCAAAATGTCAATGTGCTGAGATTGAGAAAACCTGGCCTATCAGAACCCAAAATTCAACTCCTGATTGCTTCTGAAAGAGATGACACAATGTAGTTGCCTCAACTTGTAAGAAGTCCTAAAGGACAGATCTGAAGGGGCCCCAAGTCCTCACAAACTAAAGCCAGGCAGAGAGTGCTGCAGGTCCCCATTGATCATCCCTTACAGGGTTTCACGACATCTCCCTCTGCTCTGCTCACTCTGTCTTCAGACCAAAGACCAAGTTAGGACATCGGGCACTTAGGGTGTCTGAACAGTCAACGTGAAGGACTCCTTTTGGCAAACACCAGTAGATCTTGTCCCATGCCCTTGGGCACCAGTTTTGGACATAATAAGCTATCATTGCTATGAAGAACAAGAAGAACCCAGAGGCCTTAACCTATGATTTAGAATTTACAAATATTTTGCTAATCCAGGTGGAGTCTAGCAAACTTCAACACCTCCCTTCTCAAGTTTGCATCTAAGAGAGACACCAGTCTTTTTTTTTTTTTTTTTTTTTGGATACAAAAGCACCATGACGCACTCACAAAGAAAGTGGTCTGAGTGATCTCAGACATCCTGGCAAAATAGTTCAGTTCAATCAATCCAGCTCACCATTTGTGATAAAGCGCAAAGGGGAATCAAACCCCCCATGATAAGATTCAATAGTTATATTTACTGATCAACTTAACACCACTGAACCAAATTGAAAACAGTTTTAAACATTCACTGGGGCCAGTGACTCTCTCCTGAGTTGATGGGCTAGCTTTACAGAATCACAGGCCTTGAAGCAAAGGGATGAAGTCTGCTATGTGCCCTTTTTAATATTCTGAACAAGAGCTTCAGAAGTAAAATGTCACTATGAACTGAATGGTTACAGTACTGTTACAAGAAAGCCGGTTGCTGACAAGTACTTCAAAGTCACTCGTGCCACCTGAGGAACATAATGTTCAAGCACCGAAGGAACTATATATGGTGCATGCGGTTCTATTCTACAGCAAGTAATTGAATATACAGGGCGGGGGACACCACTATCAAACAGGTCATGCACTAAAAGACTGGATTCTTTCCTGTGGATTTAAGATTATCAACCCTATCAGGAGTCTACATAAGATAGCCAACTGCTGAAAATGTCACTGCTTTTTGCAAAATGTATGGCAGTCGTACTTAAGCAGATTATATTGAATACAGGGATGCCTGAATTCTCTATTAACTACCAAGTGTGTTACAAAAGCTATGTCTTGGGTTTCATGGGTTTCTTCTGACATTTCTAGGGAAAGGGAAGTCAATTAACATTTGTTGAGAGGCTATTACAGTGGCTGGCACCAGGCCAGGCACATGATACACTCTGACTCATTAGTGCTGATTTACTAGTGATCTACATGAAGAACAGAGGTTAAAGAACTTGTTGAAGGCACACAGCCAGAAAGTGGCAGAGGCTGAATTGGAATCCAGGCCCATCTGACTTCTAGACCCACGCTCTTAACTTCTGCATTAGAACAGAAGGCTGCTTCCATCGGAATCCAGAGCCTTGCACTTTCCCCTATACCTCACTGCAGTGCCTGGACCACATCATGCATTTATTTACTTAGCAACCACTTATTGCAAAGAGAAAGCAGTAAACAAGAGAGGCCTTGGCATGTACTTCATAGCAGTTACATCTACTGTGGGGTTCGGTGGAAACAGTAAGTCAACAAATAAACAGCATACTTTGGGGTGGTCATAACTGCCAGGGAGAAAATAAGTCCAACTAGCAGGATCAAGAGTCACTGCGGCAAGGACTTGGGCACACAATTTTATAGAGAATGGTCAGCGAAAGGGCTTGAAGAGATAACGTTGAGCTGAAATGTGAATAATGGAAATAGGCATGAAAAGAGCTGGGGAAGGAACATTCCAGACAGAGAGAACAGCAAGGGCAAAAAGCCATGTGGTAGGAATGGTCTGGATGCTTTCAACTAGGATCAAAAAAAATGCCAGTGTGATTGGAGTTTAAGATCTATAGCAGCGGCCGGGTGTGGTGGCTCACGCCTGTAATCCCAGCACTTTGGGAGGCTGAGGTGGGTGGATCATGAGGTCAGGAGTTTGAGACCAGCCTGGCCAAGATGGTGAAACCCCATCTCTACTAAAAATACAAAAATTAGCCGGGCACGGTGGCGGGTGCCTATAATCCCAGCTACTAGGGAGACTGAGGCAGGAAAACCACTTGAATCCAGGAGGCAGAGGTTGCAGTGAGCCGAGATCGCACCATTGCACTCTAGTCTGGGCGACCGAGCAAGCCTCCCTCTGGGAAAACCAAAAAAAAAAAAAAAAGAAGAAGGAGGAGGAGGAGGAGGAGGAGAAGAAGAAGAAGAAGATCTATAGCAGCAGCTCAAGTTGGCGTAGCATGTCATGGTGGAATTTCTGTGTTCAAGTATGTGGTTTAATTCTAAATGAGAACTGGATTTAAGAACAGGATTGGCAACTCTGCAGCTATTCAAGACACAGTGCACTGCCAAAGGTTGATGGTCAGGAAGATAGAGAATCACCCAAAGACCAGTGGTTTCCAGAATTAGGAAATCAGGAAGGGAGCTTCCTCCACCATTGAAGGCTTCCCAGAAGGGTTTCTATGACACTGATATGGTGATACCTTGGATAGTCTCAAAATCACCCATCATGGATAAATTAGATATCCATGAAAACTACATTGTACCGCCCATGAGGAGATTCACCTGTCTCTACAAGTATGTCAAAATGGCATTCATCATGAAAACAGGGGGCATCCTGGTAATACAAATGAGACATGGCTCATAGATGGGTCAGAAAATTACAAGTTGGAAAGAGGCAGCTACTGTCCCAAGATGCCAGCAGCATTGCACAGAATATAATGTACTCAGAGAAAAAGCATGAAGAAGAGTTTGCTTTTGGAAGCCATCATTAGTCCAACCACAGTTTATAGTTATGGAGTGCCTGGTGTGGGTAGAGAACTCAGTTAAGAATGGTTTGAGTTAGTGTGACAGGAACAGTCCAGGACAGAGGCAGAAGCCAGACACTGAATCTCAGTTCTGTCATCTCTACTAACCCTGCGACCTTGGGCAAGTTACTCAAACTGTCTGTTCTTTGGTATATTCTTAACAGTTTGAGGACAGAAAGGAGGTTGTCCTTGGTGTTCCTCTCACACAAGAACACAGCCCAGAAAAAGAGCATTTTTTTTCCAAATGAATATGATAAGCCCAAATGAATATAATCAGACATTCATGCATATTATTGTTTTTGATGAAGCTAAAATGTGCATCAGTGTCAGAGTGGGATGTATTCAAGGAAAAAAAAAGTTAATAAATAATAGCACTGGTGATGTGTCATGTGCCAAATTAATGAAAGTGATACCCAAAGACCAAAATTTGGGAAAGAATGAAACAAACAGCACAGTGTCAAAGGCTACTTAGAGATAAGGTGTTATTAGTAGTAACAGTAGGAAAAAATGAAGTAGGGTACATGTAAGGGTGAGCCCTATAAAGCTAAAATTTGCAAAGCCGTTGTTTCTTCCAGCGGGGAAGCCAGCTCCAGGTAGATGCAGGAGCCTTCACTACTTCAAATACCCAGGTGCCTTCTAGGCTTCTCTGCTCCATTTATGTTCATTTAAAATGAGGAGGGAGGATGGTTTGATCCTAGGAGTTCAAGACCAGCCTGGAAATATACGAAGACCCTGTCTCTACAAAAAAAAAAAAAAAAATTATGCGGGATGTGGTGGCACACACCTGTGGTCCCAGCTACTTGAGAGGTTGAGGTGGAAGAATAGCTTGAGCCTGAGAGTTTGAGGCTGCAGTGAGCTGTGATTGTGCCACTGTACTCCAGCCTGGGTGACAGAGTGAGACCCTGTTGGGAAAAAAAATTTAAAAAAAAAAAAGAAAGAAAAGAAAAAAACAAGCTCACTGAAACAACTATGCCAAAATAAACAGTCTCAAATAGCATGCCTCTCTCTCTTCACAGCAAAACAGAACCAAGGTATTATGCTGCTGCTCATCATGAAAAACCATGATTGTGTTTCTCCCATTGTGTCAGCCTGCCAGCCAGCCTGAAAGTCATTCTGGGCAGCTAACCTAATTATTCATTCATTCATGGATTCAGCAAATATTTGGAAACAACTCTGTTCCAGGCACTCTCCTGCGTAATGGGGATTAGTAATGAGAAAAACTGATGAAGCTCCTGCCTCCTTGGGAGCTCACAGCCCAGTAGAGGCATCAGATATCAAACCCAGAGTTACACAAATAAATACTTAATCATAAGCTCTGCTAAGTATGTGATGAAGGAATACAGAGTGCTATGAAAACATCTAACAAGGAGACATATTTGGGACTCAGAGAAAGGCTCTCTGAGGAAGTGACTTTCAAGCCAAGCTATGCAGAATAAGGAGGAATTTGCGAGGGAAAGAGTAGGAAAAGAGCCCAGGCAGGGGAAATAGCCAGTGCAAAGTCCTGAGACAGAGGGGAGGGTACTCCTCCTGCCAGTAACTGAGAAGACCAGCAGGGTGGAAGTGTGATGTGCAAGGAGAGAATGGTAGGGAATAAAGCTGGAGAAGGCAGACCAGGGCCAAGTTGTGCAGGGCCTTTTAGGCCAGTGTAAGGATTTGAATGTTCTCCTAATTCACTGGGAAAACTAAGAAGTGAAGGATTTTGTGTAGAAACTGAGTTGATGATTATGTTGTTGATGATGGTGGTGGTGGTGTTAGTAGTGTGTGTGTGTGTGTGTGCGCGCGCGTGTGTGTGTCTGACATGAATTGCTGATTTAACCTACATTTCTAAATCAATCCAAGCATGGTGGTGTTGGTAGTGTGTGTGTGTGTGTGTGTGTGTGTGTGTGTGTGTGTGTGAAATGAATTGCATGATTTAAGCTACATTTCTGCATCAATCCAAGGGTTACCAGAACCCTTTTTGAGGGCTCAACAAACACCAGATCCTGCAGGTTAGGAGCTGTTTTCCCTAAAGTGCTGGCTTCCAGGCTGTTTGCCCTAAAGTGCTGGCTGTTAGGACCTGAGCCCAGTTCTTCACTGTGAGATGAAGTGATTAGACCTGAACTCTAACAGTGCTGGTCTTGATGGGCAGCATGGCCCCCATGTTTTGGAAACTTTACCTTGGAAATTCAAGGGTTTTTTTTTGAAAACTTTACCTTTTTTTTGGGAAACTTTACCTTGGAAATTCAAGGTTTTTGTTTTGGTTTTTTTGTTTTTTGTTTTTTGCCCTCCCTGATTGTTTTTGCTTGCCCTCCCTGATTAGGGGCATCATTGACATTGAGAGGTTAGAGCCCAGACTGTGTGTGTAACCTGCAGTGCACAGGACACTCCCACAATGAAGCATTGTTCTCTGTCCACACAGCTTTCTGCTATCCCAGCAGACATTCACATAGGTGAAAAACCTGGTTATAATTATCTGAGCCTAACTCCATTTTACATTTAAATACACAAATTTTTGCATGTTTTTAATGAGCTGTGAATTTTTCCAGGAATGAAACCACCATGAAAATCAAGGGAGATGGTATTTTGTTTGCTTTGGAACTTTCTCATGAGTTGTTCAACATTTTGGAAAATCAACTCACCAAAGACAATGTTCCTCATTGTATTTGAGCCTCACATCTGTCTGCATTTGTGTCTGTCTTATTCATGGAAGTTCTTCATTTAGGTGTAAGCATCTGACCACTTCACTATGGCTTCTGGAATTGTTGTGTCTGAACACTTATATATTGAAATAATTATTTTATTATAAATTATGTTCCTTTAATTTCTCGTTTATTTAAAATTAGGACATTATATTGATTCTTCTATGACTACATGTACAGATAAATTATACCATCTATAAATTTCACTTCTGAAGAATGAAGGAAGAATAGGAAATAGTTATTATTAAAAAGAAATGTTAGGGCTGAGAAGATTGAGAACAATTGAACAAGCCCGTTCAGGGCTTTAAAATGCTGCAATTTTAGAAATCTAGTTACTTACTGTCTTTAGATGGTCTCTTGGTAACCTTAACATGTGAGAATTCTATGTTTAAAAAATGTATTTTGTAAATGGTGGAGAGAGTTATCAAAGTTAACATTACCAGTGAGAACTCATCTTAGTATTGTTTACTCACTGATATGTTATAAAAAGAAGGGCATTTCATCTTTGTGATTTTTTTCCAAAAACCCATAACCCTAGTCTAATCATGAGAAGAAAAAAAATCAGACAAACTCAAATTGAGTGACATGCTACAAAATATATCTGTCCGGTACTCCTCAACACTAAGTGCCAAAGTCATAAAAAATGAGAGACTGTAGAACTGTCAACAACCGGAGGAAACTAAGAAGAATGATAATAAAACACAATGTAGGATCCTGGAAGAGAAAAAGAATTTTAGTGGAAAACTAATGAAATTTGTATCAAGTTTGGAGTTTAGCTAATAGTAATGTACAAACAGTAACTTATGAATGTAAATTTCTTAGGTTTGGCAAATATAGGTGGTTATTTAAGACTTTAGCATTAACGGAGACTGGGTAAAGAATATACAGAACAGGAATTTTGTGTACTAACTCTGCAACCTTTCTACAAATCTAAAATTATTTAAGTTTGTTAAAAGTCTGTTTTTGACAAAAAGCATAGGAAAGCATTACGAATTCCACATTTGAACATAAGGAATTTTTCTAAAGATTTAAAATCACCATCATGTGGGAAACACACACACACACACACACACACAAGTAACTGGGAAGAAATATTGTATCTTTCCTGGGCCCTCACACTCCAGGGTCAATATGTAAAGAAGACAAAGACGTCCGGGAACCACTGCCAGCTAATGTAAAGCACTGTGTCCTTAGTGAGTATGCAAATGCCAACAGTCAAGATGGACATGGAGAAAAAGAAGGGGACAAAGTCAATCAGGCTTCAAGGGGGCAGAGAGACATTGCTGGCAACACAAAAAGCAGAAGCCTCTTTCTGCTCTGACAGAAGCAAAGAGAAGGATCAATAAACAGGCTATTATTGAGAAAAATTTAGGTGGTCAAGTAGTAAAGAGATGTGAGGGTCATAAAAATAATAATAGCAAATACTTACATAGTGCTTTCTACATATCAAGCACTGTCCTACATGTGTTGTGAATAATACTAACTAATTTAATCCCCACAACAATCCTACAAGATAGGATTGTTGCCCCTATGTTTAATGGGCAAGGAAAATGAGGCACAGAGAATATACCTATGTATTCTGTGGAACCCTATGAAACTACCTTTTTTGTAAGTCAAAAATGGTCTACTCTCAAAAAGTGCATATGGTTCACATTTAACTTAATTGGTAAGTTGCCTAAGAGGTACAACTATTTGAGACGCGGGGTTGGACTTAGAACCCTGGCAGGCGGCTCAGAAACCTGGACTCTGAGCCTCCAAGGTACAGGGCCTCCAGCAGAAATGGTCAGGATTTACAGAGTGGCAGGCGCTGTGCAAAACCTTTACACATATCAGCAACAACTCGTTTATCTTTACAACAACACTCTTAAGGTAGCTGTAATTATTACCTAATTCATAATTGAAGAAACTGAGGCCCAGGGAGCTTGTGTGACCTGCCAAAGGTTACACAGCTAGTAAACGGCAGAGCTAAGACTTGAACCCATGTTGGCCGGCTCCGGAGCCTGGGTCCTGTGTTGTCTCCTGTGTGTCTGTAGGTATGGCAGAATTTGGAATGAGATAAGCTTTTGCTGCAGGTCATTAGTCTAGAAAGGAGAGACTTTTCCTGTCAAGCCTCCAAACAGATGCTACGGGCTTCCATTTGGTAAGATACATCAGGGAGACATTTTCTGGCCAGCTCAAAATAACTGATACTGTTATTCAGATGGAATAGAAAATGTACCTCATTATCTCTTCCAAAATAAGCAAGGAAATGAAAGACAATGGAATAAAAGGAAAGAAAAAGAATGTGAAAGATTGGAAGATAGACTATAAAAGATAATTGCAAGTGTTCCCATCCTGGAGATATGTGGAATCAAGCCCTATATTTTCTTTGCAATTGAGTAGCTTCTCCCTGATCTCAAATGATTCGGTGGCCATTCAATGGACACTTGGTACCTGAATCTACTTTCTCCAGTAGTTGACAGGTCGTGTCATAATAACCCGATATTCAATCTACTTAATACACACCAAGGTCCTTTCAGATAGAGAGAAAAAAATAGTGAATATTGCTCACCAGCAGATTTACTTTTAAAATATCTAAGGCCGGACGCCGTGGCTTATGCCTGTAATCCCAGCATAATCCTTGGGAGGCCAAGGCAGGCTGATCACTTGAGGTCAGGAGTTCGAGACCAGCCTGGCCAACATGGTGAAACCCCATCTCTACTAAAAATACACAAATTAGCTGGGCGTGGTGGCGCATACCTGTAATCCCAGCTACTTGGGAGGCTGAGGCAGGAGAATCGCTTGAACCCAGGAGATGGAGGTTGCAGTCCGCTGAGATCGTGCCGCTGCACTCCAGACTGGGAGACAAAGCGAGAATCCGTCTCAAAAAAAAAAAAAAAAAAAAAAAACTCTAGTAATATGACCCAAAACTTTAATAATGCTAACTACCAAGTGAATCTGGAATTAGCAAAAAAAAAAACCAAATCTGAATTATAGATTTTTTTAATGCAGCTCCATTATTTTTACATGTGTACAATGTCTTAAGTTAGGCTAGCGATGGATTGCCCAGCAAGAAGATTCTACACAAATACAGAGTCCCAAAATCTAAAGCAACGCCAATCTTGAGCACTAAATATTTCAGACTTATGTACACGTGCACACAAAAATGGAAGTAACCTTAAATTAATTGCTTTAAATATCAAAATAGAGGAAGTCAAGTCCCATGAACTATTGCTCATGGATCAACAGTTGGAGTCCATTCCATGGAAACATAACTTAGACTGGAGACAGACCTAAGCAAGGCAGAAGCAATGAAAAAAATATATTTTTAAATATTTTTTACATTTTTGTATTTATATAAATATACATATATCAATTAATTAAATGAAAAGAACACTGCAAGGAAGATATTGTTGGCCCTGCTCTACCCAGCTGGCCCTGTAAACCTGCCATTGTTATTAGTATTCTATGAGAGCAAATTCATCTCTTGGATTTTGAAAGCCATAAACGTGATTGTGAACATCTTTTTTTGTTTTACTAAGTACAAACTAGACAGATGTGAACATCCTGATTGATCTCAGATGCTAACACACAGACTTCTACCAGTTGATAAAGCCAGATCCCTTTGCCTGCTATTCCTAAACTCATCGTCTCTGGTTCCTATTATAATCTGGGACCAGTTAGAGCAGTGCATATCCATGGCAACCGTCAATATAACTAGTTCCTTCAATCACCTAGTCACGTGAAATAATAGGCTATTCTTCATGACATACAGCAAAACAAGATTTTGCTTTGTTCTTTGCTTGTATAAGCCTCATTTTATGCTTGTCTTTAACCTCTTCTCAACAGACATTCTACTGCAAACCCAACCCTACTATGCTAAATAAAGCTATCAGTCAAGGTAGGTGCACATAGCTATGCCTAAACAGACTGCTTATTCTTGGGTCCATCTATGCTGTCTAGTGAAATGGAGAAGTCTCTGTTTCCATGGATTAAAAACAGATGCAGGATAAACAAGACATGAAGATGGCTTACATTGAGTCTTTGAGGCTGTGGAATGAATCACCTCATCCAACACAATATAAATGATATTTCCTAGCCTGAAATTGGTTATGTCCCTTCCAAAGGGTATCAGTTTACTCATTTACAAAGGAATTATTGGACAATAGTTAAATGAAGACTGGGCTTCTTAGTTTCTTTCATTATATTTATGGGGATAAGTTTTCCATTTACATTAAGTGTATTATCTACATAGATGTGGTTCCAAAGCAAGCATGTTAGCCAAACTCACTTTATAGCCATACTTGTCCTCAAAAGTCTTTATAACATGGAAAGATTAATACTTATGGATGTCACCAGTTGACAGCCACTGACCCAGACAAAAGGATGGAACACAAGGAAAGTCTAAATGCAGATATCTGGGCATGCAAATCCTCCTGCCTTTAAAATAGCTTTCACACCTTGAGAAATAGCACAAGGTAGTGGTTAAGATGATGGAATCCTAGTTTGAATCCAGGCTTTGCCTCTTGCTAGCTGTGTGTCATTGTGCAAGTTACTTGCCTATTTGTGTTTCAATTTACTCATCTGTAAAATGGCCATAATAATAGTATCTACTTTGTATTCTTTATGAGTTGAAATTTACAAAGCATATAGAATAATGCCTGGGGTATAGCAATTGTTTAATAAGTGTCTGTGAAACAAAAATTTTGAAAAACAAATGAATGGGTCAGAAATTCTAAAGTGTTTTCTGTAGGGTTTATGCCATTTTGTCTTAATGATCAGCCTCTATAACCTTAATACCTTTTTTAAAATGTTTGTTGTAACAATCAGATATTGTATATGAAAGCGCTTGGCATAGAATTTGATGTGTGCATCTCTAGGATGGTTGTAACCAGATTTGTTTCTAGATAATTATAAATGCTTGCTGTACTTGGGCTTGAAATTTGTTATATCAGATCCATGTCAACCCTATTTGAAGATCATATAAAAAAATCTCAGCCATTTGCCTTGTGTCTGTGCATGTTGGAATGTCCTATTGTGGCCCCAGTGAACAATTATCACTTTTATTCCACTAGACACCTTAAGTAGAATTGCATCTTACACATATATTTTATTGTAGCCAGTTCACATATCCAATTCAGGCATGAGGCTACTCCCTTATATCTTGTTAGCTTAACTTAGTATTCAAGCTGGACTTGACCCCAATTGCTTTCTTTTAGCTCTCCACTCTCCTGTCTTTTTTTCTCTCTCATCTCTCTCTTCTCTCTCTCCTGTGTGTGTATGCGTATATTTGTATGATCATTGAGAATGCAGCACAAAGCGTGAATATTAACTGTCCCCTTTTTACTAAATAGTTGCACAAGATGTAGAGAAAGGAAGACAGAACATTCTTTTATAAACTCCCTAAGTCCGTAAATACCCCCACGAATACTGGCCTATCAGAGCCCAGCAAACAGTTTTTGTTTCACAATTCGACAAGGGATATAAGTGGAAAAAGCCCAACTTGTTTTCTTTCTATGTAGGATCCAGAAACTAGCCAATTTTTATACGACTTGTGGTTTAGTTTTAGGATTTTCCCACAGGTCTATTCAGACCAACTTGGCCAAAGGAAATGCCGTTCACATAGCATTGTTTAGAGTGGCACTGCATGAAGCATTCGCTTATTAAAAATGTGATGGCCATATTTAAAAAAAAATGTAGGTTAGATTTGACATGTCACCAGTTTGTACTCTGGAGAGTGTATGTGTTGGCGAAGTGAAGCCATCTAATTTTCAAATACTCTAATGAATATTATCAACTTAGTTGATCTTTGCTGTGTATGTGCATGTGCACAATTCCAGGCATAAAAGAAAAATACAGATTATCTGTAAGCCACCTTGAAAGTAGCAACCCTCCTGTCTTCATGAATACTGAAAATGAGAATTTAAATCTACCCTTTCTCTTTACATACTTTATGATGGGTGTCATTGTTGAGTGAAACTGTCTAGAAAATTGTTCAGGTTAACCTCTGGCTATAGCTTCAGTTTGGGTTTCTTGCCTGGAAAAAGTTTAAGGTGCTTAAGGAACAGAAGGATTTTTCCCGCATCCAAGCTTATTGTTCTTTGACACAGCAGGTGCAGTAAACAGTGTGAGCTAAGCAGCAACCACTAAGGAGTTTAACTGCAGTGAGAAAAGCTGGGTTTCTGCCCTGATGTCGTCAGTAAGAACCTTGTTCCCTCTCCCAAACCTCATACTGTGAGGTTTTCATCTACCTATAAAGGTTGGTTTTGCTCAAACCAGATTAGAAATCAGCTTTCTCTTGGCAGACTGCTGTTTGGCCAATAAAGGCAGGGCAGCTGTGTATGTGGGTGGGATTGAGAGGAAACCTGAGCCCTCCCTGGCACGCATTTTCCTTCGCCCTCCATTTCTTACAGTAGGTGGACATAGAAAGGAGTCTGAGAGTCACTGTTGCAGACTGCACAGGACCAACATTCAGCTGCCTTCAGATCTCCCCCAACTAGGTACAGCAGGGCCATTCCCTATTTCATGTAAGGGCATTGAGGATCTGGTGGGGAAAATAGAAATCATGAAGAGAGGGTTTACTTAGTAGATAAGAAACCATCAGGCCAGAGGTGGAATGGATGAGGAGCAATTACTCAGTTTCTTTAATAAATCCAATAAACGATTACAATAAATAATAACGCCTTACTGTTATAAGTTTATCTCCTTGCCTTGGAGCTTGATTTGATCCTCTGAGGTCCTTCCAAAGCCTCCACATGCTGCTTTCCCTGCTCCCACCTCTCGGTGCTCTTTCCTCTTCTCCAGCTACTCCCTGGCATTACTCCAGACCAGGGACCTTCTTGTGCTCACAGGATGTAGCTCTAAGCAGTGCCTGGTGCTTAGAGCATCCTTTCCCCAGAGAGCCACTTAGCCAACTCCCTCATCTGAGGTTGGAGTCTTTGTTCAAATCTTGCCTTCTTAGTGTGGCTTACCACCACCACCCGTGGGCTTCCCGCATCACACCTGATCCTTCCTACCCTGTATTCTGTACTTTCTCCCACAGCATTTATCACCTACTGACAGCCTGCTTAGCTTATTTATCTATTATGCTATTGTTTCTTTTCTGTCCATCCACTATCACCACCACCATCCCTTTCCCAGTATAGATAGTCTAGGGGCAGGGATCTTTGATGTTTCGCTCACTGATGCATCCCGAGCACTTAGAATAGTGCCTGGTACACAATAGGGGCTCCATAAATACCTGTTGAATGAATGATGAGGGAAGCTGGAAATGTGTCATCATCACTGTTATTAACACTATTTCTATTATCATCATTAGGTCAGGCTTAGAAATGAGGACACTGAGGCTCAGACACATCAAAGGACTTACCCATAGGACATAGATGGCAAAATGCCAGATCTAAGTCTCAATCTGAACCTACCCAAGGTTAGTGCCTTGTGTCTAGTGACTTCACAAAATGATTTAGTAATGTGGGATAATGTGATTATTTAAAATATAATTTAAAAAATGATGAACAGCAAAGTGCCTTGCCTATTCTTTCCCTCTTGGCCCGCCCCCGCCCCCACCGCAATTCACTTGATTGGTATCTCAGTTTATTATTTTTTAACAGATAAATCTAGGCTGGGCACAGTGGCTCATGCCTGTAATCCCAGCACTTTGGGAGGCCAAGGTGGGTGGATCACATGAGGTCAGCGGTTCGAGACCAGCCTGACCAACATGGCAAAACCTTGTCTCTACTAAAAATACAAAATCAGTTGGGCATGGTAGCTTGTGCCTGTAATCCCAGCTACTTGGGAGGCTGAGGCAGGAGAATCACTTGAACCCAGGAGTTGGAGGTTGCAGTGAGCTGAGATCACACCATTGCACTCCAGCCTGAGCAACAAGAGCAAAACTCTGTCTCAAAAAAAAAATAAAAATAAAAACAGATAAATCTGCCAAGATGAAAATGTTTATTTGTTGTATTTTAACTGACGTGTCAATGTTGCTCTGGGAAAGAATAACGTTGTTAGCCCACTATACAAGGGTGTGCTGTCACCCAACTATTTTATCATATTCCTAGCAGTTCATATGCAGCATACATTTGGACACATAGTCCCAACACAAGAGCCAACAGCTGCTTAGATTCTAAGCGGAATGTGGACTGCCTATTGTCTGGATTCTTGGTTGTTTGAGGAGCATCACTTGAAGCGTGAAAAGCTCAAGTTTTAACAGTAAACAGAGCTTGGGATCCAGAGGGCACAGAGAGGAATTAGTGCCTGCAGATCAGAGAGATTCGAGCCTGAACCGTGAGCTGTAAGTACAGATGTGTTTCTTGCATTGTCTCTTACCAGGGGATTTGTAAATAATGTCAGCAGGAACTTATTTGCTTATATACGCATTCCTGAATATTAGGAGCCACATTGATCATTTCTGTAGATATCATATAACCCCTCAGGCACAATGCAATGGGAGTCGACAAGAGCCATAGATTATTTCTTTGGAGGTGGTGTAGCCTCATGTCCCCTGATGTGCATTTACACATAGACATGCAGTCTGGCTCACTGGACTGATCCTTCCAGGCACAGAGAGCCCTGATATGAGGTTGCTGGTTCTTTTCCTAAGAAGGCCCCTCTTGAAGAGGGCCCTGGCTCTTCCCTCTTTGAATACTCTAATACCCTAAATATGCATGGGCTTCTGAAAAGTAATACAATTCCATTTTAAACAGAAACAACAAGCATATTCCTTAGTGTGTGGCCTGTAGGCTGAGGTAGTGTGGACTCACAGGGAAAACCTTCCACAGTAAAGGCAATGAGAATGGACTCCAGCTCCCTTCACCTACAGGGGAAGGGGTGCCTCCTCCTGCCCTCATTGCTCAGAAAGGTGTATTGTTGCGTGTCAGGGAGTTGTGATGAATTATAGGTAGGTGGACAGCAACACAAAAATCTGAAAGAGTAACTTATTTTATGTTTTCTCTGAAATTTTTCTGTTGTTTTGGTTTGAAGAAGGAAAGAACTTATCTAATCCTATTTCGTATATGCAAATATCAAAAGGAAGGTGTAATGATGATGATGAGGCAAGCCCTGAGTAAAACTGAGTTAAACACAATTATTTCCATTCTTCTAACCCTTCCCAGAGCTTCCCTCTCCCTTCTCACAGCCCCTCCCTTCTCTGATGAAACTACTAGGCAAGGAAACTGATTCCTTCTGAAGTCTTAGCGACTATGTTCTCAACCAGAGAAAAATGTTGATTGTAAGAAAACAAAACTACACAGAGTAGGTTCAATAAAGACTGACTGTAAGTGCCTAAGAGAAAACCACAGAGGCATTCAAAGACAGGAAGCAGAGCACGACATGCGTGAGCTGACTGGGAACAAAACCAGAAGTGGTTTTGTAAAGTCAGAATCAGAAGACATGACCACACTCATCTGCTTTTCTCTATACTTCTCTCCTGCCTCAATCAATAATCAATCAATCATTTCTCTCTTTCTCTCTTGCTCTCTCTCCCATTTCCTTTCTCCCTTCCTCCACCATCCCTCTCTCATATGGCTTGCTTTACATGACCCAGTGAGGTCAGGCTCTATATGTTCTTTAAGTACATGCCATCATCTAACTTAAGTCTCTGCACTTCTGTTTTATTTCTAAACACAAAGAGTCTGATTAGTCACTGGCCATTCAATGAACTCACTCCTTCTTGGTCAATGGTGGAATCTGCTCCAATCATCTGTAGCCTGAATTGGGTGAAAGGAGAAGTGAAGAAATGAGGAAAGGACTTTGTCAGCCTGAAGGACGTAGGGCTACCTCTTCCAGCTGTGAGCAGGGCAAGGGAAATTTAGCTTGTTTATCAGGTATCTATCAACACAAAAATGATACAGGAAAAACCACCCTAGAATTCAGAACTTAACGCCATAAGCACGTATTGAGCTCAGAAGACTGAGAGTTGGCTGCATGGTTCTTCTGGTCTGGGCTGGGCTCAATCACCTGCCAGGAGGTCAGCGGGCTATCACCTCCTCCAGAACAGCCTCAGCTCAGAAAACAAGCACCTAGAAGCAAAGGTTCCCTGTGTTTCATTCTCCAACAGGCTAGCTCATGCATGTCTCTTATGGTAATGGCGGAAGCCAAAAAGTGGAAACAGAAACATTAAGGGCTTTTCCAAGGTTCTGTGTGGGTCACATTTGCTAACATTCCATTCACCAAAGCAAACCACATGGCCAAACTCAGAATCAAGAGGTGAAGAAAGAGATCCCACCTGTTTAGTGATAGAAACTCTAACATCACATGACAAAGCAGTGTGGATCCAGGGAGGGGAGAGAAATTGGGGCTGTTAATGCAATCGATCTCCTAATCATGACAGCAAACCCACTGGCGTGTACAATAGGCTAGTTTAGATATATATTCTTCCAAGGCAAGATTTGCATAAAATATTTCTGATATTAATTCCTGATGCAAAATAATGAAATACTAAGGTTAGAATTTTGAAGCCCTCTTCAAATAAATAATTTTTGTTTCCAGGTAAAGCTAGATATATAGGATAGGAAGAACATGGAACCAAGTAACAGGGAATTGAATTCTCCCCACTTCTCCCCCAGGACGCTCTTCCCCCCATACCTCCCCCCTGCCCAACACACACACAACATACCTAGATTTGCGACATCCTGCTAATTTACTGGATTAAAAAATGAGACATTGAGCTTAATAGTGGGTTCTGAATAGCTCAAAGCTGAAACTGTGTGCACATAGCAGATAGACCAGAAGCCAAGATGGCCCTGAAGAGTTGGAGGCTATATCATTGGTCCCTTTTTTTCCCCAGGTAGGGGCTGAATTCCATTTAATGCAGTGGGAGCTAGTTTGCTTTTCTACCAGGAATAAAAAGATTAAGGTTCTACAAGTGGCCTACAGTTGGCTCCTGGGATAGATGATTCAGTTTGGGGCAAATTCAAGTCTTTTGCTCCTTTTCCTGGAATCGTGGAGTGACAAAATATCAGGAATAGATGGAGTTTAGAGATAATCTAATCCAGCATTTCCCAAACTTCAGTCAACCACATACCCCCATTCACTAGTTTATAACCTTTGTTCTACTCTTAAATATTTTTTGTTAAATTGGCTCATTTTTTAGAAACTTAATTTATTTTTAAAGATTTAGGGTCACAAGTTGAAAATCAGTATCATTTGACATAAATAGAGGATAACCACAAAATAAACAGAATGAAAAACGCTACATTGTTGTGAAATTCTACCAGATGCTTGAGCTCAGTCTTTCCTAAAAAAGGGAATTTAGCAAACATTAAGGAAGTGTTAAAAGAATAGTATGCTTAAACTAACACTTTCTCTCTGATGGCGTCAGGAAGATGGAAAGAAGCTTGACAGTGTCATCCCTTACTATCTAGTTCAGTGCCATTTAATGCCCTGCTTGTGTGTCCTAAAGCCATCTTGGACTTCCCAAGCTGTGTGTCTGTTGCACTGTAGAGAATATCAATAACCCAACTCCCTTTGTTCATGGATGGAGAAACCAAGGCCTCCCACCAATTTCCAGTGGCTGCCTTTGCGCCATATCATTATCAGTTAGCATCTTACCTAGTGTTTGGGTTAGGTGAAGAGAAAAAACTTAAGCCACAAAAGAAGTAAAAGGGGATGCTAGTAGATGGTGCTTTTGACTCTAGAAAGTTGGGCTTGCCTGGTTTTCAGCGACCTTTGCTCTTCTTGTCCATTATAAGAGGATATTGGCAGTCACCTACTGAAAGCAATAGAAAGAGCCTCATGTTTCCACAGAGAAAACCTCCACCTGGACCCACCACAATCAAAGAGCCTCAGATAAGGAAACTTCTAGAAAGATGTAGCCATGCAAAGGGAGGCATCTCCAGTTGTCTTGCCAAGGAAAACGTTGTGTCAGGAAAAGGCCAAAGGGCAGCGTTATCTAAATCAAATTTGTCCTCCCAGTAAAGCCACAGCAGCTGTGCTAATGGCATTCTAAATCCTCCATGGCGAACTGTATAGATTTTCAAAAGGAGGTGGAGAAATCCTCTTTGTCTCGTTATCTTTTCAAGATGGATTTTTAGATGAAAATCCTTTCTATAAAAAAAATAGGATAAATGTAGTCAGATACTCAACTAAGCTCTTTATTCCATTGCTTGTGATTTGGACTGAGCTTTTGAAACATTTCTTCAGACAGGAGAGGAAGGGGCATTCTTCAAGAAATATCCTTTTTTGCCATATTTTTAAGGATGACTCTGATTATATCAAACATTGGTGTTCCATTTTAAATTTCTCTGACTTTTTAGGGACAAGATGGTGTGCATATTAAATAAATAAATACTTCTTTTCCCTGCATATTATAGGATGAAATCAACAGGGCAAGTGTCTTAATCTTTGGGGTGGAGGTGCCTGCCCCTGATACCTCTTACTTGAACCTAATTTCTCTCTCCACCCTCTGAACTTTTAAACTGTTCTGTGTACTCGTACTTCATCTGAACGGCTCAGGCCAAGTTATTCATGTTGATAGGGACAAGAATAATCAATGTCTAATGAACTGTTTCTAGATTTGTTCATAATTGAGAGATTCCTCTCAATCCCACGTTGGCTCCTTCTTCAGAGGCACCAAGGAAAGGGAATTTGTAGCTCACCAGGCTTTTATAGACATCCTGATTTTGTTCTTCCTGGCTCTGAGCTACCTGACAGGGACCCTAAAGTGTTCTGAGCCTCCCTACTTCAAATGTAAAATGGGAAACATTAGACCTATCATGTCAAAATATGGTAAAGATTAAAATGAGGTGATATACGTAAAGCTCATAGCACAGGGCCTTCCATTTAAGCCTGCGGTAGGTGGCCACTAATATTACATTGGCAAGGCCATGTGAGGTAGAGCAGAATACATATAGACTTCAGGGTCAGACAGAGGGTAGTGCCCATTTCTGCTTTATTTGTAATTGTATCTTCACTGCCAGTTGCCACTGGCACATAGCAGGAACTCAGTATTTTTTGGATATATGGAATGGTTCTGGCATTATCCCCTTATTAGCTGTGTGGTCTTTGGTAAGGCATTTCACCCCTCGGCACATGTTTCCTCAGCTGTAAAACAAGGACAATGCGTTTCTTACAGAACTGGTAAGAAGATGAAACACAATGGCCAATGTAATGTGCCCAGCATGGAGATTGCCACATAATATGCTTTCCACAGATGTTTATTCCCAAATCTCCACTCTCCTTCACTTTTGACGATCCCACATAAGGAAAAAACTAGGACCAGGATTTTCTGGGAAAGCACCATTTTTAAAGCTATCTTTTAAAATACACAGGGGGCAGGGTCCTCAGGTCCAGGATGTATGTGGGGGAATTCCACAGCCCTCTCAGGATGGTCCCTCGTCACAAGTATCAGTGTCTGAAATAAGTAGGATGTCCTATTCTGACCCTTTTTGGTTCCTGGGCAACTGTGAGGTGGTATAGGGCAGGTACTGGCCAGGCCATGTGGGCTTGAGGAGGCTCCTGAAAAGAAGAATGTCACTGATCTTTCACCCCAGACCTCACATTCCCATTTCTACTGGGACTGAGAGAAAGGTCCCTTCTCTTGCGTCAATTTCAGTTGGTTGGTGTGCTTTCAGGAGTTTTGTCTTGAGAAGGTTTCCAAGGTCACATCTTGGCTCAGAGGGAAAAAACATCAAGATTAATTGGCAACGTCTGTCATGGATGCAAGATGGGGTATTGTTGGTTTGCCATGGAGATTTACACAACAGCATCTAGAGGGAGATTTTCTATAGCTTTTGTCAAAGACCAGACCTATTGCTTTAACCTTGGCAATTACCAAAAACCAAAAACCAAAAAATCTATTTTTTCCCTCTGTCAGTTTTTTGCTCTCACAGGAGCCACCCTATATTGACAGGTCATGATGATACTTGTTGAGGTCTTGACATAAACAGGAAAATAGACACCCAGTGAAATAGAGGAGCTGTAACTCACAGAATGTGGCCTGACATTGCAGGTCACATGTGCAGTGTGTGACATCCATGTCTGCAGGCATTCAGCCATTGTTTATTGAGCACCTACTATGTGCCAGGTAGTGTTCTAGAGGCTGTTTAGTGAACAAGAGAGACAAAAATCTTGCCCTGTGAGGCTTATATTCCAGCAAGGGATGTCATTGACTTGTTATTATAAAAGTTTATGTATGAAAAACATTTCAACCATTGGAAGGCTGTGCTCCAAAACCCCCCACAACATCTATAGGGAGGGCTTTCTTACTATCATCCATGTACTTTGGCAGAATTCTACCTGAACAACCTGTTAATTTGTTCCAGAGCCCAATCATCTATTTCTACTTATTAATGCATAGTTAACACAAATAGCATTTCCAGGCTTCTGCCATGTGATGTGTCAATGTGACCCCCATAAGTAAACCATAGAGAATCTGAATCTCCAAATGTTTGATCCCTTCTAATTTGCCACTGCTGCATAGATGTAGCCTTCCCATTCTGTACCTGCACGTGACTTTGAGGCCCTACGACTTAATCTTAAGCTATGACCAGCTTCTAGAATAAGTTTTCTTCACTTTAACTTTGGCCAGGTGCTTGGCCAAAGTTTCCCAGCTGCATTAATCCTACAGGTTTGATAATAGGTCTAATCTGTGTCATTAGTTTCTGAGTCAAAGATCCCACTTGGACAAAATTCGAGCTTTATCAGTATAGGCCCTTTACTTTATACTTTGGGGAAGAAGGGGAGCAGCATGGCCTCTGGCTCCTGGCAATAATTCAACCTTGGTATCAGATCAGGTTTTACATCCCGCATTGCTCCTTCCAATCTTTCCATGCCATTCCAAGACTCCAAATGCAGTCTCTCAGCAATGAGGTGCCCAAAATATGAACATCTCTTATTACTGGCTTGTGGACAAGGGCTAGAGGTGGGGGTAATTGTATCAGTCAAGACTAATTACAAGTAACAGAAACCCAATTGAAATCGACTTAAGAAAAAGAATCGCATGGTTTTTATGACTATAGAAGGCTGGTTTTAGGCATGGCTGAGCCAGGAATCAGTTTCTGTTCTCTGTGATAGAGTCACTCTTGGGCAGGCCTTCTCTACTTGGTAGCCTTACGTTGTATTGTGAAAAGAGAACTTCTCTTTTATACTAGTTTCAACAAAAGTTCCAAGGCTGATGCTTATTGAGCTGATTGATCAGGTGTGGGTCACATGTCCATCCCTGAACCGATCACTGCAATCAGGGAATAAAATACACTGATTAACCTTCTCCTAGATTTGGCATTGAAGTTCATTTCACCCGTACTTCATGGACTGAGACTGGACAAGGGGTGGTTCCACAAAAGGAAACTAGGATGGGGAAATATACACTGGGCAGTTGGAACCAGTCAATATCCACTAGAAGGACTCTGTACTGACTGTCACCATGAAAGAGGGAGGTGACAACATGCCACTTGGTATGGAGGTGGTACTGACCATGCATTTGCCTCTTGCAAAAGGACTGAGAGAAAAGCCACCCAAATGTCAGGTCCCAAAAGCAAGGAAGGAGGAGGCCCAGGGGAAGTCACCAGCCTACGTTTCCTAAACATCCACCCATGTGCCATCTTGGGTGCATGTCCCGGGGGCATTTCTCTGGGAACATAAATCTCCAGATACTGGTTGGTGCTATATGACATTCCAGATAATTTATTCCCCATCCTGGAATCTGCTGCTTATCAGGGTTTTAAGGCACCAGTTCATCTTCATCAGTGGTAGACATCTGTAAGCTTGAGTCATAGCACTTTTTAGGTTGGTAACTACCCAGAACAAGGACATCATTAGAAACCATTATAGAACAACATTTTGCATTAACTGCTGCATATAATGCTCTTTCTTTGCTGATATTACCAAATGAAGGCTATTTCTTAACTATTCATTTTTACCATCATCATCATGGTAACAAGGATCATCTAATTCACGGATATTGCCGTTACTGCTGTAGAAACTAGATAATGTTCCTCAGGCTGGTCCTGACTACCAGACTGCTCTGTATGGCCAGGCTAGAGGGACTATCACAGTTCAAATGTGAGTGCTTCCTCAGAAACCCCATCCAAGCTCATATCACACAATAATGCAAAGCTTTGTACCCTTTCTATGTCTCTACCAAATTACAAGTTCTTTAAGAACAGGAAGCATCTCTCTAATTCCCAATATACCCTGTATTCAGCATATTATAACCACTGAATACATGTTTGTAGAGTAAGCGCTATTCTTAGTGATTGCAAAACAAAGGGGAATAAAACATAGTTCCTGAGAAGCTCAAAGTCTATCAATTACAGAAATAAAAATACCAATCATGACTCAGCTAATGTTCATTGAGTGCTATGTGCTAGATACTGAACTACATACTTTGCATGCATTATCTTGTGTAATGATCTTGACAGTACATTACTTGACAGTAATATACCATTATTACTCCCATTTTACAGATGAAGAAGCTAAAGTTTATGGACAAAGCTAAAGTCAGATCATTTGAAAATGGCAGAGTCAGGGTTTTGAGGGGGGTTTTTGTTTTTGAGACAGGGTCTTGCTGTGTCACCAAGGCTAGAGTCCAGTGACACGATCTCAGCTCACTGCAACCTCCACATTCCAGGTTCAAGCAATTCTCCTGCCTCAGCCTCCCAAGTAGCTGTGACTACAGGTGTGTGCCACCATGCCTGACTAATTTTTGTATTTTTAATAGAGACAGGGTTTTGCCATGTTGACCAGGCTGGTCTCGAACTCCTGACCTCAGGTGATCCACCCACCTCGGCCTCTCAAAATGCTGGGATTACAGGCATGAGCCACTGCACTCAGCCAGAGTCGGGGTTTGAACATAATACATGTTCCTAACCACTAAATTAATACTACCTCTGTTAAAGCAGGATGAGTAAAAGGTGGGGGAGGCTGGAATAAATTAATACCCAAAAGATTGGCAGGAGGTTCCCGGCGCCAAACAAATCAAATCTTCAATAAAGATATTAAGTTTCTCAGGAAGGTACATAATGTTAAAAAAAAAAAAAAGATATTAAGCTGGTCCAATATTTTAATTAGTGAGGGCCTTTGAGGAACCAAGCAGAGGAACTCAGCAGAGACCTGGAAATATGTTGATGGCACTTTCTGAAAGTCCATGGAAATGCACATGGACCACTTGAAACAAGCAAGCACCTACTGTTCCTTGTTTCCTCTCTCAGCTGGGCACAAGGGCCCAAGTGGAGGAAGTGTCTTCATGGCCTTCCCTCAATATAGGGTCAAAAAGAGCAAGATAAATGAGCTCTGCCTCTCACAAGTTTATTTTGTATTCTCTCAGAATAGTCAAGAAATGGAGATCAGGGAACACATTTGTAAAAATCATGTAAGTTCTCTAACTTAACCCCAAGCAGTTATTTCTGCTCTTTGTTGGCGTCTACACAGAGATCTGAGCAGGAGCCAGAGGAAAGGGCAGAATAGAGGAGTGACCAGCCTACTAGACTGTTAGGCTGGGAGGGAGTGAGTAGAGTAGGTGCGAGAAGCTTCGCAGAGGAGAGAAAAACAAAGCAATGGTTCCATGAGGCCTGTGGCCAAGTGGGTAGCAGAGACACTGAAGTCTGGTTGAGTGTAAGAAGATTCCTTGCCAAGCTGAGGGCAGGATTTCTGGAAAGAACCTAAGAAAGGAGCTAATGACCCCTCAGAGCTAGGACTATGCATCACAAGTAGGCCTGCGGAGGTGTGGGAAATGTCTATTAGTGTCCAACAAGATTGTGTCCCCATGATCTCCTGTATTTATGCAACATTCGTCCTGTACAGGTGCATGTGGATGTGCTATGTGTATGCACTGAGCCAGATGATGGGAAATCTTGAGGAGCAACCTTCCACCAGGAATCTTGTGTGGAATACAGACGAATAAACTGGCAATGGTGACACAGTGTGAGAGACCCCCAAAAGGGCAGGCAGAGGGTGCTCTGGGATTGTAAGGAAGATACCTACCCAAGTCCTTACTGGATGGGGCAGCAAGGGAGCTGGGTGGGCTTTGGAAAGCCAGGTGAGCACTAAAGAGTGAGCAGGATGCACCCAGGTGAAGCATGGGAATGGGAGCAAGGTAGCAGAGGGGTCTTTTAGAAGCCAAGCAGCAGCATGGCTCAAAATCAGGAAGTAAGAGAGCGCATGGCATTTCTAGGAACTGCAGGAAACTCAGTCCAGTTTGTGCTCAGAGGGAGAGGTGGGAGGTGGCAAGACACGGCCCAGGGCCAGGCACTCTCAGAGTTTGACTTCATGCTGAAGCCAGGGGGCCTTCATTGCTGAGTTTTCCTTCTAAGGGTGGAAATGATCAGGACCTCTTACAGGGCTGTCTTGGGTGTTTAGTGCCACAACTGCAATAATAAAAAAAAGATTCTTGCTCCTCAAAAATGCCTGATTCTGCATCCAGTCATCTTGGCAGGCAGAACTAAAGGAAGCACTTTGGTCCTCTTTTCTTAGCCATAAAAACCAGGTCTTGGTGTCCTAATGTTATTAAAATCCTCATAGGCTGAGAAGATGCATTTTGGGCCTCAGAGCATGTCAAAAATTACATAATTTTTCCAGCCTAATTCTAGCTCAGTGGGCTCAACTTTCATGGCAATTGAGAATTACCTAGAAAGTTTTAAAAGAAATGCTGATGCCTGGGGCACCCTCAGGGATTCTGATTCAATTGTCTGGAGCCAAGCTGGGCATTGGTATTTTTTAGAGCTCGCCAGGTGATCCCCAGGGCAGCCAGGGTTGAGAATCACTGTAGAATGTGCAGCCTAGCAACGGAAACTCTTGAGAAAGGAATGGACGCCTCTTGCCAAGTACTCCAGCCGAGTAGATTCTGGGTCAACTTTTCAAATCTTCCTGGCCGATCATCAAAGCAGCCTGTGGCAACTGCTGAGACCTCTTGGTGCTCCTCCCACTCCCCCCAACCACCTTTTACAGGTAGATGTAAAGAGCCTTGTTCTAAAGCCATTATAGGGGGCTGGAGAGGAGGGCTACCTCACCCATGCCTGGCACCTCACGGCATCATCTGGCTTCCTGAGCCACATTGTCTGTGCAGCACTAAGAAGCTTTGTCAGGGATTTTTTTCTTTCTTGCATTTACCCGGAAATTCCAAGCAGGCCTCATTAGCACATTACTCACACACAGCCAATCCCACATATCACCTTCCTCCTCACCCCCACCTCCAGGCTTTTTTTTTCCCCCCATTTGCCCATTTATCCACTGCAGTTAGGTTTTGTTTCCTGTGCCCTGAAAAGCACACTTTTGGAATGGAAATGCTGCTGGAAGAACAGGTGTGGCTATGAGCTCCATGATCACGGCCGATCACCCCTCATTGCCCTCCTAATGAAATCCCATCCATCAGGAGCAGAGAGCAACAAGCCCTCTAAATACTTCCCAAGGCACTGCCCTGTGTTGTTCCTTCTGTACTGAGACAGCAAATCGTTAGCTGGAGCTCCCAGGTTGTTTCTTGCAGCAATTAACAGCTGCCCTGTTGTTAATTCCCGATCAATAGTCCCGAGATGCTGCTGCTCTTACAGCTGTCAGGCTGACAGCCTCTACAGCACATTTTGAAAGTAACTTGCCAGTGGTGGGACTTTCTTCTCCCTGGGCACACCCAAGAAAAGTTCTCAATCAGGCTTCAGAAGAGCACCAAGTGCCCCTCACCCGGTGTAGGGGCCTAGCGGCAGTGTGAGCAAGAAGGTGGCTCCACCCCCCTCTTCTGGTCAGGTGATAACTTGGGGAGACTGTGGAACCGAGGCCCCCCACCACCACAGTAGCAGCCCCTTGAGATATTCATGAAGCTCTCATTTTTCAATTTTGGCTTGTTTGGAACTTTTTTCTGTTTGAGATGGCTATATATTTCTTCCATCTAAAACCCTCCTACAAATCCATCTTTTTATTTTTTTTCTAACTCAAATAGCCAGTTTCTCATTTCTTGTGTGTGTTGCTCCCTCCAGCTCCCTGTGGACAGAATGAGACCCGAGAGGATGGTAAAATAATCCAGCTGCCTCCCTGCAAGACAGGAGCTTGGATCGTGCCGGCCATCATGGCCTGCTACCTCTTAGTGGCAAACATCTTGCTGGTCAACCTCCTCATTGCTGTCTTTAAGTAAGTGGGTCCTTTGGAGCACGTGGGATGGATGAGGACAGCAGGGGTGAAGGGGAGTCGATGCTTCAGAAAACAGTGGGTTTTTCTCACTTGATTCTCTTTGGTCTCTATTTTAGCAATACATTTTTTGAAGTAAAATCGATATCCAACCAAGTCTGGAAGTTTCAGAGGTATCAGCTCATCATGACTTTCCATGAAAGGCCAGTTCTGCCCCCACCACTGATCATCTTCAGCCACATGACCATGATATTCCAGCACCTGTGCTGCCGATGGAGGAAACACGAGAGCGACCCGGATGAAAGGGACTACGGCCTGAGTAAGCTTCAAGCGACAGCCGAGCTGCCACAAATCAGAAATCCCTACCACTTCCTATAGGCAATCACGCAGAATCGCATGCCCACCTAGTTCCTCCTACCTCTTGCAGGCTGCAGACAGCTCTGAAGGCTTGGAGAGCATTGGGGGATGAGGGAGTTGACTTGAATGAGAAATAATGTCAGAAAGAAGATGGTAGAGGCTGAAATTGAGCACTCTTAGCCTCATGTCTTTCTTAGAGAGATACAATCAGTCTCCAGCAGGGCTATTTTAGAACCTTCATAAGTTCTAAGTTTCTTGCTTTCCAGAGATCTCAACCCAAAATACATCAATGATATTAATATGCCACCCAAGGCTACATTATATATAATTTAAGCAATAACTTCTGGACCTATAATTTTTTCTGATCTTAAACATTTTCCTAAACCTTAGGGGTTGTGCCTAGATTGCCTCATGAGAAGACCAGCCCAGCTTTCTGTTACTCGGAGGACAAAACAGAAGACCCTTCACCATCCACCTTCCAGCCCAGTGTTTCTAAAAGGAGGTTCTATTAGCATTGAGGCAGAACAATTCCTTGTTGTGTAGGATTGTGCCACACACTGCAGGAGGTTTGGCATATCCAGCCTCCACACATTAAATACTGGTGACTCCCACAGATTCCTAAATACCCTTTGGGTACCACGCTCCATTAAGAACCACTGGGAATCCAATCCCATACCAGCAAGCTCCTATGGTTTCTCAAAGTGTGTCAAACAGGCCACCTACATCAAATCTACTGAACAAGAGCCTCTGGGATTATAGCCCAGGAGTCTACTTCCCTCTGTGTGGTCACCAGTATATCTAAGGTTTGAAACCAAAACGATTTGGTCAACAGCTTCTCTAAATCTGAAGCTCTTAACACCCTCCCTGACCTTGCAATGCCCAACTTCTTTCTAGACATTTACATTAGAGAGACCTGGGAATTCCAGAATTCACTGCTTCCATCTGAAACACAAATTTAAGCAAAGAGAAAAGTTGGAGGGGTCGGGGTGGATGACCTATGAAATAAACCCTAAGCTTCTCGACTCAGGAACTCTAGCCAATGTGGAGGAGCATGGGATACAAAATCAGGGGCAGCGGGATGCTCTAATGAATGATAGCCTGCAGTGGATAACATGCTGAGGGCTAGCTCAGAGTCCCAAAATAATTTACAATACAGCATGAGTCATTTGTGGTAGAAGAGGAACCTCACTTATCCAGAGAGCTTAGGAAGGTGGTGTTTGTAAATACAATGCAGGAAGTAGGATGGTCCAGAGATCCATTTCCTTTCCAGTGCCCACCCCCTCAAAGAAGGCCAGAGAACCTGAATAAGCCAGACATTGGGCTAGATGGGAGCCAGCTCCATGCAGTTGCTGTTCAGGGTTTTCTTGTCGTTATCACCAATGGTAGCAACGAAAGCATTGCCAGGTTACTGGATGCTCAGAAGGGAGGAACAGCCATGTCTGCTTTCTCAGAGAAGAAAGATTTTAGTGCTGTGGCTGGGTGGAAAAGGGTGAAGGTCAGAGACAAGGGCCCTGCATTGTATGAATCAGTCGGGGAAACTGAACTTTTCACTATCCATCTGTAGCCTTAATTAAAAGAACCCAGGGCACTGCCAAGTTCTGGCAGAGGCTCAGACAAAACACTGAAATGTACAATTTAATTTTTATTGTTAAAATTTGACGTGTTAATGGAGTTTTAAAAAATAGTATTTTATTTTTGTTAAAAAGGCGTTACATATAGCCAAAGAAGTTAAATGAAGTGCCAGCAGAATAAGTGTTAAATATACTCCTTTGAGTCTCAAATATAGCAATAGCATAGCAGCAATAGCAATCATCTGTGCTTTGAGGGCCTCTCTAAACTGCCTCTTTTCTTTCCCCTCCCTCGAGACTAATGCTCTGTGTAATTTCATGAGTGAATCTCAAGTGTTCCCTGTGATACAGGTCTTCCTCACCTCAGGAAGCCTCCCATATTTGACAAGAGCAGTCTAATTTCTGGTATTTTCTTTTCTCTCACCTGCTTTTACATTCATACTTTCCATGCCCCAGGCAAATTCAGGCTAATGTCCCAAAGCAAGCAAGAGCCACCTCAGCAAACTAAATCCCTGAGGGTCCAAAATCCAGGGCTCCAAATATTTGGGACAATCCCTATCACATCTCGAGGGCATGGGATTAGAAGAATGACTTGTCCCATTTAAGAACTGGCAAAGCAGTTCTCTCCCCATAACCCTGATTCATAAACTACTTAAAGGTTCAATTTTCCACTGGGCTCTTTCTACTGCTATATCAGTTATGAATCCATTTACCTTCTATTAACAGAAACCAGGCTAACAATAATGCAAATAAATAAGGCTTTATTTTTCTCACTTAACAAAAAATGAAGAGCCCAGAGCTCAACAATGGCTCATTGAAGTCAAAGATCCAGATTCCTTCTATTTTTTAGGCTCAGCTATTCCTTTTGTGCTTTCTTGTTTCATGGTCACAAAATAGATGCCTCACCTCCAGTCATCACATTCATGTTCCAGGCAGGAAAAAGAGGAGAAGGTGAAAAACTGTAGAAAGAAGCAACCACATGTCTATATTTTATCAGGAAAGTAAAATCTCTTCCCAAGACACCACTCCTCCCTGCAGCAGACTTCTTTTGTTTCTTGGCCCAAACTGGATCCTCGTGGTTGCTGCTAGCTTCAAGGGAAACTGGAAATGTTTGTGTTGGGTTTCTAAGCTCAGTAGCAGGAAAGGGAAAAAGGAGAATGAGGTTGCAAAAGGGCTTTTAGTAAGGCCAATCAACAATGTCTCTCTGCCACACCCCCAGCCCAGAAGTTTTTGAGCTTTTAAGATACTCTAGGCTCTGAATAGCTTCCCTTTCCTTGATTTAGCTTTTTCCCTGGCCTCACAACTTGCCTAATTCTACTCAGCTCCTGCAGTAAACCAGATATGCTCAGGTGAACTTCAGAGACCCATAATAAATTTCATGTTCAGAAAGAAGACAGTGATGCAAGTTGCCTAATTGGATTTGGATTTCATTTGAGACTTAACAAGGAATCTAGGCCCCTTTTCCCACCTAGATTTATACTGAGAATGTCACTAGGCCCACAAATCAGATGCCATCGCTTTTACTTCTCTCCCTCAAGACTTCCTTTTTTTTTTTTTCCACAGAACTCTTCATAACCGATGATGAGCTCAAGAAAGTACATGACTTTGAAGAGCAATGCATAGAAGAATACTTCAGAGAAAAGGATGATCGGTTCAACTCATCTAATGATGAGAGGATACGGGTGACTTCAGAAAGGTGTGTTCTGTGGACACCTGCCTCCTGCAGATGTGTTGTGCCAAGGCATGCTTTATCCATCGAATTTATTCACACGGTCACAAAACAGAGATCTTTTGTGTTTGTTTTTATTGTCTGAGAAATCATGGAGCTTATGAGAGAACAGAACATTGCCCAAAGTATCTATAGATCAAAATCCCAGACTTACAGATCCTAGACTTCTCTAGCAGGCAGTAGCAGCTGTCCTCCCAGACAGAAGAGAATTTTGAGTGCAGGACAGGCCTGAGGTTGCTGGCTCAGATCAGAAATTGGGAAGTTCTGTTCCAGGCAAAAACCAAATGAGACTCAACCTGACTCTAGGCTCTCCATTAGTTTATGTTTTGTGTAGACTATTGCACGTCTTTTCCAGAGGAGTTGAACAGCCCTAGTGCCTGCCTTATATGGGTGCCCAACACCTTCTGAATAAATGACAGTAACAGAATTGTAAATTAGCTAAAATAATAATTAGGATTTTTCCCCAGAATTGTTTTGTTTTTCCTTTTTATAGAACAAGATGAAAGCAAAAAAAAATAATAAAAGCAGATTTTTCTACTGAATGGTTATATACATTTAGATCTCATGGGCCAAATAGTATAGCCAGCAGAGCTATAAGAAAAATCTTCAGTCTGAAGGATACACCTCAGCGTATTAAAAAGAGAGAGAGAGAGAGAGAGAGCACAAGATCTTCAAATAAAGAGAATTATTTAAACCTAGTAAGTCTAGCTTTATGAAAATACACTGACATTTTCTTATTTTTCTTATTTTGCTGTAGACTAATAGAAACTTCATTCCAGGCTGGCACATTCAGAACCTAGCATTTGGGAACCACTGTTCCGAAGAACACCCAGAATATTACGAAACATAGGTGTAACTTTAAATTTTAAGCATTTGCAATAGAAAGATGGCAGAAGCAAATTAGAAATAGTGTAGAAAGGCCTAACATATTGACGACTTTAGTCAGAATGGCTCAGGCTTTTAAGATTCAAGGCAGTCACCTCCAGTTTTTATGAAATGACATTTTGTCTGCTCATCCACTTCAGACTTCTCCAGTGGCTCTGTAGGAATTACCTAAATGGTATATTTTGTCCCTGGCCCTTTATTTCTTTGAAGAATTCAGTCTATGTAAGTAGGTATATACACATATGCCATTAAGTGATAGTATCCATCGGTACTCAGCCAATACTAATAAAGTTTAAAGCCATGCACAGATTTTATACACATCTGTTGCTGCAAAATAGACCATTTTATGATGATATAACGTAAAGCAATTTTCTGGCAAACAGAAGAAGAAACTAAAAGTCTGAAGATATTTCTCATTCTGAGACCTTGAGAAAGCTATTTATTAATGGACATATAACCATGTGGTTCCCCGGAAATTGTTCTATGTGGACACATTACCCATTGCTCAGACATGTTTACAAAGCATTTGTCTACAGGCCTTTGAAATGCTTTTTAAATTCAGAAAAGCCATAGACCTGGAGGGAAAGAGAGGTAGGGAAAAAAGAGTGTTAAGATGCAAGGAAGGCTTTGCCTCCCTGAGGAACTAGAACGAAGAGGTGCAGGCACCAGCACACGTGAATAAATTGTGACCATTTCACTAATTCTTTCTGAAAAGAAACAAAAAGAAACTATAGTACATCCACTTGAGCCTCTGGCCCCATGCCTGCAAACCCTTTAAGAATACTCCTTCCCCAAGGCCCTGTTCCTTTCTGGGTGATTACAGAGCTCCATCCTCAAAGAGGATGGCCAAGGTGAGCAACTCTCAGAAGTCCAGGACAGAATGTAGACCCACCTTCCCTGTGTCCTAGGCTTTAGACTGACCTTCTGGAGTAACAGGGGCCTGAAAGACCAAGATGACCTCAAGACCAATCCCAGGTGCCAGAGAAACAAACCTAAGCCAGGCTTCATTCTGCTGCTTCTGTTTGTGTGGGTTTTAGAATTTAAATGCTGTTGTTGTCATTGTTGTTGGGTTTTTTTTTTTTTTTTTTGCATTTGTAAGTGAACCAAAGATAATGTCTCTCAACACTGAAATTGCACTCGCAAAACAGAAACACCATGGGATGCACAAGGGAACAGAGATTAACCAAGGGAAGAGTAGATCCATATTACCAATCTCAAACATCTTCTAGAACATGTCCTTTCTGAGTGGAGTGGCAGGTGAAATCACCTGTCTTATTTACATTTGATTGAGCAAGAGAAAGGGGTAGAGACATATACACATATGTATATGTATGTATATACACACATTTGGAAAGGTATATATGGTTAAATTTACCTAAATTAGCTGTGTATATTCTATACAGTGTGTAGATTATATAATTTTACATTCATATTAGATAACCCCAATAACAGAGATTTGAAATCAACAACATTAAGAGATGCCTTTTTGTCCTACTAAAAGACTTAGGAAAAGGAGTTTCTTTACAGAGTGAGATTCATACTCCTCCTCCTGCCACTGCCCTAAAACACAAGTTATTTATACACGTTGTATTTGCGTGAGTCTTCTTAGAAATACAAAGATGCCCCCATAATTATCCATTTAAATGGATCATTATTCAATCACACTTTTGCATCACAGTGGTATGTAAAGAGCTAAATACAATATTCAGGAGATCATTAACACCTCATAGGAACCTGATTCTGAAAAATCCTTGTCTTTCCCTTTTATATAGCAATGACCCTGATGCATCTAGAGCAATACAATTCTAGAATATAATGCACCAGTAGAGTAACCAATGCCCTCTGCTTTATTTGGGACAATATCTAACTAATGATAATTATACTCAAATAACCAAGCTTTTCATCTGTTATGCAACATTGGTGACTGGCTTTTTTTTTTTTTTTTTTCCGATGAGGAGTTGTGGACTCTTGGCTGAAGATAACCAATTCTTGAAGCCTGTTCTATCAAATGTTGTGCTCACTATCTTTTTATGAGTTCAGTTCTGTTTCAACATGTGAATACCAGGCTTTCACCATTGCCAGGCAGTAAGCCACGCACTAAGGATCCACAAGGCAGGCCTCAGTCCTCAGGAAACATGCAGCCTCATTGAGCTTTTGTGTGCATCCCAGCAGGGATGACCAGAAACATCCAACCCAGTGGTTCTCAGTCTTTAACAGGTCTCAAAATCATCTGGAGGGCTTGTTACAACACAGGTTGCTGGGTAGCCCCCTTCCTACCCCTAGAGTTTCTGTCACTAGATCTGCAGTAAGGCCTGAAAATTGCACTTCTAAAATGTTTCCAGATGATACTGATGTTAATGTTGATGCTGCTTGTCTGGGAACCATACTTTAATAACCACTGATGAAAACCAATGGACAGCTTTAAGTCCAAACTTGGCAGAGGATGGTGCTGAATTATTCACTGTGGAGCATATAAAATCCTGGCATCTTACATTTGGAAAATGTTCTGGAAGTCACTGAGTACAGATTGCTTGTACCCAAAGCAGTTGTTTCCTCCACACACCTGATCAATGTCGACTTAACAAACATGTTCTGAGCAACTGGCATGAGCAAGGCCTGCATAGGAGGAGGTGATATAGGAACTCTACTTTGAAAGAATGCATTCTCTGGTTACACCCAACCTTGATTTGAACACCTCCTGGAAAAGAGAAGAAACTGCCTATGCTACCAGTCTTAGGAATGAATACAGGAAAAGACTTTTCTCTCTGAATATTAAGGCCGGGTGCAGTGGTTCACACCTGTAACCCCAGCACTTTGGGAGGCTGAGGTAGGCAGATTACCTGAGTTCAGGTGTTCGAGACCAGCCTGGCCACCATGGTGAAACCCCATCTCTACTGAAAACACAAAAATTAGTCAGGCATGGTGGCAGGCACCTGTAATGCCAGCTACTTGTGGGAGCTAAGGCAGGAAAATCGCTTGAACCCGGGAGGTGGAGGCTGCAGTGAGCAGAGATCGTACCACTGCGCTCTAGCCTGGACGACAGAGCGAGACTCCACTTCAAAAAAAAAAAAAAAAGAAAGAAAATTAAAATTCTTTTCTCTCTGAAATAATATTTTGCATATGTGAAGATCATTGTCATCTCCCCACTGTGCTGTGTCTTTTCCAAAGTAAATATCCCAAGATCATTTCATTGCTTATCCTGCTTTCCAGCAGATCATCTACTACCCTGCTCACTTTCTCAGTATGCACTTTAAATTGTCAACATCTTTTAAACGTGGTGCCTAAGTTAAACTCAATTCCCTGTGTTGTTAGAGCCTAGATTTAATTCCTTTATCCATTCATTTACTTTTTTTGAGCACCTACTATGTACTTGACTAGTACATATAGAGTAGGACAAGGAGTTCTCTCCATGGTATAACGGAAAGAACACAGTATAATGTGCATAATATAGTATAACAAAATTTTAATACTAATTCTGCAATAACTAGCTATGTGACCTTGAGCAATTTACTTAACTCCTCTTGAGCAATTTACTTAACTCCTCTTAACCTATGTCCCCATTCATAAAATGGAGTATTAAGACCTAACTATAGAGTATTAAAAGTTATTGAGGGGCATATATGAGGTATTATGCTTTCAATAAATGGTGATGATTATTATTTTTGACCTACACATTAGGTATGCTATAAGATTATATTACTAGTCTTAGCAACCAAATAACATCTTTGGTTCAGAGTACACTTTCAATGAATTCAACCAGGGCTTTTTTACATGAACTGACTCAATATCCTCAAACTTCTTCTTGTGAAATGTTTGTTCTAACCTAGAATCAAGACTTAGTATTCATTACTATAAAATTTTTCTTTTTTTCCCCCCTTTAGATCATTATTTCAGCACCTCAAGTAATTTTGGATCCTGATTTTTTCATCTAGTATATTAATTTTTCATCCTATGCATTTTAGGCCATCGTTTGTTTGATAACCACACTTACTATATCTTAGACATGGTTCCCCAAAATGCTCACAAGCACAGATCAGGTGAACTAAGTCAGAGGACCACTGCATGACTCCAAAAAATGTCTTTCGTGACATCAGCTCATTGCTCTACCATCTCTCCTTTGGTTAATTAGCCAGCTAAGTATTCACATTTCTCCAGGTGGCCCCGCATGTCAATCTCCTGGCTAAAACCACAATGTACATCACAGATATTGATCATCTATATCAATATATTGGTCTTGATTATCAGAAAAGGGGCAAGATTAATAATGATCTCATGCAGTCTCCTGTTAACTAACCTTATCTTTTGTAAGCAATCAAAAAATACCGTCTGTTTAATTACCTACTACTGAGCCATTTTATAATGCTGCCCAGAATTTGTGTCAAATTTACATAATTTCTAGAATCTAGAAATTTTAAATATCAGGAAAAGCTTTTATCTATCTCCAATTTTCTGGCATTTCTTTTTATTTCCCATTGGTTCTTAAGGGTTACCTACATTTTCTGGTGATCACAGTAGGGAGTTCTTTTCGGGTTCCTTTAACCCATTGAAAGCATACTTCAAAAAACGGTGGCTTGTGGGCAGCATCTGCCCACACAGGGCTGTTTTGCTGGACTTGCAGTGATTGTTAAAATTCATCCTGAATAAGTCTTTGGACTTGGCATGCTCTCCACTGCCACAGAGTGAGTCCCTGCGTCAATCGTCTGACATCCTGCCTGCTGTACCTACATACTTGATCTGCCTGCCTATAGGCATTTAATTCCCAGACTCTTGATGAAAGCATCCAGATCATCCACCATCACCCCACCTACCAGGCTTCACTTGTCAGAAGTTTGAGGTTTGAATTTTCTCCTTGATGGCAACATTTAAGCAAATGCAAGGATTTAGCAGTATTCCTAGTGTCATCTTTTAATCTAGTATTCTTTCCCAAGGCAGTAAGTTTTTTGCCCTTTTTCATTTTACCTAGATCCAAAAAGTGACAGAAACATAGCTATTACTAGTATATTCAAAGCCAGGCACAGAAAGACAAACATCACATGTTCTCACTTATTTGTGGGATCTAAAAATCAAATCAATTAAGTTCATGGACATAAAGAGTAGAAGGATGGTTACCAGAGGCTGGGAAGGGTAGTCGGGGATTGGAGAGGGGATGAGAATGGTTAATGGGTACAAAAAAAAATAGAAAGAATGAATAAGATCTGCTGTTTGATAGCACAATAGGGTGACTATAGTCAGTAATAACTTCATTGTATATTTTTAAATAAAGAATGTAAATGGATTGTTTGTAACTCAAAGGATAAATGATTGAGAGGATAGTTACCTCATTCTCCATGATGTGCTTATTTCACATTGCTTGCCTGTGTCAAAACATCTCATGTACTCCATAAATATATACACCTACTATGTACCCACAAAATTAATTAAAATAAAAGTCAGAAAAAATAGTATGTTCAACTTATAATTTTTCATAACAATGGCAGAGAGAAATGACTTAGGATATATAAAATTCATAAGTAATATTTTTTTAAATCAGTGTAAGCCAAAAAGCTGAGCTTCATCCACCTCCCACCGTATCTTTTTCCAAAGCTGATCTTTGGTCTCTCCATTAACTGAGTTAAGTTTAAACTTGTTTCTCTTTTTCTCCCCAGAGTTAATGAGAAGGATAATTAACCCAAAGGGAAGGGTAGGTGACCCCAAAGGACTTAATAATTCATAGATTAGATATCAGTCTGTGGATAAGCAAGAGTTTGCTTTAGCTATTCTGCATCATTGCCTTTGATTTGAAACCTGTTTACCCTTTTCCAACAGGATAGAGTTCATGCAATACGGGATTGCTTTTGCCCTCATCCTACATGCACCCCACTGCCAGCACTCAGGGAATGTCTGAAATTTAGAATAGGCATGGCCTGCCAATACTCTGTTATTTTACCACATTTCCTTTCACCACATTTCGAGGTTATCAGAAAAGCAGATAAAGTTCCATAAAATAGCATAACAATTCTTAAGAAATTGCATGTGGAAGCCAAAATGTTCTGTGCCACCATAATCTTCTTTTGAATGCTGTTTTCCTTATCTCACTGGCTGAAGAAGCTAGTCATCATCTTACTGGGGTTTTGCACCCACCCACTGGGCCTTCTCTCATGGGTCACCCAACAGCTTTCCAACACTCCATTGTGTCCCTGCTCTGATCACTACTTGAGTTATTCAGAAATGAGCCATTCGAGGTCTGGAGATATGAAAGAGGGAAATTTCAATAAAGAGTTCCTCTCATAGCATCTCTTCCTCTCTGCAGTGCCTCTTTTTTTCTTAGTCACTGTAGGAGTCTGTCTCCTTAAATTATCCATAAATTTTTTATCATCCATATATATCTCCATTTTTATCCCACAAATTCTTTGATCAGAATCAGTTCTCAGTGACTACAATCATGACTCAAAACTCTTGGTATATACCTCAGGCCTGTTTATATCTGTGACACCTGCCCATTTACATTGAACTTTGTTTTGTTTGAGATAGGGTCTCACTATATCACCCAGGCTGGAGTACAATGGCGCCATCTGGGCTCACCACAGCCTCAGTCTCCTGGGCTCAAGTGATCCTCCTACCTCAGCCTCCCGAGTAGCTGGGACCACAGACATGTACCAGCACACCCAGCTAATTTTTTATTTTCGTAGAAACCATGTCTCCTCATGTTGCCCAGGCTGGTCTGAAACTCCTGGGCTCGAGTGATCCATCTGCCTTGGCCTCCCAAAGTCCTGGGATTACAGGTGTGAGCCACTGTACCCAGCCTCAAAAAAATTTTTTTAAAGATTAAAGGAAGGCCAGGTGCAGTGGCTCATGCCTGTAATCCCAGCACTTTGGGAGGCTGAGGCAGGCGGATCACCTGAGGTCGGGAGTTCAAGACAAGCCTGACCAACATGGAGAAACCCCATCTCTACTAAAAATACAAAATTAGCCTTGCATGGTGATGCATGCCTTTAATCCCAGCTATTCAGGAGACTGAGGCAGGAGAATTGCTTGAACCCAGGAGGCAGAGGTTGGGGTGAACCGAGATCGCACCACTCCACTCCAGCCTGGGCAACAAGAGTGAAACTCCATCTCAAAAAAAAAAAAAAAAAAAGATTAAAGGAACCAGTCTAGTTATGAAACAAACACAGGTAACCTTGACTCTAGGACTTTTTATTTCTTTTATAGCCCCTATATTAAACCCCTATCAGCTAGGTCCATGACCTAAGTGATCACACATTTCATGGTAAGTTTGTTGAACACACCCAGCATTCTGGGAGAAAATGGAGAAAACAGTCCATTATTGTTTTAGTCAAGTCTTACATTTCAGCCCATCTCAGAGCCCATAGGACAGTTAAGGTTTGACAAGAATAGTTGCTTGGCCCTGTTCCAACAGGCCTCCCTCCCCTGGTTCCATGCCCTGCAGCCATCCTTCTTCACTCTTGGGGCTCTCACCATGTACCTTCTCTCTTTCCCTGAAGAGACTCTTCCTCCTGTACCTTCTCTGCTTTCCTCTCATCTCCTTGGGCTACTACTCACTTTATGTGTCCAGTTTACTGCCTACGTCCAGGCAACCAGGTTCTGATTCTGGACCAATGCTGAGTGCAGTGACTCCTGCCTGTGAAAATCCCAGCACTTTGGGAGGCTGAGGCGGGTGATCGATCACTTGAGATCAGGAATTTGAGACCAGCCTAGGCAACATGGTGAAACCCTGTCTCTCCAAAAGTACAAAAATTAGCTGGGTGTTGTGGTGCATGCCTGTGGTTCCAGCTACTCAGGAGGCTACAGTGGAGGATTGCCTGAGCCCCGGGAGGTCAAGACTACAGTGAACCATGATCGTGCCACTGCACGCCAGCCTGGGTGACAGAGTGAGACCCTGTCTCAGGAAAAAATAAAATAAAAATAAATACTAAATAACAGGAGGCAGGATCTCCCTATGTTGTCCAGGCTGTCTGTAGTGCTGGGGCACAGTCATAGCTCACTGCACTCTCAAACTCCAGGGCTCAAGCCATCCTTCCACCTCAGCCTCTTGAGTAGCTGGGGCTATAGGGACACATGGCTTTTTAGGTCCTGACTCTTCTGTTACGTGTTTTTGGTGCATCAGCTCTGCCTCTCACCTACAAATTTTCTCTATAGTGTTGGATCCTGGGGCTGAAGGTCAGGGGTGGGATGTGGACAGAGAAGACCCCACAGCACAGGCCATGGCAAGGAGATACTTCACAGCACTCAGACCAGTGACTACGGTTAGGTCAAAACAACAACTTCATCTCTGTCAGTACCAACATTGTACACACTGGGCTCCAGAGAGAAAGGGAGAAGGAGAAATAAACCTCCCCTGCCTCTTATTACTCTCCTAGCACTAGAGAGCTAGTGAGACCCAATACCTAAAGTATGTTAAGCAAAACATCTCGTGCTACAGAAATGCATGATCTATCCTCCTCTGGACTTCAATGAACAAGTACTTTATACACTTAACAAAGTTTATTGGCCAAGTGCAGTGGCTCATGCCTGTAATACCAGCACTTTGGGAGGCCGAGGCGGGAGGATTGTTTGAGCCCAAGAGTTCAAGACCAGCCTGAGCGATATAGTGGACCCCAGCTCTATAAAAAATGTTTCAAAAAATTAGCTGGGCATGGTGGTGCTCACCTATAGTCCCAGCTACTTGGGAGTCTGAAGCAGGAGGATCACTTGTGCCCAGGAGGTTAAGGTTGCAGTGAGCCATGTTTGCACCACTGCCTTCCAGCCTGGGTGACAGAGTGAAATCTTGTCTCAAACATAAATAAAGAAATAAATATAACAGATTGCATTGTAAAAAATTTAACTACAGTACTTGCAAAATCAAACTCCATAGGCTAGATAGTGAAAAAGTAATTCCAAGTCTATGAGACACACAAACTTGTTATTGTAAGTAATTTTGTTTCTTGGGCTATGTTTATAGGACAGAATGAAGTGAAAGAGGGAAAAGCTGTATTTTCCTTCTGAATTAGCTGTGTCAGCTGAGTGCATGGCGTTGAGTTTGCCAGATACAGAATAGCTCAATGTACAAGTCTTCTGGGAATACACCTGGGGATGGTGGCAGAGTGTGCCTGGCCCCTGAGATGCATTGGGTTGGTTATGGGGCAGCAGGAGGGAGCAAAAAAAAAAAAAAAATTACAAGCAGGGCTCTTGAGGGCAGGCTGGGACCTTTGGCTGGGTGAAGGGAAGCTGAAAGATAAAAGCAGAGTCGGGGTGGGGGGTCCTGAGAGAGGCAGAAATGTGCCCCAAGGCAGGGGAGTCACACCCCCATGCTCCTGGCCAGCAGGAGAGGAGGTTTTTAAGAAGTCTATAGGTCTCCCAGAGATCCACATGCCTCTTGTATTATATAACCTGCTTCTGGCATTGAAGTGTATGTGCTTCCCTAATAGAAGTGTTGCTGTCATTAAAACCTCACCACCACCCCCACAGACTGCAGGGGCCCAGCCTAATTCCCACATTCACTGTGAAGCATATTCTGTAGCCATGGTCTTCCTGCAGCAAGTGCCTTAAGAATCAGCAGTCAAATGATTTACTTTGCATATTGGAAGGATTGGAAAAAGTAACTTTAATCCTCTTCAGCAAAGTTGTGCATGGGTCTCATTTAAATTCACCAAAAGGTTTGTCTTTGGACATTTAAAAGTGAAAGTTTGAGCTCAAATTGTAACTTGGCTTTGGTTTGTCCTTTCCAAGTTAATTTGAGCAAGTGAAAAATAAGGTATGATTTTATTTTTAATATGTGGCCTCTGTCTTAAATGGCCAGGCAGACTGAGTGACAATTGAAATCAAGTTCGTAAATGTCATTGACCCATTTGTTGACACCTGGCAGGTATTAGGTTGGCCACATAGAAATGAAAACAGGAATATGAGACAAACCATGCCCCTAAGAATTTCCAGGGTTCACACCTGTGATCCCAGCACTTTGGGAGGCTGAGGCACGAGAAGCACTTGAGCCCAGGAGTTCAAGACAAGCCTGGGCAACACAGCAAGCCCCTGTCTCTACAAAAAATTTAAAAAACAGCTAGCATGGTAGCATCCACCTATAGTCCCAGCTACTAGAGAGGCTGAGCCAGGAGGATCGCTTGAGTCTGGGAGGTTGAGGCTGCAGTGAGCCATGATCACACCATTGCACTTCAGCCTAAGTAACAGAGTGAGACCTTGTCTCAAACAAACTAACAAAAGGCAGGGCATGGTGGCTTACGCCTGTAATCCCAGCACTTTGGGAGGCCAAGGCAGGAGGATCACTTGAGCCCAGGAGTTTGAGACCAGCCTGGGCAACAAAGTGAGACCCCCCCCATCTCTAAAAAAGTTAATTTAATTTAATTTTAAAAAGAAAAGAATTTCCAATGGGAGGATAGAGAGTTCTAGCAATAACTGTAATATAAGGCATCTGTGATCAGCTAACCAGAGAGGGAGAGACAGAGAGAGGAGTAGAAGAATTGACTTATTGACAGATACTCCAATGTTTACAACAAATTGCTTTATGCAATCTTGGTTAAATTCTTAATTTTTGCTTTTCCTTTATGAATGAAGGGATTGGATTAGATTAGATCAATCCTGGATGCCTCAGTAACTGGGCCATATTAATTCCTTTGGAGACACAACATTCTAAAAAGATTATCATGAATAACAAAAATTATTGTATAAATGCAAAATAAAAATAACCCCCATCCATGGAATACTCATTTTACATGTGTATTGCAATAAAAATAGCTAGATTCTAAAATTTCATTGCAAAATTCTGGGTAAAATCCTCAAAATGCAACATTCTCATTTTGTGGGGGACCCTGAGAAGCCAACAACTGGATGCTTAGTCAGGTCATTGCACCCTGCCCCAAGCCACAGCTAGGCCATGGTGGACTTGGCCCCACTCTACTTCAATAAGAACTGTTCCATTTTAGTGCCTTTTTATCAGGACTGTGCATTCCATTTCATTGAGGGAAAAGGGGATTGATAGCTAAAACAATAAAAAATCATTGGATTAGATAATCTCTAAAGCCTCTTCTAGCTCAAAAAGATTTGAATTCTGTGATTCTTTCACAGCATCAATGTCATTCTCTCCTCCCCAACCCCTCTCAACACCTGTAACCTGTCTTCCATTGAAGGTACCAAGGTCAGGCACAGCTGTGATCCCTTTATCCTTGCTCTCTAAAGCCCCAGCAGAGGAACCAGGCCGAGTGACTCTCATTCTCTCTTCCTCGCGCAGGGTGGAGAACATGTCTATGCGGCTGGAGGAAGTCAACGAGAGAGAGCACTCCATGAAGGCTTCACTCCAGACCGTGGACATCCGGCTGGCGCAGCTGGAAGACCTTATCGGGCGCATGGCCACGGCCCTGGAGCGCCTGACAGGTCTGGAGCGGGCCGAGTCCAACAAAATCCGCTCGAGGACCTCGTCAGACTGCACGGACGCCGCCTACATTGTCCGTCAGAGCAGCTTCAACAGCCAGGAAGGGAACACCTTCAAGCTCCAAGAGAGTATAGACCCTGCAGGTGAGGAGACCATGTCCCCAACTTCTCCAACCTTAATGCCCCGTATGCGAAGCCATTCTTTCTATTCGGTCAATATGAAAGACAAAGGTGGTATAGAAAAGTTGGAAAGTATTTTTAAAGAAAGGTCCCTGAGCCTACACCGGGCTACTAGTTCCCACTCTGTAGCAAAAGAACCCAAAGCTCCTGCAGCCCCTGCCAACACCTTGGCCATTGTTCCTGATTCCAGAAGACCATCATCGTGTATAGACATCTATGTCTCTGCTATGGATGAGCTCCACTGTGATATAGACCCTCTGGACAATTCCGTGAACATCCTTGGGCTGGGCGAGCCAAGCTTTTCAACTCCAGTACCTTCCACAGCCCCTTCAAGTAGTGCCTATGCAACACTTGCACCCACAGACAGACCTCCAAGCCGGAGCATTGATTTTGAGGACATCACCTCCATGGACACTAGATCTTTTTCTTCAGACTACACCCACCTCCCAGAATGCCAAAACCCCTGGGACTCAGAGCCTCCGATGTACCACACCATTGAGCGTTCCAAAAGTAGCCGCTACCTAGCCACCACACCCTTTCTTCTAGAAGAGGCTCCCATTGTGAAATCTCATAGCTTTATGTTTTCCCCCTCAAGGAGCTATTATGCCAACTTTGGGGTGCCTGTAAAAACAGCAGAATACACAAGTATTACAGACTGTATTGACACAAGGTGTGTCAATGCCCCTCAAGCAATTGCGGACAGAGCTGCCTTCCCTGGAGGTCTTGGAGACAAAGTGGAGGACTTAACTTGCTGCCATCCAGAGCGAGAAGCAGAACTGAGTCACCCCAGCTCTGACAGTGAGGAGAATGAGGCCAAAGGCCGCAGAGCCACCATTGCAATATCCTCCCAGGAGGGTGATAACTCAGAGAGAACCCTGTCCAACAACATCACTGTTCCCAAGATAGAGCGCGCCAACAGCTACTCGGCAGAGGAGCCAAGTGCGCCATATGCACACACCAGGAAGAGCTTCTCCATCAGTGACAAACTCGACAGGCAGCGGAACACAGCAAGCCTGCGAAATCCCTTCCAGAGAAGCAAGTCCTCCAAGCCGGAGGGCCGAGGGGACAGCCTGTCCATGAGGAGACTGTCCAGAACATCGGCTTTCCAAAGCTTTGAAAGCAAGCACAACTAAACCTTCTTAATATCCGCCACAGAAGGCTCAAGAATCCAGCCCTAAAATTCTCTCCAACTCCAGTTTTTCCCCTTTCCTTGAATCATACCTGCTTTATTCTTAGCTGAGCAAAACAAGCAATGCTTTGGGAGGTGTTAACTCAAAGGTGACTTCTGGGCCACAGATCAAGAAAGCATTTGATCTGACCCAGTGCCAGACACAGGGGATTTAAGGCATGTTCACACTTGCTGGGCAGGGAGGGGGAAGAGAGGGAGAAGGAAGGGTTAGAGATGAATGTGTATCCGCAGTCACAGCAGAAAGCCATGAGAGCAGGGGAAACAAGGGGCTTCGAGCACGCTCCATGCCAGGAGGCATCTGTTGATTTCTGACCATTATCAAGAGTTGTAGGATGCAGGGCTAAATTGCAAAATAAAATAAAATAGCCAGCGTACACAATGAGATATTCTAAACTTCCATTCTGTTTTCTTTTCACATTGGCTCCATCACTGGTGACTGATGAAGAGCATCCTCTTTATTCAGTATAAGCCGGCAGCAAGCAGTTCTACCTAACGTCCCACATCCTTCTCATGCCAACACTTCTGTAATTGATCATTATAAAGAAAAAACAAGGTAACAGTCATAGTTCACCTGTCTCTTATCTATTCACTTCTGGTGCCACAACTGTTTATCCTTTTTTGAAGAAAATAAGGGAACAGAAATGCCTTTTTGTATTGCAATCGAAATGAAAGAAGAGTTGATGTTAAAAAAACAAAAGTCAAGTGATTTATTATATACAGTGGGCGTTCAAGTCTAGTCGAGCAAGCTCAGGAGAATGTAATTAAATAATTTTATATTTTTTAATTTATTTTGTATCTCACCTGTCATGGATGAATTCATTCACTGAATATGTAATATTGAACTTAAAAAAAAAAAAAAAAAAACAGTGGACAGAACTAGCCTGAAATTGCCATGTGGGATGTTCTGTTCTCACCGTTCATGTCGTGTGTTGTGCTGCTGTGTGACCGTCATCATTTGCATGGCTCCACCACGTCCTCCTGAACACCTCCAAGACGTAACTGCCAATTTTTCACACCACTCATCACATGACCATTTTGTATATGAATATATGGTTATATGTGGATATTTTCATACCTAGAGTTTTGCCATCTAATCTGAGCTCAGCATAAATTTAATTGGAGTTTTTCAAGGGCTGGTATCTTTTCTATGGAAATGTTCCAAAGTACTTTTTAAGGAAGTTTCAAAACTATAAATAACCTTAGATTTGACTGGGAGTTTGGTATCAACCCAAAGCCATCAGTTGCAAGCATACCATGAATATTTTTCTTATAGACAGAGCTATAAAAAAAGATACAGTAGACCAAAATAGAAAGCAAATAAACCATATAAAGAGTTCTATAGTATATGCCACTTATACACATGTATATGCATTTATGCAGAGACACATATTTATATATAAAATAAATGGACATAAAGAGCTTTCTTAAGAGGCTTGGACTTTTCTATCACCTTGAAGTATAATCAAGATTTTTTTTAATATACAAGAAGTTCCATTGAAAGAGTTCATTATACTATTAGACCAAATGTTGAAATTATGAATTTTTTAAATTCCTATGACTTTTCCTCATATCAAACTAGAGTTGTCAAAATGACTCACTGCTCGCCTTCTGCCCTTTTTTGTCTGAAATCACTCACTATCAGGACATCTCATTTAGTCTCGCTTTTCCTAAACAAAGTTTTTACACCACGTACAATCTGAATAGACACGCAACTTTAAACCAGCTAGTGTTACAGACTCTAAAGTAGAGGCATAATCTTCTAGATCAGAATCTGGATTGGAAGTGGGATAAAGAAATCTTGACCCCAAATCTTTGGATTCCTATTTGGCTCATTAACGTTTAAAAAAGAATAAAGCCTTTAAGGAAAACAATCTATTGTTCCTGGCCTGAGATACTACCTGGTTCTTTTGTTTAATTATAATTGAAAACACCAAGTTTTACTTTATTTTGTGAAATCAAGTAAATACATGGCCTTTAAATATAAGATAAAAAACAAAATAAAAACTCTTCTGAATAAGCATTTCAGGTATAAAAATTGTGATGAGGTCACATATGTAAAGAATTAAACAATTCCTTTTTCACTCCTTGGCATTTAGGTGAATTGCTAACAAACACCCAGACTCCCTTATTTACAGCTGTTCTAGAAACACTTAACATTTTATTGGGCCCCACGCTGGCTATTTCCCTCTCAGCAAACATGCACTGGGTCTGAGAATAAATCAGTCGTTCTTAAACTTCCTTGAGTCATGAATCCCTACGAGGCTCTACGATAACTCTAGGCTCTCTCTCCAGAAAGAAAAAAAAAATGTACATAATGCAAAGTTGCAATATAACTTGAAAGGGTTCATGAGCCCCTGGTTCTATATTGATTATGAGGGAAAGGAACCATGTTTGCTCGTAGTTAATGCAGTTGTAATAGGCACTTTACATTTGAGACCATCTCTCTGTGATTCTCAGGAAGGCCAAATCTCAGCACCAGAGTTTGAACAAAGATTTTGTTATTTTTGTTCTTTAAATTAGATGTTGCCAATTTAATGCACTTACATCCTAACATGTTGATGATTTTAAGTATCAAGCACAATCACAATGCTGAAGTCTCCCTGAAGGGTCTATAGAGGAATCCAAGAAGGAGGTGAAAACATTATTCATTGACATCAAACACCTCCAAGGCCTCATTCTGGGCCAGATTGGAAGTGAGGGAAAGAAATTTTCAGCTCAAGTGTTTCCATTCATCGTGATTTCAGAGAGAAAAGGATAGGAACTGGGAAACGAAATACTCAACAGTCCTGATCTTGCAATTACCTGATTCTTTTGTTGTGCATGAAAATTAAGTTCTAACGTCTGTGAAACGTGTGAAATATATAAGCCAAACTTAAATGACTGTAGACACAAACTGTGTAACTTCCATGAGCCATTTCCTTCCTGTGCACATGTATGTGTGTTATTTTTCAGTCCATTTCCTTCCATTTCTGGGTTCTCTGTGCAGCAATGTGGCATTGATTCTGTGGCCTTGTGCAGTCAGCTTATGCTCAGCCCATTGATTCCACCACATCCCTGATCGAGGGGACGTTAATTACCTGTCTTTGTGAATTAAGCAGTTTATGAGCAGCAAGTTACTGAGGACCGTAAATAAAGTCATAGAGAGCTCAAGGAAGTAATAGCTTCGGTTTAATCATCTGCTTCAAAGGTGCCAATTTTTACATACTACTATATGTAATGATTTGTTCTAAATTGCTTGTTCCTTTTGAAAAAAATTTAAGGATGTTTTATGAAAATGACCATGGAGGTCTCCTGCTTAACCAATATACTTTATATTTATAGTTAGAGGGCCCCTCCTTGATAGATTTGAATGAGGAGCTGGAAAGCTTGGGTACAATTTTCATGACTAGTTTGTATTATCTCTGCAAGCCAAAAGGTGTATTAGCAGTCAGAATACAGCACTTTACAGAACTGGATTTTTTAAATGTATAAGTTTCCAGGTCTAGGATATTATTTAGCACTTTGAAAGTTCCCCTTTTAAAATATATATATAAGAATAATCAAACGAGAAAAATGTACTCATAAAAACACAAAATGTGTTTCTTCTGAATGTTTCAAATGTATTCTAAAATATGGTTTCTATAGATAATATTATGGTAGATAACTGGATAGTACTTTTTTACTTTCTGAGTCTGTACAGTCTAATCTTCCTGAATGTTTGGGCTGTTTAATTTCTTTAAAGATGATAAATATTACCCGGTCATCCATCATGCTCTATCTATAGGCTATACCATTCATATGTTGGGCAATGCTGTATTATAAAACACATGTAAACATGTATGTAACCCATGTTTAACCCAGCGTAGTTGTAGCATGTGGTTGTATTAATGAACGTTACAGGAGAGCTTTATAATCATTTATAAATCTGTAACATTCAATAAAGAAACACATGTTGCAATGATTAATTATGTTCCCAATTCCATGTTATTTAGCATCTTTGTGAACCGGGCATTTTTGTTCCTGATCTGCTTGATGCTTTTCATGTTCCTTTGGACCACTGTAAAATATGTGTGTAAGCTGATGTATATCCTCTAATGAGTCCTGCGAGCTGTGGTAGGCAAGTTGTGATTTTGTGAAAGATGAACTGGCATGTTATGCAAAAGACTATATGACAAATGAACTTAAAATGATATTTTAAACTCCAGTTGAATTAGCTGTTTACATCTGCCAACCCCATGCAGAAGCAGTGTACAGTATTTTATAAATATGTTCATTTAGTAACACTATGTTGTTTCTAGATAAAGTGATACTAGTGTGTAGGTGGTTATATATTTGGCCTAGATATTGCATTATAACTCACTATCCTTGAACAATAACAATGTGACTGAAATGAAGTAATCTCTCTCCAAACCTGGTCTTAATTTTGTGTCAACAAAATGCATGCACTGCTTTATGCATTTCTTTTGACTTTTCTAAGGCACTTAACATTTTACTATTGCCTGCTGTGACGCTTAAGCCAGTTAAGAATTCACTCAAACAGTTGGGCTTCTTACTATGGGGATTATGTTCAGTTTTGAAAAATTAAAAACAAAAAAAAAGTAACCAAGGGATTTTTAAATCTTTTTTTTAAGCACTGAACAAATAATATGAAATAAAGTATTAACTGCAGGTTGTATAGCCATGGGACCCAGAGGTGGCAAGCCAACACCTCTTGGGTCTGCCAAGGTCTAGGTGTTGTGCATCTGTGATATATGCAAGACACATTTCTGATTCTTCAGAGCTACTGGGTGCAAATTGCTAAGCCGGAGATGAGAGCGAAAAGTCCATTTGTGATAGTGCAGAAGTGCGCAGATCGCTGTGAATGTGTGATCCAATGATATGACAAGAGACCTCCCTCCTTGTCTTGTGGCTTCTTCACCTTGGGGGTGGGAGGCGTGTGTTTGGGTGTCTGATGAAGCACTGGGTGGTTCTAAAGAGTTTACTCTTTTAGAAAATCATCATTACTAGAAGCCATTCAACATCTGTTAAAGAGAGGAGCCAATTTGCACAGTTTTGAAAATGACTGCTCCTAAAATGAGTAGACAAAACTTTCCTCTCAGCCTGCATTGACCTAAGCTTTCTCTTCTTTTTACAAGTTGGATATTCTGTCTCTCAGATTGGAGTCAACCAAAAGAAAGGCTGGTTCCAATTAAGGAAAAGCAATTTTTTTCTTTTAATTCCTCTCAGAAGGTAGTTGTGTTACCTTTTCTCTGATGATTTCCTTGCACTCATCACTGCTAATGAAAGCAACGTGACTGTTTCTACAGGTCATCTAAGAGAGGATTTTGGTGACCAGGTAATCCAGATGGCAATAAGAATGAGGTGAATTTTCCCTTCCTTACCTTACCTAGTCTACCAGCCTCCTTAAACCTGCAGGCCCTTGTGCGTTTGCACAATGTTTGTGTGCTGGAAACTGAAAAGACATGTGTATGGCTAGAAGTCCATAGGCTTTGTAAAGAGTGTCAGTGCCAATCAGGACCCATGCCTTCCTCTGGAGGAGACAGGTGGCTGAGGCCTATGGGGCAAAGGGGGAAATTCAGCCTTGTGCCTGGATGTGCGGCTTTCTTTCTCCCCTCTTCTTGCTTCTCTTCTCTTAGTCTAAGACTAGCTGCTTTTTCACCAGACCAACAGACCCTTGCCCACATTACCTTTATACCTTGTTGACCCTCGCACAGTAAGCTGAAACAGCGGCCGCTTGGAAAAAGGCAAACATTTAGACTTTGTCCCAGGCCTGATCTTCCCACCAACTTAGCCTCCTCCTGCCTCTACCCCGGCTGGTGTTCACATTGACCTCGTCCAATTTTTGCCTCTCTAAATCTCAAGAGTCCTACACATCTTCACCGCAGCTTCCCACACATCATTAAAACCAGCCATCTGCACATAGACTGAGAGGCTGCAAATTCAAACACATGGAGGGGCCGGATCCAGAAAACACAAATGTGTGAACTGGACTGGTGAAAGTCAACAGAAGTAGGGTTTGTAAGTAAGGCATGACAGAATACACATCCCACCACAAACACCTTCAAATTCAGCTTTCCAAACACTGTCCTAGCCAAACAAACATGTCTGCCAGCAGCATTCAGTCCCAAAGGCAATAGTTTGGGACCTCTGATTTAGAGCCAACAGGATCAGATTCTTGATAGTGACTTGGTGAGTGTACACACAAAATACACTGAGAACCGAGAGGGGGGAAAAGAAACTCGCCTTATTCAGAGTTACTCTTGTTCTGAATGATATATGCATGTATATTTGTTAGCCACATAATTCTAAACTTGAACACAGAGTCTTTGTGAGAGAGATTCAGAAGAAGAGTACCATAGCATGGTATGAAGACTTACCTGCTTCCTGTCACTACTGCGTCTGACCTGAGTTTATATTGCTGCTACCGCTGTGTAAAAACAGTACGTGCAGTATACTGTACTCATAGCCATTTCATAATATAGGACCTAGACTCTCATTTGTAAACGTTCTAACCCTAGTTTATAATGGGGGAAATTATTCAGATATCATTTTTAAATGAATTCCTACAAATACAATGGTTTTAAAATTGGGTTTGCTGAATATATATACATCTTTTCCTTCTTTGTGTATGGATGGACCACGGTATGCATATCTATCGACACTATAAATATATATAAATCCTTAGAAGAATTGTTCTTTTTTAAAGGTCTATTATTGGATTCACAATGCACTTTGAGTTTGATTGTTTAGATATACAATTCAGAGCAGAAGTTGGCAGATACCACGGGAAAAACTTTCTGAAATTTCTGTAACAAATGTTTTGCAATAAAAAAAAAAACTCAGTAGTTTAAAACATGACTTGGACTTCTTTGTGCACTTATTTGCTGCCATCTAATCTTCACCATCCTCATCCTAAGAACTTTTGGAGTAGAGATAATTGCCTAGGGCTCCACAAATTACTTGTTCCGGTGAGCAGAAGTTGCAAACTGGTAGCCTGTGGGTCATATCTAACCAGTAGGAAAAGGGTATTATTGGCCAGCAATTTTTTTTTTTAATTTGGAACATTTAAAAATTGAGCCTGGGCACAGTGGCTTACTCCTGTAATCCCTGCACTTTGGGAGTCCAGGGTGGGAAAATCCCTTGAGATAAGGAGTTCGAGACCAGCCTGGCCAACACGGTGAAACCCCATCTCTATTAAAAATACAAAAATTAGCCGGGTATGGTGGCACATGCCTGTAGTCCCAGCTACTCTGGAGGCTGAGATGGGAGGATTGCTTGGACCCAGGAGGTCGAGGCTGCAATGAGCCAAGATGGCACCACTGCACTCCAGCCTGCCTAGGCAACAGGTCGAGACTCTGACTCAAAAGTAAATAAATAAATAAATAAATAATTGACAGATTTCACATCTAATTCCAGATTTCTAGCTTCTTTTAAAAAACCTGAAGATCTGGTAATATAAGACCCATGTTTTCATATGACAATAATCAGCTGAATCATGGCATCTTGGGTGCTCTTTTAGAAGGAGCCTGTACTCTCTAATATACCACAGTCCCCACCATTCTCAAGTTCCCTTTACTCAGAGCATTACCTGGATGGCCCCTACATGTACTGGGAGGATGAAATTCAGCCCATAACAGTGGGTGAATTTGTGAGTGGAAATGTAGTGGTCTTTTACAATTTTAATTTCTTTTAAGGTAAAGGAATCAGAATACAAGAATCAACTGGAAACAACATATGTGTTGGTCAACAGGAGAAAATAACTGATTATGATACATGATTAAAAATAATTAAATTTTGTGTATTGACATAGATGTCATTGCTATATTCTTAAGTCTATTTAAAAAGAAGTACAGAGAAGCATATATGGTCTGTCTCAGTCCATTTGGGCTGCTATAACAAAATACCTTAGGCTGGGTGATTAATTTATAAAAAGAGAAACTTATTGCTTACAGTTCTGGAGGCTGGGAAGGCCAAGATCAAGGCACCAGCAGACTCGGTGTCTGGTAAGGGCTTGCTCTCTGCTTCACAGATGGCACCTTCCTGCAGCCTCACATGGGGGAAGGTGCAAGGGAGCTTCCTTGAGCCTCTTTTAAAAGGACACTAATCCCAGTCGTGATGGTGAAGCCTTCATAACTTAATCACTTCCCAAAGATCCCTAATACTATCACACTATTAGTTTCGAACGTGAATTTTAAGGTGACACCAACATTCAGACCATAGCATGTTCTAATATCAATTTTTGTAAAAATTAAACCAGGCATATAGATTATGGATGTATTTGCATATGAATAGTAAAAGTCCAAAAGAATATCACAGAAGAGAATAAAATTTTTGCAACAGAACTTTTTTTTCACAAAAATTCAAATGCTGTGTAAGGGCAACCTAAAGTGACCTAAGTAAAATTAATGCAAGTATCACTAGACATGAACCAGGAGGATTTTCTTTGCTTTCTTTCTCCTCAGAAACCTGTTGTAGGTATTGTGACAATAATCATAAGCCTTATAATGGCAGGTCATCTTCTCCAAGGTATGGTAAAGCTGGAATAAAAGAAAATAAAAATGGTAGCAATGGTTTAACTATTAATGTTGGGAAATTATAATTTTAGGCATAAATATAATCAATGCCTTTTGAGCAGCTACTTTGTTCCTCTAGAAGAACTGAAAATTTTATTAAAAAAGCAAGACAGTCATGACTAAAAAGATAATTACATGTTTTAGTTATTTAATTAGAGCTGTTGAAAAAATGGGGACAAGCAGCCTAAGTTTAGCTCATCAACACTAAAACTATTCAAGTAGAAGCAAAATAGCCACCAGAAAGGCAGCGTATGGATGGTTTCCCACATTTGGGTTGGAAATTGGACTAAAAAATCTGCTCTGAGACTCTGTGTAGAACAGACTCAAAATCTTCTTAGAATAAAAGGAAAGAATGAACATTTGTAGCCTAGAAGGACCTGAAGGAATCGGGCAAGACTAAAGAAGCCAGGAGGTAGAGTCTGGCATTTCCAAGCCTGGAGTCCCAGGCAAAAACAAAGGTGTAGCCGCAAGAATAATTGAGGCAGGCCAGGCGCGGTGGCTCACACCTGTAATCCCAGCACTTTGGAAGGCCAAGGCAGGTGGATCACCTGAGGTCGGGAGTTCGAGACCAGCCTGACCAGTAGAGAGTATTTTAGTCTCTACTAAAAGTACAAAATTAGCCAGGCATGGTGGTGCATGCCTATAATCCCAGCTACTCGGGAGGCTGATGCAGGAGAATTGCTTGAACCCAGGAGGTGGAGGTTACGGTGAGCCAAGATCGCACCATCACACTCCTGCCTGGGCAACAAGAGCAAAACTCCACGTCAAAAAAAAAAAGAAAAGAAAGAATAATTGAGACAAATGCCTGGGCTCCAGTTGGAAACCAACCTAACCAGAGCGGAGGATTCACATTGGAGATTTGCCGGAAAGTATGGCAATCCCTTATATTCATTTAATCTCAACACATTTATGAGATTGCCATTAATATTCCCATGTCCCAGATGGGAAAAAATGGGGTTCATTATTTTATTTTGTTTTATTTTATTATTTTGAGACAGGGTCTCACTTTTTTGCCCAGGCTGGAGTGCAGTGGCATAATCTCGGCTCACTGCAACCTCTGCCTCCCAGGTTCAAGCAATTCTCCTGCCTCAGCCTCCCTAGTAGCTGAGACTACAGGCACACACCACAAGGCCTGGCTAATTTTTGTATTTTTAGTAGAGTTGAGATTTCACCATGTTGGCCAGGCTAGTCTTGAACTCCTGACCTCAAGTGATCTGCCCGCCTCGGCCTCCCAAAGTGCTGGATTACAGACCTGAGCCACCGCACCCAGCCCCATCATTTTATACATCAATGGTTTGAACGTTATTCTGTGATGAAAAGAAAGCGACTGAAAAATTCTGGTCCAAAATGTGGGCTGTAACATTATGGCATGGCAAGGGAGAGGGTAGGTACAGTGAGACTAATTGCAGGATTCCAGGCTCCAGGTGATAAAACCTTATAGATTAAAAGACACTTTGGAGAAATTTCACAACTCAATTCAGGAAATATTTCTTGGATATCCACAATTTGAAAAACACTTGACTAAGTGCTAGTACCTTCTGTGTGAAATGTCAGCCTCTTACTCAATTTCCTGGTGAACAATTAGTCATATTTCATAGAGGACTATTTTTCAGTGTATGAGCATGACTTGAAATGCCTCCTTGCTGGCAGTCATTTTGTGCAATATGGAAGAGCTCTATACCTTTGGCTACACCCTTAGAGAAGGAGGCATTGACCCAAGAACACCAATCAGAGTTTTTTCTTTGAGGATCTGGAATAGAGTTGAGAGAGCTGAGCAATTCCGGGTATTGAAACCATAACTTATAGTCTCAGGAATTGTCAGCAATCATGTTTCTACATACTGGCTGACTTGCAGAAGAAGTCAGTCTGCCAAAAAATACAGAAATTAATAAAGACACAGAGACGGGGCAGATACATAAAACGAAGTTTCTAGGCTCTTCCTGGAACATGGCTATCATCTCACCTTTGATGTCTAAAGCCATATCAGTATCTTTAAAATAAATTTTCTCTTTAGTAGGCTGAATAATGGCCCCCAAAGATGTCCATGTCCTAATCCTCAAAAATCTGTGAATGTTACCTTATATGGCAAAAGGGATTGTGCCAATGTGATTAAGAATCTGGAGATGGGTAGATGATCCTGGATTCTCCAGATGGGTCCAGTGTAATCACAAGAGACTTGTAAAAGTGAGGCAGGAGGAATCAGATTCAGAAAGTAGACTATGTGACAAGAGAAGCAGAGATTGAAGTAATACAATGTAAAGATGGAGGATGTGGCCACAAGCCAAGGAATACAGGAGCCCTCCAGAAGCTGGAAAAGACAAGGAATGCATTCCTCTCCTAGAGTCTCCAAAAGTAACTGGAACCACAGATATCTTGATTTTAGTTCCTTCAAACTCATTTTGGATTTCCGACTTTCAGAATTGTAAGAGAATAAATATGTGTTATTTTAATTCACTGTTTCTGGTGTTTTATTATAGCAGCAATAGGGAAGTAATGAACCCCTTCCCCACCTTCACGTTTTTAAAAAATCACGTTGGTGTCTAATTTTGTGCAACCACAGACTCTAAGTCTACTATATCTTTTTAATACTAAGATGTCAGCGACTATAAGAAACACCACCAAAATAATACCAGATTTGGGAAGACAGAAATATTGCCACATTAAATGTATACATTGATCAAAAATTATATCCTGGATTCAGGATGTAAAAAACAATGTGCTTAGATTTAATAAAATAAGACAGTATATCCTTCAAGTCACAACTAAAGGATACATTGCCTTCACAACTCTGCCTCTATGAAGCATTCTCCAGCCTACCACAATGAACTTTCCTTTCCTGACCAATGATATGGTTTGGATTTGTGTCCCTGACCAAATCTCATGTCAAATTGTAATCACCAATGTTGGAGGAAGGGCCTGGTGGGAGGTGATTGGATCATGGTGGCAGAATTTCCCTTTCCTGCTTTCTTGAAAGTCAGTGAGTTCTCATGAGATCTGGTTGTTTAAAAGTATGTGGCACTGGCCAGGCATGGTAGCTCATGCCTGTAATTCCAGCAGTTTGGGAGGCCAAGGTGAGTGGATCACTTGAAGTCAGGAGTTCGAGACCAGCCTGGCCAACGTGGTGAAACCCCATCTCTACTAAAAATACAAAAATTAGCAGGGCGTGGTGGTGCATGCCTGTAGTCTCAGCTACTAGGGAGGCTGAGGCAGGAGAATCGCTTGAAGCTGGGAGGTGGAGGCTGCAGTGAGCTGAGATCACACCACTGCACTCCAGCCTGGGTGACAGAGTGGGACTTCATCTCAAAAAAACAAAAAGTGTATAGCACCTCCCCCTTCTCTGTCTTCCTCCTTCTCCAGCCATGTAAGACGTGACTGCTTCCCCTCAGCCTTCTGCCGTGATTGTAAGTTTCCTGGGGCCTCCCCAGCCATGCTTCCTGTATAGCCTGCAGAATCGAGAGCAAATTAAACTTCTTTTCTTTATAAATTATCCAGTCTCAGGTAGTTATTTAGAGCAATGCAAGAACAGACTAATACAACAACACATCAAGCGTTGCATTTGTCCTCTATCACAGCAATTGTCCTTCTACGCAATACTGGTAAGTTCACCTGTTTATCTCCCAGCCAGACAGTGAGAGCCCTGGTCCCTAGCTTAGTGCCTGCAAATAGCATGAATGAAGAAATAAATGAATAGACAGTTCCTGCCCTCAACAAATTCCCAATCTGGTAGAAACACATATGTTACCATACGAATCAAACTTTTCAAAGCACCATTAACAGATTATATAAACAGAGTCCTCTAGATTACAGAGTGTACTTTTAATGTACATTCAAATTTGCAATAACTGGAAAGAAGGGTTGAAAGAAAGCTTGGAGGGGCTTCTCAGAAGAGGTGATATTTGAGCTCAAATATGTTGGCCTTGAAGAATGAGTGGAATTTCAAGAAGCAGAAAAGAGGGAGCAGGGAAGAGATTTCAGGAAAAGTAGTATAGCATGACCAACAAGAATCACAATGGCATGAAAACACAACAGAGCGCTGGAAGACAGGTGAGAGATTTATTGTGACTGGAGCATATGCCAACATATTGGAAGTGGAATGCTCTAGATATGAGCTAAGGAAAATTTGAACTAGGTAAAAGCTAAAGATGACCTGAAAGTGGAAATGATAGAGGAAGCCTGTAATACTGTGAAATATTTGTTATTTGACCCCATTGCCTAGCATACAACTTCTAAAATCCTTAGAATCTCCAAAGTGACACCTTTTCATATTCTAGTGAGCTGACTGATGGTTGGCAGCCCCTAAGTATTTGCAGAATGGGGGCTAGTCACTGGAAAAAACAAGGTATGATTAGAGGGTTGGGACTTTCAGCTCCAGCCTCCCCCACCTCTAGGGAAGAGAGAGGGACTGAAGGTAAGTTGATCACCAATGGCCAATGATTTAGTCAATCAAGCCTACTTAATAAAGCTTCCATAAAAACCCAAAAGGACAGGGTTTGGAGAGCTTCTGGATAGCAGAACACCTGGAGGTTCCTGGAGGGTGACATGCCCAAGGAGGGCAAAGAAGCTCCACACCCCTCTCGCCCCACACCCTATGCATCTCTTCATTGGTATCCTTTGTAATATAATAAAGCAGTAAATGTAAGTAAAGTGTTTCCCTGAGTTCTGTGAGCCACTCTAGCAAATCAATCAAACCCAGGGAGGGAATTGTGGGCACCCAGATTTGTAGCCAGTCAGTCAGAAGCACAGGGAAAACAACCTGGAGCTTGTGGTTGGCATCAGGAACAGAGTGTGGGGGCAGTCTTGGAGACTGGGCCCTCAACCTGTGGGATCTGACACTATCTCCAGGTAGACAGTGTCAGAATTGAATTGAATTAGAGGACACCCAGCTGGTGGCCACTGCAGAACTGATTGCTTGCCTGGTGTAGGGGGGAAAACTTCCACACATCTGGTCACAGATGTCTTCTGTGTTGACTGTTGTGGTGTGAGAGCAGAGGAAAAATGGTTTGTGCTTTTTCCCCTCAAAGCGAAAATGGGAAAGAGACAAGACTTGCTAATGGAGTAAAAGGGCCATAGAATGGGTTAAATATAGCAGGAAGGATCAGTTAGGCAGACACAATGGGGTGAGAGTAGATACAACCAATGGAAAGAGAAAAGTTAAAGATGACTCTGAAGTCTCTAGTCTCAAATGTAGGTCACAGAAATAGTCTGGTGAGTGTGCAATTGTATATTGCAATTGCAATCTCATAAACATTTGCTGAATGGATGAGTGAATACATGAATTATAAAACAAATGAGTGACGAATTGAATGAATGAACAAATGAATAATGGTTCTTTGCCCAAACAGTGGCAAGTAGACAGAAGGCTGAGGCAGAAGATACATGGGACCTTTTACTCAAAATTAAATCTGGGCTGAAAAGTGTTTTGGGGACCATGGCCCCAAATGCTTTGCCCACCAAGGTATTTTTCCCCCATGTGGTATGTCTGAATACGCCCTCAGTGAGTTCCCAATCTAGCAGGAACAGATATATATATATATATATCCAACAGATGTCCCCTAAGAAATATTTAGAACTTGGCATCAAAGCTAACTTTGTCATGGGAAGATGCTCCTAATAGGGTGCTCCACTGGAGGCCCCTGAATCAAGCAAGAGAAGGTGACAGGAAGATTGGAGGAAAAGTGTGGCATCCCACATGACCCAGAGATACCACAACTGGGAGCAGAGGTGGCCTCCGGACTCACCAGTCCCTTCCATTGGGCACCCAAGATGCTTGAAGCCTCTCAAAAATTATTTACATGGCATTATTCTTGGTTATATTTATTCTCCACCCCCACACCCACCCCTATCATTCTCAATGTATAATTTAAAGAATCCGTTCTGTCTTATCTTATTTGGTAAGCCTAGCAATGCTTCATCAAATAAAGTGCTTTCTCTATTTCAGAAAAAAAAAAACTGATCTTTTTTGTGTCAGTTCTGCCAAGGGATCCACTTCTCGTTTTGTTTTGTTTCGTTGTTGTTTATTGAAACAGGGGTGGAAGGGCTATGTGGAGAAGAATGATGTAGGTGGAGGGGTAGAATTTGTTTCCATAGATCTCTCTCTCTCTCTCTCTCTCTCTCTCTCTCTCTCTCTCTCTATATATATATATATATATATATATATATATATATATATACTTTTTTTTTTTTTTTTTTTGCAAAGCTTGTCCCTATGTAATCCAGGCAAAAGAACCTAACTGGTCTCCCCCATGTTGCTGGCTTCTAGATACTGCAGGGGCTGTTCCTAAATTTGCTTCCTTTCTTAGGGATTTCAACCAGACTTGTCTCTGCTATTTGGGGTTTCTATGCTGACAGCAAAAGCTCCCTAGTGGCTCTGTTTCATTCAACCCATTTTACTGGGCCATTAGCTCAGTCTGCAGTGGCAGAAAATCAGGTCAATTCTACAAAGTACACAGACATTCCAAAAATTTTAATAACTGATTTTTTTTTTCCTAATCAGTTTTTTCCTCTCAGTTTCTCTATCTTTTAAATGGGGCTTAGAGGTTGAATCAGATCCGTGGCTTCTAAATTTCTCAGGTTACAACTATTTATCAGAATCTGCTGAAAACTAGAAATCCTTTCTAAGAGAGAAAAAGAAAGCTGAGATTTGAAAGACTGTTTAAAAGGGTTCATGCAATCCCTAAACTCATCCACAGTCACCAAGGGAAGAATCTACGTACCCCAGGTTAAGAAATGATTGCGCCTCCATCTCTAAAGCCCTGAGACTGCATGCAGGCTGCCAAAACAGAAAATACACGATCATTTTTGGAACATCTGTCTCTAGAAGAAATCAGGCTGACAGCTGAGCCATGGTATTGTGAGCAGCAAGCCCTCGCCCATCCTCCTCCACAGCTGTTGAACAAATGCACTGAGGTAGAGACAGTAAGATCCTGAATTAAGCACATCAAACTATTCCCGACGAAGGCAATATGAACAGTCTGTGCACCTTCCAAGTCTCCTGTAAACCAAACCTCCAATGGTAAGCTCTGCCTTCACATGAAGATGAACTGAGTCTTGTCAGTGATCTCAGTTTCTCTTGAGATCAAAGTCCCTGCCTCTAACCCCTAAAGGGCTGTCTGTTGACAAGGAAGCCACCCCTATTTTCGCAAGTGGCCTTTCTCATTATGACTTTATGGGATTGACACGTAACTCTCACTCACACTGGATTTTATACATGAACAAGCTTCGTCTGCTATTTTTTGAACCACGAGCTGCTGTTTCACAAACACACACTACCACTATTGTCTCATCTCTTCGTTTTTCCAGTGAATCCTTTGAACCCTCACATCTTGTGAGTTGGAAGTCCACTGTCTCCCCTTGAGTCTCTCTGCTCCCTCTTTTTTCCTCTAACTCTTAATTATGAAATTTTCAAATATACAGAAACAGTGAAGTAATAGAAAAATGAATATCTGTATACCCTCCATCTATATTCAACAATTATTGACATTTTGCCCTATTTGCTTTCTCTGTATGTATATATGTTTCTAAAACTATATGAGAGTAAACTGCAATAATTGAAACATTTCATGGCCAGGCCCAATGGCTCACACCTGTAATCCCAGCAATTTGGGAGGACGAGGCAAGCGGATCACTCGACATCAGGAGTTCGAGACCAGCCTGGCCAACATGGTAAAACCCCATCTCTACTAAAAATATAATAATTAGTCAGGCATGGTGGCACATGCCTGTAATCCCAGCTACTTTGGAGGTTGAGGAGGGAGAATTGCTTCAACCTGGGAGGCAGAGGTTGTGGTGAGCCAAGATCGCGCCACAGCACTCCAGCCTGGGAGACAAGAGCGAAACTCTGTCTCAAAAAAAATAAAAAAGAAAAAAAAAGAAAGAAACATTTTACTTCTATATACTTTAAAATTCATCTCCTAAGAATAATAATATTCTCCTCCATAACCACAATACCATAAGAAAATTTTAAATGATCCTTAATGTCATCTAATATCTGTTTCATACTCAAATTTCTGCAATTGTTTCCAAATGTACTTTTGTGATTATTTTTTATTTTCCAAATCATCACCCTCTGGCTGACATAGCTCTTTAACCTTTTAGTCTGGAGCAACCTCCAAGCACACACTTTGCTTTTCATGACACTGACTTTTTAAAGAGTCCAGGCCAAACATCTTGTTGAATGTCTCACATTCTGAATTTGTGTGATTATTTTCTCTTGTCTTATTTAGGCTCCTCTGTCCCTTCTACCTTCTATAAACTAGAAGTTTGGCCTAAAGCCTTTTTCAGACTCAGGTTAAATATATTTGGCACAGGCCAGGCACAGTGGCTCACACCTGTAATCCTGGCACTTTGGGAGGCTGAGGCAGGTGGAGCACCTGAGGTCAGGAGTTCGAGACCAGCCTGGCCAACATGGTGAAACCCTGTCTCTACTAAAAATACAAAAATTAGCTGGGCATGGTGGCATGCGCCTGTAAGCCCAGCTACTCAGGAGGCTGAGGCAGGAGAATTGCTTGAACCCGGGAGGCAGAGGTTGCAGTGAGCCAAGATCGCGCCACTGCACTCCAGCCTGGATGACAGAACGACACTCCGTCTCAAAAGAAAAAAAAAATATTTGGCACAAACCCTTCACAAGTATCTTATGTACTTTTGTATTACAGTAGAAGCTCCACAATGCCATTAGTAGTGGTTAAGGTAGAGACCACCAGATCTCTCCAATGTAAAGATATATTTTACCTTTACAATTCATAAGTAAACTGTGGTGTGACACTTAAGTCACATGAATATATCATTCCCCCAAGAATTTTACAACGAATGGTTTCAGTATGAAGAATTTTACACCTAATGGTTTTAGTGTCCATTGATACAATCCTTGAATGAATACATTGGGGATTGCAAAATGTACCCCCTTCCCTTCTGGAATTAATCCAAAAATGTCAGTTCTACTTTCACATTCAAATGAGGTTAGCATGAGGTCTGAGCAGTCCACTACTGCCATTGCTTCTTCTTGTCACTCAGTGTCACTGTTGAAGACAGTCCCTGCACAACCCTAATGGTTCTGGTCCACTTTGAGATGGTGCCACTTGGATCCAAATCCTTGAACAAGCTGCTGTATTCCAAAAAAGAGGCCAATTCCAGCCTATCAGTGATAAGTGGAGCTCTGAGTGCCCCTCCCCTATGCTCCCAGTTCAATTCTCAGGTTCACATATGCAGACTCAGCACATCAGCCTCCCTAGGAGGGCTAATTTCACAATAAGTTCCAGCAACTTCCACCTCATGGATTCCATGAGGAAACTGACTTTGTTCTTTTCCCAAAGACCCACACTAAGGAGCAGGCAGGTTTTCCTTTATAACTAAATAGAGTGAGACTGATGATACTCCCTGTCCACACTCACCCTTCTTTTTTCAGTTTATTTTTCTTGCCTTATTGCACTTATATTAAAAAACTGATTATTGTGACATGTAACACATATGGGAAAATCTATGTAAATAAAGGTCTGGCTAATAAGCCCAATGAGTTCCAACATCTGAGAAGACCCAATTATACCTGTCCCCAATAACTATTATCTCCTTTAAAGGTAACCATTACCAGGCACAGTCGCTCATGCCTGTAATCCTAGCAATTTGGGAGGCTGAGGTGGGACGATCACTTGAACCCAGGAATTTGAGACCAGCCTGGTCAACACAGGGAGACCTTGTCTCTATACAAATATAAAAACATTAACAGGACACAGTGGCACAAGCCTGTAGTCCCAACTACTCAGAAGAGCGAGGTGGGAGGATGGCTTTATCCTAGGGAGTTAAGGCTCCAGTGAGCCAAGAGCACACCACTGCACAGCAGCCTGGGTGACAGAGCGAGACCCTGTCTCAAAAAAATAAATAAATAAAGGTAATCATTGTCATGACTTTTATGCAATGGGGTGCTGGTAAGTGTTTAACAACCCTTTCTCAAAAAAAAAAAAAAAAAAAAAAAAAAACAAACAAACAAACAAAAAAAAAAAAACCTCTCAGACTATAATGCTTGCTGATTTCCTTGATGTAACTATTCCAACTGTGGCTGATTCCAAGCTACCAACAGAGATTTGGGTTGAGATGCTACAGTCAACTCTCCTGATACAGCACAGTCTCAACTCCAGCAGACTACTGTGTTTATGGTAACCACCTCCTTTCTTTCTTCAGGACTTTACTGCTTATATATACATATTTGAAAACCTAAAGTTTAATTGAGTTCTCTTTATGTAATTGGAATAATATTATGTGTATGAATCTCATCGATGTTGTTTAGACTAACTATAGCATGATCATTAACATGGAAATGTAGTATCAGTGTGTAATTATACCACAGTTCACTGGACATTGGGATTGTTTCCAGTTAGAGGCTATTAAAAATAATGAAGATTCTGTTGGGTCTGTCCTTATGACTGGAATTTCTGAGTACTAGGATAAGTGTGTCTTCAACTTCATTAGATTAAGCAAAATTTTCCAGAATAGTTTATCAAATTACGTTCCTTCCCACTGTGTGTGACATTTTGCTTCTTTCCATATTGTCAGTTGATATGGTCAGACTATTTAACCTTAGACTTGTAGACAGTATAAAATGGTATTTCATTGTGTCTTAAGGCTTTTTTCTGATCACTAATTAGCATCTTTTCTCTTGTTTTTGGCCATTTGGATCTTCTCTGCATTCTCAACTGTCCTTTTATGATTGAACTCTTTTGTGTCCCTTTAAAAAAAAAAAAACAGCCAGTCACAGTGGTTCACATCTGTAATCCCAGCATTTTAGGAGGCCAAAGCAGGAGGATCACCAGGAGTTTGAGACCAGCCTGGGCAACATAGTGAGACCTCATTTCTAAAATAATAAATAAACAGGCTGGGTGCAGTGGCTCATGCCTGTAATCCCAGTACCTTGAGAGGCCAAAGCAGGTGGATCACTTGAGGTCAGGAGTTTGAGACCAGCCTGGCCAACATGGAGAAACCCCGTATCTACTAAAAATAAAAAAAATTAGCCAGGCATGGTGGCACATGACTGTAGTCCCAGCTACTCAGGAGGCTGAGGCATGAGAATCACTTGAACCCAGGAGGCAGATGTTGCAGTGAGCCGAGATCACACCATTGTACTCCAGCCTGGACGACAAGAGTAAAACTCCATCTAAATAAAATAAAATAAAATATAAAATTAAATTAAATTAAAATTAAAAATTTAAGAAATATATTCCCAATCAAACCAGAAAAACTCAGAGTGGAAGCTGGAAATTGCTATTGGAGATTAGAGAAACGATCACCTGTCTCAACAGCAGTGGCCCATGCAGCCTTCTAAGGGAAGCCATGCTCAGTGACTGAAAGGCAATGTCCCAGGTGCGATTGCATATGCCTGTAATCTCAGCACTTTGGGAAGCTGAGGCATGAGGATTGCTTGAGGCCAGGAGTTGACACCAGCCTGGGCAACATAGCAACACCTTCTCCATACTAAAAATAAAAAAATTAGCCAGGCATAGTGGCGCACACCTGTAACCACAGTTATTCAGGAGGCTGAAGTGGGAGGATCACTTGAACCCAGAAGGTTAAGGCTGCAGTGAGCCATTATTGACCACTGTACTCCAACCTGGACAACAGAGCAAGACCCTGTCTCAAAGAAAAAAAAAAAGACAATGTGCCCTTCTAAGAGTATCTCCCCAAGTGATTCTACAGTATCTATACCCCCACACTTCTACCTTCAATGATCCAAAGTCATTTCTGGCACCTGTACATAGAGAAAAACTGCACAGATTTAATCTCTGGTGGGCCTTCCTGTACAGTCTCCATCATAAGCTACCTGTAATTAATCTTATGCTTATACAATGTACATATGTTCAAATGCTTTTACAACTATTGATATACTTTCTTCATAGGGACACTTATGCAGCTTGTGACTATATATGTTAAGCCAGTCCATTAACTTGTTAACTTTTCCAAAAGCCTAGTAAATTTCGGCCAGGCTAGAGGACAGAACTCAAAATCATAAGGTATATAAAGTAGGAGTTTGAAACAGCTCTACAGCGTAAATAGCTCTGGCTAAACTAGGCATACTGAATTTATCTACACAGACTACAGACATAATTATCAACTTCTGAGCTACCATTTATCATGTATCTGTAATTGCAAGACACTTTATATTCTTTGTGTCTAATCTTCAAAACAGCTCTACAAAGTAGGTTTTGTTATCTCCAACTAGATGAGGTAATGAAGGCTCAGCATAGTTAAAAGGTATTTCCAGGGTCACACACGTAGTAAGGAGGGAAACTCAAATTCAAACCCAGGTCTCTTGAACTCCAAAGCCTAGGCTTTTCCCACTCCTCTGCCTCTCACAACGGATGCAAAGCCTGAGTGTGGGATTTTGTCATTCTTTGAACTCTGGGCTGCCAAAGAGAAGCACTTCAACTGGAGCTCATTTAATCAGACTAACCAATGAATCCCAGTGGCATTTTCTCACATCTCTGTTTACCATATTTATTTGTACAAAGTACTGCCATGTTTAATTTTAGTCAGTGTTTACCTTCTCCAAATACTTCTGTGCCAAGAAAACAATAAAAAATCAACCTGAATAAGGCACTTTGGGTGGTAATTTTAAAATCAATAAGTAAAACAGGTAGGAAAGGGAAGATTTGGAACCATAAATGTCTATTTCCTGAGCTTGCTGTTAAGCTAAGTTGAAATGCTTAAATGTTTCCCACTCTACATCTCAAAAGAATGACCACAACTTTCCATTACTTACTGTTTTGACAACAAGTAATCCATCTCATCCGACTCACCTGTTGGAAAGCAAATGGATCCACTAAGCAATCCAGAAGATGATAAATGGGGGACAAAGTCTTTGCTGGCTGTGGCTCATCCATCATGTCTCCCAGGAAATGGGACCCAGGGGAGCAGATATGAGTGAGGACATGTTTCCTGTGGCCTCCAGGAAGGAACAGGCCACCAAATTGGCTTCTCCAGACCTACTCGGCTTCAGGTTACAGAATTACCAAATTGCTTTCCCTGCTACAGAGCATCTAAGTACTCAAACCTCACCCCTCAGAGGCAGTCCTCCCATTCATTAAGAGGCACCCCCCGAAAAACTAACCTTTTCCATGTCTTTCAGTTCTCTACTTGCCCACTTTGAGAAAAGAGAAGGCAGCCAATGCTTATTGAGGGCTGACTACAAGTCAGCCAGTTTGACACGTTTTCTCCTCAAACAGCTACAACAGCCCTGTGAGGTGGGCATTATTAGATATATCTCTTTTTCCAGAGAGACTATATATCTTGCTCAAGGACACACCGTATCAAGTGGCAGAGTTGAGAATAATTTCAGGTCTACACAGCTAGAAAGTCTGATAATTCTTGACCCTTCTTCTAAGTAGGTCTCTCCGTTCTTTGAGGTTATGTGTCAACAGGCTAGGAACCGAACACTGCTTTAGACCTCTAGAGATTTTGAGCTGGGGGAAAAAAAAAACCCTTACCAAGTCATCGACTTCCAATATCTCTCTTATCTGCCACAATGATTAACTGTCCCTAGGCTAAGCCATTTTGTGCTAGCTGTAGTCCCACTCAAGAAAGCACATCTGGCCGGGCAAGGTGGCTCACACCCATAATCCTAGTATTTTGGGAGGCCAAAGTGGGCAGATAGGTTGAGCCCAGAAATCTGAAAGCAGCCTGGGCAACCTGGCAAAACTCTGTTTCTACAAAAAATATAAAAATTAGCCAGGCATGGTGGCATGCACCTGTGGTCTCAGCTACACAGGAGGCTGAGGTGGGAGGATCACTTGAGCCCGGGAGGTCAAGGCTGCAAGGAGCCATGATCACACGACGGTACTCCAGCCTGGGTGACAGAGTGAGAACTTGTCTCAAAAAAAAGAAAAAAAAGAAAGAAAGCACATCAAACTCATGTGAGTACAGTGGCGTTGTAACAGGAGACAATGCTAAATCTCTCTTAATTTTTTATTAAATATTTATAAAATTTTCTACCCTACCTACTATTTTATCTTTACTGCTATATGTATTATCTATTATTTATCACAATATTGAGTTGGAAATCCTGATTTAGTCTAATCTTTTTCTTTCTCAGCCAAAGAAAACCAAGTCAAGCTCAGCAAGTGTGAGCTATTTGCCCAGGTAACATCATTGATAAGTGGTTTTGCTAAAGCGAGTCTTCTAAATCATGTCTTGGTTCCTGACGCTACACTGTAATATACAATTACTAATCCTGGGCAAGGAGAAAAATCTTGTTCCTAGTGCCTCGTGGACTCCCCTCTGGGTGCCCTCTCCTTCAAGGAGAAGGATCTTCATTTTACCTTTTCATCTTTGAAGTTTGCATTCTCTATGGGTAGAGACCACCTTTCTCCCCACCCCTCTCCCAGTCTCAGAGCCTCTCTTCACCAGCTGTCTCAGAGAAAAATGAACTAAGCCAGCACTCTGATGAAGATAGATAGGCAGCACAGTTAACTGGGCTGCAGAGCTGTGCTTCTCAAACATTCTGGTCTCAGGATGCTTTATACACTTCAAAGTTATTGAGAACCTGCCAGGCGCAGTGGCTCACGCCCGTAATCCCAGCACTTTGGGAGGCCGAGGGGTGGATTACTTGAGGTCAAGAGTTCGAGACCAGCCTAGCCAACATGGTGAAACCCCATCTCTACTAAAAACACAAAAATTAGCCAGGCATGGTGGTGGGCGCCTGTAATCCCAGCTGCTCAGGAGGCCGAGGCAGGAGAATTGCTTGAACTCGGGAGGCGGAGGTTGCAGTGAGCAGAGATTGCACTACTGCACTCCAGCCTGGGCAACAGAGCAAGACTCTGTCTCAAAACAAACAAACAAACAAACAAAAAACAAAGTTATTGAGAACCCCAAAGAACTCCAAATCAAACAGACCAAAAATTAGTGAGAAGAATAGCATTGTTTTAAATGTTTGCAAACCTCTTTAGCATCTGTCTTAATAGAAGACAGCTGGAGTCTCATAATCTGCTTCTGGATTTGCTCTGTTGTGATATCACATGTCATGTAGTCTCTGGAAATCTCCCCTATACATTCATGAGAGAATGAGTGTTTTAAAAGGCAAATACCAGGCTGGGCATGGTGGCTCACACTTGTAATCCCAGCACTTTGGGAGGCCAAAGCAGGAGAATTGCTTGAGTCCAGGAGTTTGAGACCAGCCTGGACAACACAGTGAAACCCCTGTCTCCACCAAAAAAAAAAAATCAGCTGGACATGGTGGAATGCACCTGTAGTTCCAGCTACTTGCAAGCCTGAGGTAGAAGGATTGCTTAAGCCTAGAAGGTCAAATGAGTCCATATTACACCACGGCACTCCAGCCAGGACAACAGGCAACAGAGCGAGACTTTGTCTCAAAAAAAAAAAAAAAAAAAAAAAAAAGCAAATCTCATCTTAGTGTTACTCAAAAATAGTTTTGACTTCACAGACACTGAAAGGGTCTCTGGGACACATACACATACACACACACACACACCCCTGCGGTTGTCCCAGGACCATAACTTGAAAGCTACTGCTATAGAATAATGAACATGGGGTAAGAGGAGCTCCAATCCTGGTGACCACTTACTGGGTATGTGACCTTGGGCATGAATTCATGCATAAGAAAGAACCTGGCACAGACTAAATGTCTTCTAAAAAGCTTTTTAAAACCTGCTCCCAAAATATTTATGTAAAAAGAAATATGCTTAGGGATAGTGCCTGATTACAAAGAAACGACTCTCTCAAGATGGGCTATCAGGAAGGCTGGGAAGCACAGATGGGAAGTGAATTTCAAAAACCTTTGGCAGTGGTGGGTATCCCTTGAGTCATCCTTCCCAACCCTTGGTTCGCATCATGCATGTGCCCACTTTATGGAAAATTCCAGCTGTGGCTGCATATATTCTACTTACTCCAACAATTATCTATCGTATCTGGGCCTTTCACTCCTTACCGATTCTTCCGAACCTTCCTCTGCCCACACCATTGAACAAGAAGTCTTCTAAGAGTTTCCCCTGCAAAAATGAGTCTTTTTGATTGAATGACCTATTTGTACCTGCTGTTGGGGCTCTTTCTCCTCATCCTGACAGAGACCACCAGAGCTGTCCTCTCTCTCCTGTGCCTGCCTCTGACTGCAGGCATGGATGGGGGTCTGGGACTCATCCCAATCTATTTTCTCACTAGCTAATGAGCAGGAATTCTTAATTAGACTTAGTTCTTGGGGAATCATTTCTGTGGATGTTATAAATAACAGGGTGTGGTCTGCATTCGGAATCATAAAAATTAATTTTGGCTATGTGGTACACTCTGCCATTCCTATTCAGCCATCTTTCATGGCCACAGAGGTCCAAGAACACTAAGGCCATATTCCTGCCACCAAGGCAGCAGGGTTTTGAAGAACTTCTGACCATAATTTTAGTTGAATTATACTGCCAAACTTCCAAATTATTTGTTTTTTGAGACAGAGTCTCGCTCTGTCACCCAGGCTGGAATGCAGTGGCACAATTATGGCTCACTGCAGCTTGGACCTCCTGGGCTCAAGCAACCTTCCTGCCTCAACCTCCCAAGTAGATGGGACCACAGGCACATGCCAACATGCCCAGCTAATTTTTTATTTTTAATAGAGAAAAGGGCTCACTATGTTGCAGGCTGGTCTCAAATTCCTGGGCTCAAGCAATTCTCCTGCCTTGGCCTCACAAAGTGCTGGGATTACAGGTGTGAGCCACTACACCCAGCCCCAACCCTCAAATAACACAAAGACCTGAGGAAATATGGGGAGGCCCTAGCAGCCTGGACTTGCAAGTCCTCCGAGATTATATTTGAATAGAGTAGGAACCACATGACTGAAATGTTTAGGAGAAGGAAAGGCTGTTAGAGGTAAGAAATACAAATGCCCTATACTAGAGAAATCTGGTGCCCTACACTAGGCTTCATCAATCTGATAGGCAGGTAGCACAAATAAATATGTGAAACAGGTGAAAACTGTGCTTAGCAGGAGAGCACACACTCCACCTGAAGGGGGCAGCACCTGCAGCTGACTGTTACCAGGCCGCACAGTGGCCCCAGTGTCACCAAGCTCGATTTTTCAAGAGACCCCAGAAATCTGGACTTTTTAAAATGTGAAATCTGCCACTATTTAAATGTTTGCACATTTTAAGTCATACATATTCTCCAATAAAAATTCAACAAAAAACTTTTCCAAAAAGTTTCAGTGAAAATAGCCATGGGCTGCCAATTGCATCTGATAGCCCAAAATGTCATTCCCTGGAAGGCAAGAATATTTCTATTAACCTGAAACACTGTGGCTCCTGCTCTATGTTGCCCAGAGCTCAATTTTTGTTTTGATCTTCTAGTGTGATGAGAATCTGCACATTACATGGTCACACGACACAGAACTGTAGCTGATAGTTTGCCATTTCCGGAGCTGATTTCATGTACTTTTAACAGATCTCACAGGCTTACACAGGGATATTCTTCCTTCTGGAAGGTTGCAGAGATTAAATAATTACAGCCTGACTTCAGCTACTTCTGTCTTACCTCAACCACCACTGCTGGCTCCACTCTGTTCCCCAGAGTGCATGGCTACCCAGCATGGTCAATACTTATTTCTCGGTACCCTTTGGCAAGAATGAATCATACTGGATATAAATAAATAAATAAATAAATCCATTCATCCTAGGGGAAAACCAAAAGGTAAAGCAGAACAGTGAGCAGAGAAACAGGGAAAACAACACTATGAAAACACTTCGGGCCAGTGTGGTGGCTCAGGCCTATAATCCCACCCAGCCCTTTGGGAGGCTGATGTTGGAAGACTGCTTGAGGCCAGGAGTTCAAGGCCGACCTGAGAAACATAGCAAGACTCCACCTCTATATTTTATTTTTAAAAAAATTTTTTTAAACAACAAACCTAAAAGTAGCAAAATCCACCTTTATATTTTATTTAAAAAAATTTTTTTTAAACAACAAACCTAAAAGTAGCAAAATAAAGCAAATAAACCTAATTATATGTCTAGTTGATGGCATAACCACACAGAGATAAACTATTTCCTATTACTTTAAATATAGGACTGGACAAAAAAGCTATATTTGGCAATTATATTGTTGGCTATAGTATTGATATTGTTATTCTGGGACTGTTGTGTCTGTATTGTAGAATAAAGCAATTTAGTAGTTATATTGTATCATTGGGGCAGAATCCAGTGGCTTACGCCTATAACCCCATCACTTTGGGAGGCCAAGGCAGGTGGATCACCTGAAGTCAGAAGTTTGAGACCAGCCTGGCCAACCCTGTCTCTACTAAAAATACAAAAATTGGTGGGCATGGTGGCAGATGCCTGTAATCCCAGCTACTCGGAGGCTAAGGCAGGAGAATCGCTTGAACCCAGGAAGCAGAGGTTGCAGTGAGCCAAGATCACACCATTTCACTCCAGCCTGGGTGACAAGAGCAAAACTCCGTCTCAAAAAAATAAAAAGAAAACAAAAAAAATTAGTTACATTGTATCACTAGCAATTACAATTGTCAACATGTGAGAAGATAAAGATATAAGACTGACCCTGGGCAACATGATGAAATCTGTTCTCTACAAAAATTACAAAATTTAGCCAGGTGTGATGGCATGTGCCTGTGGTCCCAGCTACTTAGGAAGCTGAGGTGGGAGAATCATTTGAACCTAGGAGGTTGAGGCTGCAGTGAGCTGTGATTGCACCATTGCACTCCAGCCTGGGCAACAGAGCAAGATCCTGTCTCAAAAGAAAAAAAAAAAAACAGATGTAAGTCTGATAAAACTCTGTAGAACTAAATTTTAATTAGAAATTTTACTTTGGAGAATTTGTTTTTAAAAACCCTAATAATGCAATTAATAAGCATTTTCTATTAAATATATATATGGGTATATATATTTCTTTGTTTGTTTGTTTTGAGACAGAGTCTTACCCTGTTGCCCAGGCTGGAGTGTAGTGGAATAATCATGGCTCACTGCAACCTCAACCTCTCAGACTCAAGCGATCCTCCCACCTCAGCCTCCTGAATAGCTGGTATCACAGGTGCATGCCCTCACACCTGGCCTTCTATTAAATATTTAATATATTCAAGACTATATGTGCAATAAGCACAGAGTACATATTATTGAGCAATCAAGATCTGTTATAAAAATACGTCTTGTGTTAGGCCATAAAGCAAGTTTCAATAAATCTTAAATGAATAATAGCAGAGCAGCTATGTTCTTTAACCTCAATGCAATAAAATCAAAAGTCATTAACAAAAAAAAAATATAGCTCAAAAAGACAAAAAACAAAAACAAAAAAATCCCCCCAGGGCCAGGCACAGTGGCTCACACCTGTAATCCCAACACATTGGGAGGCTGAAGTGGGTGGATCACTTGAGGCCAGGAGTTCAAGACAAGCCTGGCCAAGATGCCAAAACTCTGTCTCTACTAAAAATACAAAAATTAGCCAGGTGTAGTGGCGCACACCTGTAGTCTCAGCTACTCAGGACGCTGAAGCATGAGACTCGCTTGAACCTGGAGGCAGAGGTTGCAGTGAGCCAAGATCACAACACTGCACTCCAGCCTGGGCGACAGAGTGAGACTCTGTCCAGAAAAAAAAAAAAAAAAAAATTCCCCCAAACCCACCATATGTTAGGGAAGCTACATAATATATTACAAAATAACTCTTGGATCAAAAAGGAAAACAGAGAAAGTTAAATTCTTAGGACTAAATGATAATGAAAAAAACTACACATTAAGATGTATGGAGCACAGCTGAATAAGTACTAACTTTGAGGGAAATTTATAGTTTTAAATTGGGCCAGTAGGTGATAAGAAAAAACAAGATTGGCATTTAATTCAAGAAACTGGAAAAAGAGCACAGAGCAAATCGTCGCCCCATAAAATAAATTTTACTTCAATGCCTTTTTTCTTTTTTCTTTTTTCTTTTTTCTTTTTTTTTTTGAGACAGAGTCTCACTCTGTCGCCCAGGCTGGAGTGCAGTGGCGCAATCTCAGCTCACTGCAACCTCTGCCTCCCAGGTTCGAGCAATTCTCATGCCTCAGCCTCCCGAGTAGCTGGGATTACAGACATGTGCCACCACACCCGGCTCATTTTGTGTATTTTTAGTAGAGATGGCGTTTCACTATGTTGGCCAGGCTGGTCTCGAACTCCTGACCTCAGGTGATCCGCCCACCTCAGCCTCCCAAAGTGCTGGGCTTATAGGCATGAGTCACTGTGCCCGGCACCACCCTTTTTTTTTTTTTTTTAATAGGGTTGCTCTTTCACCCAGGCTGGGGTATACTAGCGGGGTTTCGCCATGTTGCCCAGGCTGGTCTCAAACTCCTGGGCTCGAGGGATCCACCTGCCTTGGCCTCCCAAAGTACTGGGATTACAGGCATGAGCCACTGTGCCTGGCCAAGAAATTTTACTTTGAATGCATGATGTATTTTATCTTTAAAATGTAAATGAAAATTTCCTGGCTTTATCACCTAAAAAACTTAACACACAACAACCAACCCAGTGTATGAGTTCCTCTGGCACCCTAATTGTGCTTTCTAAATATCATTTTCCACTATTAAGAAAAAAAATCTACTTAAAGAGATGATTGCTTCCAGGTCTAAAAACCAAAAATGTACAAAATGAACCTAGAACATCTTGTCATACCTGAAAGCAAGGAAGCTATCAGAATCCTAGGATCATACCAAAGGACTTGGGAACCAACATATTGGTCTAAGATGGGCAAATGTGGCCATCAATTAAAGATAAAAACTTCAGTACATTAAAAACACAGGTATGTTTCTATCAATACGTTCATAGTGATTTTTTAAAAAGCACCGTCATTGGTTACTTTTGGAAATTCCTAAGGATCCAACTCATTATCTTGAAAGTAATAAACAGAAGAGAATCAAGCACTTATTTTGACTTTCCAAAGGGACTCTATGTCAAGGCAACCAAATAGTTTACATGGGAAAGTTTCTCTTTACAGATGTGTTCCAGCAAATAAAGCATGACAAAATTAGAATGCTATCATTTTGCAACCCTACTGAGTCAATGTCTCTAGGCAATAAATTTCAATGGCTGCTCACAACCCTAAGGGAAGAGACCTGGACAGACAACAAACAGCAACTCTGAAGTCTTGGGTCGGGGGTGGGGAACTCTAGGTAACAATTTGCACAAATTTGAATGTACCACAAGGGATAGAGAATAGAGAACACATTAAATGGTACCAGGGTGAAATGTGGAACAGTCAGGAGTATCACAGGTAACCAAGTTGCTCTTGGATCGATGCAACTGCCGTCAAATAACTAAAATCTTTAATGAGTCCTAACCACCATTGAAGAATGCACTCATTTTCAGTGAAGCTGAGGCATCTAACTGCTCAGATCGTTCCACCTTCTCTTGCCTTCTACAATCATATCCCTAAAATAAACCCCATTAACCGAAGTTCCTGATCATATCTATTTCTTCATTAAAAGTGTCCTACACATTAATAAGAAAGTACATACGTCGTGAGGCCGAGGCGGGCAGATGGCTTGAGCTCGGGAATGTGAGACTAGCCTGGGCAACATCGTGAGACCTCATCTCTACAAAAAAATAATAACAAAAAAGTAGCCAGGTGCAGTCACACATTCCTGTAGCCCCAGCTACTTGGGAGGCTAAGATGGGAGGATTGCTTCAGCCCAGGGGGGTCGAGATTGCAGTGAGCCAAGATCACACCACTGCACTCCAGCATGGGCGACAGAGTGACACCCTGTCTCAAAAAAAAAAAAAAGAAAAGAAAAAGGAAAGAAAAGAAAAGAAAAAGAAAAAGAAAGCACAAAATTTCCTCCCCAGCCTTTGTACACAAGCACTTTCCACCAGAGTTCCATTGACATGCCACTGAATTTGGATAATCATGTGAACCTGGATTTGATAGGAAACAAATGAGAAAATTAAGTCTAAAGGAGTTTTGACTGCTTGAAGAAGAAAAATGCTGTGAAATGTCTATTTCTATCATTTCCATATGTTGGACAACATTTAGACCACTCAAAAATATAAATTATAACTCACAGAGCTTTATTATTTATATTAAAATGGAAGCTTAGAGAACATCTCCAGAAACTGTTACCATTCAGAGGGCTGTGACTTTTCAGCAGGGAGATTTCCAATGTATTGTTAACATAGCATTAAAGGTATGAAACAATTTCTTAAAGGTCTAAAAATGGCAGAACAGCTCCCCTGTTTCTCATAGTGTCTCAATCTTTTCCATATTTAGTGAGCAAGAGTCAAAAATATCAAAACTCCTGGGAAATTCTCAGTAAAAGAATGTATTTTTGCTCAGCATAATTTAGTTCCGTTTGTGGTTTTATCGTGCAAGACTCAGGATCTCTTATACTTGAAAGAGGGAGAAAGAGGAAACATGTCTGTCAGCCAATGGTCCAAATATTCCTTTATCATTTGGCCATTTTCTTGCACATTCATACGAAATCAAAAAACGGGATGAAAAAGAATGGGAGCATGGCCTAAAATAACAAACAATCCTTAGTTAAAAAATGCTAAGCTATGATTTGATCATCTTATACATCAATGGTGACAGAGGAAAATCTTGTATTTTCTATGGCAAGACATCAAAGGAAGCAAATTTATGATAAATAATACCATGCAAAAAGCAGGGCATTGATTTTAATTGCTCTTAATGTATACTGCAAGCCAGAGAAAAGGCAAGACTTTGGAGAAAGTAATGATTTAAAAATAAAAAACAAAAAACGTAAAACCCTGAGATCATAGTGTCTGTGAGGATAGAGAGCTGGGTTCTGCTTAAGCCATTCTCTAAAGCTAAAAGGAGACATTTTTCCCTTTTCCGAAAGAGCTATCTATATCTACTACCCTGTAATCTTGACCCATGTTAAAATCTTGGACCTCTAGCTAGATTTGCCATTACTATGATTGCAGAACTCAAAATATCAGCTAAGAAATTAATTTAGTGCTGGATAACTGAAGTAACTAGAAGATTTTTTTTTTTTTTGAGATGGAGTCTCATTATGTTGCCCAGGCTGGAGTCCAGTGGCGCCATCTGGGCTCAATGCAACCTCTGCCTCCCGGGTTCAAGCGAGTCTCCTGCCTCAGCCTCCTGAGTAACTGGGACAACAGGTATGCACCACCACGCCCTGCTAACTTTTTGTATTTTTAGTAGAGACGGGGTTTCACCATGTTGGACAGGATGGTCTCGATCTCTTGACTTCGTGATCCACCCACCTTGGCCTCCCAAAGTGCTGGGATTACAGGCGTGAGCCACCGCACCTGGCAGGAGAATTTTTAAAGGTATAATATTTGCTGTAAATGTTTTGCGAATTCTGTTTTTAGTATCTATTAGTAATGACTCGTTTAAGATAGTGTCATCCAAACTGGAATGAATTTTTCTCTTTTTTAGAGATGGGTTCTCGTTATGTTGCCCATGCTGGAGTGCAGTGACTATTTACAGGTACAGTGATAGCACACTACAACCTTGAACTCCTGGGCTCAGGTGATCCTACTTCAGCCTCCTGAGGAGCTGGGACTACAGGTGTGCACTACCACACCCGGCTGGAATGAACAAATGAGAACAATGAAGATTATCCCCAAATGACCTATCCACTACTTTTTAAATTGCCACACAGATGCTACAGACAAGATTCATTGTGTTCAATGATCTCAGGTTTCTACTAGTATACAGTCATATAATTTGAGAATTGTTGAGTTTAATGGAATCCTTTTAAAAAATCTAGTTCTAGTATGGGTTTTGTTATGTAATTGAGGATGTATGTCTGGAGCACTGTGTTTTGGACTCTGGCTACGGTTGGGCTCAATGGGAAAAGATAATGTAGATCAATTAGAGATGCTACTGGCACTTCTTGGACCCGGGAGTTGGGGGGGACAGGACGCTTCAGTACATGTACCACAGATTTACCACCCCACTCAGGTCCAACATCCCATCTGGAAGTGAAAGATTCAGATCTATTTCTAAACTCTTCCACTAGCTAGTCTGGGCCAATAACATTAGAAAGCAAAAATAAGTCACCCAAAATATTTGAGCCTGCATTTACTTACCAGCAGTCAAATGAAAACAGTAATCAGTAATACCTGCTCCAGCACTCAGACAGGGCAGTTGACAAGAACAAATAAAACAATGTTTAGGTGAGGGCTTTGAAAACCCAGAACACTCCTTGAATATCAGTTTAATTAATTTTTTAAAATAATAAATTATCCTCTATAGATGTCTATTTATCATTCACCTAGCTTCAGCTTATACATATGTGAATGTTCCAGTATCATTAGGAAATAAAACCAGATAGAACCATTTTTAAGCACTGTGCCAGTGGTGTTTTGTTTCTAAGGGGTGAATATTTTGGAAAGTTTTCATTTATCAGTTATAGGTATTTATACATCCCTTTTATCTGCCAAGAGTTTGAGACAACATACAAATCCTGTAAAAGTACATACAATAAACAACAAAACCAAGGGAAAGGGCCACAAAACTGTCAGACAAGATGAAAAATTTAGATCTGAGCTTCCTGGCAACCAAGGAAAAATATTAAGCAACACAGTTACATAATTCTCATTTTTAGAAAAGACAAAAAAAGATTTAGTTAAAAAATTAGAATTATGGCCAGGCGTGGTAGCTCACACCTATAATCCTAGCACTTTGGGAGGCTGAGGCAGGCAGATTGCCTTAGCTCAGGAGTTCAAGACCAGTCTCGGCAACATGGCAAAACCCCATCTCTATTAAAAATACAAAAAATTAGCCCAACATGGTGGCACATGCTGGTAATCTCAGCTACTCAGGAGGCTGAGGCATAAGAATCGCTTGAACCCAGGAGGGGGAGGTTGCAGTGAGCCAAGATCGCACCTCTACACTCCAGCCTGGGCAACAGAGTGAAACTCTGTTTAAAAAAAAAAAAAAAAATTAGAATTAATTTTATCTTCCACCATGCTGAAGATAGTCTATATTTTTTCATCAAGCCTTCTATTAGCCCATGTAATACAGACCCAGCTAACAATGTCTCTCCAGAGACCTTTAAATATAAAAGAGTCCGTGTCACCAAGAAAGAGGATATACTTTGATTCTGGCCCAGCATCAATTTCAAATTCTGAGAGCACACCCAAGGGGCAGCACAGAACCCTATGAAGAACATAGAACTGAGAATCTAAAACCAGTTCATGTCCCAGTCTCCCCATCTGTTGGCTGCGTTGCCATGGGCAAATATTTTAATTCTCTGAGTCCCAGTTTTCTCATCTATAAGAAGAAATAATTATATCTACCTTGGAGGATTGTAATAAGGAAAAAACAAGTCTATTTGGCAGACACTTCATCTGTAAAGCACTAATGACATTTTCATTACTATTAACTCTAATGTTTTATAGTCCATGAATGTATCTAATGTAGCAATGCCCAGAGCATATTCAATGCATGCTAATCCCATATGTTCCCTCTCAGAGATTTAAAGTGTACACTGGCTGTTTTACTTCATCCAGGCTAATATAACAAAATACCACAGACTACCGGGCTTCTAAACAACAGAAATTATTTCTCACAGTTCTGGAGAATGGGAAGTCCGAGATCAAGTTACCAGCAGATTAGGTGTCTGGTGAGGGCCAGCTTTCTGGTTCATAAACCGCTGTCTTTTGGCTGTGCCCCCACATGGTAAAAGGAGCAAATGAGCTCTCTGGGGCCTCTATGATAAGAGCACTAATCCCAATTCTGAGGGTTATGCCCCCATGACCTAATCACCTATGAAAGCCCCATCTTTTAATACCATGACCTTGGGGGTTAGGACTTCAACATAGGAATTTGGAGAAGACACATTCAGTCCATGGCATTTGGCATGTTGCAGACCTGAGCGGTCCTAAAAATAAAATGCTCTGTTTAGCTTGTTTTAACGCAGTATTTCCAGAGTACAGGCCCCACTTTCTATTTGCATGATTCTATTGTGTAATCCATCCTTTGGGAACATTATATTAACACAAGGGCTCTCAATTAGGGGTGATTTTGCCCCCCAGGAGACACATGGCAGTATCTGAATATATATTCAGTTATCACAGCTGTGGTCAGGGCAGGGGCTGAGATGCTACCATAATCTAATGTGTAGAAGCCAGGAATGTTGCTAAACATCTTACAATGCACAGGACAGCCTTCCACAATAAAGAAGTATCGATCCCATACAGCCAATAATCTCAAGCTCAGGAAGCCCCAATCTAATCCATTTTTAAAAAATATTTATATTTCTAACCTGTATACTGCTAAAGGGTTAACAGTCCTAGAGGTATATTATCTTCTGTGAACTGGAATATCTTTTCTTCCCTCCAACCTCATTTGCAGTAGGCCTAGTTTATGTATTTATAGTGCTCCAGGGCTTCAAGAGCAATCCATGGGGCCCAGCCCTCACCCTTGACAACTCTGATTAAATCCCTTACAGCTTTGTTCATTCTCAGCCACGGTCATAATCTCACAGCTGTGCTGTGTATCAGCACTGCCCCCCAATTTTCCTGCTTCTCTCAGTTCTAGCCATCTTTGAACCTTCTCCAGAGACAGCAGGTCCTTCTTGAAGGGCAGTGACCAGATCTACACCCAGAATTCCAGATACAGGGGACCCTTGCAGTGAGCTGGATGCTTCCTAAGAAAAGGTGTATACCAACAATATACTTGCCAGGCCACGACAAAGACCTAGAAAGTGTCACTTCAGGCCAGGTGCAGTGGCTCACACCTGTAATCCCAGAACTTTAGGAGGCCGAGGTATGTGAATTGCTTGAGCCCAGGAGTTTGAGACCAGCCTTGGCAACATGGCAAAACCTTGTCTTTACAAAATCAAACATTAGCTGGGCATGGTGGCATGGCTGAGGTGGGAGGATAGCTTGAGTCCAGGAGTTCGAGGCTATAGTGAGCTGTGATCATACCACCGCACTGCAGCCTGAGAGACAAAGTGAGACCCTGTCTCAAGAGAACAAAAGTGTCACCTCATAATCATAGTTTGCATGATGTCTTTCTATGTGTCATGTGTACAAATATCAGCTGAAGTGTGCCCTTTTCAGCTCCCATTCTGCTCAATGGAAGAAATTTAATCTCAGTAAATTCAGGATGCCTGTAGATTTCCATTTCCTCAGGGCTCCCAAGATGTCAGGGGCAGGGTCTACCAGGTCCTTCATGTCACCTCCATACTGGTCCTCTGCTATGTTATTCCAGTTCCTCTTCATGGCCACAGTCTCCTGTGTCCCATCCACGCCACTATCATGTCCCTTGTGCCTCAGTTTCCCCAGCCTACCTGGGGCTCCATTGTTCCTCACGCAGACTTGGCCCAGGGACGTTCAGGGCACAGGAACCAATATTTTTTCTCCCCCTCCAACTCCACTCTAGGGTACTTTTCAGTGTTTGCCTGTTTTTGTTCTTCATTCTACTCATCACATATTCTCTATGCCCTGAATCCCCTTAGGAGGCATGCTTTTGAAACTCCAAAACTTAAGCTTTTGAACCTCAAAAGCTTTTCTTTTTTTTCTCAAATTCCCATCTCCACCAGCAGTTTCAAAGTCTGTTTAGACTCTTAGCTTTCTCTCTGCATTTTTGCTAAGTCATTCATTCATCTAGAGAATAAAAGCAGAATGTCTTTAGTCTGGATTCAGGGACAGGTTAGGGGCAGAAGCAGAGAAACTTTGGTTAAATCTCAAAATATGATTATCTCAAAATTTGTGAGCTCTCCTGCCACTTCTGGGTCGACTTCAAGGGTCTGTCCATGTCTTCTTATATCCAATCTTAAATCCATCAAACAACAAGGTCTGATGCTTCACACCCTGAAAGAGTAGAGTACAGGGATAACAAATAGATTTTATCTCACTGGACAAATTCGATTGATTGGAATGACTGCCTGGAGTAGTGTTGAAAAGGCTGAGGCCTCAGCTGGGCTCAGTGGGCAAAAACGGATTCAGCACATCTGCCATGGATATGGGAGGAGGGATGTGATAGCATGCAGGCCAAGAATCACTGGTTTACTGTTATTTGCAAACTTACTGTTATCATCTAGAGCCTCCCTTTACCACAACATATAAGTAAACATTGTTAAAAGGCTTGATGGAAAGCCTGCAAAAAGAGGGAACCCCGAGTATAAAGGATGCCAAAAAAACAGGATTGTCTCAGCACCAGCAACCCAAGTGGTACCCTCTGGAACTGGGAATGGGATATGCGTAGATTCTCAGGGCCCCAGCATGTGGTCCTTCACTTCTCCCCAGCTCCCCAGCCTGCCCTCAGGGAAGAATGGAAGAGTATATGGGGTTTGTACCTTCTGGAGTAAGCAGAGAAACTTGATTGCACAAACTAGTTATTTCATGAGCAATGGGAGCCAGTGATGATTTTTAAGTGAAGGAACAAGATAAGAGGGGATCTTTAACAGAACTAACCCAGCAGCTGCACATAGAATGAAGTAGACGGGAGAGTATAAAGGCAAGAACACTTCTTGGAAATTTGCTACAGTAGGCCAGGTGAGGAGTGCTCATGAATGGGAATGAGTGCAGAGACGGGGCCAGCAGGCCACCCTCACCTTAATGCAAGTCAAACCACAGGCCTTAGAGAAGCCCAAGGGTCAGGACTTTCTGCAGCATCTGCCTTTGCTTTTAAGGGAGCTACAGATTTGTAAAAGTCAAAATGCCTCAAAACAGAATGCTGCTAGCCTGGCCTGATTTAGAGAGGCCTAGTTGGGGACCCTAAAAGGAGACATGCCCACTTCCAGGTGGCTGCATGCCCAAAGGGAACTTCTGCTACAAAATGTGACTCTAGGCCACCCTGACAAAGGTCAGGCACTTGGGATGTGGCAGCCGCTCTTTAGCTCTTTCCTTTTGGTTATTTCTCTAAGACTCAGAATAATTCCTTCAAGGTGTAAATCAGCCCTTCCCACTGAAACAAACTAAATCAAAAACACAGAAAGAAAAGCATGCACAGCACAGAGATGAGATTACCAAGGAAGATCACCTCGGCCTAGAGCTGCTTTTTGATCAATCAACGCAGGCAACTTGGGGCATTGGGCAGCATGGGGGCTGTATATCCTGCCTGGAGTAGAAAGCAAGCATAGAAATAGTAGAAGCCACTCTACAGGGTTTTCTCCTTTGAGAAAAGCGAGATTTAGGATCCCCAAATCCATCCCCCTCCAGTTTCCTCCTCCCCACATTGACCTGCCTTTTTCTCTTTATTTCTGTCTCATCTTCCCTCCCCAGTTTGCCTTTCTTGCTCCCTCTCTGCTCTGCCTTTTTCTTACCCCTCCATCCAAACTTGGCAATAACAGAATGTACCTCTGGGTCAACCTCAAAGAACCTCTAGCAGACAATTTATGATCATCTCTTCCCAATCCCCATCCTAGTATGAGCTGGGCAGCTGTCCCTGGAAGATGGCTGAGTTATCCACAGTCACTTCTTCACATATTCCTAATACCTCATCACCAATCAGGAAAATATTTGGATTCTGTATGCCAAGCCTGCTTCTGCCTGGCTCTGCTAGCTTCCGTTACTGATGACACATGGGGTGAGGGGTGGGCCGGTGAACCTTCATGCTGGCTGCAATCAGTGGGACATTCAGCTACTCACCCCACCCCAGCACAAAATGAGACATAAACATTGGATGCCACCAACAGGTGCAGACCAGGCTGCGGAGTTCCAAGGGCAGAGGAGGCTGGGAACCCAGGGAGGCTGGGAGGAGAGGTAGGAAGACAGAAGGAGCACCCCAGGTCAGTGTGGATGAGTAAAGAACCCCAACCGAAATTGTTCAAGGCCTTGTTGGGGCCAGTGAGTGTGCTGGCCAGCCTGAAAGGAAAGCTAGAGAGAGAAAACTAGAAAACTCAATTGGAGCCAGTGTAAAGAGGGCCTTGAATGCTAAGACCAGAGTTTGGAATTTATCTCATTCATAATAGAGAGACATGGAAAGTTGTTAAACCGAGGAGGAACACTATCAGAATGTGTAAGAAAGTATCAAAAGACCTTTCTTGGCCAGGCACGGTGGTTCACACCAGTAATCCCAGCACTTTGGGAGACGTAGGTAGGTGGATCACCTGAGGTCAGTAGTTTGAGACCATCCTGATCAACATGGTGAAACCCTGTCTCTACTAAAAATACAAAATTAGCTGGGTGTGGTGGTGCATGCCTGTAATCACAGCTACTTGGGAGGCTGAGGCAGGAGAATTGCTTGAACCCAGGAGGCAGAGGTTGCAGTGAGCTGAGATCATGCCATCACTCCAGCATGGGTGATAGGAGCAAGACTCCATCTCACAAAAAAAAAAAAAAAAAAAAAAAACAACAACAACAACAAAAAGACCTTTCTTGTTTTAGCACAATTAGTACTTGGCCCATGGCTGAAAACAGCAGTTGCTGAAGAACACAAGGGGTGAAAAAAAAGTGGGGCCAGACCCTGCACTTTGGGCCATCCCTGTAATCCCAGTGCTCTGCAAGCCTGAAGCAAGAGGACAGCTTGAGCCCAGGAGTTCAAGACCAGCCTGGGCAACACAGCAAGATCCTGTCTCTACAAAAAAATAAAATAAAATTATCTAGGCATGGTGGCACATGCCTGTAATCCTAGCAACTGGGGAGGCTGAGGTGAGAGGATTGCTTAAGCTTAGGAGTTGGAGGCTGCAGTGAGCTATAATCACACCACTGCACTCTAACCTGGGCAACAGAGTGATACCCTCTTTCAAAAAGACAAAAAATATGGGGCCAGATGCCACATGCCCCTGTGGTTTATTGATGGGTCCCATTAGAATGCCACCACCTCAAACTATATGAGCACTTCTGCTGGGCAGGGGTCAGAGAGTCAGAAGAGATGAGCCTGGGAAAACATAGTGGCTTTTCCTCCTTTGGGCAGCCAGGGATATACACCCTCTTTCCCCTGGTGTTGACAAGGACTCCAGGAGACGCACACATGGAGATCGAGGAACCTGAAAGAGGAGAGGCAGGAAATCCATTCCCTGCTTAGGCAGCAGGTGTTTATCTCCTTCTGAGCCAGGAAAAATGAAATAAGAGTGACAACAGGTGGAGAGAGAGGGGACCTGGGAGAACCTATGTTGCCACCACTTGGTACAATATTGTGTCAGCTTCCTGTGGGTCAGGAGGACAACTTGGAAAAAATAGCTGGGCTTAAAGATAAAAAAGACTACATATTGTATGATTCCATTTATATGAAATATTCAGAATAAGCAAATTCATAGAGATAGAAAGCAAATTAGTGATTGCCAGGGGCTAGAGCAAGTGGGAGGATGGGGGGTGACTGCTTCATGGAGGGGTTTCCTTTTAAGATGATGAAAATGGTCTGGAACAAAATAGCAGTGATGGCTGCACAACACAGTGATTGTACTAAATGCCACTGAATTGTGCACTCTAAAATAATTAAATTGGCAATTTAATGTTAAGTGTAATTTACCACAATAATTGTCTTTTAAGAAAACAGTAGCTGGTAGCTGGGCACAGTGGTGCACACCTAAAATCCTAGCACCTTAGTATGCAAGGCAGAAGGATTGCTTAAGCCCAGAAGTTCAAAACCAGCCTGAGCAACATAGCAAGACCCTATCTCTAGGGTCTCTAGGTACACAGTAAGATTGTACTTCCTGGTGCCTTTCTGGGTGAGTGAGGCCACATGACTAGTTCTAGCCAACAAGATGCAAGTATAAGTCACTCTGGCCCCGATACAAGATCTTCTGTGAGCTCTTGTTCCCTCTGGTACAGAGTCTGGCAATGTTAAAGATGGCCGATGTCCCATGAGCCTGAGTCCCTGATACGGTAATACGTGCAGTGGACACGTAGCGTGAGAGAGAAGTAAGCCTTTGTTGCACTAAGTACTTCAAATTTGGAGGTTGTGAGCACAGCATTACCTAGCTCACAACCCAACCTGGAACAATTAGCATTTGGACTCCTGCCTCCTAGATAGACTTAATGAGCCCTCACTCTTAGCCAAAGACATTAGAAAACAAGAAAGACAAAACTGCTTCAGCAGCTCATTATGAAAAGAGAGACGTGTCTCTTTCCTTTCTCCTCCTTTTTTTGTACGAGGCACAAAAAAAGATGCCTGGTAGAGGGAGCAGGAAGTGAAAGATTACATCATGCTCTCCTCCTCAGATCCCTACCCTTGAGCAGAGAGAATTAAATCAGATATGAGATTAAATTTTCAGCCCAACTAGACTAAGTTGTAATAGGAGTGACTAGAAAGCCGTGGGAGCTCCCAAAGTGAGAGGAAAGGGAGAGTCTACAGATCTTGACTGAAAGCTCTGATTGAGTCCCCAAGACCTGTCATGATCCCAACAGAAAGCCGATGGATCACACCCTCACATGGAGGTAATTCAGAAGAGTTTAAGAGGGCAGGACTATTTACAAAGTGGTGGGCAGGTTGAGGAGAGCCCACAGGGCTAGCAACAGCAGGGAAAGCGAGAAAGTGGTGGTAGCTCTAGGGAAGGACCTGTGGTCTACAGGCAAGAAACGTGGCCACTACCAACCCACTACCCATCTGGTTGGGCAATACCCCAACTGCATCTTCCCCTTGCCCTCTGGTTTCCTTCCAGTGCTTCCTAACTGGCTGAACCAACAGGTAATTAGAGAGCAAGGGAGCCCTTTGATGCATCCATAAAGGTCTGTCTCTCAAGGCTCAGAACATAGTGGAGAAGAATGAAGAGTGCCTCAAGAGGGCAAATGGAGACTATCCAGAACCTACCTCTGCCAAGCTGAGATTACTCCAGGAATTGGTTCCAGGTGTTTTAGGAAGATTCTTTTCGTTTATGGGTGATGTACCTGAGAAGGATGGAATGGAAATAAAAGGATGATTTATAATAGTTCTTGTCAGAGAATGAGTGAAAAGGTTGAAGGCTAGGAGGGTGAAACAGCATCTCAAAGGCTAAGTAACAGGAGAGGACAAAGAGGAAGTAATCTGAGCAGAAGTGGCTAAAGAGGAAAAGGGCTGGGAAGTTTTCACGGGTACCCATTCCGGATGTCCTGACGACCCTCCAGGGAGCTATTTTGGACGCATGCTGCCTCAGTTAGCATCCTGGCAGGAAACAGATGGACACTCAAAAGGGTTGAATTTAATGAAGGGACTATATAGGGCGTAGACTGCATTAAGAAAACCAGCAAGAGATCATGATACACAATCACAGGAAGCTGTTTCCATCTCTGTGCCTGAAAAGCCAAGACAAGGGGTGGTGATTCTGGAGCCATAGACGAACCTGTCCCCACCAGGATCAGGGCTATAGAGGAACACAGCCTCTCAGCCTCTGCCAAACCCTTCATGAGGCTGCGTTGGGGGATCAGAGGCAGCAAACACCTCATCCAACTGCCCTCTCACCTTCCAGTCTTCTGCTCTGTCTTCCACTGGGGAAGCCTATCAGTAACCTAAGGGCAAGGGAGCCCAGTGGGGCCAGAGAAGGGCCGAGAATGGATCTGTGGGAAGAAGAGGACAAACAGAAAAACCAACCAACTTGGAGGAAGTGAAAGCAGGTAGATAGTGAGGAAATGGATGCTAAGGCAGCAAGCATTTTTCTGTCTAAAGAAGAGATACAAGGTAAAAACAGTAGTGTCAAGCAAAGGTGTTTTTTCTTTTTTTTTTTTTTTCGAGACAGAGTCTCACTCTGTTGCCAGGCTGGAGTGCAGTGGCACGATCTTGGCTCACTGCAACCTCCACCTCCCGGGTTTAAGAAATTCTTCTGCCTCAGTCTCCTGAGTAGTTGGGACTACAGGCACATGCCGCCACATCCGGCTAGTTTTTGTATTTTTAGTAGAGATGGGGTTTCACCATGTTGGCCAGGATGGTCTCGATCCGCCCGCCTCGGCCTCCCAAAGTGCTGGGATTACACGTGTGTGCTACGGTGCAAAGGTGTTTTCTAAGCAAAAGAGACCTGAGCATGCCTTAAACTGAGACCCAGATCACCCAAGCCACATCACTGAGGTCATGGTGACTGGTTAATCCTGGCTAAAATTATGTTAAAAAGTTTCCATCAGAGCTATGCGTTTCAGATGACTCAAAAGATTCCAAGGATGAAGTCAAGGGGCAACTCGATCACAACACAACCCCGCAAGCGCCTGTTGACTCTAACTATCCATCTTTCACTAAAGAGCAGGCTAATCTTTTAAGAATAGGAAGACTTCCCGTCATAGTAAAATAAAGGCTACCGTATTGCATCCTGGGATCCCTGGAGGCTGGCTGGATCTAGTTCAAATAATTTCTTTCCGGAGTTGCTGTTGCCAAGAAGATTTAGAATAGCAAACAGTGGTGGTCAGTTGAGGTGAAGCTGCCTGTGCTTTTCAGCCCTTCTACCCAGGCACTTTGGAGAAATCAGCATCCGACTTTCCAACAACAGCCAATTGTAGTCAACCAACGCATTGCATTTATCTTAAAGGGTTAACTGTCCTCTGCAAAATCACTCATGAGGACAGTTAAAAAGGAAGAATTCTTCCTTGTGGTTGGAACGGTATGCAGGTGAACATCTGAAAAGACCAGCAGAATCTGGATCACTAGTGGGTGGTTAACTAAGAAAGACAGCACAGACTGCTGCATTCAGCATGAAGTGAAAAGGCTCAAAAAAGGCAAAGTGATCATTGGTCTTAGAGGGGTAGCTGCACTTTGCCAGGAAAATGAGGAGTAAGCCTTCCAGAGTTCAGTCTGCCCAGTGATTTACCACCAAAGTAAGGGCCCCGAGTACAGAGCTGTGCAGGTTGTACACTGCACAGAGCCCCCCTCTCCCAACTGCCCCACTTTCCTGCAAAAAGGGTAGCAACAATTGGAATCCAGCATGCACTCCAATCACAATGCTGTGTGCCCTAGCATGCAGGTGGGTCTGCCTAGAGGAAGGGATGACTTTTTATTTGCACAATGATGCTATCCACTTGGCAAACCATGTTCCCTGGGGACTGCACTGCCTAGAGGTGGAAGGAGAGGTCTATTTCTGATTGTAAGAAAGCTGCTATCTGTGCTAACAGCAACACTGGCCAAAGTCTTCCTAATTGCTAATAATGCATTTACTCTTTGAGACCGAGGCTCCCTCTGTCACCCAGGTGGGTGTGTGCAGTGGTGCAGTCTCACCTCACTGCAAACTCCCAGGCTCAAGCCATCCTCCCACCTCAGCCCCCCAAGTAGCTGGGACTAAAAGTGCATGCCACCATGCCTGACTAATTTGTTTGTTTGTTTTTGATTTTTTGCCACAGAGTCTCACTTTGTCACCCAGGCTGAGTGCAGTGGTGAGATCACAGCTCGCTGCAAACTCCACTTCCTGTGCTCAAGCAATTCTTGTGCCTTGTTGCCCAGGCTGGTCTCGAACTCCTAAGCTCAAGTGATTTGCCCGCCTCAGCCTCCTAAAGTTCTAGGATTACAGACACGAGCTATTGTGCCTAGCTGCATTTAATCTTCATGTCTTGCCTAAGAGAACCTTGCACATAGCCAAAGTATGAGTGGGAGAAACTCAGAAAAGATGATAATAGTAATAACAACAATCCCTCTTTTTTGTTTAGCCCTTATCATTTTAAATAACACTTTCCTATCCAGAATCTCATTCAAGCCTCAGAGCAATACCAGGTTCAAACTGGGTAAAGATAGCCTTTCCCATTTAAAAATTGTGGAGCTGAGACTCAGATAGTTGGGACTGAAATCTCAGTCTTCTGATTGCAAATTCCCTGCTCTTTGCACAAGACAAACAAACAACAACAACAACAAAAAAAAACTACACATTCAGAAAAGCTTCTAGGTATATCAGCTTGGACAGCCAGAGCCTATTTTCCTGTCTCCTCGGTAACAGAACAGTGATTTTCCTCTGGGGACATGCTGCCGATCTCCGTTTATGTTCTTCAGCCTGGGGAGAGACAGGCAATTGAGGCCTGGAAATTCAAAGCATTGCCATAATGGCTAGTTCAGGAATGGGCATGCAATCCAACCAGAGCCCATGAGGGGTGAGGAGACACTTGCAGTACTTGAGACAGGAGGGAGGCCCGACTCTCTTCCATTGGTCTTAGGCATGGAAGAAGGTGTGTCTGGAGTCATTGGCTGCCGTCTTGCCCCCATGTGGAATGCGAGAAAGGCAATGTGGATGATAGGGAAGCCAAGAGACAGGGTACACGTGAAATCATTTGAACCTCTGGTTTTAGGCACACACTCCAGTACTTTTTATTTACTTGAGCCAATATTTTATTATTTAAGCAGCTCAAGTTGAAACAAAAAGTACATCATTGCAACTAAAAGTGTCACCAGGCAACTAAAATTGCATTGTCTGTCACTTGGCTGAGTCAGGTAGTTTCTTCTTCTTCTGTCTTGCTAGTCTTATGCAGATACAGGCAATGCCACTCACAGCACTGGGGAACAGCATAAGGTTTAATTGCCAAAGACTAACGCACAGAAATTCCCTCAGTGCCATGATATGGCTAATCACCATCTCTCCTCAGCAGCCTGGAAAAGTTAAGGAACGCCGCTTTGCCCAGATGCCCAATGGAGTAGCCTAGCCTGCTAGACATTGTGAGGCAACTGTGTAATGTACTAAGAATTACACCTCACTTAGTAGACATTGAGCGGTGCTCTAATTGTGCTTGGACACCTGCATCAGATGGACCCCTGACAGTGAAAAGATGGCTCCCAGTGGCAATGGAGGTTTATGCAAGAGACAGAACAAGAATCTTCTCCTTCAAGCATGGGAAATAAGTCGTCCCCTTCAGTCTGACTGATCCATCTTGGGTCATGTACTCACCATTAGATCAACAGCAGATGGCAGGAGAATGACATTCATTCATTGGCTTAGACTAACCAAGATCTATACTGGAGCTGCAAATGGTGTCAGCTTCTTCTGAGTCACAATAAGAGGAATAGAACCCCAAACTGAGATTCCGCTGAGAAGAAAGAAATAGGGACTAGAGAGCCGGGCACAGTGGCTCATGCCTGTAATCCCAGCATTTTGGCAGTCCGAGGTGGAGGTGGGTGGATCACATGAGATCAGGAGTTGAGACTAGCCTGACCAACATGGAAAAACCCCATCTCTACTAAAAATACAAAAATTAACAGGGCGTGGTGGCATGCGCCTGTAATCCCAGCTACTCAGGAGGCTGAGGCAGGAGAATCGCTTGAACTCGGGAGGCAGAGGTTGCAGTGAGCCGAGATCACGCCATTGCACTCCAGCCTGGGTGACAGAGTGAAACTCCATCTCAAAAAAAAAAAAAAAAGGAAAAGAAAAAAGAAAGAAAGAAAGAAAGAAATAGGGACTAGGTGTTGGGTAAAATCAAGAATGTCATTACAACCACTACTTGACCATGTGACCCTGGGCATATCCTCTAACTCTTTGGGCCTCGGTTCCTTGCCTGCAAATTGAAGAGAACACAATCAAGGATATCAACACTCCCTATCTACTGTAATATGCTACAACTCTAGTAACTCCTCACACAAAACAGGAAAACCAAGTAGACAGTATGGGAGGCAGGGAAATTTGAGAATGGTGGTACTTGCTGATGTTCACTCATTTCAAACTTGCTTCACTTTGGGGAAGATATCTTGACAGGACAGAGGTATGTTTAAAACTTTTTTGTAGAGGCAGGATCTCACTATGTTGCCCAGGCTGGTCTCAAATTCCTGGCCTCAAGCAATCCTCCTACCTCCATCTCCCAAAGCACTGGAATTACAGTTGCCACCAGGCCAAGCCAAAGTCAAGATTTTTACTCTCCCCAATTACAATAAAAAACAATCAAAAGAATTTTCCAGCTGTCTTTATTACAAAGTCATATTTCTTATTATTCCATATTCTCTGGCATATAGAAAAACAATTTTAGGCAATGATGATCTGTTTAAGCAAAGTCTGGATTTAGCTTTTTTCTTTTCCTGGACCTGATCAGATCAAACAACTATAGCACGTTATAAATACCTGGGAAGATTTTTAAATCCCGATGCCAGGTTATAGCCCGGACCACGTAATTCAAAATCTTGAGAGGTGAGCACCTGACCTCAATAGTTTTTCAAGCCCCCAGGTTATTCTAGTGTGCCCCAAGGCTGAGAACACTGCCTTTGAGTCTGCCATAAAATCAGTGTCTGCTGAACCCCAGTGGAGAAAGGAAGGTGAGTGCCACACTTCCCTACTCCCAACTAGAGGAAAAATAAAATTGTTGCTGGATCTTTAAAGTCTAATGATTCCTGAGATATCTGGGGGAAGGAAGGTGTTGTTCTGTCTCAGGATTCTAAGCTTTATTAATAGGAACTAGCCAGAATGGGAAGTCTCGCTCCTAAGCAGCTGTAATTAAATCATATTCTCTGATAAGATGGCCCTTCCCAACTCATCCCCCATAAAGAACTGTGGCTGGTCTTACTTCTGGAAGTGCCTCTAACCAGAGCTGTTTCTAGGGCTCCTTAGCAGAAGGTCACTGAAGTTATTTTATTATGATTTTATTACAGAAAGATTTAAGTAAAAGGGGCCAGAGAGGGCACCTGAAATATTCCAAATATTCACCAGGCAGAAGCACTTAAGAGGGACACCTTCAACTGGAGAAGCTCCAATTTGGGGCTAATCCAAGGGTGTGTCCACGTGTAGCCTGAGCCAGAGACTAAATGCAGGCACAAGAAGTCACCCCGGGCAGCCTAGGAACGTTTAAGGTGAGGCATACAAGTGATTTAGTTCAAGGCATAATCTGTTCTGTTAACAGCATTTTCAAATGTTCCCCAACCTCTGACTTCTGAGACTGACAACATTCCAAGAATCTGAGACTAAATGCTGGAGGGAAAGAAAATATTCCTACCACTAGCTTAGGAATATTGGGTCATTCCTTGAACCAGGGGTGAAGATGAGTACTTTACTGGAAACCAAAAATTTGTACTCCCTCTGCTCGATCATATCTCTAAATAATTTGAGGGCTGCGAAGCATAATTAATTACCAAAAATATGAATTAAGCAGCTACTGCTTAGGGCTGTGCAATGACTAAAAAGGTTTGGTCTCTAATTTATAGCTGGTACTTATTAAATATATGCCAATTGATTTGTAAGAATTTATCAGAGAATAAATAAAACACACACTCAGAAGCCACTACTCATGCACAGGCATTATTAAAATGAAGACTACAGTAAGTTTTCCTTTCTCTGTTGTAACCTAACCACAGCCACTTACTGTTTATAAGCCCACTACAGGCTTATAAGCACATTACTATAAATCTTGCTCAATATGAGGATCCTATCCTCTTTTTTTTTTGTCAGATCGAGTCTTGCTCTGGTTCTGTCACTCAGGCTGGAGTGCAGTGGCCCGCACCCAGCTCACTGCAACCTCGTCCTCCCAGGTTCAAGTGATTCTCGTGCCTCAGCCTCCAGAGTAGCTGAGATTACAGGTGCACGCCACCATGCCAGGCTAATTTTGTGTTTTTAGTAGAGACGGGGTTTTGTCATATTGCCCAGGCTGGTCTGGAACTCCTGGGCTCAAGCAATCCACCCACCTCAGCCTCCCAAAATACTGGGATTACAGGCATGAGCCACTGCGCCCTGTCCTTCTTTTCAGAGATGCAATACAGGCTATTTATATAAAAGGCTGACATGAGCCAGCACAGGAGTGCCAGGTATACCCCGAATGCTAAGAGGATATCAGCACCAGGCCCCAGGCTCTGTGGGAAGGATTCAATGCGGAGAAAAAAAACAGCACTTGTCTGTGACCAGAGCCATGCTAAAGCCATTGACTTACTTTCATCTTTTCTTTAAAACTATTTTTTTGACACATAATTGTACATAGTGATGAGGTACATGTGATATTTTGTTACATACATACAATATGTAATGATCAAATCAAGGTATTTAGGATATCCATCACCTCAAGTATTTATCATTCTTTGTGTTAGGAACATTTATCTTCTAGCTATTTTGTAATACACAATAAATTATTGTTAACTATAGTCACCCTACTGTGTTATCAAACACTGGAACTTACTTCTTTTATCTGACTGTATGTTTGTACCCATTAACCAACCTCTCTTCATCGTCCCTCCATCCCCAGGCTCATTTTATTTTTTATTTTTTATTTATTTATTTATTTTTGCGATGGAGTTTTGCTCTTGTCGCCCAGGCTGGAGTGCAATGGTGTGGTCTCGGCTCACTGCAACCTCCACCTCCCAGGTTCAAGCGATTCTCCTGCCTCAGCCTCCCAAGTAGCTGGGATTACAGGCACCCACCACCACACCCAGCTAATTTTGTATTTTTAGTAGAGACGGGGTTTCACCATGTTGGCCAGGCTGATTTCAAAATCCTGACCTTAGGTGATCTGCCCACCTCGGCCTCCCAAAGTGCTGGGATTACAGGTGTGAGCCACTATGCCTGGCCAGATTTATTTTAATCTTGCCCCTCAACCCAACCTCAATTGGGATGGGAATCAGTCTAGGCTAGTTGGGGTCAGGGGAACAGGTTCAAGTCAGATGCAGATAATTATAGAGCATGAAGCACACACTGCAATAATTAGAACTCTTTTAGCTGTGACTTACAGAAGCTCAACAGAAATCAATGTAACCCATAAGAGAATGTATTGGCTTCAAGGTATAGTATTAGCTGGATTGAAGTGCTCAAAAGCTGTTATCCAGAATCAATTGCTTTCCATTCCCTTACTCTCAGGATTTCTTCCATGTTGGCTTCATCTTCAGGCAGGCCCTCTCCCAGTGGTGGTAATAATAATTGCCAGAGACTGGGTACAGTGGCTCACACCTGTAATCCCAGCACTTTGGGAAGCCGAGACAGGTGAATCACTTGAGGTCAGGAGTTTGAGATCAGCCTGGCCAACATGAAACTCCCATCTCTATTAAAAATTTAAAAATCAGCCGGGTGTGGTGATATGTACCTGTAATCTCAGCTACTCAGGAGGCTGAGGCATGAGAATCACTTGAGCCTGGGAGGCAGAGGTTATAGTGGTCTGAGATCCGCACCACTGCACTCCAGCCTGGACAACAGATGAGACCCTGTGTCAAAAAAATAAAATAAGAATAATAATTGCCAGAGCTCCAGGATCACATCCTACCAGCTTAACAGCCCAGGCAGTTCTAGCAAGAGCCCAGGGCTAGTTCTCACTGGCCTAGCCACAGTCACAGACTCATCTGTGAACCAACATCTGTGACCAGGGAATGCAGTTCTCTCATGGGCCAGGCCTCGGCCTCATGCCCACTTCTCATTCAAGGAGGAAAGGTCAGCGCTGCTCATACCACAAGGACTAAGACTTAGAATAGAGTAACCAAAAGAAAATCAGGGTGTTTTCCCAGGAGAATGGAAATAAAGGGTTAAAAACAACAGCTCTCCACTGCCTTGACGGTGCTGGCCCACTTTGTGGATCCTGGAGTTATGACACCTATTCTTACCCTCACTCTCCTTAAATTTCCTGTGCCCAAAACTTAATAGGCAATTGAATAAATAGTTTTAAAATGAATCAATGAATGAATCTAGTTGAGAGCATAAAACATGAACTATTTAAATATTCCACAGTATTTGGTGATATGATCAATGTAAACTATAAAAGCAAAGATGCAAAAATAAAGGAAGGAATGAGGGGATGCCATAGGGAAGAGGTAAGGCCTGAACTGGGTCTTGAAGGATGGGGAGAAAAGGGGAGGGGAATGCGTTCCATGAAAAGTCACAATGTGGGCATAGCACTGAGATCAGACAAGTACCATGAATCCAGGGACAGAGAGAAAACTTGCCAGGCTGGGCTTCACGTGGGCAAATAATGGGAGAGGAGTGGAGGAAGGTAGGAGGGCCCACCATGAGTCTGGGGTGGCCATCTGAGGACCCAGAACTGTATCCTGTAGATGCTGGGAGGGGGCAGAAAGGAAAAGCTGGCACTGAAGGAAGAGAGAAGAGTTCAGTTTGGGACAAGATGAGGCTGCAGTGTCAGCAGGAAGCATGAAGTAGGAGAGTGATGATGACAGTGCTGCTTTGCACAGATAAGCCTGGCGGAGACACGGAGGGGGCTGGACTCTTAGGGGTGAGCACGGAGGCAGGGTGTCAGTGGGGAAGCTGCTGCCAGGTGGAGATAATGAGGGTCTAAACTCCATCCCTTCAGACTGCCTTTTCCAGCCCAGCTTCAGAGGCCCTTTCAGCAGCCCCTGCCTGCCCATTACTCTTTCTCTCTCCTGCCTGTCCTGGCTCCTGACATGATAGCATGTCAGATATTTGATTATCCAAGAAACTTCAAACTTGAGGAAGCTACACATAGAGAGGGTCTAAAGCATACGGTGCAAAGACTACGCCTTGCTAAATGACACAGAAGTCTCTTAGCAAGGCATGGCACAGAAGCATGGGTGAACCAAGGAAGATACAGCTCACTGTCCAACTCTTCAGAACGTTTTCTGAATAGCATTAAGCACTGGATTCTGCAAACCAACTGATTGAGTTTGAATGTCAGCATCACCGTTTACTGGCTGTGTGATCGTGGGCAAGTTCTTTCTCTTAGCCTTGCTATTTCTCATCCGCAAAAAGAAAGTATAATTGAACTTCCCTCAGAGGCTTAGTATTAAAACTAATTGTGTTAATAATGTATATAATGGGCCTGACTCAATAAAAGTCTATTATTATTATTTGCATCTGGGAACATCACAAGTAAACCTGTTGGTAGGACTCACCTAAACTTCCTCCCAAAGCTAAAAATCCCAACACATAAGGGAGGCCTTTGGAGATGGGGTTAAGTCCTCTCCACTGATCCTCAGGCTGAGCTGAGTCTGTCCTGAAAGATATCGACCACTAGAGGGAGAGTGGACTTCCAGAAACCACAGTCCCTCAACCCAGTGTCTTTCAAACTACGGGTTTGAAACACATTAGTGGTTGTGATACCAACTTAGTGGGACCCGACTAGCATTTTTTTAATAAAATAAAACAGAACATATCTGCATTAATTTCAGAAGATACAGGTAGATATTGTTTCATGAAGCCCTTTGCTTTAAATAATTATATAGACATGTATGTTGTTGGTCCCAAAATAAAGTATATTTCTCACTGTGAGTCATGGTCAACTATCAGGAGATCTTGAGAAACACTCCCATAAATGATGTACAGGAGAAAGCTACCTGTGTTGTTCATTCTCAAACACCAACAGGCCACATTGAGGTGAGTCATTGCTCTATGTTAAAGAAGAATCAGACACAGAAGTAGAGGTCTGGATTTAACTAACGACACTCCACATTGTTAGGAATTGTTTTCAGATTCTCTTCCTCTGGTGTTCATTAGGCACCTCTCAAGGTCTAACCTGGCTGTCCTTTTTCAGGCCTATAAATGCCCTGTGTGGCTCTCATCCTAGGTGATAGCATTTACTCCCAAGGCTTCCATTGGTTCCTCTGTGTGACTGAATCCTGAACTACCTCTTTGGCTTTTAACTCCAGATATGTATTTCCAAATGATGGCTAGAATTCTCCCCATGGATGTCCCATAGACCCCTCAAATTCAACCTGTCTGAAACCCAACTCATTATTTTCCCTTTATAAAAAGAGAAGTAAAAGACCCTGGTCCTGTATTCCTTCTCTTGGCTCCTCTCTCCTAGCAGTCACTGTATTAGGCTGTTCTTGCACTGCTATAAAGAAATACCTGAGACTGGGCAATTTATAAAGATAAAAGGTTTAACTGGCTCACAGTTCTTCAGGCTGTACAGGAAACATGATGCTGGCATCTGCTCGGCTTCTGGGAAAGCCTCAGGAAGCTTAAACAATCATGGTGGAAGGCAAAAGGGAAGCAGGCACATCACACGGCCAGAGCGGGTGCCAGAGAGAGGGAAGAGGTGCCACACACTTTTAAATGACCAGATCTCGTGAGGACTCACTCATTATTGTGAAGACCGTACCAAGAGGATCGTACTAAACCATTCCTGAGAAATCCGACCCCATGATCCAATTGCCTCCCACCAGGACCCACCTCCAACACTGGGGATTACATTTCGACATGAGATTTGGGCAGATACGGTTTGGATATCCAAACCATATCCAGTCACCCAGGTGAGAAAATTCAGTTATGGTCAAGTTTTCTTTCTCCCTCTGTCATTGCTGAGTTGAGTCATTTATCTGTCCCAGTGCCTCATCTGTCCAGTCTACTTTTCCCTCCCACTCGTACTATTTCAGATGATTTGTATATCTTCTTAGTGGTCTCCCTGTTTCCAGCCTCTCACCTTTCCCATGGATCCTTCCCATGGCCATCAGCTACCTCACCAAAACAGACTGAATCGTGTCATTCTCTCATATCATTCTGGTCTTAATAACATGCAATAACTCCCAAGAATAACCAAAATAAATAAAATATGTAAGCATGGGATTTAACTCCCAAGTCAGGAATGACAAATGATTCCATCCCAAGTGCCAATCCCAACTGATTCATTGAGAACTATGTTGAGAAGAATTCTGAGGCTTCATTCAAATTCAGGAAGAAAGGTTAGCAAGGGGCACAACAGGGGGACGTGGGTATCCCTGATCTAGGCTCAATCTATTTTTTTTTTTTTGCTTCTTCCCACATAACTCTACCAACCATTCAGCCACAAGAACTACTTATCATTACCCAAATATACCATGCAATTCTATTAACGACAAAGACTATAATTCCTTTCTTTACTGTTAGCTTACTCTTGCCTCAACTTCGTATCAGAATCCTCATCCTGTTCCTCTACCATCAGAGTTTATTATGTGTATCTCTACTGAGCATGTATCAACCTCCTTTGTATTATAAATATTATATTTTTTATTTTTTGTAGAGATGGGGGTCTCACTATGTTGCCCCAGGCTGGTCTGGAACTCCTAGGCTCAAGTGATTCTCCCATCTCAGCCTCCTAAAGTGCTGGGATTACAGATGTGAGCCACCATGCCCAGATGTCATTTGCATTTTAAATACTATGTTATGGATCATGTGTGTGAGTATGTATTTCTGCCTCTCCCACTGGACAATAAAGTCTTTGAAGGCAGTCAACATATCTTACTCATCTCTCAACCCCTAGATTCCAGTCACCAACTTAAACATAGCAAGCATTCAGGGGGGCATTTATAGAATGAATGAACTATTTAATATTCTGATGGCATGTTGACACGTGACTTTTCAACAACAAAAGTCACAGGGGGAGGCTGAGGCAGGTGGATCACGAGGTCAGGAGATCGAGACCATCCTGGCTAACACAGTGAAACCCTCTACTAAAAATACAAAAAATTAGCCAGGCATGGTGGTGGGCGCCTGTAGTCCCAGCTACTCGGGAGGCTGAGGCAGGAGAATGGTGCGAACCTGGGAGGCGAAGCTTGCAGTGAGCCAAGATCGTGCCACTGCACTCCAGCCTGGGCGACAGAGTGAGACTCCATCCCAAAAAAAAAAAAAGAAAAAGAAAAAAGTCACAGGGAATCTCTGGGAACTAGCCCCATCTCAGAGTAAGGACTCCTTTCTAGAGATTTCCTTATTACCAGCAGTCAGCAAAAACCATAAGACAGCAGCCCCAAACTATGAAGCAGGTGGTAGAACTGAGAATTTAGGAGAAAAATCTCTCATTGGTGCAACAGCATAACACTGGACACTTACGGATGACTCTGCAAGTATACAAGACAAGCCTTATGCTCCTTTCACCAATCAAGCTCGGAAGATGTGACTTTCCCTGTATCACAGGAGCACCCCTAAGTAGAAGGAGACTCAAACCCACACCTCACACTTCAGATCCACAGCTCACACTTCAAAGTTGTGCTCTTCCTGCTTCACCAGTGAGTGTTTGGTGAATTTTACTCCAAAGAAAGGAATCCACTATCATTAAAAACTAATAATAGTACATTGGAAAATCACTGCATTGCACCATTCTGTCTATGCTATAAAGGTCTCCCACTCAGATCGTCCAAGCAACCCCCTAAACAACTGGAGACTCAACCCTATGACTAGGTGAAGATGGCTTTGGTTTTTTTGGTTGTTTTTTCCTGTGGACCTCATCTAACTTGAAAGTTGTGGGTTTTGTTTGTTTGTTGTTGCTTGAGATGGGGTCTTGCTATATGAGGATGGTTTTTGAAAAGGTATTTCCAACCACCTTACTTTACCAAGCATTAACAGCTTTTCTCATTGGTCATTTATATGGAGGCCAGTGACCCAAAATCCTTACAATCAATTATTTCCAGTTATAACAGCAAACTGGGAACACTATTTGGAATATTGTAATAGCTTGAACAACTGAGAGAGAAGTCACCAGCACAAGGGGCCTTACCTTTCCTTTAAAGGAAAATAACTTTTATTACCGTTACTCCCTGAACACCTAAGAAGAAAAAAAGAAATTGAAGAGAGACAGTGACAGACTCGTTAATTTCCAAAGTTGATGCCAAGTCCTGTCTTAGAAAACGGACATCACAGGCGCTTTGCTCTTTCAGGAAGTGTAATGCTTGGGATGGTCAATTTTGAGTAGCGAAAAAGCAAATGGTCTAGGCCAAAATCCGAGAGATCACCACGATTTCAACGATTTGGGGGTTATCTTCCCTGTCTTTTCCCTCTTTGTCTGTGTGGTTCCTCAAACAAAGTGGGTTGGAAAAGTTCAAACTCAGTTCACAGAAGAGAACATTCTGTACTGGCACAACAGGCTGGGCTGCTCTGTGTAAAACAAGATCAACAGCATGATCTCAGCTGCCGCGGCGGCAGCAGCAGGCACCACGCCGCCGACCCACAGCCCGGCGTTTGAATGCAGGGCTGTCAAAGACGATCTCTGGACAGTACACTGCGAAGGTGGGGACCCACACATACACACACACACACGCACACGGTACGTCAGAAATGACTTTCTGCCCCTTGTAGTTCAATTGTTACTTCCTCTCCCCAGAGGGTCAAGAAAGTTGTTTAGATTTTTCTCTTTGGAGAGTAATTACAGCTGCAACATTTCCAAGGGAACAACCCCCTGCGTGTGCACTTCAGCTCTGGCATTGATTGGGGCTTTTCAATCTGTTTGGATGTTACTGTAATCAGATGACAGCAGTAATACTAAGTACATTGCTGCCCGGGCTTAGGGAGGGAGGCAGTGAGGGAGGAAAGAGGGGATAGAGGATCAAGTTCATTGTTACCCTAACCCCCACTCCCAGCTTTTCTATTTTCTTCTGGATCCAAAGCTTTTTCCTCCTTTGTCTAGAATTTAAAGTGCAATTCAACACATACTTATCGAGTGTTTATTTTGTGCCAGGGCCTGTCCCTAGAATAATACTAGTAGCAAGGTTGTTCTAGTGAAGTGAAATCTGGCCCTCACACCCATCAGAAGAGGAAGGACAGGAAAAGGGAAAGCTGTGTATGGAGACAGGTGGCAAGGCGGGAGGGGAGGGCTGCCAGAATGAAGGATGGACAGGCCTGAATATGGGTGGGTGTTTTAAAGTATGACAAAGCAGACATCTGGAACGGGGCTGCTTTTGCATTGCCCTTTCTACGTTGACTTCAAGCCTATTTGCAAGAGGAAAAAAATGGCAAGAATGCACAACTGCCCGCCCCAGGAGGGATGGAACTGCACCTCAGCCTTCTTTAAAGGTTCCTGTTTCCCCGCTGCTGTGGCAGGAGCAGAGACCAGCAGGAGGTGAGCAGGGCACAGAGGGGCCTCACAGAGAAACAGAAAGAGGATAATCAGGGCCTCCTAGGCAGTGGCTTTGAATCCTAATTTGTTGGGTGAACCTCAGGCAAGTTTCTCAGATTTGTGCCCATGAGTCTCTGCGCTGTCAGCTATTAACTGGGGAGAGTCTACCTATTAGTAGAACTATTGTGGGATTTAAGGAAATAATATCTCCCTTTGCTTGGCAGACACTAGGTATTTAATAAATAGTAACCATTGTTATTATTAATGTAAGTACTATTCAGAGAAAGCTGTTAACCTGGTGTCAATTAAGAATTTGCACCAATGTGACCTCTGAAATGTTTTCTTGCCCACGTATTTTCACAATTTATTTACTTAGTGAATGTCTATGGAGCACCTGTTTGTAGCCCTGTGCTCTATTCCAGGCACGGCAGGAGGCACTGGGGCAACAACAGTCTTGTCCTGGAGAGCTTCCTCACCTTTCCAGGGAGGGCAGTTTACACAGGGCAGCAAACCCTGGGTGGCAGACCAGCGCTTCCTCACTGCCTACCTTCTGTCATGTTCAAGCTTGTTTCCTCTAGGTCCAAGATCATCTCTATGATTGTGACCAGCCATCCCATAGGAAAAGAAGCTTCCAGAGATACTGGGGAACAAGGATTGTTCAGGGACAGCCCTGATGTGAGACACTTCTCAGAACTGTTCTTCCAGAATGTAAACACCCTTTCCCTTTCTCACTTCAGGACCAGAGCTCCTGCCAAGACTTTGAAAAACAAGTTACACAAGCACCTTTGGGGAGGTTGGCCATGCCACACCACAGCTGTAGCTACATGGGAGAGGAGGAGGGAGCTGGCCTCAAGGACTTAGTCAGGGACAATACTTCCACCCCTAAACACAAGTTCACAGGTCCAAGAGTCCAGTAGAACACAAGCCCTTGGACCACCACACCATGCCCCAGCCTGTGGCCCAAGGAGTCAGTCACTGAGGATAATTTCGCAGACTCCCCTGCCACCATCACTGACAGATCCCAGAGTTCAAAGAGTAATCAATCGCCTGTCATTAGAGCCAGTGCTCAGGCCCAGGTGGGGCTTTCTTGGAACTGGTCACTGGGATATCTTAAATTCTTTTTTTTTTTTTTTTTCCAGACAGGGTCTCACTCTGTCACCCAGGCTGGAGGGCAGTGGAGTGATCATGACTTGCTGCAGCCTCAACCTCCTGGGCTCAAGCAATCCTCCCACCTCAGCCTCCCAAGTAGCTAGAACCACAGGTGCACGCCACTATGCTCAGCTAATTTTTTAGTTTTTTGTAGAGACGGGGGTTTTGCCACGTTACCCAGGCTAGCCTCGAACTCCTGAGCTCAAGCAAACTCCTGGTCTTGAGGAGTTCCTGGGCTCTTTCTACCTTGGCCTCCCAAAGTGCTGGGATTACAGGCCTGAGCCACCATGCCTGGCCTTAAGTTTTTTCTTCCCTGGGGAGATCACCTCCCTTCACTTCCCTGACCAGACCTCCCTCACAGAAGGCCCTATTTAAAATTTTGGCAGCAAAGAGCCTGTCTCAAAAACACTTCTCTCCCAATTGAAGTTATTTGCCAAGGGCTAGTGCCAACTCCAGCCAGTCGTAGATGGAATTTCTCAGGCCAGAGTGTGCCTGGGGCAGTAAATGCAAAACCTTAAGGATCTGACCTGGACCAAGCTAAATAAATCCAGGGACTGGGCATGTAACCAAGATCTCAGAAGGAGTAAATGAAGGGGAGTTCTCAGAGAATTAAGCAAGAGTTTGCACCAACCCACACACACCTGGTGGGAGCAAAGACCTAACAGAATGACATTTGTTGATCACACATAATGTATCAAGTACTTTACATACATTCTCTCATTTCAACCCCACAGTAATCCTGTAGAGTAGGTGTTGATATCATCCCTGTTATAGATAAGAAACCAAGACTCAAAGAGCTTAAATAACTTGTCCGAGATCATGCAGCCATGGACATGGCAGAGCTGGCACTTAAACCCAAGTCTATCCAAGGTTGAAAGCCCAGATTCCTTTGATTACACTATTCTGCCTCCCTGTATGCAAGAATCTTCTTTCATTTTTAAAAAAGTTTTTTCAAAAGAAAATGTTTTTCAGAATTGTGCTCCAGAGACTCTTATTAGAATACAGGTAGAATCATCTTGTATATTTATCTTGATTTTTTAGAGACTGAGATCTCAAGTTGAAGTTCTGAGACCAAGTCCCACTCTCCAGTCTCATGTAGTTTACCCTATCTCAGTATACATAATCAGCAATAGTTATTGAACATCCACAAGATCTTCTACTATGTTCTATAGGGGATAGAAAGGTGAGTTAAGCATGTCTCCTGCCCTCAAGGAAATTATAGTCTGTCTGAATAGGATAGGTTGTGCTGCAGTAACAAATAACCTCTGTATCTGAATGGCCTAACGAAAAAAAGGTATGTTTACTGCCTTCACCAGATGCCCATTGTGAATCAGCTGGGTCCTCACCCGAGGACCCAGTCTAATGGGCAATCTGCCACATATCTCAAACATTGCTAATCACCATGCCAGGGGAAGGAAAGTGTGGTCGATCGCTCACCAGCTCTTAACACTTCTTCCCCTGTAAGCTTCTTTTCCAAAGGGACTCATGCCAATTCTGCTCATATTTCATTGGCCAAAGCAAATCGGCCACACACAATGCCAAGTTATATACAAACCTACCACAAGTCTGGAAGTGGAGGAAACCTTGAAAAATTTGGTGAATAGCCCTAATAATGACCATAGTCTGAGAAGAGGAATGGCTTCAAAGCCTCATCCCCCACATTCCACAACAGAGCAAGCCAAATAACTAAGTGCCCTTAGAGTGGGTGCTTTCAAGGCTTATATATATCCCAAGGACTCAACAGAGATTCATGCCTGGGCTAGAGACCTCAATGAAGTATCCTGAGGGGTAAGGCCTATGTTGAGTCTTGAAGAGTGGGAAGGATTTGGCTGGACCTGCAAGACCAGACGAGTTACATCCACCTTCAATTTCAATAGGGTGATGGTAACCCACCACCAATCACCCTCATAAATGACATAGATTACTCCAGGCATGAAGGGACAACCCAAAGGAACACCTGAAGGAAAGAATATGCAGTGTGGGCTTAAGGGAAAGAAGGTCCATCATTGCTGAGCAGAGTGCTGGAGTCAAGGAGAAATGGCAGTTGAGGCCAAGGCATTAATTGAGAAGACGTAGAAAATGTTCAAACGGGAGAAAACCATGATTAGAGTAGAACTTTATGGATTCTAATAGGTGGCTACATTCTTTTATTTCTTTCTTCATTTCACAAACATTTTAAATATTTTGCATTAGAGATGCAAAGGTATATGAGGCTTGATTCTTGCCCTCAAGTTGCTCCAGTCTCTAGCAGGAGGAGAATATATGTGTTGCCTATTTACAATACCCTTGTCTTTTAAGAGGGATTGATCTCAAAGAGATCTGATGAACATAACCTAAAGCTTCAAGCATGCCAGATAATGAAGGAGAAAGGGTGAGTGCACTAAATTGCTAAATGGGATTGAGGTAGTGGTGAAGAATCCAGGGGTGGAAGGAGGCTGGAGCCAGTGCAGCCGGAGGAGAGTGGAGAGAGGAGGATTGGAAAGGATAGGGGAGATAAGGCAGCTGGCAGTGGGAGAAAAGGCTTTGGGAATGAAGGAAGATTTTTAACGGGGATTTGTATAAAGTTTGGCCATATGGTGTTCAGTGTAAGCCCTCCACTTTTCTCCCTTGTGAGCATTTCAGTCAAATCCACATAGCTGAAATGCTTTCGGGGTGGCTTGAGAGGTAGCAAGGGGGCAAGTGGGCTGCAGTGAAGCATTGATTATGGCTTCCACGTGGGTACAGGGTGTGAGCAGGGACTTCCCAAAGGTCCCAGTCACATCTTATTAAATAGATATGTGCAATCAAATTTGGACAGGATAGAGTGGCTCATTCTGGGTGTGGGAGAGTCAGTCAATAAAAACTTCATAAAGGAGATGAAAGACAATCCTGGTGCCAGGTGTCGAAAGATCAGATGTCCTCAGCCCACTTGGATTAATGGAAAGCATTCCAATCCAGGCACCAAGAGCAGCATATGCAAAGGTACTGGGGTGTGGAACAGCCTGGCTTGTTCAAGTAACTCCAAGCAAACCTTGATGGACAGGATAATAAAGTCAGGAGGGGCAAGTTCAAGAATCTAACCCAAAAATCAGGAGTGCATGTTCACCTTCGAAACTATTCATTCGATATTTACTGACCCTCAACTACTTTCCAGCTTATACAGTGTCATGAAAATCTTTTGATTTGGTAAAAACCTGGGAAATTCATGACTTCCTATTAGTCTATTGGTAAGGAAAGTGGGGATCCAGAGATAAACTTTTCTAAGGATGTCCTGACTTACTTATTCTTGCCTCTCACATACGCAGTATGACAATATTTACCTTGCTGCTAAGCACCATGTCTCCATGTGCAGTGATGACAAAAAGCCAAGATCCTTGAGGTCCTGTGTCCCAGCGGGTGAATGATTGCCTGAGACAGCAGCAAACAGGAGCAGAAATCTGGTGACTATTAAAACCACTGATTGATTTACAGTCAACTGTCAGGTGGGAAAATTTATCTCCATTGATCACAGCCTAAAGTATCCTGTGTGTGGGGTGTGAGTGTACATATGTGCCCATGTCTGTTTTAAGTATCCACCTGGGAAATCTCTCAATCAGCATTTATTTCAATAATCACATACAGAGCTCTGGCACTTTTTTCCACAAATGCTTCCAAAGCAGTTTGTAAATTTTATATAGCTGGGGAGTTACTGTGGCAGGAATAGAAGGAAATAGATATTTATCAGCTTCCTAATGAGAACTGGAGACTCAGTGTACTTTTGTTGAGAAGAACAGGGATCCAAGAATGTGTATTTAATTCAGAATGTGTGTGTATTTAAATGACATAGTATTTCATTAAAATGTTTTTCATATTTCCTCCTAATCATCCATTCAAATTCTACATAACTTTCAAGGCCCACCCTCTAGAATCAGCTTCTAGTTGCTAAATTTTGGTCCTCTGGAGTAAAATACTGTCACATTGCCCTGGACATTGCATCTCTCTAAACACCCCCAGAAGACTGGCAGTAGGAGGGAGACCTTGTGTCCCTCTCAGGGGTTTTATATTATGCATTCCCAGCCCATTTCTCAGCAAAGGCTGAAAAGTATTTATCCAGGAGACCAGTGAGCGCCTGTGAGGAAACTGGAGAAACTTCAGATCATTCATTCAGTCAGTCAATATTTACTAAGCAATTACTATGTTCTAGAAACTATGCCAGGGTCCTAGAGATACAGCTAAGAGCAAAAGACATGGATCCTGGCTTCCCAGAGCCAGCACTCTAGTAGGGGAGATGGTCATTGATGGGATAATCACCCAGATCATTGTAAATCTAGCACCAAGATAAAGGGAAACAAGGAAGAATCTGAGAACATAAGCGGAGTAGCTGGGTTTCCTGGCTTATGCCTGTAATCTCAGCAATTCAGGAGGGCAAGGAGAGAGGGTCACTTGAGCCCAGGAATTTAAGATCAGCCTGGGCAACAAAGGAAGACTCTGTCTCTACAAAAAAAAAATTTTTTTTAATTAGCCAAGCATGATGGCACATGCCTATAGTCCCAGCTACTTAAAAGGCTGAGGCAGGAGGATTGAGAGCAGGAGTTCAAAGCTGCATGATAGGCCAGGCACAGTGGCTCACGCCTGTAATTCCAGCACTTTGGGAGGCCAAGGCGGGCAGATCACCTGAGGTCAGGAGTTTGAGACCAGCCTGGCCAACATGGTGAAACTCCATCTCTAATAAAAATACAAAAATTTGCCATGTATGATGGCAGGCACTTGTAATCCCAGCTACTTGGGAGGCTGAGGCAGGGGAATCGCTTTAACCCAGAAGGCGGAGGTTGCAGTGAGCCAAGATCATGCCACTGCATTCCAGCCTGGGCAACAGAGCAAGACCCCATCTCAAAAAAAAAAAAAAAAAAAAAGCTGCATTATAGCTGAGTTATAGTAATGCTACTGCCCTCCAGCCTGGGTGACAGAGTAAGACCCTGTCTCAAAAATAATAATAAAATAGAAAAAGAGAAAAAAGTAGAACATAAGCAAGGAACATTACCTAGACAAATGGGTTGGGGAAGGGTGCCTGAGAAAGCTCATCTGGAGGCTGAGCAGGAGTTATGGAGATGCGTGTGTGTGTAACAGCCTTAGTTTCCTCATTTGCAAAATGACTGTACTAACAGTACCTTGCCCAAGTGTGGAGTCCCTAGAAGTAGGTCCTGAGATAAGGACTCATGATGAGGTGATTTATAAAAAAGTGTGCCCTAGGGCCAGGCGCAGTGACTCACGCATGTAATCCCAGCACTTTGGGAGGCCAAGGCAGGCAGATCATGAGGTCAGGAGTTTGAGACCAACCTGGCCAACATGGTGAAACCCCATCTCTACTAAAAATACAAAAACTAGTTGGGTGTGGAGGCGTGCGCCTGTAATCCCAGCTACTTGGGAGGCTGAGGCAGGAGAATGGCTTGAACCTGGGAGGCAGAGGTTGCTGTGAGCTGAGATTGTGCCATTGCACTCCAGCCTGGGCGACAGAGCGAGATTCTGTCTCAAAAACAAAAACAAACAAAAAAAAGAAGTGTTCCCACATGAACCTGGGAAGCGGAAGTTGCAGTGAGCCAAGATGGCACCACTGCACTCTCGTCTGGGTAACAAAGAAAAAAACAAAAAGTGTCCTTAAAGGAAACTGGTAGAGGAGGTAGAGAGTGGGACTAGGAAGGGAAGAGAGGCGTCCAAGCAACATTGACAATCAAATAAAGTCCACGCAGAGGTGTGCCAGAGACAGGAGAGGTCACATGGGGAGCTGGGAGCATTCGTCCCACAGTACCTGGTAGTCACAGGTGAAGTCCCAGGCACTTCTGCTCTCTATACTGAGAAGCAAAGCAATTCTAGTAGCTCAAGGACCATCCTCCAACACAGAGCCACGATGCTGGCTGCTGGGTGCACAGCACAAAGTAATGAGGGCGTACAGGACTATGCAAGAGCACACAAGGGGGTGTGGGCAGGGCACTGAGACGCTGGTTACATAGGGTACATAGGGAGGTACAGATGTAATGAAACAATGCATGTAAGGAACAGAGCACAGTGCCTGACTCATAATAAGTGCTCAAGCAGTATTAGCTCTCATTGTAATGTTTATTTATTGAATATGTATCGATGCAGCCTGACACAGACTCTGCTCTGCCCAGTTATCTCTGCCTACTCAAATCCTCCAGGAAACCCACTCTTCCACCCACCACTCCCCGCCAGGCCTCCCGAGACAAACACACATATAAATATAGCAATATATATTTATATTTCCCAGGATTGTCACATTTTGCTGAGCTCATAACGGAACTGAACAAATAGCCCTGTCATCCTCTGTAATATATTCTATCATTCACCGGGGCTTCATCTCTCCCTGTCCTCCTGGGCTCCTGGAGCTCAGAAATTCATGTGCTCGGCTGCTTCTTCAATGTGATCTGTACTAACCTGATGTAATTCTCAGGCCTTCATTTCCTGTGCAAGTTGATAGAATTTTTAGACCAGAGGGACCTCCTAGGTCTGGTCATCTTGCTGAGCAATTGGTTTGCTACTTCAAAAATCTGCATTTTAAATAAAAAGGAATGAACTCTGATACCTACAACAAGAAGGATGAATCTCAAAAACAAAAGAGCTGGACACAAAAGAATACTCATGGTATGATTCCATTTATTGGAAATTCTAGAACAGGCAAAATTAATCTATGGTGACAGAAAGCAAGTCAGTGGTACCTGGGGCTGGCATGGGGGCAACTGCGAAAGGTACCAAAGAACTATTGGAAGTTGAAAATGTCAGCATCGGCTGGGCGTGGTGGCTCACGCCTGTAATCCCAACACTTTGGGAGGCCAAGGCAGGCAGAACATGAGGTCAGGAGTTCAAGACCAGCCTCACCAACATGGTGAAACCCCCTCTCTACTAAAAATACAAAAATTAGCCAGGTGTGGTGGTGCATGCCTATAATCCCAGCTACTCAAGAGGCTGAGGCAGGAGAATCGCTTGAACCCAGGAAGCGGAGGTTGCAGTGAGCTGAGATGGCGCCATTGCACTCCAGCCTGGGATACAGAACGAGAGAAAGAATGAGAGAAAGAAAGAAAGAGAGAAAGAAAAAGAAAGAAAGAAAGAAAGAAAGAAAGAAAGAAAGAAAGAAAGAAAGAAAGAAAGAAAGAAAGAAAGAAAGAAAGAAAAGAAAAGAAAGAAAGAGGAAGGAAGGAAGGAAGAAGGAAGGAAGGAAAGAAAAGAAAGAAAGAAAGAAAGAAAGAAAAGAAGGAAGGAAGGAAGAAAGAAAAAGATAATAAATGTCTTGGTTATGGAGTTGTTTACAGTGGTGTATACTTGTTCAACATTCATAGAACTATATGCTTGAAATGGGTGCACTTATTGTATGTAAATTATACCTCAATAAAGTTGATTTTAAAATTAAACAAATAGGCATTTTATTGCCTGACCAAGAGGTCAAAAGTAGATCCAAGACTAACCATAAGAAACAGCAAAGACCAGACACACAGAAGCCTTTGTGTTGTTCCCCAACCCCACCCCGTTTTTTCTTTTGGCAAGAAGTTGGTCTTTATCATGTGTACTAGTGGAGGGAAACAATGGCAAGGAAAATCTAAAAAGAGAATAATGCACAAGTCATTTACATCTGGTGGCCCTGGAATGTGTTTTGTTGCTTTATGTAATTTGAACAGAGATGTACCTGCTTGACATCCCAAAAAGACACTTCGAATGAAATAATAAAGTTTCCTATAAAGACCTGAATTACTTGTATCCAGGAAGCACTTTGCTTATCTTGCCTAACTTCACTTCTTCCATCTCCTTTTTCCAAGCAGGAAATGCAGTGATTCGCCTAATCCCAAACCTTCCTGCAAGGAGGCTCTCCAGTTTGTGCCTCCACCTACATTAGATTGGATGCCTCTGCGTTAACGTGCAGCATAAATAGAGGAAGTTGAGATGCTCAAGCCACTGTAAAGAGACTTGAAAAAAGTTTTCTTGCAAGTTACCGGAATAATCTACTTGCAGATAATTGAGAACAGATTCTACAAGAAATAGTTTCTTATATCTAGCATGCAGTTTAGCTGTCTCTGGCTCTGGGAAGTCTCTCCTGGCACACCACACACCCCTCTCCCCCCTTCAAGCCCTGTCACTTCTGAGATTGGGTTGGCTGCCTGCTATTTGTACCACACCTCCCGTCCCCAACACCCTGGACTTTGTCCTTCATGGCATTTACCACGTGGAAGGCAAATGCCTGTTTACTAATCTGTGTCCCAGACCAGACTGAGAGCTCTCTGAAAGCAGGGTCGGCTGAGGTCACTGTTGTATCCCCAGCTGCTAGAACAGTGCCAGGCTCATAGTAGGTGCTTAATGAATAGTTGTTGAGTTGTTATTATTCTGAACACATAACAGAGTTTATTTAAGGTTTTGATAATTAACTGCACAAACAGGAAAACTCTGGCGCTTCTAAAGGGAACTCCACCCAAGCCCAGCTCCAGCAGGAAATACCAAAAAGTAAGTATCTAGCACAAAAATCACCGTGTGTGTGTTTCAAGGCAATTCTCATGAGCTTATCTCCAAGAAGCTGTGGAATAGTCTGGAAAATCCAAGGCTTTAGGTCCTCCAAGGCAGATGACTTATGAGGATGGAGGGAAGGGAGGAGAAGCTTCTTGCTATCTTGAAACTCTGGGGCTGTGGAATAACACTGAGATTGGAGTCAACAGGCCAGGTCAAAAGGCCTAGACTCTCAGAGCCTCTGTAAGTGACCATATTAATACCTTCTCACATCTTACAGTCCTGTCTGTAAGTTCTTAAGGGTGATACAAATTTTAGCTGCCTAGATTATCAGAAACATCAATAACAAGCTGGGCGTGTGGTGTGTGCCTGTGGTTCCAGCAGCTGGGGCAGGAGGATCACTTGAGCCCAGGAGTTCGAGGCTGCAGTGAGCTATGATGGTGCCAATGCACACAGCCTAAGAATAACAGAATAAGACCCTGTTCTCAAAACAAGGCAAAAAACAAACAGGCCAGGCACGGTGGCTTACATCTGTAATCCCAGCACTTTGGGAGGCCGAGGTGGGTGGATCACTTGAGGTCAGGAGTTCAAGACCACCCTGGCCAACAGGGTGAAACCCCATCTCTACTAAAATTTAAAAAAAAAAAAATAGCCGGACATGGTGGCATGCACCTGTAATCCCAGCTACTCTGGAGTCTAAGGGAGGAGAATGGCTTGAACTGAGGAGGTGGAGGTTGCAGTGAGCTGAGATCGCACCATTGCACTCCAGCCTGGGCAAAAAGAGGAAAACTCTGTCTCAAAAAAAAAATTATTAATAACAATAGTAGGAATAAGTGCTGCTCAGACCCAAATGCATGCACCAGAGACCAAGAGCCATTTTGCCTTCCCCTCAGGAGTCCCCATCCATGCATAGCAAGAGTTGGGGCAGAGCTCCCTGCTGTTCACTTGGCACTTCACACTTGAAGACCATCCTTTCCAGCCTTGAGGCCTTCTGTGGATGTCACTGCCCTCCTGCTCATGTGCCACATGTAGACATTTAAGGGAATCTAATACAAAACAAGTTTTACAAAGTGCTGTGTTTCTAGCAAGAGAACCACAGGCCCATTAGATGTAGCCATCTGACTGGTTTTGGAGGGAGAGAAAAAGCTCACATGAGGAGAAAACAGAAAAAGGAAAGAAAGAGAGAGAGAGAGACAGCAAGAAAGAAAGAAAGAAAGAAAGAAAAGAAAAGAGGAAAGAAAGAGAAAGAAAGAAAAGAAAAAAGAAAAGAAGTCATTAGAGAAGAGAAGAAAAGAAAACAGGACCAAGGTAAATACTTAAGAAACACAATTTAAGAATCTTAAGTCAGATCTTTCTATCACAGGGTTGTGGTGAGCACAAAACCTTCTCCATACATGTCCCTGCCTAACCACAATTTAAGCACAGTGTTTTGTAAATAATGGGTGCCAACACAGTCAATACATATCCACTAACTTCCCTGGGATAGGCAAGGTGAGAACCAGACAAGAGTCGTATGGGGCCCTCCCCTGAAGAAATTTGTCTGGTAAATGCTTGATGACTTAAATAGAAAGTTTTAGAGATCAGTTCTGGTTTATCAAAATTCCATAGTACTTTATCTGTCCCATTCTTAGGAAGCAGCTTCTCCGAAGCTTGAAGCTGACATCCCTTACCAGAGATGCCAGGCAATTGTGAAGGGCTCACTCCTGTGTCCCTCATAGCACCCAATAGAGTGCCAAGGACACAGTGCATACTCAATATAGATTGTGCACTCTAGTGAGAGTGTACTTCTACAAAACTAAGAGGAACCGATGTAGCACACCCCCAACCTGTACTTAATATGCAGTGAATTTCAGGCAGAGGAAGGAGGGTGGTGCTCCAGGCCACACAGCCAGCAATGTGGTCAGAAAAAGGACCCTGGTCCTTAACTTCTTGCTTTCCATATACTCTCTTTCCAAGGAAATTAGATCCCAAGTTGGAAGAGGGATTTGATTCAAAGAACTAACCGTGAGGACAGTAGAAATGTGAAAACAGTCTCATCCTTGTCTCTTTTGACATTGAATTTTTTTTTTTTGAGACAGTCTTGCTGTATTGCCCAGGCTGGAGTGCAGTGGCATGATCATAGCTCACAGCAGCCTCGACCTCCTGGGCTCAAGCAATCCTCCTGCCTCATTCAGCTTCCTGAGTAGCTGGGACTATAAGTGTGCACCAACACGCCCAGCTAATTTTTGTACTTTTTGTAGAGACAGGGGTCACACTATGTTGCCCAGGCTGGTCTTGAACTTCAGGTCTCAAACAATCCTCCTGCCTTGGCCTCCATTATTTACAAAACACTGTGCTTAAATTGTGGTTAGGCAGGGACATGTATGGAGAAGGTTTTGTGTTCACCGCAACCCTGTGATAGAAAGATCTGACTTAAGATTCTTAAATTGTGTTTCTTAAGTGCTCGGATTATAGGTGTGAGCCACCATGCCCAGCCTCTGCCCGCTCTTCTAGCTCTTTGTTCCTGAAGTCTCCTTCCCCATCTATGGTGTTAGTCAAGCAGAAGATGCTGGCAGAAAGGTCTGCAGCTGCTGCAGCCAAACAGCAGCAGCAAAGGCTAACCTCCCATGGAGGGAAGGGAACAGCAACTGTCAGGGAGTGCATGGCAGTCCTCAAGGCAGGCACAAGAAGAAAATGGGATTTGTCCAGTGCAAACTGTGTAACGGCTGAGCCAAGGAAATGCAGTCTGTTTCTTCCTGGCCTGTTCAACCAGATCAGCCCCGACTCCTACTCAAGTACTAGACTTCAGCTGTTGAGATTTGAAGAAGTCCCTTTTCCACCCAAGCTTGGAACCAATTGAGACAGTCACAAGAGTCAGGCAGATGGAGATGAAACACCACCCGTATTACTCATAAAGGCTGGGTGGGGAGATAGGCCGTAGGTGTGCAGCGAGATTGAGCTTTCTAATACTAAATCCCAGAATCAGACAGACTCACCCACCCAGTCACAGGCAGCTCTGGAGGCCTGCAGGCCCCCAGCAGAGGCAAAGGTAAGTGGTACTGGAGCAGAGCAGGATAGGGGCTCTCTGCTGGCTGGCCAGGCCCATGAGAGGGAGGAATTGAGCCACACAACTCACTTCCCTCTACAAAACTCATCATTCTATTAAGTCACCCATCTTCTCCTGGGAGGGGTGAGTCAAAGGATACGGAAAGTCCAGAATATTACTGTAATAGAAGGCCCTGCTACATGGAAGCAACATCATGAGTGGTAAGCAAGCCCTCCCCCAACATGAGTCAAGACAAACCAAGCTGCATGTAACAGCGGAGGTTGTCTGAAAGGCTCAGGAAATAATGTTCTTTACTGGGCACAGTGGCTCATGCCTGGAATCCCAGCACTTTGGGAGTCTGAGGTGGGAGGATGGCTTGCATCCAGGAGTTCAAGACCAGCCTGGGCAATGTGGCAAGACTCCATCTTGCCCGTAATCTCAACACTTTGGGAGGCTAAGGTGGGCAGATCACTTCAGATCAGGAGTTCAAGACCAGCATAGCCAAACATGGTAAAACTCTGTCTCTAATAGAAATACAAAAATTAGCCTGGCGTCATGGTGCACTCCTGTAATCCCAGCTACTCAGGAGGCTGAGGTGCCAGAATCACTTGAACCTGGGAGGTAGTGGTTGCAGTGAGCAGAGATCACACCACTGCTCTCCAGCCTGGGTGACAGAGCGAGACTCTGGCTCAAAAAAAAAAAGAAAGAAAGAAAAAAATAAAACGATGCTCTTCTTTTTCCCCGATCTTCTTCCTCTTCCCACGAACCGTGCTCCTGACTTTCTGGTACTCACTCTCCTTACAGCTGCCCCTCTGTAGTTTGGGTCATGGCACTCTTGCATGAAGGAAAGGAGTAACAACTAAACCGGAGATTTTTACTTCAGTGATGGTTGAAGCGGCACATTCCACAAGGTAGAGAATGAAGAAGTGATACAGGAGCAGGGGCAGGGAAGTGCTGGGAGGAGAAGGGTGGGGTCCCTGGCGAGGGAGCCACCCTCGGGTCTGTGCCCACGGACCTAGGTGAGGACAGGCACTCCTGTTTTCACACCCAAATGTTGCATTTTCCAAGATGACCCTGGCCCGCCATGCCCCCATTCTGTGCCTATAAAAACCCCCGAAACCCTAGTGGGTAGAGACACAAGCAGCTGGACGTCAAGAGGAGCACACGGGCAGAACATACTGGCAGGCTCCAGCAGACCCTGGCAGGCCATCCACCGGTGGAACAAGGAAGCCAGAGGAATTTGGCCGGGGTGGTTGGAGTTGAGTCTGGCTACTGAGCAACAGACTCCAGGGAAAACCACCTTCCCACTCTGTCCCCCTTCTGGCTCCCCATCCATCTGCTGAGAGCTACTTCCACCATTCAATAAAACCCTGCACTCATTCTCCATGTATTTTTGTATGTAGGATAAAATTCAAAACACTTAACTGTGCCCACATGTGATGCAATTTTTCCGATACACTAAGGCAAGAACCCCAAGACGAAAAGCCCTCTGTCCTTGCAATAAGGCAGAGTGTCTAATTGAGCTGATTAACACAAGCCGCCTACAGATAGCAAAACTAAAAGAGCACACTGTAACACATGCCCCACTGGGGCTTCAGGAGCTGTAAACATTCACCCCCAGACGCTGCCGTGGGGTCAGAGCCCCACAACCTGCTCATCTGCCTGCTCCCCCTAGAGGTTTGAGCAGCGGGGGGCACTGAAGAAGCGAGTCACAGCCCCATGGCATGCTCTGCGAGGGGGACAAGGGAACTTTTCCCATCTCAGAAGGAGGAGCAGGTCAGATTGGTGTACTGGCTGAGGAGGACTGCCTCCTAACCTCTTCCCTTTCTTCCCAAAAGAATGAAGAACACAAGCAAAAATAATCTAAAATCATTTCATATTACTGTTCAGAGCCAGAGGGGAATTCTGGTATAATATCAAATATATTTGGTGCTCCTGAAACCCTTGGAATAATTTCCTGAGTTATAGGAGTGTATTTTGCTATTCATAATAAGCCCCTTTGGATCACACCTGAGTTTATGCTAATGAGGTGACTTAGGGTAGGGCCCCTGGAGAGCCTCAGGATGGGGGCTGTCACCAGAAAGACCAAGTGATCTAAGGGCTGGAACTTGCAGCTCCATCCAGATCTCTGGGAAAGAAAGGAGAAGAAGCTGGAGGTAAAGTTCTATAAAACCTGTTGTACAATAAGATTTGAAAGCTTTAGGATTGTGGAGCTTGTGGAGGTGGTTGGAGGGTGGTGCCTGAGGGCATGGAATCTCCATGCTCCTTCTTACATATCTATGCGACTCTTCCATCCAGGCTGGAGTGCAGTGGCATGATCTCGGCTGGCCGCTGCAACCTCCACCTCCTGGGTTCAAGCAATTCTCCTGCCTCAGCTTCCCGAGTGGCTGGGATTACAGGCACCCACCACCATGCTTGGCTAATTTTTGTTTGTATTTTTAGTAAAGATGGGGTTTCACCATGTTAGCCAGGCAGGTCTTGAACTCCTGACCTCAGGTGATCCGCCTGCCTTGGCCTCCCAAAGTGCTGGGATTACAGGTGTGAACCACCTCGCTCACCCTGTAATATCCTTTATAATAAAGTGATAAACGAGTTTTCCTCAGTTTTGTAAGCCATCCTAGCAAATTAATCAAACCTAAGGAGGGATAAGGAGAACCATGATTTACAGTCAGCAGTTCCGAAGTATAGGCGACGGCCAGGCCTGGTGGCTCATGCCTGTAATCTCAGCCCTTTGGGAGGCCAAGGCGGGAGGATCACTTGAGCCCAGGAGTTCAAGACCAGCCTGGGCAACATGGCAAAACCCCATCTCTACTAAAACTACAAAAATTAGCTGGGCATGGTGGCATATGCCTATAGTCCCAGCTACTTGGGGGGCTGATGTCGGAGGATTGCTTGAGCCCGGGAGTTCAAGGCTACAGCAAGCCATGATTGCACCACTGTACTCCAGTCTGGGCTACAGAATGAGACCTTGTCCCAAAAACAAAAACAAACAAACAAACAAAACCAGAAGTATAGGTGACCATTTCAGATTGGCATGTGAGGTGGGAAGCAGTCTTGTGGGACTGAGCCCTTCATCTGTGGCTAATTGAACTGAAGTAAAGGATGCCCGGCAGGGCTGTGCTGGAGTGTTGCTTGGTATGTAGAGATTTCTTCACCCCACCCCCACACACACTTCTCCCCATGGAAGTGTGCAGTGTTGAGTGAGAGTAGAGAGAGGAAAAAAAGTTTGTTTTTTCCTCCAAAGAATCAAATGAGTCAACTCTAGAGCACACTGCAGGATTTCCAAAGCTCAGTCTTCCCCTGTAATCTTCACTTGTGCATTCATTCTATAAACATCTTCATGGAGCACCTACAAAGTAGGAGGCCCTATACTAGGCACTGGGGACACATTGCAGCCCTCGTGAAATTTTTGTCAATCCGTAAGTCAAACAAGAATCTGCTGAGCATCTATTATGCACCCCACCATGCTGGGTACTCAGTGAATCCCTCTGAGACTTGCCCCCTCCGGCCTGCAACAGTAAAGTACCTGAAAGCCTGGTTTCCTTTACTTTGAGGAGAGATTTCTTCTTCACAGATTGCCTGGGGGTGGCAGACAGTTTAGGAAAACAATATACAGGGCTGATTCTAGAAATTAAATGACGTGTCTCTCATGGAAGATTGCACAAATTCTGAAGAAGGGTTGATGAGCATTACCCTTAAATAGGTAAAACCATTCTAAAAAATAACACCTCAGTGGCTTTAAAAACGTTAAAGGGGTGAAACTCTGCAACCCACTCTTTACGGGGGCGCAACTGCTGACCCCACCATGGCTCTTAGAGAGATAGATCTGTACATTTTTAGATACCATAGAAAGATTTATTTCTGCCTGAGCTTCTTCAGAGCATTGTACATTTTTATAAAATTGTAAAACAACACAGCAGGCAAAAGAATAAAAGCTTTTTCCCTCCTTTAGTCTCAATATAACTGTGTATGAAGGGCGGAGAGCCAAAAAGTTCACATTCAGAAACTCTGGTGCTATTTGTAGCTCCCTAATAACCAAAACTTTTTTGGCCATCTACTCATCCATTCATTTTGTTATCTCTAAACCTCAAAAGCCTGAGGGTAGGCACGTAGTAGGTTATTAGTGAGGACTTATTGAATGAACAGATAAATGAATGAATGGATGGCTAAATGAATGAATGAAATATCCAGAGATCAGTCCATAGTAGATCCACCTTCCCACAAGCACAGAGTAACTTCAGGAGTGGGCATCAGAAACTCTTATTTATACCCCACTGGAGACTGGAAGCAGAGAATTTCTTGTGTGCTGACCCTTAAGGGGAAGAAATTGAAGAGAGAAATACAAAGGACTCACTCAAAAAGACTGCTGAATCCAAGAACTAGAGAACTGGAGAAATGTGTGATTCAATCTATCACCCACCCTCAGGTCAGTAATTACCTGTTAAGCTTGGTGAGGGATGCATGAGGCAGGAGGTCAGCCTGGGCAACATAGCGAGATCCTATCTCTAAAAAAATAAAATATATATAATTACTTCAGCTTCATTGCAAATATTCATTGAGCTTTTACTATGTGCCAGGAGCTATGTCTACCAAGGTGAATAAGACCACACACTCCTATTCCTCCAGCTTACATCCCACCATCTTTTCTGTGACCAACTGCTCATTCCTGCTTTCATTTTCCTGTCTATGAATTTAGAGTCCTTAGTCCAACATTGTGCTAACCATTCCCTTGTAAATGTCTTCAACTCCCTTGCCCTCTCTCCCCTATTGCACACACACAGCAAACCTTTGCTTATGAATGAAATCTGAGACCCACTTCCCCTATGCCAGCTCAGCATTGCTGGAGAAAGTCACACAACTGTGCCAACTGATGTCATTTATAATATGTGACCCAAACTCATCCTTCTCCCAGTTATCTGATTTCAGTAAATGGCACCATGGCCCACCCAAATATTTAGGCCAGAAATTCCCTTTTACCTCATGCCCCATGTTCAAACCATCACCAAGATATGGATACCATGTCTAACATAAATCTGAGACCCACCTCTTCTCTCCATCTTCATCTGCCACCACCTTGTCCAGGTCTCTAACACCTCTCACCTGCACCACTGAAATGGGCTCTGAATTGGTCTGCTGGTTTATTCACTGAAAGAATGAAAGAGAAGTATTAACTTCTAAACTGGGTCATGTTTGCAGCAGTCACTATCTGCCACATATCTTTACCTTTACCACTTCAGTACTCACTAACCTGACTTCCGACAGCAGAACCCATATTTCTTTGCCAGAAGATTTTCTCTGGTAAAGAAGCTGTTTTGTCTACCCCTTGCAGCAGGCTAGAAATACCTGCTTGTGCCTCACAAGACATTTTCTTGTCTCCCAGACCTCAAGCAATGGCTTACAGGATTGGGTGTATAAATACTCCAGTTCTGGGCCAGTTGCAGTGGCTCACACCTGTAATCCCAACGCTTTGGGAGGCTGAGATGGGAGGACCACTTCAGGCCAGGAGTTTGAAATTTGCCTGGAAAACACAGCAAGACTCTGTCTCTGCAAAAAAAAAAAAAAAAAAAAAAAAAAAAAAAAAAATATATATATATATATATATACACACACACACACACACGCACATATATATATACACACACATATACACACACACACACACACATATATATATATATATATATATATATATACACACAAAATTAGCAAGGTGTGGTGCCCATCTGGGGTCCCAGCTATTGGGGAGGCTGAGATGGAAGGATCGCTTGAGCCCAGGAGTTCCAGGCTGAGGTTAGCTATGATCATGCCACTGCACTGTAGGCTGGGCAACAGAGCCAGACCCTATCTCTAAAATAAACAAAATAAATAAATAAATAAATAAATATCAGCCGGGTGCAGTCGCTCATGCCTGTAATCCCAGCACTGTGGGAGGCCAAGGTGGGCAGATCACTTGAGGTCAGGAATTCAAGACCAGCCTGGCCAACATGGCAAAACCCCATTTCTACTAAAAATACAAAATTTAGCTGGGCATAGTGGCATGCGCCTGTAACCCCAGATACTCAGGAGGTTGAGGCACAAGAATCACTTGAACCCGGTAGGCAGAGGTTGCAGTGAGCCGAGATTGTGCCACTGCACTCCAGCCTGGGCGGCAGAGTGAAACTGCGTCTCAAAAAAATAAATAATAAATAAATAACAAATAAATACATATCCCAGTTCTCTCAAACTCAAGTGGGATAACTTGAGGGGTACATTCTAAAGTGGTTCCCAGAACTCTTCAGAGGGATTAAGCTTCAGTTATCCACAGTGATAACTTGATTTATAACTCATCCTTTGTTGGATTTCTTCCCTCTCCTGCCTCAGTTTCCCACTCTTCTATTGATGCTTCCTTACACCACCTCCCAAACAGACTACTTTGACTTGGTCTTCTTCCAGGGGAAACCAGACAAAGCCAATGTCTCTTTCTACCATCCTTACCACGGCATATTATTGCCTTTAGGATAAAATTCAAAACACTTAACTTTTCTCCAGAAGGTCCTATATGCTACTCCTACATTTTAATTCCCTTTCCCACAACACTGGTTTCATATTGCCTCCTTTATTTTTTTTTCCCCCAAGTCAGGTTCTCACTCTGGCACCCAGGCTGGAGTGCAATGGCATGACCACAGCTCACTGCAGCCTCAACCTCTTGAGCTCAATGAATCCTCCCACTTCAGCCTCCTGAGTAGCTGGGATTACCAGATGAGCACCACCATGCCTGTGTAGTTTTTGTATTCTTTGTATGTAGAGATGGGGTTTCACCATGTTGCCCAGGCTGGTCTTGAACTCCTGAGCTCAAGCAGTCCTCCCGCCTTAGCCTCCCAAAGTGCTGGGATTACAGGCATAAGCCACCACATCCTGCCTGCCTCCTTTCAATTCTTTGAATATTCTCAGCCCTCTGCCACCTCAGGGCCTTTGCACATCCCATTCCCTGGGCCTGGATCACCCTTGCCCAGCTCTTCACATGCTGGCTTGACCCTCTTCCTCCAAGTCTCAGTTCAAATTTCTTTTCTTAGACAGAATTAGTAAAGGCCTTCCTTTATTAATTCATCTAGTTTTTCCTGATATTCTCTTCCTTTATTGGCTTCATGGCACTTACTACAACTTGTAATCCTGTTTGTGAGTTTGCTTAAGATTTGTCTCCCGACTAGACCGGAAGCTCCAAGGAAACAGAAATCTTAGCTTTCTTAATAAGGACATGGCAGAGGGCCTAGCATATTGGAAGCCACCAACTGCCAATTTTATTTTTAAGATCAAACAAAATCTTAACCTCAAAGGGTTCACAGTATAATAGAAGAAATTTGTATACAAATATGTAATTTCCATGAAGTTAAATTGCCATGGACAGAAGGCGCTAATGGATCACAAAGCTCACAGTGTCAGATAAAAGAAATGGCACCTCATTTTATTGATCCAACAGCCTCTAAGTCCCATGAGGTACTGTGAACCCCCAAAATCTGAGACAGATCTCAGTCAATTTAGGAAGTATATTTTGCCAAAGTTAAGGATGCATGTCGGTGACACAGCCTCAGGAGGTGCTGACATGTGCCCAAGGTGGATGGAGCACAGCCTGGCTGCCTTCTGCCATGACTGTAAGCTCCCTGAGGCCTCCCCAGAAGCTGATGCTGCTATGCTTCCTGTACAGCCTGCAGAGCCATGAGCCAATTAAACCTCATTTCTTTATAAATTACCCAGTCTCAAGTATTTATTTATAGCAGTTTGAGAACAGACTAATACAGAGGTAGAGTTTCTTTAAAATGAGCTTTACCACACAAACCATAACTATTCTCTCACCCACATTTATGTAAGTGCCCAGAAGTATAACACTCTGTTGTCCCACAATCCCCGCCCCATTACAAATATTCAGACCATGTTCCTCCCTTGGCATAAAAGTCAGCAAATAGTCCCTTCCTTTTCTGCCCCTCTAACCCCAGTGTGGGACTAGTGCTAATGATTATTATGACCAGTATGTCAACTGATCACAACTTAACAGAATTGTATACTCAAAGAATCATAGGATTACAAAGAGCCTAATGAGATTTGTCCGATTATGAATTTAATAAAGGTAAAAATTATATGCCCAACTTGAGAGGAAACCCTTATTACTTTTTCCCTCCCCTACCAAAGAAAGTTAACAGAGGTAAGCATCCATTTAGGTCCTTCCTTTTTAAATTTGCATAATAAAAATTTTCAACACAGAGAAGTAGAGAGAGCTGGGCACAGTGACTCACGTCTGTAATCCCAGCACTTTGGGAGACTGAGGTGGGAGGATCCTTTGAGCCCAGGAGTTCAAGACCAGCCTGGGCAACATGGTTGAGACCCCATCTCTGGAAAAAAGAAAAAAATTCGCCAGAATGGTGACACACAACTGTGGTTCCAGCTACTCAGCAGGCTGAGGTGGAAGGACTGCTTGAGCCAGAGAGGTCGTGGTTGCAGTGAGCCATGATCACGCCACTGCACTCCACCTTGGGCAACACGGCGAGACCCTGTCTCAAATAAAGAGAAATAGAAAGAGTAATATCATGAACCCATCACTCCTGTATCTATTGCTCATCTTCAACAATCATCAAGGCCAATTTTATTTCATCTCTAACCTCCCTTCCTGCCCCCATACATTTAACCCCTACCTTGAAACTTTGGGATATATTTTTTTAATTTCAGATATCACAGATATCACGTCATTTCATCTACAAATACCTCATCTGTAATACGTATCTCTTAAAAATAATCTTTTAACATTACTACTATCCAAATTTTTTAAATCCCTTAATTTCATCAAATATCCCTGTACTTATTTCCTTATGTAAACCAAAAATAAAATTCTAAGGCCCCCCCAACCATCCAAATGGACCCCTCCTCCCAGCCAAAGGCATTTCAAAGTTAACCCAAAAAACTAGTTCAGGCCATAATGGAAGAGGGGGTCAAACATGTCCCATTATATCCTCCATCATTAACATCAAAACAGAGCTTAAGTCTGAAAAGAAACATTTACAATCTATTCTCTCTGAAGCCTGCTACTTGGAGGCTTCAGCAGCATGATAAAACCTTGGTTTCCACAACCCTTTATCATAACCCAGATATTCCTATCTATTGACAATAACTCTTTCAACCAATTGCCAATTAGAAAATTCTAAAATCTAGGCTGGGCATGGTGGCTCACACCTGTAATCCCAGCACTTTGGAGCCCCAAGTGGGCAGATCACTTGAGGTCAGGAGTTCAAGACCAGCTTGGCCAACATGGTGAAACCCCATCTCTACTAAAAATATTAAAAAAAAAAAAATCAGCCGGGTGTGGTGGCACATGCCTGTGATCCTAGCTACTCAGGAGGCTGAGGTGGGAGGATTCCTTGAACTCAGGAGGCATAGGTTGCAGTAAGCCAAGATTGTACCACTGCACTCCAGCCTAGGCAACAGAGCGAGACTCCATCTCAAAAATAAATAAAATCTACTTATGACCTGGAAGGCCCCCTACTTTGAGCTGTCCTGCCCTTCCAGATCAAACCAATGTAAATCTTCACAGGTATTGATGGATGTATCGTGTTTCCCTAAATGCATAAAAGCTAGCTGTACCCCGACCACCATGGGCACATGTCCTCAGGACTTCCTGAGGCTGTGTCATGGGCGTGCCCTTAATTTTGGCAAAATAAACTTTGTAAATCAACTGAGACCTGTCTCAGATACTTTTGGGTTCACACCTAAGTATCTCATGTTGTGTTTGTTTTATAGTTGGCTTGTTCAAATCAGGATCCAAACAAGGTCTACACTTGCATTTAGTTGATAAGTCTCTTAAATCTGTTTTAATTTATGGCTTTTGCTTCCATCTGCCATGGCTCCCCACCCACCACACCCTGTACCAGGATTACATTTTGAGACAATCTTTCCAAGCCTTGTGAACACACTGTTTTCTGATTTCAACTGACTCATCTCTCCTGCTAAACTAATAAAAACCTAATAGACCACCTTCTTTTTATTTTAAATTTCTTTTTTTGCTGAGAAAGGGTCTCACCATGTTAGCCAGGCTGGTCTTGAACTCACGGCATCATGCAATCCTCTCTCCTCAGCCTCCCAACACACTGGGATTATAGGCATGAGCCAACATGCCTGGCCTAGACACCCTTCTTTAAGATATAACTTTAAGGGGTATGCTTGGATTTAGGTCCATGTTAAAGTATTAAAATTTATCAATGAAAGATAGTCTGATTATACCTTATACTGGAGGAGATAAGAGTCAATTTCACACAACAGTTGCTATAACACTTTTTTAAAACTCTACTATCAGGGGATGTTTCACAAAAGTCAATAAGTATTTTGTTCCGTTGACGGTGCCTTTGCCATAGCTTTTAAATAATATGAAACCAGAAAATGTTTCAGTGGCAATACACATCAGTTACATCCTGATAATGGTACCCCTTCACCCTAGACCTTCTTAAGGTTACTTTTATATTCTTCTCTCTATGAAGTGGCGTAAAACTAATAGCTTCACAGGAAAAATCTCACTGAGACCTCTTGGCAAGTTTCCCCCAAGCTGAGTCGCATCTGTGGAGAACTGGTGTGAAGTGAAAACACAGGGAATAACAGATATCTGTGAATTTATTTGGGTCAACTTGACGCTATTAACTGCAGGCTTTGATGGAAATGCTGTGAACCCTCCTCCCTAGTCTGGCTTCCTTGCTTAGGACCCAGGAGGAAGCACATTCTCAAGGTCTGTTTACTCTTCCAACCTGGTTCCACTGGGCTTGCACCTCACCCCTGCGCTTAACACCTGAACAGGCAAAGTTTTGCACTGTAAACTTGGAGGTGTGAGTCTCATTATTGCTTTTCCTATGGTGCATGCCTGGGATTTGTCCAGCGCTAGAACAGGCAAGAGTTCAAAGCAGCCTTGATGGCACCTTTTCATGGCTTGAGTCAATTAGCAAGGGATTCCAAGCTGGCCTGGAAGTCCTGGCTGCCAGAAAGTCCCCGGAGCAACAGTTGGAATAAAAATAATAAAAACAACTACAGAGTAATTTGTGAAAATGCCAAGTACAGCACAAACACACTGACCCTTGTAAACCTTGACATGAACTGGGAGAGGTGGGGCCCAGCGTGCCTTCAGGATGGCAGAGGTGGGAGGCTGCTGCCTTCCTGCCAATTCTCCAGCCTTTCCAAATCTTCCTAACACCTAACATCGTCCAACCAAACTCTCCTAACACCGCTCACTCTACCTGACCAGACATCTGGGTCATCCAGTCTTTCATCCAAGCAGGCCCTCTCTCCACACAACTCCTTTCTTCCACAAATGAAAGTGTTGCATGTATAAGGTAAGGCCAGAGCCCGCAACTCTAACAGCCTGTTAAAAACAGCAGCTTCCAAAAGAGGGCCTGCTAAACAGCTCTTCAAGCCTCTAATGACTCCCAGAACCTAAATAAGTCAACATTAAACTTCCAGGCTCTACAATTTAGCCTTTTCTCTTCTCCTTCCTCCCATTAAATGGTTCAGGATATACGCACCACTGTTTACAAAAAAGCAAATACTTCTCTTAAGATAAATGGACTTTCTCTAAGCTCACAGCTGTAAAAGCTACAAAAAGCTACAGAAGTGATTGATAAACCACCACAGCTTAGTTTATATAGACACAATTAAAGCTAAGGACAGCCCAAATCACATTTTGTTACTACTGTGTATATTGAAATAAAGACTGTTTTAGGATTCCTACACTTGACCATATTAGGAAGGTGAGGAAAAAATAATCTAAATTGGAAAGAGAGAAATAAAGGAAGATTTGATTTTATTTCATATACATTTGCAATTTTTTAACTTTATTTTATTATTATTATTATTGAGACAGGGTCTCACTCTGTCATCCAGGCTGGAGTGCAATGGCATGATCTTAGCAGCACTGCAACCTCCGCCTTCCAGGTTCAAGCAATTCTCCTGCCTCAGCCTCCCGAGTAGCTGGGATTACAGGCGTGCCATGCCAGCCTACATTTTCAATTTTTTTTTTTAATCCTCACTGTGGGCCAGGCACGGTGGCTCATGCCTGTAATCCCAGCACTGTAGGAGGCTGAGGCGGGTGAATCACCTGAGGTCAGGAGTTCCATATCAGCCTGACCAATATGGTGAAACCCCATCTCCACTAAAAATACAAAAATTAGCCGGGCGTGGTGGCACATGTCTGTAGTCCCAGCTACTCTGGAGGCTGAGGCAGGAGAATCACTTGAACCTGGGAGGCAGAGGTTGCAGTGAGCTAAGATCGTGTCACTGCACTCCAGCCTGGGCAACAGAGTGAGACTCCATCTCAAAACAAAATAAAAAATAAAAAATCCTCATTGTGGTTCTGCTGGGGGCAGGCCAGGGGACAGGAAAAAAGGTAGTGACCAACAAGAGACATAGATGGGGCTTCCAGGGGATGCTGGTGATGTTCCCCATTTCTGAACTGGGGTGTTTTTTGTTTGTTGTATAGAGTCAAGGTCTCACTGTGTTGCCCAGGCTGCTCTCGAACTCCTGGGCTCAAGTGATCCTCCTGCCTCAGTCTCCTAAAGTGCTGGGATTACAAGCATGAGCCTCCGTGTCTGGCCAAGGATCATTCTTGGTTTTCTGCCTTAGTAAGTTCCAAAAATACCACTTTCCCCCTTTCCTTCACCTCCCCCAAGTCTGCCTCAGTTGGGCTGGGGTGGGATGCAGCTATCTGCTTTTATAAAAGTCATATAATTCGCAGGTTCTTGGGATTTGCAAAAAGTAATAATAATAATAAAAGTCATGTGAGATAACTTCTGAGCAGGTGGTTTAGGAACACACTTTAAGATACAGTGAGTTCTTAGAGGCCTCCATAAGAAATACTTAAAAATAAACTTTTGCAATATAAATGTATTTATTACCACTAAACTGAACACTTAAAAATGGTAAAGATGGTAAATCATATATGTGTATTTTACTTCAATAAAAATAAATTTTTAAAAAAATAAAAACTATTCTGTGAAAAAAAATAATAAACTCTACTCTAAATGTATTTGGGTGTTATAAAAGCAGATAGCTGGATTCCACCTCAGTCCAACTGAGGCGGACTTGGGGGAGGGCGGGGAAAGGGAGAAACTGGTATTTCTCTAGTTTATCTGAGGCAGAAAACCAAGAATAATCCTTGGCCAAATGCAGTGGCTCATGCCTGTAATCCCAGCTCTTTGGGAGGCTGAGGCAGGAGGATCACTTGAGTCCAATAGTTGAAGACCAGCCTGAGCAACAAAGCAAGACCCCATCTTTACAAAAATGAAATGAAATAAAAAAAATTAGCCAGGCATGTTGGTGCATGTCTATAATCCCAGCTACATGGGAGGCCGAAGCAGGAGGATCCTCTGAGCCTAGAAGGTCGAGACTGCAGTGAGCTATGATTGTGCCACTGCACTCCAGCCAAGACACCAGAGTGAGACAAGACCCTATATCTTGGGAAAAAAAAAAAAAAAACCTTCCTCTCACACACACTGCACACACTGCCCACATCCAGACAGACATCAGTTCCATCCCATGGCCCAGCCTCTAGCCTCTCTTTCTTGATCTCCTAATATGTGTCCTGATTTTATTCTTGCCCTCTGCGTATTTGCCCTCCATATGGTTTCCAGGATAATATTTCAAAAACACAAACATGACTATTTAATAAAGAGCCCCCTTTACTAGCCCCCTAACACTCACACCAAAATACATGCAATTAAGCCCAGCTCCTTAGCAAGGTCTACAGCCCTGCCTTTCTATCTTCCTCTCCCCTGACTGCGCTCATCATCCCCACATCTCCAGCCTGCTTTCTGGTTCCCAAACACATCATGTTCTTCTGCACCTTTTTGCCTTTGCTAATTTTGTCTCCTCTGCCTGGAAGGCCCATACATTCCCTTCTCCCCCTGGCAGAGTTCTACTCAAATGTGAGGCTAAGGCCACATCAAATGCCACCTTATCTGCCTTCCTTTCCTGCTGGAAGTTCCTTCCCTTGCTATCTGTCACCACTAGAATGACTATAATGAATATATTATGTCTGTTATTTACGAAGAACTTCTCTACTAGATTATCGTCCCCTAAAGAAATGGATCATACCTTGTTCTCTATGAAGTTCTAAAGCCTTACATAGTTTCTGATGCATATTAGGTGCTCAATAAATATTTCCTCCACTGAATTTAATCAACTCTAACAAAAGAAAACCAAAAAAAAATCTATTACTTGGGCTGCGCGCAGTGGCTCACATCTGTAATCCCAACACTGGAAGGCTGAGGCAGGCAAATCACATGAGGTCAGGAGTTCAAGACCAGCCTGGCCAACATGGCGAAACCCCGTCTCTACTAAAAATACAAAAATTAGCCAGGCATGGTGTTGTGTGCCTGTAATCCCAGCTACTTGGGAGGCTGAGGCAGGAGAATGGCTTGAACCCAGGAGGCGGAGGTTGCAGTGAGCCAAGATCACGCCATTGTACTCCAGCCTGGGTGACAGAGAGAGACTCCATCTCAAAAAATAAATAAAATAAAATCTATTACTTGGCTCTTCAGCCTTGGGCTCTCTTACCTAAACTGTTTCCTTTCAATTCCCTTCCAATTATGGTGAATACTGGTCATTTCTGGCCTACAAAGACGATGCTGCAGAGGCCATCTTTCTTTGCTAAGCCTCTTCTCATTGGCCAGGCTTGGGCCTGAGCAGCCAACACTGGTGCCAGCAACTATAATTACACACTTCTCCTGTGAACAGCGGCCATGACCCAGCAGCAAGGTGAGCACGGTAACTGGAAAGTGCTCTGTCTTTGCCAGTTCTTAGAGCCTTCTTCTGTCACCTTCTGAAGCACCAGGCAGCAGATAGAATTACCCTCACCCAGAGCAGAGATGTCTTGTAGGATACTTAACTCCCTCCAAGCCAAACCACCTTTTCTTCCAAACCTCACCTTCTCAGAGGTTGCTCTTCCAGCCTGAGATGCAGAGAATCATCTTGGAATGATTTGAGTTCTATGGGTAATCACACTGACTCAGTGGCTGGGCATAGCTTGGGGAGGCCCATGGCTGAAAACAGGTTCAGGTGGACAAGCACTGGGTCCATAGAAAGCATTTCAAAAAATTAAGATGATGAGCAGCTTTCAAATTATACCATCTTCACATTGAAAAGGACATTTAATAAATACCGAGTATCACAGAAGCAATTTAGAGATCAACAAGTCCATACCCTCATTTTACAGATGAGGAAACTGAGACCAAGAAACGGGGGGTGACTTTCTCAAGGTTACCCAGCTATTTGGCACTGAGCTTCATTCCATTCAGCATTCTTTCCAGCTTCCACACTTAAGCTCAGGGACTCGCTGGCAAAAACAAAGTCCAGGGTTTCCCAACATCTCTGCCCAGTCCATCTCTTATCGACTCACTTGTCTTTAAGAAGGTTGCAGTTTTAGTCCCACGGTCTGTGTACTGAAACTGCACATCAGACCCCTCAGCAAATCCACAGGATGTCCCCTCTCCCATGCACTTGGAAGCTTCCACTTAAGCCACAGTTTCTATACCTGCACCAGACCACACAAAGTGATTTTTAAAATTACAGAATTCTGGCCCTCTATATTAGTATTTTCCATTTCAGTAGATCTGGGATGGAGCTCAAGCAAGAGTTTTTTTTGTTTGTTTGTTTGTTTTTTTGAGATGGAGTCTCGCTCTGTCGCCCAGCCTGGAATGCTGTGGTGTGATCTCGGCTCACTGCAAGCACCACCTCCCGGGTTCATGCCATTCTCCTGCCTCAGCCTCCTGAGTAGCTGGGACTACAGGCGCCCGCCACCATGCCTGGCTAATTTTTTGTATTTTTAGTAGAGACAGGTTTTCACCGTGTTAGCCAGGATGGTCTCGATCTCCTGACCTCGTGATCTGCCCACCTCAGCCTCCCAAAGTGCTGGGATTGTAGGCTTGAGCCACCACGCCCGGCCGCAAGTGTATTTTTTTTTTTAACTCCTTCACTAAGTCTTCTGTGACTCAAAATTTCAGGACCAGTAGACCAGCTGCCCTTTTTGGGTCCTTCCTGACCTAGAGATATATGCTTCTACATAATGTGGAATCCCCGACCTCAGATTCACTGGTGTTCCATTATTTCTGATTTTTCTTTAAAAAGGATAAAATCAGAAGTATGAGTTTGTTATCCAAACTTAAAGCAAGAAAACGGGCATCCAGAGAGAATGTGAAAGTTACTCAAGGTCACCGACAGACTGCCTCCATCAGCAGTAGACGTTTTAACTCAAAGACCATGCGGTGATGCTGTCCTATAGAATAAGCAGCAAAAAAAAAAAAAAAAAAAAAAAAAAAAAGACCTGTGACCCTGAATGACTCAGCCACTGCCCTGCAAGGTGAAAGTCAATTAATGTCTGTGCACCATCTCTGCATCCATGACATGACAGCGATAATGTTTGCCTCCATTTCAGGCAACAGAGATGCTTATGAAACACTGGAAGGATAAAAGTGTTAGGGGAAGACACAACTGCCTTTTTTAAATAACTCAGATGTGATATTCTCCCTTAAGTGGCCACATTGAGCAAAATTTCCATTTAGATCCAGCATGGTCATATGAAATATGAGAACACTGACATCTTAAACCCCTGTTCATGTAACTTAGGCTATGGCTAACCTCAGTATGGCTACTTTAATTTATAATTTATAAAAATCAGCCTAATACCAAGATACAACTTTCTTAGGTCATTAGATTCTTAGTCTCCAGTAAATCCAAAATCCTATTATAAACTTTGCAAAAAGGGAGGTGCCTCCATGGGGAAAAAAAAATCATAAGCTGGTTCAACTATGAATACTGGACTCTAGGGGCTGGAAACCGAAGAGCTGGCTGAGGATCCTTGCTTAAGTAACCCAAACAACGTTCCTGGAATCATCACGCACCCCTAAGAAAACCTTTATTTTAGCTTCATACACCATCTTGTCCCAAATCCCACTAATTTATGAGCAAACAGAAACAGTGCTATTCAATAGAATGCCTTAGGTAGGATTGAAAGCTCAATAAAGTCTTGAATACAATTCCACTGAGTGATACGAGATTTCAATGGCTACCATCTCCTGGGATTGCAGCTCCTACAATGCTAAGGCTGTTTTGCAATCACGTTCTTCCACCTCCATGCATGTGAAGCTCATACTCAGAGTTCCCTCCAGTTTTCCTACTGGTCTTCAGGATGGGAAGCTCTCACAGATCTTCACTTACATGCAGTGGGAAGCCACAGAGACAGCAGTATAGTAAAAAGAGGAATCTGAAAAAATGGAGCACTGGGACAGAGCAGAGAGAAGTGGACACACAAGTTGAACAAGCTCAAGGGCTAATACCAGAGAAGCAATTGCAAAAACAGAGAAAGAGAGAAAAGGAAGAGAAAGGAGAATAACGTATCTATTTTCAAGATAGATGGTAAGTACAAGAAATAGTTCTCAATTCCAGATTGTTTTGAGTGAGGCAGTAAGAATAGAGGTAAAGGGTGATGGGTGACAGCTGCAAGGAAGAGAAAAGTCATGTCATCCCATGCACTGACTATACCAAGGCAGTGCTGGGACCAAGAAAGCTATAGCTGTCAGGCCCAGGTGAGTTCAGGCTGACCTGGCAGACTGAACTCACACAGCAGTGTGGCTGCACACGAGGTACTTGACATTCTGGTTTCCAAGCCCACAGGGAATACAGAGCCACAGCCTGTCCTAGGCCAGTCTTGGAGGAGGACAGGAAATTCCCAGTGGGCAAAATACATGAGTTTTTTCCCCACCAAATGGACTGGAAACTTCAGCAGATCCCAATTTTGCTCAACCTACGATGTCAACTCCAAATGAAAGTTTTTTAGAACAGGCACGTAGAACAAGTCTCTCAGAGTGGTAAAACCAGATAATGTGCCTGTGCTCTCTGGAGAGCCTCAGAGTCTCTGGGAGGAAGTTGAGGCTGGCGGGGAAGCCACAGGTGCCCACTTGTCCTAGGCAGCTTGGGCTACTATAAGACATAACATAGACTGGGTGACTTGAAAAATAGAAATTTATTGCTCATGGTTCTGAAGGGTAAAAGTACAAGATCAAGGCACCACCATCTAATTCTGTTTGTGGAGAAGAACCTCGTCCTGGTTTGCAGACAGCAATACCCTCACATGACTGAGAGAGGTCATTCCTCTCATGTCTCTTCTTATCAAGGCACTAATCCCATTTATGAGGGCTCCACCCTCATGACCTAATCACCTTCCAGAAGCCCCACCTCCAAATATCATCACACTGGGGATTAGGGTTTCAACATAGGAATTGGGGGCAATAGTGGAGATGACTGAACAAACATTCAGTCCATAGTATCACTAATATTTGTTTTTCTCTTTTGTCTTATAACAAAAAATGTCAACCTACAAAAAGGTGTAACATAAACCAGTTTCCACCATACAGATTTAACAAATGTTAATATTTTGCCCTATCACTTTTGCATCTTTATTCTAAATGTTACATCTACACTTGAACCTTATGGGACTTTTCCCTGATCTTGTTTCCTGAGAAGTAGCCACAGTCATGAAATTTGTGTTTATCATTTAAACCCCTTTTTAAATTTTTACTACATATATATGTGTCTGTATAAACAATATTTGCTATTATTTGGAGGTATTTTTTAAATTTGCATAAAAGGTAGTACATATGATCCTGAAACTTGCTTTTTTAAATTCAAACATTCTGTTTTTAATATTTATCCATACTGCTACATGTAGGTATTTATTTAGAGACAGGATCTCGATCTGTCACTCAGGTTGCAGTGCAGTGGTGTAATCATAGTTCATTGCATCCTTGAACTCCCAGGCTCAGATGACCCTCTTGCCTCGGCCTCCCAAAGTGCTAGGATTATAGGCATGAGCCACCATGCCTGGCGCATTCATTTAATTGTGGTATGTTCTTTCTTCGAATAGCCCTTGATTATTTATTCATTCTTCTTTTGACAGACTTTCAGTTTTCATTTTTGCTGTTACAATACTGCAATGAAATCCTCATTTCTCTAGGGTGTATACCTGGTGATAGGGTACATATATATTTACCTTCCACAAAAACTACCACATTTTCCCTATAATGGCTCTTCCAAAATATGCTAACAATGCGTGAGGTTTACTTTTTCTCTACACTCTAATATTGTTGACTTTTAATTTTCATTAATCTGATGAGTGTGACATAACATCTCATTTTTATTTTAGTTTGCATTTCTATGACTACTGGTAAGACTGATCATCTTCACATATTTTTTCTTCTTCAGATCACCCTCTTCCGGGAATTGCCTGTTCATAATCTTTTCTCACTTTTCCTTTTTTTTTTTTTCTTGGTTAGGAAGTTGTCTCTCAGTTATTTACAGGAGTTCTTTATATTCTTTGCATACTCTGGATGCTAACCCTTTGTTGATTGTGTAGAATGCAAAGTATTCTCCCAAAAGGTAATTTGTATATTAACACTGTGTTGGGTATCTTTTGTCATTCAGAAGGGTTTTATTTCTTAATATAGTCAAGTGTATCAACTCTTCCTTTACAGTTGTAATTTTTGTGTTTTGTATAGAAATTCTTCCCTATCCTGAATGATAGTCTCCTATAACTCATTTTAGAGTTTTGCTTTTTGTAATTAGAGCTTTAATTATTCTAAGATATATTTTTGTGTATGATAGATTATAGACATATTTTAATTTTTTCTCATATAGCTATCCAGTTGCCACAGCAACATTTATTGGAATAGGCCATCATTTTCCCTGATTTGTAATGTCTCTTTTATCACACGTCATGTTTCGTGTATGTTTGGGAGTCTTTGTGGGCTCTCTATTCTTCTCTATTAGTCTTTCTGCTTCATCACTCTGCCAGTATCACACTGTTTTTGATTAAATAGCTACTTAATGAGTCTTGATATCTGCCAAAGCAAGACTCCTCCCCTTCCCCTCCCATTTTCTTCAATTTTTTTTTCAAAATTTTCTTAGCTTATTCTTAGCTTCTTCATCTTCCAAATTAATTTTTGTTTTAGCCTGTGAATTTCAATGAAATTTCTGTTTGGGATTGTGTTAGTTTAGGGGTTAATCAGAAACACAGAACCACTGCGAGTGATATAGGTAAGGGATTTATTATAGGGCTGAGACCTCATACAATTGTGGAAGGTAAACATTTTATGCAAGGTCATTGGTTCCATGTCTGGTGTCAGACCTCAAGTCACCAGAGCCAGCAGTAGGGAAAGAAGATGAATAGGAAAGACCACGAATAATTAGGAACCTGTAAGGACAAACCCATGTCTGTCTGTCACTATCCTCAACCTTCGTGATGACCAGCAGGATACGCCAGCACCCTTCCTCATGGAGCTGCCACACAAAGCTGGTCCAGCTGCTATTTCATGAGCTGTAACAGGGCCTGGCCCTATACTGACCTTCAGGGCATAAAAATGGTTACTATTTCACCTCCACCTTCCAATCTCCCCAAAAATTTTTTCTCATGGCTTACCTTAACCCACAACCATTCAATGAAGGGATGTCTAGGTAACAAAATTCCTACTCAGCTAAGCTGACACTGTTCAAAGCTATCTCTGAGATTTTATTTGGAATGGCTTAAATGTATGATGAATTTAGACCACTTGATAGCTTTAAAATATTGGCTTATTTCATCTATAATATTAGTTTATGTTTTCTTTTATTCAGATCTTTATGATCCTTGAAATGTTTCATACATTTTTCCAGAACATTCTTACACATATTTTGAAACTTAAGAACTGTATAATTTTTTTAAGATGGGTCTCACTATGTTGCCCAGCCTGGTCTCAGACTCCTGGGGCCAAGTGTTCCTCCCCCATTCGCCTGCCAAGTAGCTGAGGTTACAGGCATACACCACTGTACCCAGCTCAGGACCTTACAATTTTTGTTTGATACTTTGAATGGGACCTTTAAAAATTATTGTTTTAGTCCATTTTGTGCTCTTATAACAAAACACATGAGACTGGGGAAGTCTCTCTGAACCTATTCTTATCCAGGGGGTTGCCCAAAAGAAGAAGAAAAACATATGTGAGACTGGGTAATTTATAAAGAAGTTTCTTTGGCTTATAATTCTGGGGGCTGGGCAATCCAGAATTTGGTAGCCCATCTGTTGAGAGTCTCATGCGCTTCAACTCATGGCAGAGAGCAGAAGAGGAAGTGGGCATGTACAAAAAGACCAAATGTGAGGGGCAACAACCCGGTCTCAGATAACCAATCCAGTCCACAGAGACAGCATTAATCTATCCATGAGGGATCCACCCCTATGACTTTAACACTTCCCGCTAGGCCCTACCTCCCAACACTGCCACATCAAAACTCGAATTACAACATGAGTTTTGGCAGGAACAAACTACATCCAAACTATAGCAATTATGTAGACTAAATGATTTACAGTAAAGGTTTTGATTTCTGTAAGTCTGTTGAAAGTGTACCTACTAGTATCTCTAACTATTATTAGGTCTAATTGTGTGCTTGGATTTTTCTATTTAGACAATCCTATCATGTCGAATGTTGAAAATTTTGTGACCAGATGTGGTGGCTCACGCCTGTAATCCCAGCACTTTGGGAGACGAGGGCAGGTGAATCACATGAGGCCAGGAGTTCAAGACAGCCTGGCCAACATGGTGAAACCGTATCTCTACTAAAAATACAAAAATTAGCCAAGCGTGGTGGTGCACGTCTGTAATCCCAACTGTTTGGGAAGCTGAAGCATAAGAATCACTTGAACTGGGGAGGCAGAGGTTCCAGTGAGCCAAGATCACACCACTGTACTCCAGCTTGGTTGACAGAATAAGACTCTGTCTCAGAAAAAAAAAAAAAAAGAAAAGAAAATTATGCCTCTTCTTTTTCATTCCTATGCCTTTTTGTTTTCCTTGTCTTACTGCATTAGCTAGAACTTCTTTCCTCTACAATACTTTTTTTTTTTTTTTGGACAGGGTCTTCCACTGTCACCCAGGCTGGAGTGCAGTGGCAAGTTATAATAGTTCACTGCAGCCTCAACCTCCTGAGCTCAAGCCATCCTCCCACATCACCTTCCCTAGTAGCTGGGATTATAGGCATGCACCACCATACCCAGCTGATTTTTGTATTTATTGTAGAGATGGGGTTTTAACCATGTTGCCTAGGCTAGTCTCATACTCTCAGGCTCAAGTCATCCTCCTGCCTTGGCCTCCCAAAATGCTGGGATTACAGGCATGAGTCACTGTACCCAGGCTACGATCTTGATTAGTAGCAGTGAAGGGAACATTTTTGTCTGGTTTCTAACTTTAAGGATAAAGCATCTAGAATTTCACCATGAAATATCATGTTTCTTATAGATTTTTAGAAACTATTAGTATAAAAACTTCTTCTATTCCTAAGTATTTTATTAATACATTTTAAACTCTAATGTTTTCCTTTCCTCTATAAGGATAATTACATACTTTTCTTTATTCTGATGGTTGGTAGCCAGGCTGTAAGATGCCCTGCAATAATCCTGCCTCCTGGCATTCACACCTTTCTGTAATGTCCTTCCATAATGAGAATGTGGCGGAAGTAATGTTATGTCATTCCTGAGATTAGGTATAAAAAGATTTTTCTTGGTTTATACAGCAAATTAGTTTTCTATATTTTGCTGTTCTATAAATAGTTTTACAATAGAAATTGTTTCTTAAGATTTAGTCAAACTTGCCTGTAAAATTATCTGAGTCTAGTGTCATTAAAGTGATGATTTTTTTAAATTATCAAGCCACTATCTTGAATAGTTACTGATAATTATTGTCAATTCACTTTTAATGTGTTATATTTTTCTAGAAAATTATCCATTCTGTCAGAGTTTCTATTTTATTTATTTTTGGAGACAGGGTCTCAGTCTGTCACCCAGGCTGGAGTGCAGTGGCACAATCTCAGCTCACTGCAACCTCTGCCTCCTGGGTTCAAGCGATTCTCCTGCCTCAGCCTCCCAAGTAGCTGGGATTACAGGTGCCCACCATCATGCCTGGCTAATTTTTGTATTTTTTGTAAAGATGGGGTTTTACCATGTTGGCCAGGCTGGTCTCGAACTTCCAATCTCAAGTGATCCACCAGCCTCAGCCTCCCAAAGTGCTGAGATTGCAGGTGTGAGCCATCCCGCCCAGCCTGTGAGTTTTTAAATTTAACATCATAAACTAGTTCATATTCATCACTTGTGAATTTTAAAAATCTCTATCTGTGGTATAATTTCACTATTATTTATGCTTTTCTCTTTGATCCCTTGATTAATCTTGCCAGAAATTTGATAGTTTTATTAAACTTTTCAAAAAGTCAGCTTTTGCCTTCCTGAGATCCTCTATGGTTCCTTAATTTTCTATTTTATTTAATTTTAGCTTTATCATTACTATTTTCTTCATTTCACTTTCTTTAGATTTACCCTATTATTCCCTCTTTACCTTCTCAAGTACAATAATTTATTTTCAATTTTTCTTGAATGTGTCAAATGCTATAAATTTTATCTTAAGTGTTTTTTTTTTTTTTTTTTTTTTTGAGATGGAGTCTGTCGCCCAGGCTGGAGTGCAGTAGTGCAATCTCAGCTCACTGCAACCTCCGCCTTCTGGGATCAAGCAATTCTCCTGCCTCAGCCTCCCAAGTAACGGGGATTACAGGCATGCCCCCATGATGCTTGGCTAATTTTTGCATTTTTTTTTTAGTAGAGACAGGGTTTCACCATGTTGGCCAGGCTGATCTCGAACTCCTGACCTCAAGTGATCCACCTGCCTCGGCCTCCCAAAGAGTTGGGATTACAGGCGTGAGTCACTGCACCCAGCCCCCCAACAGTTTTTTTTTTTTTTTTTTTTTGAGATGGAGTTTCACTCATGTTGCCCAGGCTGGAGTGCAATGGCAAGATCTCAGCTCACTGCAACCTATGCCTCCCAGGTTCAAGTGATTCTCCTGCCTCAGCCTCCTGAGTAGCTGAGATTACAGGCATGTGCTACCTCACCCAGCTAATTTTTTTGTATTATTAATAGAGATGGGGTTTCACCATATTGGCCAGGCTGGTCTTGACTCCTGACCTCAAGTGATCCACCCACCTTGGCCTCCCGAAGTGCTGGGATTACAGGTGTGAGCCACCACACCCAGCCTAAGATCATTTTTAGATTGCTTTACTATTTTTATGTCACTTGCAATGAATTAATTTCTCCACTATTGACTGTGTTTCTTCTTTCTTTAGTTTTTGTTTGCTTCTTGTGCTGAAGTTTTTGGTTTGCAAGTTTATTTTGTATGGAAGGTTTTTGCTGTTCTCTCTCCTCACCATTCCTGGTCTAACAGTCTTGCAATTACCTCAACCCAGACCCACAGGATCCCCAAACTACAATTGGGTTTTATAATTGACAGCTCAGGAAAGATGTCCTAGGATAATATTGGTGATGCTGCTGTAAGGGGCTTGGTTTAGGTCCTGGCCAAAAGGGTCTTTCTGCTTCCCCCTACAGCACTACTCTGCCTTATATAACCTAGGGAGTGGTCAGTTTCATTTCTTTTAGACCCTCCTTTCAAAGAGGTGGAGGGATAGAGAGTGCCTCTCTCCAGGCCCTGGTTTTAAGCAGTGAACATATTTTTGGTTTTGTTTTAGTTTGTTTTTAGAGACAGGGTCTTGCTATGTTGCCCAGGCTAGAGTGCAGTGACTATTCACTAGCATAATCATAGCCCACTGCAGGCTCAAATTCCTGGCCTGAAGCAATCCTCCTACCTCAGTCTGCCAAGCAGCCGGGACTACAGGCATGTACCACCATGCCTGGTTTGAACCTGGTTTTGATCACCTGCCTGGCAGGACACTCAGGGCCACATTTCAAGGAAGAGTTGATTTATTAACTGCTTCTGCTTGATTTTGTGCCCAAGGCCAAGCTGAGCTATTGCTTCTTACTATTTTTCTGCTGCATTTCTGATTGACAAATTTTTATCTTTTTTTTTTTTTTTAAATAAAAACAGGGTCTTTCTATATTGCTCAGCTGGTCTCAGACTCCTAGGCTCAAGCAGTCCTCCCGCCTTAGCCTCCCAAAGTGCTGGGACTACAGGCATGAGCCACTGCTCCCAGCCTTATCTTATTTTTTAGCATGGCTGTGTCTGTTATGTTTTCTCATTTTATAGTTTGTCTATTATTGGAATCATTGAAGCAAAGATAGTGATTGGAGCATAAATTTATAATACAGTCTTGACAGAAGTCTCCTGCTAATTCTTGTACCAGGCCTCAAGATGCAGAAGTCTTTGTCTACATGGAAAATTTTAATATTCAAAGATGCGGCAGAGATATGCCAGAAGTTGACTCAAAACCTCTATTTTGTAGGGCTGCAAACATTCATTGTTGGCCCACATGTCCTCCTTAAGTGGGGGACATTTGTTCAGCTTTGCCACTAATTATGTGCCTGACCATTGAAGTGGTGGTGGCCAGTTACCATCACAGGGTTGACCTCAGTGACCCACTGCTTAATGATCCCTTTGTCTGGTAGAATCACCCTTCCCTGAGGTTTCCAGTCAAAGAAAGAGGAACAGAACTACTGGTAAGTAAATACATGTTTAAAATGTTAAAAAAACATTCAAATATTGATTTACCTTTCAACTCACAAGGATATGCATCCCAAATTAGGAATATGTGGTAATGTAGCAGCAATGGGGTGGGAGCTACATGAAAAGCTACCAGATAAATACTATCCACCAAGTCTTCCTGGGGTGACAATTTTACAATTAAATTTTGATAAGAAGAAAATTATTTTTATATTAAAACAAATGCAGATAGAATACTAAAGCCATATGAATTTTTATAATAAAGCACCACTCTTCAAAGAAATGAGAAAAAAAATTGCTGTTTTCCTTTGAGTTCAGCCCTTAGAATCTCACAAGTTCACTCCTCTGGACTGTTGGGATATTTTGGTGCAAAAGTTAGAGAGGAATCATCATAAATGAATGAGTTAAAATACAAGACTAAAAGGTGGAATGAGAATGTCCATTTTGGACCAGGCACCATGGCTCACGCCTGTAATCCCAACACTTTGGGAGGCCAAGGTGGGCAGGTCACTTGAGCCCAGGAGTTCCAGACCAGCCTGGGTAACATAGTGAGACCCTGTTTCTTTGTTTTGTTTTGTTTTGACATGGAGCTGTGCTCCGTTGCCCAGGCTGGAGTACAGTGGCACAACCTCGGCTCACTTGCAACCTCCGCCTCCCAGGTTCAAGGGATTCTCCTGCCTCAGCCTCCCTGAACTCAGGTGATCCACCTGCCTCGGCCTCCTTTTGGTATTCATCATCGCCAACATTACATGCTTCCCAGAGCTCTAAGCCTTCTCTAACAGAACAAAATTTCCTATTGACAGGGAGCCCTACTGAGCATTCATTCATTTACCAAATCATTCACTCATCTTTTTTTGTTTTGTTATTCCTAGCCTGTTACTGTTTCATGGATTTACTCATCTTTATATTTTCTCTTACATGTTAGCAATTTTTCACCATAAAAGCTCTCCAAAAGATATGCCATTTTGTGATTTTCTTTCCTTTTCTTCCTTCTTCCCCTTCCCTTTCCTTCCTCCCCTTCCCTTTCCTTCCTTCCCTTCCCTTTTTTATTTTAGTTAACAGTCTTTTTACTCAAAAACTCATTATATAAACAATGAACAGAAGTAATATTTCTTCATTGGGATTTCAAGCAAAAACCCACTCACCTTTTTTTTTTCTTTGACACAATTGTTTATTTTAGAAAATACTATTTGGAATAAATTTAAGTTGTGAGTCATGTTAGGTTAAACTCAAGATGTTAAACTCAAGATGTCTTCTTGTGTGTACATATGCCCAATGAAAGGACTGCGAGGCAGCGTCATCTATGGCTCTTTGATCTGCTGGGAACAGGCATTGTTTCCATATATTTCAAAGCACTCACACCTCTAGCTTTATGTTGCCCTAGAGATATTTTTCTGTGCTATAATTTTATTTTTAGTTCAGTATGGTGCAAAAGTAACCCAAAGGTTGAGAAATTGAAAAAGAAGAAAAAAAGAGTAAGTACAATAAACGTTTAATATGTTACCTTTTATGTATAAACTATATTTAACTTTCTTTTTTGAGACAGAGTCTCACTATGCTGCCCAGGATGGTCTTGAGCAAACCCTCGGCTTAAGGGATCCTCCCACCTCAGTCTCCCAGGCAGCTGAGAATACAGGCACACGCCACTGCAACCAGCCTATATTTAACTTTCCAACTGTTGTTTATTAAATTTTTTCATTCTTCTATTGATTTATTTTTCTGTCTGTGAAAACTGGTATCTTGGAGTGGGATAGAGCACAGTTTTTCCCATTAAAATGAATAGAGCTGTTTTTATTTTTATGTAACAGCTTTTGACTTGGTAGCAGAATTATAATGCACAAATTAAAGTCATTTGGTGGGAGATGAATACACTATGTTCAGGGCAGCCTATGAGGCTCTGGAAATGCAAAGATGAATTGAACACATATCCTACCTGGAACGCAAAATCTAATAGGAGAAAATGATAGGAAAAAGGAAACTTAAGAAGCAATGACACAAATGCTATACTAACAAAACAGGGAGAAACATCTCCTGCAACCAGGAGGATGGACTTCAAGTGGGCATATGAATTCGGGGTAGCGGGAGATGGTTCAAGGCTTTTGCTTAGTCCCCTCTCTTTCAGTAAAAATACTTATATCTTATTCCTTTAGGACTCTGTAAGTTAGCTAGGCTGCTAACCTGCAATAAAGTAACTTTAGGTGAACAGTTAGTGGCTAATAATTATCCAACTCTCTACTAGGCAACTCTACGTGATGGTCCCACAGAGATCTCAAACTCAACTCCTCCAAACCCAATTCTTCCTCCTCACCTATAGATTTGTGATTTCCACCATTGTCCAAGCCAGAAACCCAGGAGTCATCCTCATCCCTTCCCTTGCCCTTATCCACCAAATCGGATTCCCATGCTTCGTCCATCTTTTTGCCATTCTCCTATTCCGAGCTACTTCCATCTCTGTTTTGGACTCTTATCTCTGCTCCTTGGTGCCCTTCAATTCAGCTTACAGACAGAGAGGTATTTCTAAACACAGATTTTGGCTGGGTACAGTGGCTCAAGCCTGTAATTCCAGCACTTTGGGAGGCTGGGGTGGGAAGATCTCTTGAGATCAGGAGTTCAAGATCAGCCTGGGCAACATAGTGAGATCTCGTCTCTACAAAAAAAATTAGCCAGGTGTGGTGGTGCTTGCCTATAGTCCCAGCTACTAGGGAGGCTGAGGCAAAAGGATCGCTTGAGCCCAGGAGTTGGAGGCTGCAGTGAGCTAAAATTGTGCCACTATACTCCAGCCTGGGTGACAGAGCAAGACTCTGTCTAAAAATAAGTAAGATATTAATCTTACATCTTTTTCCTGACTAAAGACCCACATGGCTTGCTGTTGCCCTTGGATAAAAGTCACAAATATGGGTATTCAAAGCCCCATAAGTTCTACCCAGAACCTTCCTTCCCAGCCTCCCCTCTCTCTACGGCTGCCTTCCTGTGAGTCACTTCCTTCAGTTCCTTACATGCAGCATAATCTCTCACCTCAGGAACTTTGTACTTGCTGTTCCCTCTTCCTGGAACATCCATCCCCCGCCCATTTCCCCTGCTTGCTTAGCTAACTCCTCCTCAGCTTAGCTCTCAAGTTCTCCCTGATCCTCTGACAAGATGTTATGTTTTCCTCCCAGCACCCTTGCATTCTCCTGTCACAGCCCTAATCACAATTACTGCAATTGGTTATTTTCCTCTCCTTGTAGACTATGGGATCTGGGAAGGCAGGGCTTATGTGTGCTCTGTTCACCATTATATCCACAGTGCCAAGCCCAATGCTGACACAGCGGGGAGACCCAATCTGTTGAAGAATGAATGAATGAATGAATTGCTTCCTTTACATGTAATTATAGAAAATCACCTACAGGCTGTATGCTTTTTTTTTTTTTTTTTTTTTTTGAGACAGTTTCACACTTGTTGCCCAGGCTGGAGTGCAATGGCACAATCTTGTCTCACTCCAACCTCCGCCACCCAGCCCAGGCTCTATGCTTTAATCCAAAGAAATGGATTGTCAAGAAGTGCATTCTAGGCAGGGCACGGTGGCTCCTACCTGTAATCCCAGCACTTTGGGAGGCCAAGGTGGGCAGATCACCTGAGGTCAGGAATTCGAGACCAGCCTGGTCAGCATGGCGAAACCCTGTCTCTACTAAAACTACAAAAATTAGCCGGGCATGGTGGCAGGTACCTGTAATCCCAGTTACTCAGGAGGCTGAGGCAGGAGAATAGCTTGAACCCAGGAGGCAGAGGTTGCAGTAAGCTGAGATCATGCCACTGCACTCCAGCGTGGGCAACAGAGCAAGACTCCATCTCAAAAATAAAAACAAAAATAAATAAATACAATTAATTATTAATTTTCAAAAATTCAAAAATAAGTGGCTAGGACCAGGCACGGTGGCTCATCCTTGTAATCCCAGTACTTTGGGAGGCCGAGGCAGGCAGATCACCTGAGGTCAGGGGTTCAAGACCAGCCTGACCAACATACTGAAACCTCATCTCTACTAAAAATACAAAAATTAGCCAGATGTGGTGGCACACACCTGTAGTCCCAGCTACTACGGAGGCTGAGGTGGGAGGACGGCTTGAGCCCCAGGAGGTCAAGCCTGCAGTGAGCCGGAGTGCACTACTGCACTCCAGCCTGTGTAGCAGAGTGAGACCCTGACTCACAAAAAAAAAAAACAAAAAACAAAAAAAAACAACTCCAAAAATAAATTAAGGCTGGGTATAGTGGCTTATGCCTGTAATCCCAGAACTTTGAGAGGCTGAAGTAGGAGGATCATTTGAGCCCAGGAGTTTGAGGTTACAGCGAGCTATGACCATGTCACTGTACTCTAGCCTGGGTAACAGAGCGAGACCCTGTCTCTAAAATATAAAGAAAAGAAAATAATAAATCATTAATATAATTCACTACATTAACAGAATAAAAGCCCCCCAAAAAGTATGATTATCTCCATGGAAAAAGCACTTGTCAAAAATTCTTAGTAAAAACTCTCAACAAATTAGAAATAGAAGGGTACTTTCTCAATCTGATAAAGGATATCTACAAAAACCTACAGCCAACATCATACTTAATGGTTATGGTTTCTTAGGCAACTCCATACACTGCAGAGGAGTTCAAACTGGCATAAACTTTGTGGAGAGCAATCTGATAAGATATACCCAATCAGTCATTTGCTGTTTGCTCTCAGGTAAGATCAAAAACAAGGTAAAAATGCTCCCTACCTCCACGCTAGTCAACATTTTACTAGCGGTCTTAGCAAATACAAGCTAAGAAAAAGAAAGACATAAAGCTTAGAAGAAAAAGTGTCTTTATTCAGACATGGCATGATAGTACATGTGAAAAATAAAATCAACGTATGGGCCAGGGACGGTGCCTCACACCTGTAATCCCAGCACTTTGGGAGGCTGAGGCAGGAGGATCACTTGAGGCCAGGGGTTCAAGACACTGTCTCTGCGAAAAATGCAAAAAATAAATAAATAAACACATGGGATTGGGACAACTGGGTGTCATTTGGAGAAAATTAAGTTGGGTACATCCTGACTAATTATACTAGAAAAACTTTTTTTTTTTTTTTTTAAATGGAGTCTGGCTCTGTCACCCAGGCTAGAGTGCAGTGGCATGATCTGTGCTCATTGCAACCTCTGCCTCCTGGGTTCATGCGATTCTCCCGCCTCAGTATCCCAAGTAGCTGGGACTACAGATGTGTACCACCATGCCTGGCTAATTTTTTTAATTTTTGTAGAGACGGGTTTTCGCCATGTTGGCCAGGCTGGTCTCGAACTCCTGACCTCAGGTGATGCACCTGCCTCAGCCTCCCAAACAGTTGGGATTACAGGCATGAGCCACAGCACCCGGCATAGAAAAAACACTTTTTAATAGATAATGAAATCAAAGGCACTAGAGGAAATCATGGGACAATTATTATTTGTATGTGGAAGGCCTTTCCAATTATAAAATAATATCCAGAAGAATAAAAAATTAATAAATACAACAATAACAAAAAAAACCTTCTGCATATCTTATTGTAGAAGGGGGAAATAACTGCATGGCTAAAATACAGTAAGTAAAGTTAAATGGCAGAAATTGAGAAAAATATTTGTGACTCATACCACAGGCAAAGCGCCAAGATCCTAATATAGAGAGAATCTACAGGGGAAAAGCCTACAATCCAAAAGAAAACAGGCAAAGGAAATAGATGAAAAAGGAAATACCAAAAGCTCTCAAGCATATGAATATGAGAAGATTCTCAATCTCACCCATAATGAAAGAATGAAAATTAAAAGCACCCTGAAATGCCATTTTTATCAATAAGATTGGCAAAGCTCAAGCTTTTTCTTTGGGAACAGGGTCTTGCTATGTGCCCAGGCTAGAGTGCAGTGGCTGTTTTTCCCAGGTGCAATCCTAGTGCCTTGAATTCCTGGGCTCAAGTGATCCTCCTGCCTCAGCCTCCCCAGTAGCTGGAACTACAGGTGCACACCACTGTGCCTGGCTTCAAACACATTTTTAACATACTCATTGATGAGGATATGGAGAAACAGGCACTTTTATACATTGCTAGTAGGACTATAAACTTGTGCAAACTCTAAGGAAGACAATCTGACAACATCTATCAAAATTACAAACACATGGACCTTTTAACTCAGCAATCAGACTTCAAGAACTTATCATACAGGTGTGCTGCCCCAATGTGAAAGAAGGTTATTTGCTGAAGTATTTTTGAAATTCCAAAAGACACAAAGTAACCTAAATGTTGGGCAGTTTGTTAATAAATTTGTTACATAAATTAAGGTATATTTACATCAGAGTTCTATGGCAGCATTAAACATGAGAAAACAATATATCAAAGGTCAATATATAGAGGACCTTCATGTAGTTACCCTGAAGATATATTATTATGTTAATAAGCTGGGTGCTCATGCCTGTAATCCCAACACTTTAGGAGGTCGAGGCTGAAGGATCGCTTGGGTCCAGGAGCTCAAGACCAACCTGGGCAACACAGTGAGACCAGGAGACCCCGTCTCCATTTTTTTTAAAAAAAAAAAAAAGATATGTTAGTAAATAAGGTGCAGAATGGTTTTTAGTAACCATTTGTGTATAAATGTGGAAAATATATGTATTTGCTTGGATACACATAAAATATCTTGGGAAGGATTTAGAAAAAATAGTAATATTTGATTGCTTCTGGAAAAGGCATCTAGATAGCTGACGGAGAAGGTTGGGAAGAAAATTTTCCATTACATATCCTTTTATACTTTTTGAATTTTGACCCACATGAGTGTTTACTTATACAAAAGATAATTATTTTATTTTTATTTTTGAGAGATGACAGGAGATCTAACTATGTTGCCCACGCTAGAGAGCAATGGCTATTAACAGGTGTGATTATTGCATACTGCAGCCTCAAACTCCTGGCCTCATGCAATCCTCCTGCCTCAGCCTCCCAAGTAGCTGGCCCTATAGGCATACACCACTGTGCCTGGCTAAAGATATTTTTTAAATAGGGTAGGAGAATATAAAATAATGTAGAAAACATTCATAGAAACTTCTTAGCTAAAAAATAGATTTTAAAAAAAACAAGCGTGTGTTTTTAAAATATGTGCTATCAAAATACCAGTGAAATTCTTCACAGAAACAGAGAAAAAAATTCTGAAATTCATATGGAACTGCAGAAGGCCCCACATAGCCAAACCAGTCCTGAGCAAAAAGAACAAAGCTGGAGGCATCACACTACCTGACTTCAAAACATACTGCAAGGCTATAGTAGTCAAAACAGCATAGACCAGGCATGGTGGCTTATGCCTGTAATCCCAGCACTTTGGGAGGCCGAGGTGGATCACTTGAGGTCAGGAGTTCGATACCAGCCTAGGCAACATGACGAAACCCCATATCTACTAAAAATACAAAAATTAGGTGGACATGGTGGCAGATTCCTGTAATCCCAGCTACTCAATAGGCTGAGGCAAGAGAATTGCTTGAACCCGGGAGGCGGAGTTTGCAGTAAGCCAAGATTGTACCACTGCACTCCAGCCTGGGTGAAAGAGTGAGACTCTGCCTCAAAAAAAAACAAAACAAAACACAACAAAAAAAACACACATGATACTAACATAAAAACAGGCTCAAAGACCAAGGAACAGAATAGAGAACCCAGGCCGGGCACAGTGGCTCACACCTCTGTCTCAAAAAAAAAAAAAAAAAAAAAAAAAAAGAGAACCCAGAGATAAATCCACATATTTACAGCCAATTGATTTTCAATTGAGAACATTCAGTTGGGAAAGGACAATATCTTCAATTAATGGTGATGGACACTTAGGTTGATTCCATATCTTGGCTATTGTGAACAGTGCTGCAATAAACATGGGCACATGGATCTCTCTTTGATAATGCTGAGTTCCTTTCTTTTAGGTATATACCCAGCAATGAGATTGCTGGATCACATGGTAGATCTATCACTAATTTTCTGAGGTACCTCCATACTGTTTTCTCCATACTGATAGGAAGATCTACACTGGGAAAACTGGATAACCATAGGCAGAAAAATGAAACTAAACCCCCCATCTCTCACCATATACAAAAATCAAATCAAAATGGATTAAAGGCTTAAATGTAAGACCTGAAACTATGAAACTATTAGAGAAAAACAGTGGGAAAACACTTCAGGATACTGGTCTGGGCAAAGATTTTTTGGGTAGGACGTCAAGGACAAAGGCAAGAAAAGCAAAAATAGATAAATAGGATTGCATCAAGCTAAAAATGCTTCTGCACAGCAAAGGAAACAATCAGCAGAGTGAAGAGACAACCTTCGGAATAGGAGAAAATATTTGCAAACCATGCATCTGACAAGGGATTAATAAGCAGACTATGTAAGAAATTCAAAGAACTCCATAGCAAAAAAAAAAAAAAAAAAAATTCATCTAATTTTTTTTTTTTATTATACTCTAAGTTTTAGGGTACATGTGCACATTGTGCAAGTTAGTTACATATGTATACATGTGCCATGCTGGTGCGCTGCACCCACTAATGTGTCATCTAGCATTAGGTATATCTCCCAATGCTATCCCTCCCCCCTCCCCCCACCCCACCACAGTCCCCAGAGTGTGATATTCCCCTTCCTGTGTCCATGTGATCTCATTGTTCAATTCCCACCTATGAGTGAGAATATGCGGTGTTTGGTTTTTTGTTCTTGCGATAGTTTACTGAGAATGATGGTTTCCAATTTCATCCATGTCCCTACAAAGGACATGAACTCATCATTTTTTATGGCTGCATAGTATTCCATGGTGTATATGTGCCACATTTTCTTAATCCAGTCTATCATTGTTGGACATTTGGGTTGGTTCCAAGTCTTTGCTATCGTGAATAGTGCCGCAATAAACATACGTGTGCATGTGTCTTTATAGCAGCATGATTTATAGTCCTTTGGGTATATACCCAGTAATGGGATGGCTGGGTCAAATGGTATTTCTAGTTCTAGATCCCTGAGGAATCGCCACACTGACTTCCACAATGGTTGAACTAGTTTACAGTCCCACCAACAGTGTAAAAGTGTTCCTATTTCTCCACATCCTCTCCAGCACCTGTTGTTTCCTGACTTTTTAATGATTGCCATTCTAACTGGTGTGAGATGATATCTCATAGTGGTTTTGATTTGCATTTCTCTGATGGCCAGTGATGATGAGCATTTCTTCATGTGTTTTTTGGCTGCATAAATGTCTTCTTTTGAGAAGTGTCTGTTCATGTCCTTTGCCCACTTTTTGATGGGGTTGTTTGTTTTTTTCTTGTAAATTTGTTTGAGTTCATTGTAGATAATTCATCTAATTTTTAAACAGGCAAATGATCTGAAGAAGACATACAAACCCAACAGGCCGGGCACAGTGGCTCACACCTGTAATCTCAGCACTTTGGGAAGCCACGGTGGGCAGATCACTTGAGGTCAGAAGTTCAAAACCAGCCTGGCCAACACAGCAAACCCTGTCTCCATTAAAAATACAAAAATTCTACAAAAATTAGCCGGGTGTGGTGGTGCACACCTGTAATCCTAGCTACTCAGGAGGCTGAGGCAGGAGGATCACTTAAACCCAGGAGGTGGAGGTTGTAGTGAGCCGAGATTATGCTGCTGCACTCCAGCCTGGGCAACAGAGCGAGACTCTGTCTCGAAAAAAGAAAGAAAGAAACTCTGGTACATATACACAATGCAGTACTATTCAACCTTTAAAAAGAATGAAATTCTGTCATTTGCAGCAACATAGATGAAACTGGAGGTCATTATGTTAAGTGAAAAAAGCCAGGCACAGAAAGACAAATATCATGTTCTCACTCCTATGTGGGAGCTAAAAAAGTTGATCTCATGGAGGTAGAGAGAAGAATGATGGTTACCAGAGGCTAGGAAGGGTAAGGGTGGGGGAGGAGGATGAAGAGTAGTTAATGGGCACAAAAATATGGTTAGATAGAAGGAATATGTTCTAGTGTTTAACAATGCTATTACTCATATGGAGTCAACTCATTCTTCAGACAAACAGAACGTGTCATGTGCCAGGCACAGAGTAAGGAGATATAAATAAGGTGGTTCATCCCAGTGACAGGCATTCCAGACAAACCCCTGCCACTCTACTCATGTCCTCCGCCATATTCCCCATCACCTCACTTGCACATGCTACCATGCTCCAGTCCGACTTCACAGAGAAAACAGATGCCACTAGGCATGAATTCCCATGGCTTTTCTCTTCTCCATCTCCAAACTTCTCCAAATTTTCAGCTAGGCTCACATCCTTTTAAAAAAATAAAATAGGCCAGGTGCGATGGCTCACGCCTGTAATCCCAGCACTTTGGGAGGCCAAGGCAGGTGGATCACTTGAGGTCAGGAGTTTGAGACCAGCCTGGCCAACAAGTTGAAATCCCATCTCTACTAAAAATGCAAAAAATTAGCCAGGCATGGTGGCACACGCCTGTAATCCCAGCTTCTTGGAAGCCTGAGGCAGAAGAATCACTTGAACCCAGGAGGCAGAGGTGGCAGTAAGACGAGATCATGCCACTGCACTCCAGCCTGGGTAACAGGGCAAGACTCGGCTCAAAAAAATAAATAAAAAAATGAATAGTGACAAGGTCTCACTATATCGCCCAGGCTGGTCTTGATCTCCTGGGCTCAAGCAATCCTCCCACCTCAGCCTCCCAAAGGGCTGGGATCACAGGCATGAATCATTGCACCCAGCCTAGGCTCATATCCTTCTTTCTACCTCCAAGGAAAACATGGCTTTCCTTTTCCTTCCTGGGTCCTTGAGACTCTGTTCCCTTCTCTACCTTGTTTTATCAATGATCTCATCCTTCATATATTTTTAATTTCTTCCCAATGACTAGCTCCTTCCCCTCAATTGAAACATATTCAAGTATGTACAATCTAGAAAATTATTCCCATCATCTTCCTTCCCTCGATATACCCCTACATCTGCTATTCTCCTTAACCTGCCAACTTCTTGAAAACTCATGCCATAGTCTCTGATGATATGTGTTTACTCCAGTTCACACCTCAGGTCATTGGAGTTTGACTAATGCCCCCACTCATCTACTAAAACTTTTCTTCCTAACTGTATCTGTTAGGACTTGGCACCCGTAATTCCAGCTCTTTGGGAGGCAGGAGGATAGTTTGAGGCCAGGAGTTCAAGACCAGCCTGGTCAACATTGTGAGAACCCGTCTCTATCTAAAAAAAAAAAAAAAAAAAAAAAAAAAAAAAATCAATCAATTGATCAATCTATATATCTTTAAGGAATACTTTTGGCTGCAAATAATAGAACATTCAACCAGCAATGGTTTAAACACAAACAGTACATTTCTTCTCATATGACATGCCCAGAAGTAGGTCATTGCTGGCAATACTTAACAGATGACAGCGCTCTGGGTTGATATCTCAGAAATCCTCTTGACTTTCTAATCATGCTCATAACAAATCTAAATATCATATCCTCATGCAACTGTATTCCAAGACAGGAGACCTGAAAAGTGGCTCAATTAACAGAATTTCCCTGCATGTAACTGATTCTCAGCATGGAGGAAAGGCTTTCCTAGATGCTCTTATATAAACTTTGCCCTTATCCCTCTGCTCTGAAGTTTTATTTCCCTCCAACATTCTTACGTTGATACCTAATCACCAAGGTGATGGTATTGGAAGGTGGGGCCTCTAGTAGGTGATTACGTCATGAGAGCTTCACCCTAGTCAATGAGATTTGTGTCCTTATGAAAGAGGCTTCAGAGAGCTTCCTCCCGTTTCCACTCTTCCCCCAAGTGAGAACACAGCAACAAGATGCCATCTTGGAAGCAGAGAGCAAGCCTTTACCAGACATCAAATCTACCAACACCTTGATCTTGAACTTTCCAGCCTCCAGGAGTGTGAACAATAAATTTCTATTACTTATTTATTTATTGAGATGGAGTCTAACTCTGTTACCCAGGCTGGAATGCAGTGGCACAATCTCGGCTCACTGCAACCTCCACCTCCCAGGTTAAAGTGATCTTCCCACCTCAGCCTCCCAAGTAGCTGGGACTACAGGCATGTGCCACCACGCCTGGCTCTTTTTTTTTCTTTTTTTGAGACTGAATCTAGTTCTGTCGCCCAGGCTGGAGTGCAGTGGTGCAATCTCGGCTCACTGCAAACTCCACCTCCCGGGTTCAAGCAATTCTCCTGCCTCAGCCTCCCAAGTAGCTGGGACTACAGGCACCTGCCACCACGCCCAGCTAGTTTTTTGTATTTTTAGTAGAGACAGGGTTTCACCATGTTAGCTAGGATGGTCTCGATCTCCTGACCTCGTGATCCAACCACCTCGGCATCCCAAAGTGCTGGGATTACAGGCATGAGCCACTGCGCCCGGCCTCATTTTTGTATTTTTAGTAGAGACGAGGTTTCACAATGCTACTCAGGCTGATCTCAAACTCCTGACCTCAAGTGACCCGCACACCTTGGCCTCCCAAAGTGCTGAGATTACAGGCATGAGCACCTGGCCCAAATTTCTACTATTATAAATTACCCAGTCTGTGATATTCTGTTATAGCTGCACAAACTAAGCCAAGGCCCTTCTTGACAGGTTTATAGTTCCTACCACTCCCAGAGGTAGAATTGGATGATGATTGGTGCTCTGACACATTCCGTACCATTTTGCTCTCGCTTCTTTGCTCATGCTGTTTGCCAAATGTGGGATGCCTCTCTTCTCCTCTTCTAATCATCCTTCACAACTTAGCTCAAATACAACTTCTACTGGGAAGCCTTTACCTACCTACCCACAAACGGCGCTAATCACTGATTCCTTGGAATCCTAGAGCTCTTTGCGTAACTTTTCATGTTGCACATACCACATTGTGTTGTAATTATTTGGACAGATGTCTTCTACCACACTGTGAACTATTTGGGAAGATATACCATGGTAGTCATTAATTTGCTGTACATCCAATATGTCCACTTAAAGTTAATATTATACCATTCACATACCATTTAGAAAATTTGTTATCACAGTAAAAGTCCATTTACCCCTCTCCTATCCTTTATACTATGATGGTCACATATAGTGCATTTATTTGTTATAAACCCCACAAAACAATGTTATAATTTAGGTTTTAACTAGTTAGTATGTATTTTAAAGAAATTGCTGTTGGCCGCGTGCGGTGGCTCCTGCCTATAATCCCAGCACTTTAGGAGGCTGAGGCAGGCAGATCACGAGGTCAAGAGCTCAAGACCATCCTGACCAACATGGTGAAATGCCGTCTCTACTGAAAATACAGTAGTTAGCTGGGCGTGGTGGTGCGCACCTGTAGTCCCAGCTACTCAGGAGAATCACTTGAACCCAGGAGGCGGAGGTTGCAGTGAGCCGAGATCACTTGCCACTGCACTCCAGCCTGGCAACAGAGAGAGACTTTGTCTCAAAAACAAACAAAAAAAAAGAAATTAAAAAAAGAAAAAAATTGTTGGCCGGGCGCAGTGGCTCATGCCTGTAATCCCAGCACTTTGGGAGGCCAAGGTGGGCGGATCACCTGAGGTCGGGAGTTCGAGACCAGCCTGACCAACGTGGAGAAACCCCGGCTCTACTAAAAATACAAAAAAATGTAGCCGGGCATGGTGGTGCATGCCTGTAATCCCAGCTACTTGGGAAGCTGAGGCAGGAAAATCGCTTGAACGTGGGAGGTGAAGGTTTTGGTGAGCCAAGATTGCACCATTGTGCTCCAGCCTGGGCAACAAGAGCAAAACTCTGTCTCAAAAAACTTGTTTAAAAAGTCTTTTATCTTCACCCACATATTTACCATAGCTTTACCTAACATATCCTGATAAAGACCTCACTTGGTTCACACTCATATTAGTTTCAATTGCTATGTCACAACTTACCAAAAACTTGGTGGGTTAAAATCTCAAAAACATATTACCTTACAGCTCTAGAAGCCAGACGTCTACAATGTGTCTGCAGAGCTTTATTCCTTTTAGAGGCTCTAGGGGAGCCTGTTTCCTTGCCTTTTATGCTACCAGAGGCTGCCTTCATTCCTTGTCTCACAGCTCCTCCTCCATCTTCAGAGCCAGCTGTATGGCATCTTCTCTCTCTCCAGCCTCCCGCCTCCTTCTTATAAAATCTTGTGATTACATCAGGCCTACTCTAATAAGCCAAAATAATCTCTCCAGGCACAGTGGCTCACACCTGTAATCTCAACACTTCAAGAGGCCGAGGAGGGAGAATTGTTTGAGCTCAGGAGTTTGGGACCAGCCTGGGCAACAGAGCAACATGCCATCTTTAAAAATAAAATTTGGGCCGGGTGCAATGGCTCACACCTGTAATCCCAGCACTTAGGGAAGCCAAGGCAGGTGGATCACTTGAGGTCAGGAGTTCGAGAACAGTCTGGCCAACACGGCAAAACCCGACCCTACTAAAACTACAAAAATTAGCTGGGCGTGGTGGCAGGCATCTGTATTCCCAGCGACTCGGGAGGCTGAGGCAGGGGAATCACTTGAACCTGGGAGGCAGAGGTTACAGTGAGCTTAGACCACACCACTGCACTCCAGCCTGAGCGACAGAGCAAGACTCCATTTCTAAATAAATAAATACATTGAAAAACAAAGACTCTGAATTTAGTTACATCTGAGACATTCCTTTTACTACCTAAGGTGACATTCACAGATGGGGGATTAAGATGTGGATATCTTTGGGAAGACATTATTCAGCCTAGTATTGTTCACAACATTTATCACTAGTATCTAGCACAGTAACAAAGATATATAGAAGGTGCTTGATAAATGTGCATCAGTTAAATACATCTTTGCTAAAAAGTGGTCTGATGACCGTTAGTATTAGCATCACATGGGAGCTTGTTAAAATGTAGAACTCTGGCCCACCCCAAACATACTGAATCAAAATCTGCATTTTAACAAGATCCCCAGGTGATTCTTATGCACAGTAAAGTATGAGAAGTACTGAATTAAATGATCTCATCTAACAGTTAAAATAAAAATAGAAAAAAATATATTAAGCATCTGTAACAGATACTTTCAATGTCTTCACGTGCTCTGACCCACCTCCAATTCCAGCCACAGCTGCATTAAAGATTGCCGAGAGAGTGTAGATTTCTGGCTGACGCCCCCCTCCACTGTGTACTTTCTGCCCCAGGGACTTTACCAAAGGTATGAGAAGCTAGTGCAAGGGACAGAACTCCTGGAGCACCCCTTCATCAGTGAGGGCCCAGTGCTGGAGGGCAAATCCCTTTGTCTCCCATTCTTGGGATGGACAATTCTGAGAAGCATTTCTATATCAGAGATTTCAATAATGCTCCTGATGGTCACAGTGGCTCACACCTGTAATCCCAGCACTTTGGGAGGCCGAGGCGGGTGGATCACCTGAAACCCCATCTCTACTAAAAATTAGCTGGGCATGGCATGCCTGTAATCCCAGCTACTCGGGCGGCTGAGGCATGAGAATCGCTTGAACCCGGGAGGCGGAGGTTGCAGTGAGCCGAGATCGTGCCACTGGACTCTAGCCTCGGTGACAGAGCGACACTCCATCTCAAAAATAAAGAAATTAAAGAAAAAATAATGCTCCCAAATATTGGCTTTTCTTCCTTCCCTGTGTCACGCTTCCTGCTCCCTCACTCCTGCTTCCTGGGATCACCTCCCAAATAAATCACTTGACCCCAAGTCCTTGTCTTCAGCTTAGCTTTCCTGGCAATCAAAACCAAAGCAGTGTTTATTAAATACCAGGTGCTCTACCGTAAGTTTTATATGATTTATCTCATTTTATACTCACAACAACACTGTATTTCTGCCCTATTTTTACCCTCTTTCAGATGAAGAAACCTTAAAAGCAGTTAAGTAATTTGCCCAGTTTCATAGAACTGACATACGACAGAACTGAAATGCTAGAGTCCAGGCAGCTTGACCCTTGGGCTTATGCACTTCCTCAGTAAGTGCCTCCTCATGAGAACATACCAGGGCTTACATTTATATAGTATTTTCCAGATTTAAACTGAAAAGAATAAATCTCCTCATTCTCTAAACTGCTGGCCAACTGAAAGGAGAAATGGACCAGAAGTCCCCAGTAATACTGAAGACTAGACTTAAGCATAAAGCAAGTTCATCTCTCGTGACCATGGAGAGAAAAGGTGAATGAAGTGGATGGAGCATGCTGCAGAGGACCGGTGGGTTGGTTGCAGAGGCTTAGTGGGAAGAAGGATGAGTTCTTCCTTTCCAAGAATATCCCATCCGCCATACCTTCCCCATGTGACTCAGGAGAAGGAGATCCACCTCCAGATCCAGGAGTACCTCCCAACCAGGACAGAGCTCTCTTAGGAGGGTACATGTGAGCAAAGGCTCAGCGAAGGTCAGGATGTGAGCCACGCTGAGATCTTGGAGAAGGGCATTCCAGGTAGAAGGAAGAGCCACTGTGAATGCTTGTAAGACAGGAGTCCAGCTGGTTAATTCCCGGATGAGCAAGGCGGGTAGTGGGGCTGGAGCGGAGTGAGGAATGGAGTGCGGTAGGGGAGATCAGGACGTCTCCTTTTGGGCTCACAAGGAGGCTTACCCCACTGTGAGGACAGCAGCAGTTTCTGAGTGAGACTAGAGTCACGGCTGTGTTTTGAGCAGAAGAGTGCTGTGACCGGACATGTATTTTAAGAAGAGCACTTAGCTCTTAGCAGTTGTGTTGAGAAGAGAAGCAAGGTCAAGGGTGGAGGCAGGCAGAGCAGCTAGAAGGCTCCTGCAGTTATCGAGGCAAGAGAGGAAGGGGCACGGCATGGCAGTGAAGGTGAGAAGGGCCGGGTTGTAGAGATATTTGGAACATAGGACTAACAGGAGTTCTTGATGGATGATTGGCTATGGGGTATGGGTATCCATTTAAAAGAGAGATGAAGGATAACTCATTGGCTTTTGTCCTAAGCATCTAGAAGCACAGGAGTGTCTCTATCTAACATGGGAAAAGCTGCCAATAGAGCCATGCATTAGGAGGGAACGATCACAGTTCAATTTTAATATGTTGAGTTGGAGATGTCCATCATATATTCAAGTGGAAATGATGACTAGATAGTTGGATGGTCACGTGTGAAGCTCAAGAGACAGGTGTGGGCCAGGCGTAGTGGTTCACGCCTGTAACCCCAGCACTTTGGGAGGCCAAGGCAGGTGGATCACTTGAGGTCAGGAGTTTGAGACAAGCCTGGCCAACATGGCAAAACACTGTCTCTACTAAAAATACAAAAATTAGCTGAGAATGGTGGTAAGCGTCTGTTATCCCAGCTACTTGGGAGGCTGAGACACGAGAATCCCTTGAACCCAGGAGGCAGAGGTTGCAGTGACCTGAGATCACACCACTGCACTCCAGCCTGGATGAGAGAGCAAGACTCCAAAAAAAAAAAAAAAAAAACAAACAAAAAAACAAAAAAAAAAAAGAAAGAAAGAAAGAAGAAAGAAAGAAAGAGGTGTGAATTGAAGATAAAAATATAAAAATTGGGTCAACCCTGGCATGTAAAAGGTATTAAAGCCTGTCACCCAGGCTGGAATGCAGTGGTGCAGTCATAGATTATGGCAGCCTCCAACTCCTGGGCTCAAGCAATCCTCCCACCTTGGCCTTCCACGGTGTTGGGATTATGGGTGTGAACCACGGAACCAACCCTGAAGATATTAAAGCCTTGAGGCTGCATGAAACCAGGAAGGGAGTGAGTATGGATGTGGAAGAGAAACAAGGACAGGGCTCCAGGGCAACTCGACTTTAAGAGAGCCTGGAGAGGCCGGGAGCAGTGGCTCACGCCTGTAATCCCAGCACTTTGGGAGGCTGAGGCAGGCGGATCACCTGAGGTCAGGAGTGTGAGACCAGCCTGGCCAACATGGTGAAACCCAATCTCTACCAAAAATAGAAAACTTAGCCAGGCATGGTGACACATGCCTGTAATCCCAGCTACTCAGGAGGCTGAGGCAGGAGAATCACTTGAACCCGGGAGGTGGAGGTTGCAGTGAGCTGCTGAGATTGTACCACTGCACTCCAGCCTGGGTGACAAGAGCGAAACTCTGTACAAAAAAAAAAGAAAAGAAAAAAAGAGAGAGAGAAAGCCAGGAGAAGAACTGAAAGTAGCAAAGAAGAAAAAGAAGGAATCCACCTCTCTTCCTTTTCTTCACTTGGCTCCTAGGACACCATAGTCTCTCTTTTCCTCTATTTCACTGTCCACTCCTTAGTCTTCTTTGCTGTGATGTGAAGTGAAATAACTGCCCAATAGACTTGGCATCATGGAGGTCATCCGTGATCCTGAGAAGAGTAGTTTCAGTCCAGTGACAGAAATGAACGTCTGATTGGTGTGAGATCAAGAGAGAACAGGAGGGCCGGGCATGGTGGCTCATGCCTGTAATCCCAGCACTTTGGGAGGCTGAGGCGGGTGGATCACCTGAAGTCAGGGGTTCGAGACCAGCCTGGCCAATATGGCGAAACCCCGTCTCTAATAAAAATACAAAAATTAGCCAGGCATGGTTGTGCACACCTGTAGTCCCAGCTACTCAGGAGGCTGAGGCAGAAGAATCGCTTGAACCCCGAAGGCAGAGGTTGCAGTGAGTCGAGATCACGCCATTGTACTCCAGCCCGAGCGACAGAGTGAGACTCCGCCTCAAAAATAAATAAATAAATATAAAAAGAGAACAGGGGGTGTGCACATATAGACAGTACATAGAGGTAACTCTGAGATGTCTGCATACAAGGAAGATGGCAAATGGAGTAACAGTGCAGGAGGATATGGGGTCAAGGGGGCACAGACGCAGAAGTATACATATAAAGACAGGAGGGAGGACACTTTTTTGTGCTGAAGTGAATGATTTAGAACAGAGCAACAACTTGATAAGCAGGAGATGGGGTAATTTTAGAAACAGTCATTAAATAGCCTAGAGGGGAAGGGAACCTGGTGCCACATGGAAGGATTTGCCTTAGACAGGAGCAGGAACAGTATATCAGGTGACAAGAGAGAAGGCAGCGTCTGGGTGGAAAGGTAGGCAGGATGGAAGATATGATGGTGGGAAGAGGAGGTAGTTCTTGTCAAATTGCTTTTATTTTCTCAGTAAAATAAGCAGCAAGTTTCTCAGCTCAGAGTGAGGAAGGGAGGGGTGTTGGAAGTTTGAAGAGAGAAGGTGCAATATAGTCATTTCAGCGTGTGGGAAAGTAAACTGACGAGGGAAATGCACACGGACAGTGTTGAGAGCCCACTTGAGATGTATGATCATAAATTTAGAGTGACAACAGTTAGCCCTGTCATTTTTGTCCAGTGTGTTAAGCTGGACAGAATCAAGAGTTTGGCCAGATGGTCCCAGGAATGAGAGAGTAGGGGGAGGTGCATGCGAAAGAATGATATAGTGGAAGACCATGAAATCTTAAGGTGGGTAGGAGAGATGTAAGAATGAAAGGTCAATGACAGACAGTGAAAAAGTAGACTGGAAGTCAAAATAGGGTCAAAGAATTGTTCAAATGTGGTTATTTGAGCAAATAAGCTGGGAGAGAAAGAAGTGTTGGTCAGGAAGGAGGATGATGGTCGGAGGTGGTGCTGTTATTTGGTGATGAAAAGATTGAAGATACCCATGTGACAGTGGGGTGGAGGAAAAAAATGATTGCTGTTCAGGTACCAGGGTTTCAGATAGGTCATTAATCTATTGGGATGCTAAATTCACCAAAAATGTTAATAGGAGTTGGGTGGAGGTGGGGGACTGTGAGTCAGGTGCTAGAATCTTCGGGGAATGAGGGGGAGTGCAGGAGAGCCTGCAGATGACAGCCACAAAGCGGAGGTGGTATAGTCTGATGGCAGGTACTTCAAAGCAGCTGGGGTGGAGGGGGAAGAAAGAAGAGTCTATCTTGGTGAATAATTCTCCTGCCAAGGGTTTGTTCTGAATTCCACTCTCTAGTATCTCACCAAGCTTCCTTCCCTCTTTTGGCAGCTGAGAGGCCATCCAGGGTAAGGATTTTTTCAGGGTCGTGGGGTCAGAAGGAAACCAGCAAACAGTCAGGACTTTTATTCCCTCTTCTCTGCTACCAAAATACCAAGGCAGTGTTTTGGGTATTTAAAAGAACATTTTAAATGTCCTTGTTTGTTTCTGCCTCTGTGCAACATTGTGCTGGGAAGGACAGGGAGCTGGTAACCATGGCAGTGGAGCAGAGGGTGGTGGTGAAGAGGTGGTTTTTAAATGGGGTGAACTTCAGGCAGGCGGCACCCAGAGCTGGAACCCCCACGGCCTCCTTGGAGTCCTTTGTTCATTCAGCTTACTTAGGGAGAGAGCCTGCATTCTTCCCCGCTGTGAAGCAAGCTTTGAAAGGAAAGGTTTTGCCAGACTCCATAAGGAGAGGGTGTGTCCCTAGGAGCAGGTTTTGGGGTTCTGCCTGAAAACCTTGGTCGGCAGAGAATTTTGGGCACCCTGTTACGAACAGGACAGTCTGTGATGGCAAAGAAGCCAGCTCTGCAGCATCCTGGATGCAGAGTTCTTACACACCGTTAGCTGTCTCACCACTTCTCCCTGGACAGGTGGCCACTCGTGGGGGTGGCCCAGAATCCTGGCCAAAAAAGACAGCCAGGCAGGGCCCCCACAGGAAGGTAGCTGGCAGGGGAGTCAGGAGGAGAGGAAGGGGGAGGGAAGCAGTCACCTCTTCCACGTTCCTGGATAGGGAGCCTTAAGACCCTTTTCAGGACAAATAAGTGCCCCCCAAAAAGCGGACACAGGGCAAGGCAGGACAGGACAGGGCAAACCTGGGGCACAGCTCGGGGCCAGGGAAGTCCCATGACTGCAGTGTTCAGCTGCAGGTTTCCCAGCTGCTCTGGGCGGGAAGCGGCGCCGGGAGATGGGGGCGGGGAGAAGGGAGGGGAAAAGAGGAGGAGGGAAGTAAACAGGAGACCACAGAGAGAGCCAGTTCCCGGCGTTCAGAGAACACTAGCCGCCTCCGGTCCCCGGTGGGTGGCTGTATGTGTGGAAATGAAACTGGGAGGAGGAGGGAGAGAGGGAAGAGCGGGCACGCACTTCTCGGCTGTCATCCACCTTGCCTCTTCCGACCCTCCAGCCCGCTCCCCACCGGGGTAGGGGGTTGGGGGAGGTGGGAGGAAAACAGTTCAGCAAACGCCCACCTCCAAGTACCAGTAGCTGGTTCAGCTGTCGGTGAATCAGACACTGTCTCAGCAGCTTGTCACCTGCGCTTGGGAGGGGAACAGAGGGCAACCTTGGAACTTGGGAGGGGGAGGTTGGGAAAGTGCAGGATCCAGCACTGGGCCTGGGCCTGGGCGTAGGGGTGACGCCTACGGCTCGGAAAAGGGCTATCCACCTCCCTACACCTACACACGTCTCGACCCAGTACCCGGACGCCGAGTAGAGGGGGTGGGACAAGAGCATGGGGGCCGTACAGAAGGGGGAACTGGAAGAAGGGGAGGGGAGAATGGGTTGGGGGTGTGCTGCGGCGGGAAGCGCTGGGTGCCGGGCGGGCGCGGCCGCGGGGAGAGCTGCTGCCCGGTGCCTGCCCGCGCGAGGTTATGCGAGGTAACCGAGCGGAGAGGAGGAGGGAGGCGGCGGGGGCCGCGGGCCGGGGTGTCTGGCACTCGTTGGACAAAGAGATGATGAAACGTGAGCGCTATATTTACCAAGGGGGTGGAGACGGGGCGGGGGGGGCGGAGAGTAAAAAGGACAAACTGTTCCACAACAACCACAGGAAACACAGCCCATTCTGACTCACTGGGAGGGCCACACCGAACCCCTCGCAGGCTTAGCCTGAAGGCAGACGCGGGGCGCAGGTGCTCCCGGGACCGGACCGAACCTGGGCTGGGGCTGGATTGATTTATAAATAAAGGCACATTCGATCCAAGAGTGCGTGTGTGCGTGCGTGTGGTTCTTGTGGGGTAGGGGAGAGCACGGAATGGCAGGAATGTTTCCTAACCCCTTGGCCGGGCCATCGCGGGAGAGATCTGCCGGCAAACTCTGGGAGCGCAATTCCTGCAAAGTCATCTCCTCCCGCACAGCCTGGCCGGCCTGCCCGCCACGCCCCGCCCGGGGACAGCAGCACCCGCCTCCCCCACTCCCTCCCCACCCCCGCAGCCCATGGAGTTGGGGTGCGGTGCTTGCTATGTTTAGAAGCTGATGTCATCTCGACACCCTACTCTGCAGTGTTCCTAGGAGGACCGCAGGGCAGGTTTTCCTCTTCCTCGCGGGCGTGGGGGATGGAAGGTGGCCAAGGTGCCCTGCCCTCTCCCCAACACAGGAACCCCACACCCATCTACCCGGGAGATTAAAAGAAAAAAAAATGCAACACCGCCAGAGTTATGAAACAGGGTGGCGGGGGCGGTACGTGCACGCGGAGAGCGCAAAGCAAGGGCCTGGGCCGCGCGGGGCTCCCCCCCGGTCCCCGCCCACTCCCACCCCCGCGCTCCCGGGTGCAGGGGCTAATTTCAAGGTTAGCTCACGTGGGCGTGGGCGCCCGGAGCTCCTTGCACGAGTTTGGGGCGGGTTCCTGGTCCCCCAATCTAGGGCAGTTTGTTCAACTGCAGTAAAGGGAGCTTGATGTTCCAGCAGGGAAGGGATTTCTGAGAACTGGGACTGTCCTCAGATGAACTCGCCTCCTCAGGCTGCTGCGGCGGCGGCCGCCTGCGGAAGACTTTTTAAAAGGGCGATGCCAGGCCGGGGCGCGCGGTCCACGAGTGGCTGAGTCGCCCGCCAGTCCGCGGCCGGAGCCGAGCGCCCGCCCCCGAGCGCGGGTGATTCACCGAGTGCCGCGCTGGGCCGGTCGGAGCGCGGGGGGCTGCGAGCTAAACTTATCCTCCTGCATATGCATGAACGGGCGGCCTTTCTGCGCTGCAGAGGAGAGGGCTGGAGTTTTGCGGAAGGCTGCTAAGTGGGGCGGGAGCAAAGTAGGGCGGCGTGCAAGTTTTCGCGCTTGCCTGAGCGCCCTTCCCCCTCCAGCCCCTGGGTGTTAGCTGTCATTATGGCCACGGGCGTTCCACCAGATCGGGCTTTACCTGATTGTATTTCAAAATCCAGGAACATCGCCATTGTTGGAAGCTTTATCCCTTTAGCCTCTCCCCTCCTCAAGCTCGCCTCCTTCTCTAATTCCCCTGCTTTCAACAAAATGAACACTGGTTTCCTCCACATATGTTCCGTGTGCCTAGGTGGGGTCGCTGGAGCTGGAGGGGCTGGGCCCTGAAAGGGAGAGGTCTGGATGCAGCCCAGAATGAGGTCCAACACGTGATCCTCTACCCCCAGTGGGCCATCTGTTCTCCTCCTTCCTTCCCGCCTGGAGGCTGGCAGTTCTGCCCGGCACGGTCCACCCCTCCCAGCAGGAAAGAGTGAGAAAAGCCAGAACTGGCAGAACCCAATACCTACAGAGTGTGATTTTAGCCTGAACTTCCCTGGTCCTTGAGCAGGGGTGACACCCGGCAATCTGTATTTTAAATCGAGCGCCAGGTGATTAGCTCCACCCTGCAAGGTGGGGAAACCCTGCCTTGGGGCACAGTTTGAATAAAAATCTCCAGGGGAGGGGCCTGGGAATCTGTGCTGCATATGCCAGGAAGTACCTTACTCCCCGCTAGGGTGAAAAATTTACCTTGGGCCAGGCGCGGTGGCTCACGCCTGTTAATCCCAGCGCTTTGGAAGGCAGAGGTGGGCGGATCACCTGAGGTCAGGAGTTCGAGACCAGCCTGGCCAACATGGCGAAATCCCGTCTTTACTAAAAATACAAAAATTAGCCGGGCATTGTGGCGCATGCCTGTAATCCCAGCTACTGGGGAGGCTGAGGCAGGAGAATCGCTTGAACCCTGGAGGCGGGGGTTGTTGCAGTGAACCGAGATCGTGCCATTGCACTCCAGCCTGGGCGACAGAGCGAGACTGTCTCAAAAATAAATAAATAAATAAAATAATACAATTTACCACGGAAAAAGAATAGGTTATTTGAACCCCCATTCCACTTTCTACAAACCAGCTTGAAGAAAGAAAAATCGAGACTATAAAATTAAGGAAGGGATTTTGAACACATTTATATTTGTGTCTGCTACCCATTAAATGTTGATTTAAGGTTTTCTGACCTTCACTGCCATAAAGAGCAGTATTTGTAGATGTACAGCAGATGAGATGGTATTTAAAGAACCCAAGTCTTGCCCCAGTTTTTTTCTCTAGGATTTTTTTTCTTTTGTTTTAGATCCCTTGAGTGTTTGGAGTTTGGGAGGAACTATTGGAGATTTATTAATCTAATCTCATCAATTTACAGATAAGGAAATAGCTCCCAGAGATTGTCTGAGGTTAGAGTTTATCTCAGACCCAAAGGCCAGCTCCTCACAGTGGTCTACAACGCTGAAACAGCTGACTGTAGGCACTACTTCTTATTAGAGCTAATAATGATAATACTGTAATTATTTTAGGATGCACAGAAAACAAGGCTGATATGTTCTGGCTACAGGCCCATAAGCCATTGTTTTGAGAACTTTGATAATAAAGCAAATTCTTAGGCAGAATTTAGAGAGGAAAGCATAAACTAGAAGCACACTTACAGTCTGAATTTTCATGCTCCTTCCGGTTGGTTTGTTTGGATTTTGAAAATGTGTATTTACAAAGACTAACTTGGGGGAAAACAGCCCTCTTACATTTATGTGGCATAATATATACTTTAGTGATAAATTATTTTAATTAGGAATGATTCATATTAATTTGGGATCATTTATTTTGCCAACATTTAATTGGGACAACCACATGCTGGCAAAACAGCCCAAGCCGGTTTTAATCATAAAACTATTATAATACGCATTCCAACACCCCCAAGGAAACTTCACTGTTGAAAATAGAAGAAAAAAATCCTGACATAGAAATAATTATTTGCTGATATGTTATTTTATATATACGTTTTTAACATATAAACTTCATGGAGGACAGAGTCTCTTTTCATTTCTGTATTCCCCCATGCCTAGCTCATTGCCAGGAACATAAATATCTGGAGAATGAATGAGTGGAAAAGGAGAAAAAAGAGAAAGCATTCTACAGTTCTAGAATTGCTGGGTTTAAAAAGATATTCTAAATCAAGTCAAGCAGCAGTTATGTTTGTAAATGTGTGAGAAATTCATGTAGATGAAATCTCAGTTTTCTTTCATTACTTTCTTTTGTAACTCTGAAATGAGTGAGTTTGGAGAATTCAGTGTTTATGTCCAGTTCAAACAAAGTGAAATTAAAGGGAATTAAAGAAAAGCTGGCAAGGAGTAAGGAAGGGAAAAGTTTATATTTTTAAAAAACCTAAAGTGACTGATGTATTCAAATTCCTGGATTATATAATCTTCAAGGAAAGATACAGACTTTTCCTCTATTCTGGAATAATGATGATGGTGGTCCTAGGGCTGTCTATAGATGTCCAGGCCCGAGCAGTCTGTTTCACCAGTACAATCCCAGTTAAAATGCAAGTCTGAGGGGTTGTACAGGCCATGATCATAGAGATCCTGGAGAGATCCCGCTGGTATATGCACTGGGCCTTGAGGCAGGCAAAGGTGCAATTTCTAAGTGATCGTGTATCCTAGGGGACAAAATTTGTCCCAGAAAAATCATGAAGTAGGCAAACTCCCCTGGGCTTCAGTGAATTCTTTTCTAAAATTAAGAGATTAAGTTCTAAAAATGCAAGAACTCCAAGATGGCTTGGAGTTTTTTATACACTGTATACCTACCTTACAGGGATGCATGCAGGGTGCTTGGTACAGGGCCTGACACAGAGTAAGCCCTCCATGAAAGGGGTCGGTGATAATGATGCTGATGGTGATGATATTCTTGGTTGCCCAGTATCCCCTATCTACACCTTTCTTCCACCTGCAGTCACCTACTGCAATATCTTCCCTGTACCACTTTAATATTTTTGTTGTTGTTTTCTTTATTTTTTTAAGCTGTACACTTTTATTGAACTGGTCTTGTCAGGTTTGTTATTTTTTAATTAAAATCTATTATACTCTTACTTACCTGAGCCACCCTTAGTTATGATTTAAAAAAAAACAAAAAAAACAGGGCCTTGCTCTGTTGCCCAGGCTGGAGTAGTACAGTGGTGTAATCAGGGCTCACTGCAGCCTTGACCTAGGCTGACGCAGTCCTTCAGCCTCAGCCTCCTGAGTAGCTGGGACTACAGGTGCGAGCCACCACGCCTGGCTAACTTTTTTTTTATTATTATTATTTTTGATGTACCACTTTAAAAACAAAGTCAAAAGAAACTACTGTAGATCTCACATTGGTAGAGTCAATTTGAGACCCTTGCCTCGGAGACCAGAACCTGGTGTAACTTTCTCTTAACAAAGGTTAATAGCCAGTGGGGGGTCAGGGTTGGAACTCACCGAATCTGCATCACATAGAATCAGGTACCTCTCACATTCACGAAAGTGAATTATTTTTAATGAATTGTGCTGACAGTATGCCTCTTGCAAAAAGAACTAGCCCTAGATTCTTTTCTAGCTATCAAGATGGAAAACAACCACATCGTTAATTCAGACGGAGGGGTAAACCAAGTTAATCAGACTCCAAGACCCATACTAATTGTTGACCAAGTAATGCCACAGTATTCCATGGCTAAGGATTTCCAGCTTGTTCCAGTCCCTAAAAATCTGTTCTGCACAGTTAATATTTCACAAAACCAAAAGGGCTTAGTTGCAAGCACAAAGAGCTAGAAATCAGGAGACTTGTGGTTTCTATTGAGTTCTATCATTATCTGTCTAATAAGATAAATAAGTCACTTCTCTGTAACTCAGTTTCCACATTTGTGAAGTGAGGGAAGAGAAACATGTCCTAAAAACCATGCAGGGGCTCTGGAAAGAAAAAGAGCTAAGAATGGTGGGTTTTTTATAAAAGTTACACAAATGAATGGTTTTTGTCTCCGTTTTTCTGAAAGTGGGTTAAAAATAGCCTCCAAATAAAGCTAAAAGAATTTATTTAGACTAAATTGCACCAGAGAAGTAGAGGAATTAAGAGATATGACAAGCAAAGATGGGATGTTTCAATGGAAGAATCTCAGGCAGTAAAAAGGCTATGCTGTAAAACCAGAACTTTTGTTAGCACTGCATTTTTAAGATGAATTGGTCATAGTTAATGTATTGGATGGAAGAATTTTTAAACATCTGCCCCAAAGTATGCTGCATCCAAAAAATATATAACAAAACGAATTCTTACTCATTTGTGTTTATTCTTGGACTTATCCTGACATAATGGGGTTTTTTTAATTATAGATTCACACTGCATTTATTCATCACCCCTGTCCTCTCATCCATAACTCAAATTTACTACCAGCAACACAAAATACAAAGATGTGTCCAGTTTCACTACAGCTCTTCGCGTTTACAAGTGTCGAGCGCTTGCTTTCGGAACGCCCTTGTGATTGGCCGAGCCAATGCCAGTGACATCAACCAACTTACTTTTGATTGGAAGGCTGGTTGCTGGGACTGTAGCGTTTGCAGGAAGTCACTTAACTGTTTGGGAGCTGGAAAACCGAAGCTGAAGTTCTCTTTTGCCATAGGAACGAGCGCAACTGACTAGGAAAGATGTGTCCCAAAGCTCCGCAAGCTGGAACGTGAGCCAGGAGGCCCGGACCGGCCACGGGACCGCGAGGCACTCCGAAAGTGTGCGGCTGCCCCTTCCCTGCCTCCCAGCTGTTACCCTTTTAAATGTCAGTGTTCGAGGCTGTAGGGGTAGCACGAGGCAGCGAAACGGAACAGTCGGATTGGCCGCACGCCTCAGTTCTAGACGCACCTCTCCACCGAAGGCCGTTCTGACTGGCAGGGGGAGAAAGTAAACAGAGTTGAATCACCCTCCCCACTGGCCAATTGGAGGGGGTTTGGTTTGTGACGTGATGGGATTCTGCGAAATTGTTACTGAGCAAGAGAATGCCGGAACGGTGCGGACCGGCCGGAGCAGGGGTTCAGAAGCCGTCAGTGGACTCGGGAAAAAGTGTCTCTTAGACCTGGCGCTCGGCGGGACCCTCGCCACCCGCGTCGGGGTGATCGGGTGAATGTCCTGGGGCTTTGGCTCGACGGCGAGGCGGCCGAGGGCGTGCACCTCTCTTGCAGTTTCCTCTCCCAGCGCCTCGGGGGCGTTTTCAGTCGAATAAACTTGCGACCGCCACGTGTGGCATCTTTCCAAGGGAGCCGGCTCAGAGGGGCCGGCGCGCCCGTCGGGGGATCGCGGCCGGCGCGGGGCAGGGGCGGCGGCTAGAGGCGGCGGCGCGGCGGAGCCCGGGGCCGTGGATGCTGCGTGCGGAGGCGCTGCCGGTTACGTAAAGATGAGGGGCTGAGGTCGCCTCGGCGCTCCTGCGAGTCGGAAGCGCCCCGCGCCCCCGCCCCCTTGGCCGCCGCGCCGTGCCGCGCCGCGCCGCGCTCGTCGTCCGAGGCCAGGGCAGGGCGAGCCGAACCTCCGCAGCCACCGCCAAGTTTGTCCGCGCCGCCTGGGCTGCCGTCGCCCGCACCATGTCCGCGGCCGCCTACATGGACTTCGTGGCTGCCCAGTGTCTGGTTTCCATTTCGAACCGCGCTGCGGTGCCGGAGCATGGGGTCGCTCCGGACGCCGAGCGGCTGCGACTACCTGAGCGCGAGGTGACCAAGGAGCACGGTGACCCGGGGGACACCTGGAAGGATTACTGCACACTGGTCACCATCGCCAAGAGCTTGTTGGACCTGAACAAGTACCGACCCATCCAGACCCCCTCCGTGTGCAGCGACAGTCTGGAAAGTCCAGATGAGGATATGGGATCCGACAGCGACGTGACCACCGAATCTGGGTCGAGTCCTTCCCACAGCCCGGAGGAGAGACAGGATCCTGGCAGCGCGCCCAGCCCGCTCTCCCTCCTCCATCCTGGAGTGGCTGCGAAGGGGAAACACGCCTCCGAAAAGAGGCACAAGTGCCCCTACAGTGGCTGTGGGAAAGTCTATGGAAAATCCTCCCATCTCAAAGCCCATTACAGAGTGCATACAGGTTAGCGGCGTCGCCCTCTCCCCCGGAGCTCTGGGGTTAGTTAACCTTTGGCCAGGCAGCGTTCCTGGGCGTTCGGGACACTGCACTCGGCCGAAAGGGTGCAAACATGTTGGATAAGATGCGGTTTAACTCTTTAAATAATTTAAATGTGCATTGGCGGAAAGCTCACTCTCTCCTTAATTGTCCCCGGCCTCCGGGAGCCACGGAGAGCCTTAAACTGGCGGGCAGAGCGAGTGCGGTGCGTGGCTTCGCGGGGAGTGGTGTCCGCCCCTCCCCTGTCCCGCCCCGCCCCCGGGACTCTCCCGCACCCCGCGACGGTGGGGCCACCCCACCTGGGAGACGCTGGCAGCGGGGAAGTCAGATGGCGTATCTTTTATTTAATTCTCTTGTCGGGTTGCAGAGAAGTGGTTGAAACCGAGGGGGGACGCGGCGCACTTTACTTCGAGCCTTTTAGGGATGACTAAGGACTCATTTAACTGGATGCCTGCTACTTTTTTGGGCTTGCCAAGGTGGTTTTAAATTTGGCTGGGAGTCCCCCGAGAGGTTTAAAATAACCCGGCTTCAGGCAGCATAGGAGTCTGATCAAGTAATGGTGGTTAACTTCACTCATGAGTCCTCCTGATGAGCCAGGTTTCAGAGCTGACTTTTTTTTTTTTTTTTTTTTTTTTTTTTGGCCATGTGACTTAGGTCGCACCCTCCACCCCTGAATCGCGGTTTGCAGGGAGGTGTGGTCCTTGCCGGAGGTCAAGGCTTGGTAATGAATGTTGGGCGGTTCTGGAGGCCTCAGGGAATAGTTCCTCCCAGGGAGGGTGAGAGGCATGGCCGTACAAATGAATGTGGCCAGAAAGACATCTATCTGCCTTTTAAAATGGGCTTTGGAGACTTCCAGGGACCTGGGTCATCCAATTCTGTTGGTTGTGTTTAACATGAACGGTAAAAGTTGGAAAGCATTCACATTTGGACATGCTGTCTTGACCATCTTCGGAATGGTTCTTTTACAAGCGCCATTCAGAGGTAGCGGGGCTTGGTCCTCTCAGATAAGCCTTTTGCCTCTGTCTTGTGACACCGTGTTTGAGAGGGTATTGTTGGAGTTAGTTGGAAAAGTGTTGTCATTTTTTGGTGTAATACCTCGATACTTTTAAGATGAGGTCTTGGGCCTGTGGTTTAAAAATGATACATGGAAAAAAATGATACTTGATTGGGGTTTTTTGTTTTGTTTTGCTTTCCTTTTTAAAAGAAAGGCCACGTAACTGCTTCTCATTCCATTTCCTTTGGAAACTTGTTCTTGTGGAGGTGGCTGCTGGCACCGGAATCAGACTGAATTTCCTCCATGGTTAATGCAAAATCAGGTTCTGTTTGGGGTCATCATTTAGGTTGCCATAAAACAGCACATTTTAAGGCTTGTATCTGTAAGGTTGCTGAAAGGCATGTGCCTGTGTTGGGGGATGTGACCTTTAGTGTGGCTCTGGGGGTGAAGTAGGGGTATATTAACTGGAGGGTGTTACTCACCAACAGCTGTTGGGCGGGCCTGGCTGTGTCAGCCATGTTCCCGGAGTTCAGTTGTTCCCATCGACACCCACTGCCACCTTGAGCAAAGGCATTTTCTCCTTCAGGGAGCTGCCCAGTCGTGCAGCCAGGGAGGCCTGCAGTTCCTCTGTGAGCTGCCAGAGTCTGTCCGACTCAGGAATAGGGTTTCCAGCGTTCTGGGCCATTCGGCTGAGTGATTTTTCTCAGGCATTTATAGAAATGGCTGCTTCTGTGTGCGTGCATGCGTGCTGCTCCTTAATTCTCCATAAGGCAAGTCATTCGGCTCAGCTGTTTCAGGAGAACCTTTTTCCCAGTCAGGAGTGGAAAACGAAGTGAGATGTTCATTCAGCTTTAAGTGCTACAGTCAGTGCTTTGAACCTAGGGATGTGGTGATTGCAGGTGCCTATGTTTTGGGGATCTCTAATCTTAGTGCATGGTTGAACAAAACCTCAGCCTGGGTTAATATTGTCGGAAGTGTATTCCTGCTAGAGGAGGTATGTGTTAAGGTTACTTTAAATAAGAGACTTGGAGGTCTCATGCATTTGGAAGTTTCAGATACAACTTCAATTTAAATTGACTTTAGGGTAGGGTAAGGAGCTTTTCTAATTTTCTTTCTGCTGGTGTTAAATCAAGAAGGTGGGCAGAGATGGCATTTGGAATGTCTGCATTCTGTGAAGATTTTAGGAGCTAAACTCCCTGCCACACCCCCTTGCTTAGTGCTGCTAACATTCCCTCAAGAAACCCTCCAGCTTGCTCACTTCCTTATAGAGACACATACAGCTGCCACTTCATAGACCACTTCTACACCAGCTTTAGAAGTTGAATCATTCAAACAGATTTTCTTCTAATTCAGTGCTGCTACTTCTGTAGTGTGCTGGGAGGAACGACACAGTTGAGGCCAGCTAAGCTGGGTTCTGATTTGTCCTATTGTTTTCTCATTTGAGACCATAAGGAAGTTACTTTAATTCAGAGTTTGCAAACTGGAGGCTTGCTGCTGAATTTGCTTTGCAGATTTGTTTGGCTTGGCCAACACAGGGTTTATAAAAATTTAATTAGTTACCAACATCTAAAAATCAGAGGATTATAGCATGAATCCAGATTTCTGGCTTGTCTGGAAAAATCAAAAGATCTGGCAAAACTGGGCCTGAATTCTTGCCTAGCAACAATTGGCTTGAACTGATCATGATATGGGGCAGTACCTCGTATTTTAATCATTTACAGGATCTCTTTTGGCATTTAAGTTTGCAACCTCTGCTTTGTTTAAGCCTCACTTTCTTAATCCACAAGGTAGGGCTACTATCCTCAAGTCACAGGTTCTTGTGCAAAGATAACATCTATAAAGCACTTGGTAGGGTTCCACACACAGTAACCCCTTGAGAAATGCTGGGTCCTGTGGTTTGTGTATAATGTACAGAACGTCACCTTAAAAATCAGGAAACACTGGATAAACTTATTTTTAAGCAGTATGTTAATTTACATTTTCAAATAGTATGTTCAGTTTGTTTTTCTTCAACCAGACCAGATCTTTTCAGGTGACATACCTCTAAAGTTTAAGCAGTGGATCCATTGTTAATCTAAAGAAAACAAAAGATGCAACAAATATACTATTTTTCCTGTTTCCAGACTTTTTGGACACTTTATGATGTATTTATTTGTACTGTTTCAGATTAATTTTAGAACTATTAGAGTATTTTATATGAAAATATATCAAGCATATTATTTGAAAATGTAATTAACATGAAGTTTATCCTAAGTCTCCTGACTTTGTGGATACCTTTCACATAGAGTATGGGCAGATTTTGGGGGGCGGGTGGTAAAGGCAGTGTTATAAGGAAACAACTACATTCTAATTCCAGCTCGGAAGTCATCAGAACAGGCTGATGTTGAATCATGCTGGGTTGATATCTGGATGACAGAAACCTTAGGCCTTGTTTCTGTGCCAGGTGCCATCTTATTCTCTTTTTGGAGGGGCTTAAGTCAGCTATCGCCAAGTGGTGACAATGGGTTGAGTTTGATAACACTGGTTATAGGATTCTGAAGATCAGAAAACCCCAAATTCCAACCATGACACCCCAGTTCTATGAAAAAATATTTTTCAGTATATATATATACATATATGTATATATATATACATATACATGTATATGTATACATATATATACATATATGTGTATATATATACATATACATATATATGTATACATATATACATATATGTATATATATACACATATATATACATATATGTGTATATATATACACATATATATACACATATATGTATATATATATACACATATATATATATACATATATGTGTATATATATATACACATATATATATATAGTGCAAAAGGAGGCTCACATAAAAAACCAGGAGAGGTGGGGGCTACAAAAGCCCGGAGTGGCGGCTTCTGCTCCTTAGCCTCTTCGAACACATTCTTGGGATCCTTGGCATACTTGGTGTGAGGGACCTGGATAGCCTCTGTAGTAGAAGTTGTCCTCCAATATGGAAAACAGATTTTTTTGGTCCCTCTAGGAATGTCCATCACTAGCCAACTCTAACTTAGGTGGGAATTTTGCTTAAAGGCATGAGGTTGCCCTGAGCTTCTTGCACTCTTCTCCCTTAATTACTGTAAAAGGTTTTGGAGTCAACTGTTTGGTCAAGGAGAGTCTGATGTCATCGGAGGTATCAGGAAAAACTCACTTCATTGCCTGGGAGGTGGGGCCTTAGGGACAGAGCAAGGCCTTGCCCTAGACTAAGGGGCCTTAGCTCACTGGGCTGCCCATTAAGTAGGCCCTGCCCAGCCCTTACCACCATCTCTTCTCTTCATGAGTGGAACGGAAGCCCTGTACCTGGATCCTTAGGGACACATTCTCTCTACCCCATTCTTCTTTCCAGAGGGCTCCCCAGAGTGATGTGGAATGGCATTTCATAACCCAACTTGCTTCATCCAACATAGATGTACAACTAGGCCTGAGTGGGGCTTGCACAGGTAACTGTTTCTCTACCCTTTTTCCATAATTGTCCCCTCCATTACTGATCCTCCTGCCTCAGCCTCCAGAGTAGCTGGGATTATGGGTGTGTGCCACCACACTCGGCTAATTTTTTGCATTTTTAGTAGAGACAGGGTTTCACCATGTTGGCCGGGCTAGTCTCGAACTCCTGACTTCAAGTGATCTGCTCACCTCGGCCTCACAAAGTTCTGGGATTACAGGTGTGAGCCACTGCGCCTGGCCTCCCCCATTACATTTTAATTCCACAGATACACTTGAGCTGTTTATGGACTATGCCCCATTCCGAAGGCGACAAATCGTTGTAATAGCTAAGACTTTTTTCACCTGTCACAGAACCAATTTTTGCCCCCTGGGAGATGATACTGCCTCACCCCACTCAGCAATAGGAGTGATATCAAGTATCCTGTTAGGGAAGAATAACAATCTATGCAAAAGGCTGCATACACATGGCTTCTAGCTATAGAGGATGGGTTTCTAAGGCTGCAAGGGTTTGCTATAGGGTTTGTTTCTGGGTTTTAGACAAGAGGGTAAAACTCCCTTGAATCAAGTGAAAGATGCCCAGACTGTTCTTCAGCCCCCAGCCCAAGCTCTCTGCAGAAATCTGACCCTGGGGCTGGAGGCTGTTAGGACCCTATAGCTCTTATTGCTAGTCACAAGGTAGGAGCCACCCAGTTGCCTTTCTTTCCTCATTTCCCATTTGTCCTGTGTCATCCTCCATCTATCTGCCCTAGCAAAGACAGTCGGGGGGCCTCTGAGAATCTTCTGCTGGCAAGATTACAGTTTCACGATAGAAAACATAAGTGGAGTCAAATTACAGAGTACGCACACTGTTTCCCTTGATTTTCCTCTCACATCTTCTGTGCGTGGTGAGAAGAGAGAGGGGAGGGGTATAAGTGGGTTCCTGGGTGAGAGAGGGAGGTACCAGAGTAAATACAGTGCCACTTGGATGGTGACACCCCATTACCTTCAGACACAAAGATGTAAGCTGAGGGAAATGAATTCTTGGATTCAGGGAAATGAATTCTTGGATTCTGAACATGAGGGTCAGATTTACATTCCTGTCTCAATTGTTGACGCTTATCCCAAGGACTAGTCATTCTGCAACATCTGTGGGAAATTCCCAGATTGAACTTCCCAGGGAGAAACATCATATGACATATTGGGAAAATGGCTGACAATGGTTTTCCTTAGTAAGTTCATTGAGAAGAAAAGTGGGCGGATGATTTCCCAGTCTTCACTCTTTCAGAAGCCCCTAAAACAATCTGACATGCTCTAGTTGGAGCCTGCTTTCTATCCCATCAGTTTGATTTCTGAATGCCTTATGATCATTAGCATTCTTCATTAAAAAAAAAAAAAGCTTTGTCGCATTTGTTAGTCTTGACTTCCAAATCTTCCGTGTTCTTTTTTTTTTTTTCTCTCTCTCTCTCTCTTTCCCTTTGGCTGTTCTCAGGCTTGGAGAAAAAGCTTGTAGCATGCCATTCCTTCCTCCACTGCTAGAATCCTCCCCCACATCCGACCCTCCCACCTTTTCCTAATGTTTCTCCAGCAAGCCCAGCGCCCACTGAAGAGCGTAAATTAGTGCCTAGTAATTGGTACAAAGGCACTTTCTGTTTCTATGCAACACACGCAGAAAGGAGGGGCAAAAGGAAGACGAAGAAAAAAACCCCACAGATGGTTAAAAAGGGAAAGAAGTGAGATCCTCTTTCAGTGGTCTTTGAGCAATCCTGGCTCTCTTTCTCCGCCCCACTTTTTGTTGAAAGTTAGTCACAGGCCTAGGCCTAACTCAGAGCACTTGGTGGCAGCAGTTGTTAGTATCAAAAGAATAGCACTTGGAGGTTGGAAGTGACCTTGGGAGGTCATCACATCCATCATTTTGTCTTTAAGAAAGCACATCCCCACCCTTTCTCAGAGAGATGGGGATTGTTCTCTTGAAATGTTTTGGGGGGACTTGAAGGGCTTTGAAGCACACCACCAGGTTTCAAAAGCTGCCTATCTGCCTTGACTAGCATGTGAGTGGTCATACTGTGTAATCTCCCAGAGCCTCACCAGCTCATGAGGGTACTAGGTAGTTGGAAGCATTTGTCAGCAGAAAATGCTAAAGCCCCTAGCTTCAAGCTTGGCTCTGCGGGTGCCTAGGAATTTTTCCTTCATTTTGAATTCTTTGCAGTACTTTCATTTGAATTCTTTCCCCCCACTTGCTCTCCTGGGACTTCAGTCTATGGTTAACATTTTTCTTTTTCACCTTAGTTTAAAGGGCTGCTTCATGGAATTAACCAAGTGAAAGGGCAGAGGTGGAGTGAGCTGGGGTGGCCTATGCCCTTTTTATGGGAGCAGCACTCTCTTTAACAGCCCAAGGCAGAGCTGCTGAGAGGTTTCCTACCACTCCCTACCTGGAATCGTCCTGAAACTTTAATACCTTTTTGATGCATTAAGGCCACGAGTAAACATTTGTTTTATCCCAGTGTCAAGCAGTCCCCTCAGCAAATAATAGGACTAACATTATTATTCATAAGAATGTGATCCCCCCTGAGGGAGTGAGAAGCACCCATTTTTTTTTTAAATACATGGGACCTTCCAAGGCCATTCATTGCCATGTGTGTCCAAAGCCTTTTTGATGGTGTGCCCGAAGCCTTCTCTTTTAATCTCAGTTTCTAGTGTGGTATAATTGACTTTGGAATCCTGAGATGAGAATTGAAGAACCTGGATCTGAAATCTAAAGGTTCTAGAGCTGAGAGAACCAGTTTGCTCACGATCTAAGCCAGAGCTGCTGCTGCTGGGCCTTTGAATTTGTTTATTTTTTAATGAAACTGAGAATGATCACAAATTTGAACAGGAGAAAGGAATCTAGGAGAATTTGAACAGGAGAAAGGCCAATCCTTAACTGGCCAGATTGAGTCTTTTTAAAAAGTGAGGACATTTATTTAAATAGATTAAAGTAAGAGACGGGAGCTTAAGCCATACAAAATTAGTGACAAGGATTTGAAATGCAGTCAGTGGTGTTATGTATTCAATGAAGTTTGAACATTTTTCCAAGCTGAGCCTCCGTCCTTGTGGAAGGGAGTATCTCCCAAAGGGCCTGACTTGAACCAAAGTGGGAACCAGTGGAATAGGCAATGGTCAAAAACACAAAAGTCTCTCTTGGGAGTTTTGGACATTTTAGAACCGGGAGCAAAATTACAGATCATCTTGGCCCAAAGAAATAGAGGGAGAAGAAAATGTTTCACCATCTCTGTCTTCCAGAGAGCTAGCTTTCATAAGACAGGCAGTTAGAAATGAAGAGTAAGGCCTGACCTATTTCATATTGAACAGTCAAACTGAGGAACTGGAATGTGAGGGGGCCTTTACCTTCAGTACAGAGACAGTAGATAGAGTCGTCAGAGCACAGGCTTTTGGGTCCTTCTGACATGGGTTTTTGAATCCTGTCTCCACCATTCTATTTATGACAACTCAGGCTCTACTTACCTTCTCTGAGCCTCAGGTTTCTCATCTGTAAAATGGAGCTCAGTAATTATATATTTATGAAGTTGTTATGAAGCTTAATTCAGATGAGGTGTTTAAATCATTTAGCACACCATTATAATTAAAAATAAAGAATTTATGTGTGTGTTCCAGAAGCCCTTGATTCCTAGAATTTTTGTTTAGAATTCCAGATTAGTCCAGCACTGCCTCATTCACTTCAATTATTTATTATTATTATTATTATGATTTTGAGACTGAGTCTCACTCTGTCACCGAGGCTGGAGTGCAGTGGCATGAAGGATCTTGGCTCACTGCAACCTCTGCACTCTCCCCGCCTACTTCCCCCTACCCCCTACTCAAGCAATCCTCCCACCTCAGCCTCCCAAGTAACTGGGACCACAGATGCACACCATTTTTTGTAGAGGCTGGGTTTCACTATGTTGCCCAGGCTGGTCTCAAACTCCTGAGCTCAAACCATTTGCCTGCCTCAGCCTCCCAGAGTGTTAGGATTACAGGCATGAGCCACTGCACCCAGCCATCTCATTCACTTAAATTATTTATTGAGTGACTTACATGCAAAAAGCTGTGTAAAATGCTGGTACCAGGCACTTTGGATTTTGTGGCTAATAGTGATAATAATGACAATTTCTAACATTTATTATATGTCAGGTTCCAAGCTAAATGGTTTACATGCATTGTCACATTTAAACTCACAGCAATCCTGTGAGATAGAAAGGTGCTGTTCTTCTCATTTAATAGGAGGAATCAGACTGGGAGTTAGTTAACGTAGTTCAAGGTTACACTGGAATTTTCCTAGTCTGTCTCTAGGTGGGTGGAGTTGGGCATGAATGCTTGCTGATCTGGACCCCTTGAGTTTCCGCCAGTGGGAAGAGACCCTGTGTTTTACGTGGTTCTCTTGGGTTTGGTCCCAGAGCCACCAGTCTTCAGCTGTCTACTCTTGTTGTTCTGACTCTGGCTTATGGTTGGTTTTCATGAACCTCGGTTAGGAGTGTCAGCAGAAATCTTGGACTCTGACCATACCTACTCTGTATTTTCCATAGTTATCCAGAAGCTGCTTCCTTCCCATTGAAAAATAACCTGGTTGTGGGCCCAAAGCTGTATTAGTCAGGACAACAGAATCCAAACAGGGACTGGCTTAATAAAAAAAATGAAACTTTATTGGTTCAGGTTACAAACACATCTAGGGGTAGCTCTCATTTCGGTGTCTGTGGATACAGGCACTCAGTTTCTGCCTCTCCATGGCTCAGTTTTGCTGCCTTTTGCTACAGCCTCATTCATGGGGTTGGTGGGGGCTGTCTCCAAATAGTGGTGAGATGGCTGCCCGCAGTTCCAGACTCATATCCTGCCACTTAAGCAAACCCCAAGGAAAGACAGTTTTCCATTCCCAAAGATTCCAGCAAAAGTTCCAGGCTTTAAGCTCCATGACTAGTTCAGATTGTGTGCCCCATCCCTGAAATGAATCACTGTGGCACGACTGGGTCACATCCAATCTCTGGGTCTGGAGGTGTGGGGTCACCCTCCCTGGAACTACATATATCCAGAATGGGGAAGGAGTTGTTGCCAAAAGGAAATTTAATGTGTTATTTATTATCCAGAAGGGAACAAATGCCAGACAGGCAAAACCAACACCCATTCTCTCTGTCATCCCATTTAGTTAGTTATTTATTTTTATTTGTATTTTTTTGAGACAAAGTCTCGCCCTGCTGCCCAGGCTGGAGTGCAGCAGCACAATCTCGGCTCACTGCAACCTCCACCTCCCTGGTTTAAGCCATTCTGGTGCCTCAGCCTCCCGAATAGCTGGGATTACAGCCACACCCCACCATGCCAGGCTAATTTTTGTATTTTTAGTAGAGATGGGTTTTCACCAGGTTGGTCAGGCTTGTCTTGAACTCCTGACCTCAGGTGATCCACCCGCCTCGGCCTCTCAAAGTGTTGGGATTACATGTGTGAGCCACCATGCCCGGCTATCATCCCATTTATAACTACCAACAGGATTTTCCAAAGAACAGAGTTTGACAAAATGAGAGGCAAACAGTACGATATTTTTTTTTCTATATATTTTTCTTCCTTTTGGTGGGAAGGAGCTCCGAACTATCTCTGGAGTTCAACCCGAAAGATAGGCCATAAGTGAATGTACAGAAGGGTCTTTGCAGAAGATAGATGATTTTGACAGGTATTACATACGCTTAGGCAAACACCCACTGGCCCTCCTGAGTGGATGTTCTAGAAGCCAATAATAAAAGCCTCACATGGAACAAGTATAACAGCAGCAGGGTGAACTTCAAAGCCATTGACTTGGTTTTAATTCCAGTCTGTCCATTTTAATGTCCAGAGAAACAAATCATGTTTACAGGAACATTTATTACCCTATATGCTAATAGGTAAAAGCCTAGTCTATGCAAAGACGAGCTGTTTATATGGCAGTTCCCACTGGGATTCAGAAGTGTATTCAGTGTGCACAATGCCCAAGAAAAACACTGTAATAAATCATAAGAGGCAAAAAGTAGAGCTTAAAAACAACTTAACAAAAACACATAAAAGTGACTTAACTCCCTGTGCTCTGTAATTCTACAGTAGTTTTGTACCATTACCATTTTAAGGAAAATAAGCAGAATGACAACCAAACAGCTGGCTTTCTCTCGTATTGTAATCCATACTCATGGCCAGCCCCAAAATGCTTGTTCAGTGAGCATTATCCCACTGAAGCGGGGGGTTCCCAGTGTGAAAAACATAGGCTATTTTCTCTAACCTGAGGCATTTCTTTTTCTTTTTCTTTTCTAATTGATTTTATTTTATTTTATTTTTATTTATTTATTTTTTTTGAGACAGTCTCGCTCTGTTGCCCAGGCTGGAGTGCAGTGGCATGATCTCGCTCACTGCAACCTCCGCCTCCTAGATTCAAGCAATTCTCCTGCCTCAGCCTCCTGAGTAGCTGGGACTACAGGGACATGCCACTACACCCAGCTCATTTTTGTACTTTTAGTAGAGACGGGGTTTTACCATGTTGGCCAGGCTGGTCTCAAACTCCTGGCCTCATGTGATCCACCCACCTTGGCCTCCCAAAGTGCTGGGATTACAGGCGTGAGCCACTGCAGCCAGCCTAATTTTTTTTCTTTTCTTTTCTTTTCTTTTTTTTTTTTTTTTTTTGTGAAGGAGTCTTGCTCTGTTGCCCAGACTAGAGTGCAGTGGTGCGATCTCAGCTCACTGCACCCTCTGCCTCCCAGGTTCATGTGATTCTCCTGCCTCAGCCTCCTAAGTAGCTGGGATTACAGGTGCCCGCCACCACACCCAGCTAATTTGTGTATTTTTAGTAGTTGATAGGGTTTCACCATGTTGGCCAGGATGGTCTCGAACTTCTGACCTGAAGTGATTCACCGGCCTCGGCCTTCCAAAGTGCTGGATTACAGGCATGAGCCACCGCACCCAGCTAATTTTTGTATTTTTAGTAGAGACAGGGCTTCACTATGTTGGCCAGGCTGGTTTTCCTGAGATGGGGTCTCACTCTGTCACCCAGGCTGGAGTGCAGTGGTGCAATCACGGCTTATTGCATCCTCATGCTCCTTGGCTCAAGCAGTCTCTCACCTAGGTCTCCTGAATAGCTGGGACCACAGGCACGCACCACCATGCCCAGCTAATTTAAAAAATTTTTTTTTTTTTTTTTTTTTGGAGATGGGATCTCGCTATATTGCTCAGGCTGGTCTCGAACTCCTGGCCTCAAGTGATCCTCCTGCTCCAGTCTCCCAAACTGTTGGGATTACAGGAATGAGTCACTAACACCCAGCCTAACCCGAGGCATTTCTTCCCAAAGCCCTGCTTGCTCCTAAATTTCAAAACACCCTCTAGAAATACATGCCCAAAGAGGGGACTATATTCCTTTTCTGAGATCTCAGGGGGAGGGTTGAGTGGGGACTGTTTTGTGAAGGGTGGACAGCTCTGACCTGCAGTTCTTTGTGGTCTTTGGTGCCAAACATCAAGCCATGTGACTTAGTGGCTCACTCCATCCCAAGAGTAGAAGGGTTAAAAGCTTGAAAAGCTGCTGGTGGCCCATGTGGCATGTATGAGTAGGATTTATGGCCACTGCAGCCATACTGTGGTGTGCATACAGTGTGCAGAGGTTGAGCCCAGAGGGAAAAACCTGGATGGAAACACTTGCTGGAGTGGCATCACTTTTCACCATGAGTCCTTATGAATGCCACAGCCTAGCAGGTAGAGTACGTGTTGACTAATCAGGCATCAGTCTCTCCATTTCTGCTGCTGGGGGACAATCTTTTTCTTGGCATTTCAGGGTCTCAGTTACTTCTGCATTAAATTGTATTCTCTTTTGGCTAAATGTTTGCAAAATCAGGGTTCTCTCTCTAATTCGGGGTCCCTTGCCTTTCCTTTCCCTGGGAGTGATCTTCTGTTTGGTGGGCATGGGGCTCATCTCTTGTTTCAGCCTCGTGGGAGAGCCATCCATGTTGCATGCTGTCCTTTGACCTTGTGGTGATGTCCACTGAGACGTCTGTCATGCACTTGCCTGTGTCCCCATCCTCACAGGCTGACATCAGTGGCTCTGGGTGTTAGATCCTTGCACTGTGACCCAGTCCTCCTGTGGATTTCTCCAACAGCACAGTTTTGGGCTCAGGAACACAGTCCTTTTCCCCACCCTGCACTTTAGAAGGGTGCGCACACTGAGACCCCTCTCAGCTGTAGCTCCCCAACTCCTCAGGTGTTATGGCCTGTGTGGGGCTTCCAAGAGGACCTTATTTGTATAAGGCACTTCCTCTAGGCATGTCTCGAAGGCTGTCTCTACAAGGAGAATAAAGACCTGGATATTTCTTAGAGACCTCTGTGTCTCTAATACAGTCCTACCAGCTCTTTCTCTTTTTCTGCCCCTCATGTCTTGGTTGGAAGATCTGGCAAATTGAGAGTTTTTTTAAGCTCAAGGACTTAGGTTTTCTAAATGCTACTTTGAAAATTAAAGCTCAGTGGCAACTTATTTATCCTAAACTATGTCTGATCCCCCTGAGGCAATGCATTTGGAAGGAAGGGCCTGGAAGGCAGAGAATTGGAAAAAAAGGCACTGTGAAAGGTCAGTCTCTGTGCTTTTAGTTTGAGTCCAGGCTCTTCTTTCACATCTAATCTCATTTTGTGCATAAAACTGAAGGAGCAATTTGAAACCTGGTTTTAATCTGGTCACACACTATTGTGCAGGGCGTCCTTGGGCACGTCATCTGCCCTCTGAGTTGGCTTCATCTAAAACATGACAGGTTTGAATTCCATGGTGATAAAAATCACCAAAATTGCAAAGATTCAAAGAATCTGTTCTTGGGATAGCTTTGCCATTAGGCATTTATATCTTGTTCAATATTTAATGCCTAGGTAGATATTTATTATCTATGTTTCCCACAAATAGCTGAACAAAGGCAGCATAGTCTGGGATGGCAGGAATTACCTAGTCTGGGCCAGGGTCTGGTCTTTGAAGGGCTAGCTATGTGGTTGTGGGGAGGTTGCATCATCTTTCTGGGCCTTTGGAGGATCCCTAAGATTTCATCCACCTCTAAATTCTGTTACTCTGACTTTTATGATCTTTTATCACACTACACCAAGAGGCAGATCTTCATTGTGTTAAAAATTTATGTTTAGGGTCCACATTTTGCCTCTGCACTATTTTTAGTTTTCAGGCAGGGCCATATAACTGAGACTTCAAGACAGCTCTTGGCCAGGTGCAGTGTCTCACGGCTGTAATCCCAGCACTTTGGGAGGCTGAGACAGGAGGATCACTTGAGCCCAGGAGTTTGAGACCAGCCTGGACTACATAGTAAGACCCCTGACTATACAAAAAATAAACAAAATTAGTTGGGTGTGGTGGCATGCACCTGTGGTCCAGCTACTTGGGAAGCTGAGGTGGGAGGATCACTTGAGCCTGGGAGGTTGAGGCTGCAGTGAGCCAAGATCACGTCACTGGGTGACAGAGCAAGACCTTGCCTCACAGAAAAAAAGAAAAAGAAAATGTATAGTTTTTGCTGAATCAAGAACCTAAAGAGGCAAGAATCTGTTGTCAGCTGGGCACAGTGGCTCATCCTTATAATCTCAGCACTTTGGGAGGCCAAGGCAGGAAGATCACCTGAGCTCAGGAGTTCAAGACCAGCCTGGCCAACATGGTGAAAACCTGTCTCTACTAAAAATACAAAAATTAGCTGGGCATGGTGGCAGGTGCCTGTTGTAATCCCAGCTACTTGGGAGACTGAGACACGAGAATTGCTTGAACCCGGGAGGCAGAGGTTGCAGTGAGCCGAGATCGTGCCACTGCACTCCAACCTGGGTGACAGAGCAAGACTCCATCTCAAAAAAAAAAAAAAAAATTCTGTTATCTGCTGTCTTTTGTTTGAGGTCTGCTGGAACTGCATGTGCTGTCTCACAGATAGCTGAGGTTGGGAATGTGTGCACGATATTTGGATATGCTTGCTTCTTAGACTCTGACATGCTTAAATGAGGAAGTGCTGCATACAGATGTCAGAGACACACACCCACTTCTCATTTCAGAACCTAAAGCATAGGACAAGTTGCTTTCTACAGATAAACACAGAGATCCGGAAGTAAAATCTCACACCTAAGCCCTACACTGTCTCTGTTGTATCAACAAATACAATATAAACGGAAGCCAAATCACAAGCAGGATTCAGTGAGAGGTCAGAAGCAAATGGTAGTAATATGATGGGATGGCATTCAGGCAGGATTATTCTTTCAAAGCCTATTTAACATTTTTATTCGTTCAGAACATCTACATGCAAAGCAATATTTCTGATAAACAGGAGACTTTTGAATGAATGATTTTTGAGTTCAGTGTTCATTGAAATGATGTATGCAGAAAAATGTGGACTTCTCTGTACCCAGGAATGGCCTGCACACCTCTTCCGTAATGTGTATTGGTGGTTCTGCACATGAGGGTAATGGAGAATGGGAAAAAAGCAACTGTTCATGTTTCGTACCTGCATGTTGACATTGCTTTTTGGTGAGGAGAGAAGCCAGATGGTGATGGACAAATGGGGTGCTTGAGGCCTAGGGTCAGGGCAGGTCTATGTGGATGCATTCCCCACCAGTCTGGTCCATGAATGCTTTCTTAGACTCAAATCTTTGCACTTCTTCATGATCTGACTCCTCTCACCTGCTTTCTAACAAGGACACTCCTTTGTTGGGCAACCCTACTGTTACTGTTTGTGCATTTCCACCTCTGAAGGAAGGTTCCTGTCTGTTCTTATAAGAGGGCCATGTCCCTTTCACATATGGAAAAAGTAGGAGAGGTGGAAATAGAGGAGTGAGAAGACAGATGTAGTATATTCAGGAAGTTTCTGACTTTCTCCGTTTTGTTTTTTTTTTTAGTCAGAGTCTCACTCTGTCACCCAGGCTGGAGTGCAGTGGTGCAATCTCAGCTCACTGCAACCTCCACCTCCAGGGTTCAAGCGATTCTCCTGCCTCAGCCTCCCGAGTAGCTGGGATTACAGGCATGTGCCACCATGCCTGGCTAATTTTTGTATTTTTAGTAGAGACAGGGTTTCACCATGTTGGCCAGGATGGTCTCAACCTCCTCACCTCAAGCGATCCACCCCCCTTGGCCTCCCAAAGTGCTGGATTACAGGTGTTTACAAGTGTGAGCCATCACACCGGGCCAGGAAGTTTCTGACTTTCTGACAATTAGTTTGAGAAGAAGACAAAATGACTCTTCTCTCTTTGGTCATGGATCACTTACTGAAGTGTCCCAGTAATTTCTCAATAGAAAGTAAATCACCTACTGCCCTCCACTTCCATGCCCATGGAATATATTCCTTTTAAAATTTTTAAGAGATGAGGTTTCACTATGTTGCCCATGCTGGTCTTGAACTCTGGGCCTCAAGCAGTCCTCCCTCCTCAGCCTTCCAAAGTGCTGGGATTACAGGCATAAACCACCATGTCTGGCCTGGAATATATTCTTGATCAAGCCATTTGTGGAATGGTTTAAACTCAGATGTATCGCTGTTTTCTGTAAGACTTTTAAAAAATATTAAAATAACTTTTTCTGACTTTTTCTCATAAAAGAAATTTATACTCACTGTTTAAAAAATCAGAAAACATAGGGAAAAATTACAAAAGGAAGTAGAAGTTATTCTTTATCTCCTCACTGGTAGATAGTAATTGTTCAAATTTTGTATATATTCTTTTTACTTAATATTTTTTTAATTTTAAATTGTAGTAGAGATGGGGTCTTACTGTGTTGCCCAAGCTGGTCTTGAACTCCTGACTTCAAATAGTCCTCCTGCCTCAGCCTCCCAAAGTGTTAGGATTACAGGCATGAACCACCTCAGCCAGCCCATATTTTGTGGGCAACAGGATTTTTTTCTCTCCATATATATTCACACACTTATGCAGCTGATCATACATTGTTCTTCTCAGTTAGCAGTGTATGGCTAACATCTTTCCATTTCATTATATAACAGTCTGGTACCTTTTTCACAGGTACATATTAGTCCCCTGTAAGGATATACTTTATGTATTAAACCAGCCCTTTATTTTTGAGCATTTAAGTTACCACCTTTTAGCTCTCATAAGCAATGCTGGTATCCCTTTTCATGTCTCTATCTAATTATTATCAAATTAATTGCCAAAAATAATCTGCAGGAGAATATTGCCAGATGGCCCTGGATTAATTATAAATCCCACCAGTGTGGTAGAGGGCCTGTTTCCTCATGCCTCCACCAGTGGTCGGTATGAACAGATTTTTTAACGTTTTCACTAGCCTCACAGATATCTTGCTGGTGTCTTAATTGGCATGTTTTGATTACTTGTGAGATTGAATATATTTTTGTATGAAATATTAAATATTTTCGTATTTATTTCTTGGTCATTAGTATTTTATTTATGTATTTATTTATTTATTTATTTTGAGGCAGCGTCTGGCTCTGTTACCCAGACTGGAGTGCAGTGACACAATCTCAGCTTACTGCAACCTCTGTCTCACTGGTTCAAGTGATCCTCCCACCTGAGTAGCTGGGACTGTAGGTGTGCACCACACAGCCTGGATAATATTTGCATTTTTAGTAGAGATGAGGTTTCGCCATGTTACCCAGGCTGGTCTCAAACTCCTGGGCTCGAGCAATCTGCCTGCCTCGACTTCCCAAAGTGCTGAGATTACAGGCATGAACCACCACGTCTGGCCAGTATTTCTTACTTTATAAATTATTTATTTGCATCCTTGCCCACTTTTATTAAGTTGGGCTGTTCCTTTTTGATTTGCAAGTCCTTTCTGTGTTACAGATTTTAACATTTTGTCATATGCTTCAATTTCTTTTAATTTATTTTGATTCTTAAATTTTTCTACTTATATATATTTTTAACATGCAGAAGTTTAACATTTTTACGTATTCAAAACTATCCTTCAAGTAGGATTTTGCTTTTGGTTTCATGTTTAGAAAGTCTCTATTCCAGGATTCTAAAAATGCTCACCTATATTTTATCGTTATGGCTTTATTTTTTACATTTACATTTATAGCCCATTTGGAAATCATTTGAGTGAAAAGTATGAGGTAGGGACTAAGATTTAATTTTTTTCTTTTACCTGACATCTAAGCCACTTACTGAATTAAACATTTTCTGTTTCACTGATTTGAAATACCCCATTTACCATGTACAGAATCCCTATAGATTCTTAAGGTTATTTTCAGACCCTACTCTGTTCCACTGATTTGTCTTTTCCTGTGCTGCTATCTCACTATCTTAATTATTACAGCTTTAATAATCCATTTTAATAACTAGTATTGCAAGTGCTCACTTATTATTTGTTCTTCCGCAAAATTTTCTTGGCAAGTTGGGCATGTTTATTCTTCCAAATGAACTTCAGAAATAACTTTGTCAAGTTCTAGAAAAAGAAATTCTTACGGTGTGTGTTAATTCCGTAGATGAATTTGTACAGAATTGCCATATTCACACCATTGAGCCTTACCATCCAAAGGCATGGCAAGCATTTTGTTTGTTCATTTTCTTTTATATTGAGGCTTTATGCATTTCTTCACCAAGGTCCTGAACTTTTATTGTTAGGCTTATTCTGACTGGTTATGGCTGGCATATAAGAAAGCCAGTGCTCTTTTGTACAGTTACATCTGTGAATGCACCTTTAATTTAGATTAGATTTTTCAGTTATCTTGAATTTTTTCAAAGAGAAAGTTGTGTCAACTGCAAATAATTCTTATTTTATAACCCCCCCTTCTTCTCACCATTTACTTCTTATTTTATCTAATTGCACTCATTAGTATTTCCTGGAAAATGTTAAATTATAGCAATGGGAGCGGGTGTCCATTTATGCTTTGGGCTAGACTTTAGTAGTTATACTACCTTTATTTTACTGTTGACCTTGCAGAGGAAAGGTTTCAGAGCTGATCTTTTATACTGCTGAGGAATTATTTTATTTTCCTGAAAGCTTTTATTAGGGATGGTTGTTCAATTTTATCATATACTATTTTGTACACGATAAGAGTGTGTATATGATATTAAATGATACTAAATGTGTGTGTGTGTGTGTGTGTATGAGCTGTTAAATGGGGGAATAATATCAGTATGATTTAATAATATCAAATTGTCCTTTTTAAAATTACATTTCTTTTGTAGAGTTGGGGTGTTACTGTGTTGCCCAGATTGGTTTTGATCTCCTGGGCTCAAGCAGTCCTCCCATCTCAGCCTCCCAAAGTGCTGGGATTACAGGCGTGAGCTACCACAGCCAGCCCAAATTCTTCTTTTATCTATGGAATCCTAGTGCTGTTTTTGCAATCAGAAACCACTCTTTTTTTTTTTTTTTTTTTTGAGACAGGGTCTCAGTCTCACTCTCACCCAGGCTGCAGTGCAGTGGCACAATCATAGCTCACTGCAGCCTCAACCTTTGGGCTCAAGCAATCTTCCCGCCTCAGCCTCCCAAGTATCTGGGACCACAGGCAAGCACCACTACGCCTGGCTAATTTGTTGTATTTTTGGTAGAGATGGGGTTTCACCACATTGCCCAGGCTGGTCTTGAACTTCTGTGTTCAAGTGATCCATCTTGAGCGGCTGAGCATTATTTTTCTTCTAGAAGAAGTCTTGATTTTCTACATCTGCAAGAAACTTTAATTCTTAATTGGCACTGTTTGAGCTCTGTTCTGAAAAGGAGGCCTAAATCCCTTAGATTTGTTTTTTACCAGATTGGTTTACTTTTGCTAGATGCAATGGAAGCTTTTGATTTTGTATTTTTGACTTTCCTGTCTCCATTAAAGTTAGACCCATCCCTGGACTTGGGTGGGGCAGGGAAGATGAGAAGAACCAGGTAGGAAAGAGACGACATTCAGATGGCAGGCCTCCCTGACCCCAGGCAGGACTTCAGTGGCAGCCTGGACAGCTCAGGGAGTCTGGGGAGGGTTGCCTATGTCCAGTGAGCAAGCTTGGCACTTGGCAAGTACCCGGTCTCTGTCTTCTCTATGGAGAACTCACCTCCATTCGTTTCAGGACTGCCCACAAAAAAATGGGCTTCATTTGGCATCATCAACTAATCAGCAGTCGAGGAGGCTCCCTCTCAAAAGCAGCAAGTGTCCTTTTGTGCTAAGTAGGCAAGCACATAGCCAGGGGGCCCCAGTCCACTGTTCTTGCACCCTCCGTAGGCCCAGGAGAATTCTGGAGGCCTGATGACTGTCTCTGCAAAGGAAGTCTTTTACACATTGTGCGCAGTGTTCAGTAGCTTTTTTGATCACATTTATTTTATACTCTGAGCTGAGTCAGTCAGCAAGAGGTGCTTAGCTTGTTACTGAAAGGGGCGGGGAGTGGTATATAAATAATGAGAACTCAGAGAAACTTGTGCTGTTAACAGCTCTGCTCCAGTAAAGTGGAGTTTATTGTGTCACTGCCTCTGGGTGTGTTTTCCTGTGAAGGCCAGAAATAATGCAGTGGTACAAGTGTGTTGGGTATTTTTTTCCCTATCCCCAGGAGGATGGTAACTCTCTCATTAATACTAAAGACAGGTTTAAAGATTCTCTAATTGATAGTTGCATTGCTGTGTGATTTGTTCAGCGTGAAGGCTGACCATTCTCCTTTAGACCTTAGCACCGAGCCTCAAAGAGAGGGCCTGACTTGGTTTCCCCCAGGCTGCCAGACGAAGGTGGAGTGACCGTCTCTCTAGGCCAGTCCTCTCCTCCTCTGTAGATCATCTCTGGTCCCATTCAGCCTTAATTCTGTTCTCGTCTACATGTGACTTCCCCATTCCATGCTTTCTTAAGTGCAAAACATCTATCATTTTCTAAATAATACCTTATTATATGACTGTCATTAACTTATATGCTGGGATGTTAGATTCAACATCATGGCATGTTAGATCCAAACTCTCCACTGTATTAAAAAGGTGGGAGATTTTTCAAAGGGCTACAAATTGTAGGTCCCTAAGCAGAATCCAGCCTGCGTACACACCACTGGGTGGCACCATAATTTATAATGTTGAAATTGAATGCCTCTAAGTAGGGGAAGCACCCTGTTCAGTTCACCATGGAATCCATTATGATCCATGATTGAATGCACCTGCTCCCACCCTGTCCCCGACCTGTGTCTGGCTCCTGAAGACATTTGAATTTACAAATTCTGGTGGCCAGTTAGAAGTTCAAGTCCTCTGTTATTTGTTTATTTACTTGAGACAGGGTCTCACTCTGTTGCCCAGACTGGAGTGCAGTGGCGTGATCTTGGCTCACCACAACCTCCGCCCCTCGGGTTCAAGCGATTCTCATGCCTCATCCCCAGTAGCTGGGATTATAGGTGTGCAACGCCACACCCAGCTTCAAGTCTTTTGATTGAGATCAGGAATCAACCAACTTTTTGCAAAAGGTCCTGATAGTAAATATTTTCAGCTTTGCAGGCTGTACAGTCTCTGTGGGCAACTGCTCAACACTGCTGTTTTGAGAATGCAGCTGTAGATAATACTTAAACCAATGAGCATGGCTGTTTCCAATAAAACTATATGCAGACAAGGAAATTTTAATTTCATATAACTTTCTCCTGTCATGAAATATTCTTTTAATTTTTTTCAACCACTTGGTAAAAACCGAATATAAGAATGGTATAAGCTATTCTTAGCTCATGGCAGGCCAGATTTGGCCAGTGGGATGTGGATTGCTAGCCCCTGATTTAGATCACTGACCAAAAAGTTTTTAAAGTTTTCCAAAGGATGCCAGATAAATCAAAATGATCCCGGGCCTTTTATACTAGCAACTCACTTCCAAGCAGATCTTTTTTAAATGCGTAAAAATGGTAAACTTGAATTATACAAGTTACATGAGTCTAACGAAGCTTCTATTTGCTCTTGATTTTCTCGGGGCTCTGTGGGTGTCCCTCTCTGCTCTCTGTGAAACACTTCAGGGATAAGGACGCTAGGTCAATGACAGCACTTGGATTAGAAGCAAGGAGAACCATCACAAAATGACAGCTCCAAGGGGCAGTCAAGAGAGTATCACTGTCAGCTAGGTCGAAAGTGAATTCAGTGGGAACAAACCCTGATTACACTTGAAATATATGTAAGTCACAAGCATAGAAACTTAATAGTTCTCCTATTCTGATGGCTTCATGCCAGTTTTCCATGGTCACTTCTAGAAAGCCATCTTCCTAACACAGCGAGAGTATCTTACTCCTTTTCCAGTCCTAGCCCACAGCTGAATGGTCTTCTGGTCCATTTTCCCCACAGTGGACACAGATCCCCCAACTAAATGAACCCCCTCCTCTCATGACTCACTTGAAAGAAATGAGTACACATGCCAGTGAGGAGGCTAAGCCACATTAGCACTCCTCCAAGAAAACCACTTCTAATGAGTTTTTGTCTTAACAAGCATTGAGAAAACACTGAGCTCTTCCTTTCATTGTTTTCCTCACCGCCACATCAGAAGGGAGTGGAGAAAGGGCTCCAAAAAGGACCGAGCAGAGAGGGCGTTTTGTTTTGGTTTGGTTTGGCTTTTTGCAACTTAACCATTCTATGAGTTCTGACCCCTTGTTATATTTTTCATAGAACATGTTTAGAAAAACATTTCCCCCATAACTGCTTCACTGGGGTTAAAGAGGACTTCACTGCAGTCTAATTCTGCAATAGCTCAGGTTTCTCCAGTAGCCAGTAATATCTGAGCAGATTTCAATGTGAGTGACCAGGAGGAGGACGAGAGAGAGAGAGAGAGAGTGTGTGTATGTGTGTGTGTGTGTGTAAAGTTTGAGCATTTACCAAATGCTTGGCACCATGAGTAGGACAAAAGTCATACATGACATTATTTTTGCCTCAAGAAGCTCAGCCTTGATGGGGTTGTAACAATCTGTATTTTGACTTTTGCTCAAAAGTCTGCTGAAGTGGGTTAAAATCCTGTTTATCTAATGGAAGTTGCAGAAGTGTAGTTTTCAACTCCATGTCTTTATTGAGTTTTTCACGGGAAACTCTTTTTTTTTTCCTCTTTGCAGCCCCATCCCCGAGCATCAAAATGCATCAATAACCCTAGCTCTTATCCACCTTGAGTAGGGCCCAGCATTCATTGGTTTGCTATTGCCTTTTGCTGCCGTAGCTTTTCAGCTCAGAGCTCCATAAGGGTTTATACGTAGATCTGCACATAGAGAATCAACTGCTACAGATTCGTTTTACCCACATTGGGTTTCCTCGAAAAGTACGTTGTACAGGGTGTTGTTATGACTATTGCTCTGCTTAGAAAACAGCAGAGAGCCTTCATCATGAATAGATTATCACAAAGGTGATAGATTTGGTTGTTTTATCATATTTCTGCATCTCATCAGCACAGGTTAAGAGACGCTGGGGAAAATAGAATGAATAATTTTGGATGACTCAAATGCACCACGCTGGACAGCTCCCAGCCTCTGCAGTTTCTCTATGGGTTCTGGGAAGGCCGGGACAGGAGTGAGAAAATATTCACTCCTCACACCTAGCCAAGGAGTGTCTGGAGAGTTCTGCGGAAACCAGGAGGCTGTGTGTCCTCTGTCTATGCAGCAGCTATTGTCAGCTGTGCTTGGAAAGGTGTGAAGAGTAGGCAGAGGCAGGCTCTTGGGAGCCAGGGCGATGGCAGTCACTTATAAGTGGAACAAGTGTGGTTCTCATCTTCAACAGCTCGTCTGCTTGTCTGCCTGTGTATGTCCTCCCCAAACACAGACATGGCCTTCACCTCCCCTGCCTTCATCTTGTGGGGTGGGGAGCAGCAGGAGGTTATGGATGCTGGCCTGATAACATCTGGCAGGCAGGACTTAGCTGCATTTTCAGTGGGACACAGACATTAGTGTGAATCCAAGGAAAGCAATCGGAAAGAGGGATGTGGAAATTGTCAAGTCCCCAGGACCCCCAGGAGTCAGGACAGCCAAGTGGCCAAGAGCACGGGCCTTGGTAGACAGGGCCAGTTCATTACTCTGCTTTCCAGTTATGTGACCCTGAGTACAGAGTTTAACCCTCCAAGTCTCAGTTTTCTCATCTGTGAAATGGGGCAACCTTGTGGAGTGCTTGTGAAAATTCAGTGAGAAGGGCACGGGAAGCCCTTAGCTTTATGCTTAGAACAATGTTAGTTCATCTTTTATGAGGAATATAGAAGAAACTGGAATTGTTTGGAAATGGGAGAAGAGATTAAAGAAAGACATATCTGTCTGCAGATATTTAAAGGATTATGATGTGGCAGAAGGAACAAACATTTCTTTTTTTTTTTTCTTTTTGAGACAGAGTCTCACTCTGTCGCCTAGGCTAGAGTGCAGTGGCATGATCTTGGCTCACTGCAACCTTCGCTTCCTGGGTTCAAGCAATTCTCCTGTCTCAGCCTCCCAAGTAGCTGGGACTACAGGCGCACGCCACCACACCCAGCTAATTTTTGTATTTTTAGTAGAGGTGGGGTTTCACCATGTTGGTCAGGCTGGTCTCTTAACTCCTGACCTCAGGTGATCTGCCCGCCTCAGCCTCCCAAAGTGCTGGGATTACAGGCGTGAGGGATTACACACCTGGCACAAACTTACTTCTAGTGTTAAGACAATATGACTTAAAGTATGGCCTTTGCAGGAAGGCAGATTTTATATCAATAAAAGATGTGACAGAGATGCTCAGGAACAACCAGATGCTGAGTGGCCCCTGCACTCAGGAGCTCAGGGAGAAATGCTCGTTCCAGGTAGGAGGCTGGTTGGACCCAATGCCAATTCTTTTCCATCCTACAACACCAAGAAATTTAGCAAAAAGGCTCAGCTTTTTTACTCTTGAAAGAATTTATGAAACCAGCAATTGTGTGGAATAAAACAGAAAAAATACTTTCCAGGGGACCCATAGGGTACCAAATGGCAAGCTCATTTGCTTAGAGATGTTAGCAACTTTCTCATTGTATTAGTTTGGGCTGCCATAACACACAACCACAGACTGGGTGGCTGAAACAACAGAACTTTATTTCCTCACAGTTCTGGAGACTGGGAGTCCAAGGTAGAGGCAGGGGACGGGTTCGTTTCATTGGAGGCCTCTCTCCTTGGCTTGTAGATGGTGGCTTCATCCCTGTCTTCCCAAGGTCTTCCCTAGTCTTCACATGTCTGTGTCCTCATCTCCTCTTATAAAGACACCAGTCGTGGATTAAGGCCTGCCCTCATGAACTTGTTTAACATCAGTTGCCTCTTTAAAGGCCTTAACTTCAAATGCAGTCATTTTCTGTGGTGCTGGGGGTTAAGGCTTCAACATAGGGATTTTGGGGAGGGGGACACATAATAATCATCTCCGAGGGATTTATCCTTTGAGTCGTAGGGACTATTGACCATGACCGCCCTTCGGAATTTTTTTCATGTTCTTTGAGCTGTATCCTTTCTGATTCCTTTCTCTTAGGTGAACGGCCCTTTCCCTGCACGTGGCCAGACTGCCTTAAAAAGTTCTCCCGCTCAGACGAGCTGACCCGCCACTACCGGACCCACACTGGGGAAAAGCAGTTCCGCTGTCCGCTGTGTGAGAAGCGCTTCATGAGGAGTGACCACCTCACAAAGCACGCCCGGCGGCACACCGAGTTCCACCCCAGCATGATCAAGCGATCGAAAAAGGCGCTGGCCAACGCTTTGTGAGGTGCTGCCCGTGGAAGCCAGGGAGGGATGGACCCCGAAAGGAGAAAAGTACTCCCAGGAAACAGACGCGTGAAAACTGAGCCCCAGAAGAGGCACACTTGACGGCACAGGAAGTCACTGCTCTTTGGTCAATATTCTGATTTTCCTCTCCCTGCATTGTTTTTAAAAAGCACATTGTAGCCTAAGATCAAAGTCAACAACACTCGGTCCCCTTGAAGAGGCAACTCTCTGAACCCGTCTCTGACTGTTGGAGGGAAGGCAAATGCTTTTGGGTTTTTTGGTTTTTGTTTTTGTTTTTTTTTCTCCTTTTATTTTTTTGCGGGGGAGGGTAGGGAGTGGGTGGGGGGGAGGGGGGTAAGGCCAAGACTGGGGTAGAATTTTAAAGATTCAACACTGGTGTACATATGTCCGCTGGGTGAGTTGACCTGTGGCCTCGCACAGTGATTCTGGGCCCTTTATGCTTGCTGTCTCTCAGAATTGTTTTCTTACCTTTTAATGTAATGACGAGTGTGCTTCAGTTTGTTTAGCAAAACCACTCTCTTGAATCACGTTAACTTTTGAGATTAAAAAAAAAAACGCCATAGCACAGCTGTCTTTATGCAAGCAAGAGCACATCTACTCCAGCATGATCTGTCATCTAAAGACTTGAAAACAAAAAACAGTTACTTATAGTCAATGGGTAAGCAGAGTCTGAATTTATACTAATCAAGACAAACCTTTGAAAGGTTACACTAAGTACAGAACTTTTAAACCTTGCTTTGTATGAGTTGTACTTTTTGAACATAAGCTGCACTTTTATTTTCTAATGCAGAGGATGAATAAGTTAAATACATGCTTTGAGGATAGAAGCAGATGTTCTGTTTGGCACCACGTTATAATCTGCTTATTTTACAATATACACGTTTCCCTAAGAAATCATGGCAGAGATGTGAGGGCAGAATATACACAACAGATGCTGAAGGAGAAGGAGGGTAGTGTTTTGCAAAAGAAAAAGAAAAGAACCAACAGAATTTTAACTCTATTAACTTTTCCAAATTTTCCTATGCTTTTAGTTAACATCATTATTGTATCCTAATGCCACTAGGGGAGAGAGCTTTTGACTCTGTTGGGTTTTATTTGAATGTGTGCATAACAGTAATGAGATCTGGAAACACCTATTTTTTGGGGAAAAAGGTTTGTTGGTCTCCTTCCTGTGTTCCTACAAAACTCCCACTCTCAGGTGCAAGAGTTATGTAGAAGGAAAGGGAGCTGAAATAGGAACAGAAAAATCAACCCCTATAACTAGTGAACACCAAGGGAAAATACCACAATGATTTCAGAGGAGACTCTGCAAAATCGTCCCTTGTGGAGAATGCAGGCAACATGGAATACTAGGAATGAAATCACATCACTGTATCTTTTACATCAATAGCCTCACCACTAATATATCTTGTATCTAGGTGTCTATAATGGCTGAAACCACTACATCCATCTATGCCATTTACCTGAAAACTTAACTGTGGCCTTTATGAGGCCAGAAAAGTGAACTGAGTTTTCGTAGTTAAGACCTCAAATGAGGGGAGTCAGCAGTGATCATGGGGGAAATGTTTACATTTTTTTTTTCTTCAGAAGTAACGCTTTCTGATGATTTTATCTGATATTTAAAACAGGGAGCTATGGTGCACTCTAGTTTATACTTGCGCTCTGAAATGTGTAAACATAGGGTGCCTACCTATTTCACCTGACCCATACTCGTTTCTGATTCAGAATCAGTGTGGGCTCCTGCAGTGGGCGCGGGTCACGGCTGACTCCAACTTCCAATACAACAGCCATCACTAGCACAGTGTTTTTTTGTTTAACCAACGTAGTTGTATTAGTAGTTCTATAAAGAGAACTGCTTTTAACATTAGGGACTGGGAGCAGTCCATGGGATAAAAAGGAAAGTGTTTTCTCACGAGAAAACATGTCAGGAAAAATAAAGAACACTTTCTACCTCTGTTTCAGATTTTTGAAACACTTATTTTAAACCAAATTTTAATTTCTGTGTCCAAAATAAGTTTTAAGGACATCTGTTCTTCCATACGAAATAGGTTAGGCTGCCTATTTCTCACTGAGCTCATGGAATGGTTCTGCTTATGATACTCTGCACGCTGCCTTTTAGTGAGTGAGGAGTTTGGGGTTGCCTAGCAACTTGCTAACTTGTAAAAAGTCATCTTTCCCTCACAGAAAGAAACGAAAGAAAGCAAAGCAAAGTCAGTGAAAGACAATCTTTATAGTTTCAGGAGTAAATCTAAATGTGGCTTTTGTCAAGCACTTAGATGGATATAAATGCAGCAACTTGTTTTAAAAAAATGCACAATTTACTTCCCAAAAAAGTTGTTACTTGCCTTTTCAAGTTGTTGACAAACACACATTTGATATTCTCTTATATGTTATAGTAATGTAACGTATAAACTCAAGCCTTTTTATTCTTTGTGATTAAATCCTGTTTTAAAATGTCACAAAACAGGAACCAGCATTCTAATTAGATTTACTATATCAAGATATGGTTCAAATAGGACTACTAGAGTTCATTGAACACTAAAACTATGAAACAATTACTTTTTATATTAAAAAGACCATGGATTTAACTTATGAAAATCCAAATGCAGGATAGTAATTTTTGTTTACTTTTTTAACCAAACTGAATTTTTGAAAGACTATTGCAGGTGTTTAAAAAGAAAGAAAAGTTGTTTTATCTAATACTGTAAGTAGTTGTCATATTCTGGAAAATTTAATAGTTTTAGAGTTAAGATATCTCCTCTCTTTGGTTAGGGAAGAAGAAAGCCCTTCACCATTGTGGAATGATGCCCTGGCTTTAAGGTTTAGCTCCACATCATGCTTCTCTTGAGAATTCTATTTGGTAGTTACAATTACAGAAACTGATTAGTTTGTCAGTTTGCAGATAGATTTAGCACAGTACTCATCACTCGGATAGATTGAGATGTTCTTTCACATCAGATGATCTGTAACACTGTAAGATACTGATCTTTACAACTGTTTAATCAGTTTTATTTTTGTACAGTATTAGTGACCTAAGTTATTTTGCTGTCCCGTTTTTGTAAATCAAATGAAATTATAAAAGAGGATTCTGACAGTAGGTATTTTGTACATATGTATATATGTTGTCCAAATAAAAATAATAAATGATAAAGACTGAATTGTTCTAGCCATTATGTGTTGTAAAAGGGGGCTATTTCACCATAATGAAAGTTACTTCTTTAACCTGTGTTCGCAGGATTTTGGGATGAGTGCAAAGATGATTTTACCCTGTACCTTTCAACACATGCAATAGTTATATAGACTTGTGTGTATTTACTATTCACAGACCTCTGAGGAAGTAGATGCAATAGAGGTCACTTGAAACCATTGTGTTATGCTGGAGGGGAATATTTATATTTTGGGAGATAAATCACTTTAAGAGGCTTTTAGAGCTCATAACTGTGCAGGGTGTACTAGGAACTGGTCAGAGAAAGTTGTAAGCTCAGATTGTGCTCTTGAGATACGATATTAATAAGAACACACAAGTTGAGGTTTCATTGGCTCAACAGTAGAAACATAACACCAAGCAAAGACAAGCATCAAAGTGTGTGTGTGTGTGTGTGTGTGTGTGAGATTTATGCAGACATGTACTAGCTATTATGTATTAATTAAGCTTTTATTGTAAACTACTCATGGCGTTGGGTGTTTAGGTTTTTCACATTTAATCCTTACAGCAGCTCAGTACAGTAGATAATTATTATTATGTACATATTTCTGATGAGGAAATTGAGGATTGGATAACTTGCCAAGAGGCACATCTAATAAGTGGCACAGACAGTGTTTAAATTTGGATCTGCTGAATCCAACCCTGCATCTTTGTATGCCTGCATCACAGCAGCAAGGGATTTACTGGAGTGTACCATTCATTTGACCCATTTTATTGAGCACACCTATTCATGCCAGGCACTGTTGTCACTGTGGATACAAAGGTGAAAAAATAGACAAGGACCCTATGTTCAGGGAGTTTCTGTTAGTAGAGGGAAATAAATAGTAAACAGATTATCCATGTACTCTCAGATAGGGATAAGCATAGTGGCGAGAATAGAATAGGGTGATGTGATTGTGACTTGGAGGGTGGGGAGAGGCTACTACAGATTGAGGAGGCAGGGAAGGACTCCCTGAGGGTCTTCACATTTAAGCTGGGACCTAGATGACAAGAAGGAACTAGCCTCAGAAAATGTGTAGGGAGTGTGGAAGGAGTTTGGCAGGAATGTGACCAGCGTTTGGAGGAACAGGATAACAGTGGGGTGGCTGGAATATAAACTGGACAAGAAGGGAAGGGAAGTGCTGGGGTGGTTGTCAGGGCCCAGTTCACAAGGGCCACGTATTGCAGGTTGTAAAACGGTGTTTGATTTTGATTCTAAGGGGAGGGGCAATCTGTTGGAAGCTTTAAAGCAGAAGAATGCTACGATCCCACTTGTATTTCAGCAAGCTCTTTATGAGTGCCAGGGAAAATGGATTTTAGAGGGACAAGAGTGGAAGCTGGGAGACTAGCCAGGAGATTTCTATTTGTCCAGGCAAAAGATGATGGTTTTCCAGACCCGAAGGTTAGCAGTGGAAAGAAGTGAATAGTTTCAAGAAATACATCAGAGGCAGAGTCATTTGGACTTGGTGATGTTAGGATGTCGGGGGTAAGGCATAAAAAAGTCCGGTAATGACCCTCAAGTCTATGGCCTGAGCAACAGGTAGATGTTACTGCAGAGTGGTGAGGATGGAGGAAAGGGGGAAAGAAGGGGGTGGATGAGGGAAAGGGCATGGGTTCATCTTTGGACATGTTGAGGTTGCAGTGCCTGTCAACTGGGAATGTCAAGAGAACGATTGTATGTACTAGTTCAGATCTCAAAAGAAGTGGACTGGACTGGAAATTTGGATGTCATCGTCATATTTAACAGTAACTGGAGCCAAAGAAGTGGATGAGATCACCTGGGAGAAGAAGTGGTTACAGCCTAGAACCAAAGAGGAGGAGAAGGAGGAGGCAGAAAGGTAGCTCAGGAAATAACAGGACAAACAAAACCCAGAAAATTGCAGGGCTGTTGAGTAAGGTGGGGGGTGGGCCAGTCAACTGTGCTGAATGGCATTGAGGAGTATAGTAAGACCAGTGCTGAAAAGCGTCCCCTGAATTTAGGAATCTGAGGTTATTGGTGACTGATTAGAGCCATTTTATTAGAATGGCGGAAATAAACAGCTGGTTAGGGAGGGGGAGGAGTAATCGTGAGGTGAAAATTATAAATAGGAAGTATAGTCAATTCTTACATAGTTTGCAGAAAACAAAAGCAGACTTATTTATATACAGCAAAAGCCAGGAAAAAGAGGAGGCACAAGAAAAAGACAAAATAAGACGAAGGAAAATAGAATGCACATGCCACTTAAACCCCCTACTAAAAGTTAGAATCTCAATTTGGATCAAAAGCAAAGTCACAGCTCCTCAAGAGGCTGAGGCAGGAGGATGGCTTGAGTCCAGGAGTTCAAGGCTGCAATGAGCTGCGATCACGCACTGCACTCCAGCCTGAGTGACAGAGAAAGACACTGTCTCTAAAAAAAGATTGCATTTTTTATCACTAGGCAATAAAGTGAGCAATTAATAACAAAAGGATAATTTTGAAAGACTAAAAAAGTAGAGATTGAAATACTGTCTTAAAATAATTTTTAGATCAAAACAGAAAATACAAATTATAATCTGTTTAAAACAATAGAAAAAGCAGTATATCCATAATATACCCTATACCCTAAAGCAGTACTTACAGAAAAATTCAGAGCCTCATATGCTTCATTATCATCTATGAAAAAATAAAAATAAGCCAAGCGATCAATTTATATTTGAAAATGAACAGTATCTAGGAAAAGCATGAGAAAATAATAAAATGAGATTAACATATAAACCCAAGCAGTGGATCTTTGAAAAGACCAATAAAATAGACACACTTTTGACAAAGCCAAACAAAAACAAGAGAAAATCTAAATCTATATTATGAATGAGAAGAGAGGTGTAACTATAGATAAAATCAACTAATAATTTTGGACATCTTGATAGAATGACTCTAAAACCATCCTAGAAAAGTTTTTGTGAGTGGTACAGTTGTATAGACTGAAAACTACTTTTTTAACTGACAAGAGTTTTGATGGGTGGTACAGTTGTATAGACAGAACTAATTTTTTGATTGACAAATATCAGAGAACTTCAGCGCCCAGATTATATAGACAACATCTTTCAAATCTTTAAGGAACCAATAATTTCTCTAAAAGATTAGAGGCCAGGTGCAGTGGCTCACACCTGTAAGCCCAGCATTTTGGGAGGCTGAGGTGGGAGGATCGCTTGAGGCTAGGAGTTTTAAACTGGCCAACAAAGTGGGATCCTTTCTCTCCAAAAAATAATATAAAATATTAGCTGGGCACATAATTGTAGTTCCATCTACTTGAGAGGCTGAGATCGTAGGATCACTTGAGTCCAGGAGCTTGAGGCTATAGTGAGCTGTGATCACATCACTGCACTCCAGCCTGAGTGACAGAGCAATACCCCATCTCTAAAAATATATTTAAAAAAAATAAATAAATGTTTTAAAAACTGTTAGAACAAAGACCATACAAAATAATGGAAAACATCCTGATTCACCCAAATAATGGAAAACATTCTTAATTCATAGTTTAACTCTTGACCTACAAGAATAGTCAAGAATATTTTACAAAGGAAAAGTAACTTAGGGGAATGTGCCCTATCAGAAATTACAGTCTATTTTGAAGACATAAGAATGTATAAGAATCGGCTGGGCACAGTGGCTCACCCCGGTAATCCCAGCACTCTGGGAGGCTGAGGCAGGTGGATCACGAGGTCAGGAGTTCAAGACCAGCCTGGCCAACATGGTGAAACCCTGTCTCTACTAAAAATACAAAAATTAGCTGGGCGTGGTGGTGCCTGCCTGTAGTCCCAGTTACTCAGGAGGCTTAGGCAGGAGAATCGCTTGAACCTGGGAGGTGGAGGTTGCAGCGAGCCAAGATTGTGCCACTGCACTCCAGCTTGGGCAACAGAGTGAGACTTCGTCTCAAAAAAAAAAAAAAGCATAAAAATTTAATATATTTTATAAGAGTGGTGGCCAGGTGCAGGGCCCATGCCTGTACTCCTAGCACTTTGGGAGGCTGAGGTGGGAAGATGGCTTGAAGCCAGGAGTTCGAGACCAGTCTAGGCAGCAAAGTGGGCTTGGTGGTGTGCGCTTGTAGTCCCAGCTGCTCAGGAGACTGAAGTGGGAGGATAATTTAAACTCAGGAGTGTGAAGCTGCAGTGAGATATAATAGAACTACTCCACTCCAACCTGGGCAACAGAGTGAGACTCCATCTAAAGAAAAAAAAAAGTGGCATCACAAATCAGTGGGGAAATACATGTATTATCTACTAAATTTTGTTTAAATAAAATATTTTCTAGGAATAATTCAAATTATATCACACTGTATATCAAAATAAATTCTACACACATTAAAGATGTAAGTAAAATGATAAAAACACTTAAAATATAGGTGAAGATTAATAAATCATGATTCATAAATCATCATTTGCACAAAACTAAAGGTAGAAACTATTAAAGATGTGAAACTATTATAAATGAAAAATGAGCCTAAATAAAGTTAAAAAGTATGGATATGGATATGGAAAAATGCCCATTAATAGGATTAATGTCTTTATAACTTACAAGTCAATATGAAAAAATGAACACATATTTAGAAAGATCTGGCAAATGATATAAATTGACATTTTATAAAATAAGAAATAAAAACAGCCAATAAACTTTTCTTAAATATTTGCTATGCTTTCAAAGAAATGTATTATAAAATAGTGAGGTACAGTTATCTGCCTATGCTGGTACAGATTAAAAAATATAAAACACCCTTTTGGTTAAGAACTGGGGGAAAAGGACATATTGCTAGTGGGGATCCAAACTGGCACAACTTTTCTAGGAGATAATTGGGCCGTAAGAATTTAAAAACCATAGAAATGTTCATCTACTTTTCAAAGCAATTGCATGCCCAAGGAATTATCATGAAAGTCTGCAAAGATTTAGCTGCAAAAAAATGTACATGGTAGCATTTTTTATAATAGTGAAAATTTGAAAACAATATCAATGTTCAGTTCTCATGGATGGTTACAGTAGGGTCCAGGTGTAGTGGCTCACTCCTGTAATCCCAGCACTTCAGGAGGCCCAGGTAGGTGGATCACCTGAGGTCAGGAGTTTGAGACCAGCCTGGCCAACATGGCAAAACCCCGTCTCTACTAAAAATACAAAAATTAGTTGGGCATGGTGGCATGCGCCTGTAATCCCAGCTACTCAGGAGGCTGAGGCAGGAGAATCACTTGAACCCGGGAGGTGGAGGTTGCAGTGAGCTGAGATCCGTGCACTGAACTCCAGCCTGGGCGACAGAGTGAGACTCTGTCTCAAATAAATAAATAAATAAATAAATAAATAAATAAATAAATACCAGTAGAATAGTATGCATCCATTACAAATGGTGTAGAATAGCTTTTCACCACGGATATTCTGTAGTACATTGATTTTGTAAATGTTACCTTATAGGAGGATCCTATGATTAGATAAGTGTGGGATACGTAGGCGAGGTGAACCAAGTTTCTCTACTGAATTTCTTTGCAGAGTCTTTGTTGTGATCCAGTATGCATCATTCATATCCCAGGGGCTGACGTAGCATGCAGAATCGCACAAACTTACTTGACTATGGTCATTTTGCCCTAGTTTGTTTGTTTTTAGAGACATTATGAAAATCAGACTTTGAGAAATGACATAAAAATATGTTCACAATATATTTATATAAAAAGCAGCTTACCCAGTATAGTCTCACTTTAAAACACGTATATGTGCTCAGAAAAAAAAAAGGCTAGAAGGATTTAAAGGATACTACACAAGAATGTTAACCGTGATTATTTTGACACATAAGACTAGGGATAATTTTAAATTTATACTCCTTATCTATATTATGCTAAGTTTTCTACAAAAGGAGTATATATTACACTTCTAAAAAAAGGGAGAAAAAAGGAAATGCCCAGAAGTCAATGTAAATGTGATATTTTATTCACTTATTTATTCTGCAATACCAATGCAGTCATGCATAAATGCCATATTTTAGAACAGCAATATGAAGCCACTAGCTCTTGTATGAGAGTTAACCTGCCCAACTATGGGGTCACACCCAGAAGTCAATTTGGGTTGATTTGGGGTGGCCTTTGTGGCTGCTGCCCTGGCAGAGCAGCGAATTCTTGATATCTCTCATCTGTTCTCTAGTTCATGTGGCCTCTGTTCACCTTGGCAATGAAACAGATGCTTCTTGAGTTTCAACTCAAGTAAAGAGTTGAATGCAGTTTTTACTCCTGGTTTTCACTACAAACTCAATTCTTCCTAAGTCAGATGATATCATTTAGGGTTTTCTCAAAAGACCAACCTGTGTTAGGCCGTTCTCACATTGTATTGCTATAAAGAAATACCTGAGACTGGGTAATTTATAAAGAAGAGGTATAATTGGCTCATGCTCTGCAGGCTGTACAGGAAGCATGGTGCTGGCATCTGCTCAGAAACTGTCTTTTTTTTTTTTTTTTTTTTTTTTTTTGAGATGAGTCTTGATCTGTCGCCCAGGCTGGAGTGCAGTGGCGCGATCTCAGCTCACTGCCACCTCCACCTCATGGGTGCAAGCAATTCTCCTGTCTCAGCCTCCCAACAACTGGGTTACAGGTGCCCACCACTACATCCAGTTAATTTTTGTATTTTTTAGTAGAGACAGGGTTTCGCCATGTTGGCTAGACCAGTCTCAAACTCCTGACCTCAGGTGACACTCCTGCCTCGGCCTCCCGAAGTGCTGGGATTACAGACGTGAGCCACCATGCCCAGCCAGAAAACTTTCAATCATGGTGTAAGGCAAAGGGGGAGCAGCCACATCACATGGCCAGAGCAGGCACCAGAGAGAGGGGAGAGGTGTTACACTATTTTTTTTTTTTTTTTTTTGAGAAGGAGTTTTGCTCTTGCCACACAGGCTGGAGTGCAATGGCATGGTCTTGGCTCACTGCAACTTCCACCTCCCAGGTTCAAGTGATTCTCAGACTGCCTCAGCCTCCTGAGTAGCTGGGATTACAGGCATCCACCACCATGCCCGGATAATCTTTGTATTTTTAGTAGAGACGGGGTTTTGCCATGTTGGCCTGGCTAGTCTCAAACTCCTGACCTCAGGTGTGATCTTTCTGCCTCGGCCTCCCAAAGTCCTGAGATTACAGGCATGAGCCACCACGCCTGGCCAACTACACACTTTTAAACAACCAGATCTCATAAGAGCTCACTCACCATCAGGAGAACACCATGGAGAGGATGGTGCCAAACCATTCTTGAAGGATCCACTCCTGTGATCCAATCACTTCCCACCAGGCCCCACCTCCCTCACTGGGAATTATAATTCAACATGAGATTTGGGTGCGGACACAGATCCAAATCATATCATGACCCATGTTCAAATCCTAGCTGGGTACCAGGTCCAAGCAAGCTATTTAATTTCTCTGAGACTCAGTTTGTGTGGATATGTGTGTGTAATATCCCATAGCATCATTGTGAAGAGTAAATCAATAAAATACATAAACTGTTAGCTCAATGCCCCTACACGAGGCTAACAGTTTTGAAACACTAGGTTTCCAACAAATATTTGTTCTTTTCATTTCTCACATTGAGTGAATATGGTCCTCAATGAATTGTAACAGTTTCAACCCATTTTCTCTTTCTTGAATGGGTGCAATTTTCTTACATCAGCCTTTGCTTATACAAATGACTGTTGGTGTCTGCAGACTACAGCCCCAAGTGAAATCTGGCCTATAGTCTGGTTTTGTAGGGCTAGTGAACTAAGAATGTTTTTACATTTTTAAATGGTTGAAGCAATAAAAATATTTTTAATAAAAAGATATGTATATGTCAAATACATAAAGATTACATGAAATTCAAATTTCAGTGTTCACGAAGTTTTATTGGAATGCAGCTCTTCTTATACACTTACTGCCTGTGGCTGCAGTCACACACACTAGTTTTTGGCCCTCAAAGTCTAAAACATTTACTGTCTGGTCCTTTGCAGAAAATAAACAGCAACAAAAAACAAACAAACAAAGAAACTAACCTCAGCTCTCGGCAATCTATTATATAAGTGTTTCTTGAAGGCTAGCATTAAAAAGAAGAAAGTTTCTGCTTCCCAGAAGTGAAAACAAAGATAAGAAAGATGTTGCTCATTGGATTGCATTTTTTTTTAAAGTACACAAAATAATGTTTTTTGAAGGCTTAATTTTTGAAATCTCAGCCGGGCACGGTGACTCACACCTGTAATCCCAGCACTTTGGGAGGCTGAGGTGGGAGGATCATTTGAGCCCAGGAGTTCAAAACCAGCCTTGGCAACAGAGCGAGACCCTGTCTCTTAATAAAAATAAATCTCCATTTCCATCACATTTCTTCAACTCCTACGAATTCTGTGATAGGTTTGGGTTCACAAACCTTGGCACAGCTAAGATTGCATGTTTCCTTCTGTATTCTCTGCCTGCCTGTTAGGAGCCACCACATTGACTATTAAAATGTTTTTATTATTAAGCTTTTAGGTTGGTTATCTCCATTTTAAAATAATTTTTTATTTGCTTTTGTTCTAAGTCCTGATTGATTTTTGTTTTTGTATTTTGCTTCTGTACTGATTGATATTTAATCAGCAGTACTGTAGGATTTTTTTTTTCTGTCATTAGCCTCCCCTATTTAGTGATTTATAGGCAAACACCTGAGAAGACCCTGTGATTCTTTTGTAATGCGAGGATTCTGGTGAAGTGTGGTCGTCTTCACCTTCTCATTTACCTGTAGGTAGGTAAGATGGTCCATACTAATTGCCGGTATTCTGTTTAACACTGCAAAAGGCATCCCCAGGAACAGGGATGTAGAGTCCCTTAGGTAGAGCCTCTGTAGAAAGATTACTTTTTTCTCCTTTCACCTACGGTAATGAGTATTTTGGTAGAGACTGCAATCGCTGCCAGCTTTGGCTGCATAAATCAGGCTTACACTGAGTTTAAATAATTGGAGGGCAAATCTAGCACACCATTTATTCCATTATGCTTTTTCTATAAAAGCAAAAAATCTTTTTATCCTCCCCCAGGACAGAGTCTCGCTCTGTCGCCGAGGCTGGAGTGCAGTGGTGCGATCTCCCCTCACTGCAACCTCCGCCTCCCGGGGTCAAGTGATTCTCGTGCCTCCGCCTCCTGAGTATCTGATTTTTTTTTTTTTTTTTTTGGTGTTTTTTAGTAGAGACAGGGTTTCACCATGTTGTCCAGGCTGGTCTCCAACTGCTGACCTCAAGTGATCTGCCGGCCTCGGCTTCCCAAAGTGCCTGATTACAGGCTTGAGCCACCGCGCCCGGCCAGTAAAAAAGTCTTTATTAAACGCAACTAACTCTAAACAAAGCAGTACACATGAGAAGAGGACATAAGGGGCCGGAGCCACTGAAGTACAAGTGGTACCTCTCTACTGTGTTTTGAGTGCTGATAATCACCACAAAACCCAACTTGATTGGCTTATTTTGAGCGAAACCTTTATGTCGTTTTCAGGCTGTCTCAGGCAGAAAAACCACACTCCTTGGAGACTCAGATATGCAGGTTTCCTTCTGATGCCAGCTCTAAACAGCCATATTTACCCATTGTTAGAGCAAGCTTCCTTTCTGTTCATCCTAGGAAAAGCCTTACAGTCTTGTATCTTTGCATTTTTACTAGCTGTCATCTATCCAATGTTGCAGAATTTCCGTTTTCCTAAAGTAGCCGGATTCCAGCTCTTCCTAACTCACTTCAGCCCCTCCAGTTTTGGAGCCTCTTCTCTGGAGGAGTCTTTTTCCTTAACGGCTCCCAGGGATTGTATACCCCTGCCTAGGCCACTCTTCACTGTTTGGCATGTTTAAATCAATTTGACAAATCAGAACCGTTCTAAAATAGGGATCTTCCCATAGAGGAAGTGCTAAATTGTTTGTAGTTTCTTCAAGCTTTTTTGTTTTGTTTTGTTTCCTAGGATATAATTAGTAATTTCATTATATCGTGTTTTATGCTGTCCAAGATTCCAACTACCCTCCACATATTTAGGGGAGCCACGGATAAGTGCATGTTAAATGACTCGTTTCTCCGTCTTTCTGAGTTGAGATCCACATGTGCAATTTGTTGTTCCTAAGTGCCTTAGATAATGGCTAAAAATATGTTTTCTTTTTCTATAGAAATCAAAGTAACTTTTTAAAAGCTTGCAATCACCTCCTGTGTTTCTATGTTGGTGTTAAGGCAATCAGCTTTGGGCATACTAAAAAATCATTTTCTGTTATCACCACCCATTGAAATGCCAATTGGCCTCCAAGGAATTTACCTGAACAAACCAACTTTTATGCATGTTTCATTTGTGTTTATTTTTATTATCAAAATATATCGTTTGTATTTGCTTCACTTCAGAATCCTATGATGGAATGCCTCAACATTTAAATACTTGCTTTTTAAGTGCTCTGCAATTTGAACATCTGAGATTTTTATATATACTCCAAAAGGCATATTTGAATGAGACTGCCTAAAGTTTTCTTTTGAAATTGGCATTTAACTTTCCTAGTGCTTTTGCTTTCCTTCACTCTGACCCCACTCCAGTGCAATTTGCAAAAAAAATTTTTTTTAGATCCTGCATAGACAGCAAAAACAATTTGCAATCTTAATGATGATAATGTACACATGAACACAAGGAAAAAATAAACCCACTGCATTTTTGGGAAACCATACTAAGTAGACAATGTTGCTCATTGTAAAAAGTTAGGATGAGCTTTTCATCTTCTAATGATAATGAGATAGAGTAAGGCGGAAGTATGAGACAGTAAGTTGTAGAGCTTTTCAAGAGAAACTGTTATACTTAAGAGAAATGATGTATTAAGTTCAAAGGATTATATGCATTTACTCAGATGATGAATCATTGATATTAACCATGGCAGATTGAAACTGTTTTTTTTTTTTTTTTGGCTAATTATTATTTATCTTTGGCAAATAAAATGTACATATTAATGGTGTATACAACATGGTGTTTTGAAATATGGATACACTGTGGAATGACTAAATCTATTAATTTTTAGAACAAAGGGCTGGGTTCGGTGGCTTACCTCTGTAATACTAGCACTTTGGGAGGCCGAGGTGGGTGGATCACCTGAGGTCAGGAGTTCAAGACCAGCCTGACCAAAATGGTGAAACACTGTCTCTACTAAAAATGCAAACAAAAATTAGCCAGGCATGGTGACAGGAGCCTATAATCCCAGTTACTTGGGAGGCTGAGGCTGGAGAATAGCTTGAACCCAGGAAGTAGAGGTTGCAGTGACCTGGGATTTCACCATTGTACTCCAGCCTGGGTGACAAGAGTGAAACTCCCTCTCAAAAAAAAAAAAAAAAAAAAAAGACCAGGCACAATGGCTCACGCCTGTAATCCCAGCACTTTGGGAGGCCGAGGCGGGCAGATCACCTGAGGTCAGGAGTTCGAGACCAGCCTGATCAACATGGAGAAACCTTGTCTCTACTAAAAATACAAAATTAGCTGGGCGTGGTGGTGCATGCCTGTAAATCCCAGCTACTCGGGAGGCTGAGGCAGGAGACTCACTTGAACCTGTGAAGCAGATGTTGTGGTAAGCCAAGATCGTGTCATTGCACTCCAGCCTGGGCAACAAGAGTGAAACTCCATCTCAAAAAAAAAAAAAAATTATTTTAGAACAAAAATTCAGCCACTTATTCTTTTGGGCTCCCGTAGCACACAACGTTATAAAATTATGGTCATTTGTTTACTCTTGTCTTTTCCTCTAGGCTCTTAGTTTCTTTTTATCTTTTGAGATAGGGACTTGCACTGTCGCCCAGGCTGGATGCCATGTGTTGGAGTTGGAGGCAGCACTCATATGGCAGCCCATGAAGGAGAGAGACCAAGACATCCTTCCATGCTAGGGGTTGCAGACACTCTGCAGGAGCAGGATAGACCCTCCACCCAAAATTTGGTTCTGATGTCAAGATGATGCCACACACATACATTGAGGAGAGAGCAATGTTTCCTCCTTACATGAGTTTTCTGGGGACAGCAGGGCAGGCCTCCCAAGTGTGTCCAAAATGTCAAGGAAAATAAAGAATTGCAGAGAGAGAGAAAGAAAGAAAACAAGGAAAATAAAGGAGAGCAGTGGCACTGAGCATGGCTTATTGTAGCTTCAACCTCTTGGGCTCAAGCAATCCTCCTACCTCAGCCTCCCAAGTGGGACTACAAGTGTGCGCCACCAGGCATGGTTATTTTTTAAATTTTTGTAGAGACAAGGTCTCACTCTATTGTCCAGGCTGGTCTCAAACTCCTGGGCTCAAGTGACCCTCCCACTTCAGCCTCCCAAAATTCTGGGATTCCAGGTGTGAGCCACTGCACCCAGCCCAGTCTCTTGACTGTGTTGCTGATCTCAGTATACTGTGGCTACTCCTCTTTCTCTAAGGACTCCATATGCTGTCCCCCGCCAGATACTCAGACAAGCCCACCAATGTTGGGAAAGAGAAGTGTTTTTGTCTGCTACATTTGCTGAGTTGTACTGTGTAAGTCTGGAACTGCAAATGGCCATCTTTTGGCACAGAAAACTGCGTGCACAGGAGAAAAAAAGGGCAACATACAGAGAAGAGGAGAACTGACACATGGAACCAGCGTGAGCCTGGAAGGCAGTATTTGAAGCCTTGAATAAAGCTGTTCCCAGAGCCCACTGTCATCCCTGGATATCCCGGTTATGTTTTTGTTTTATTTATTATTACTATTATTTTTTGAGATGGAGTCTCACTCTGTCACCCAGGCTGGAGTGCAATGGTGCAATCTCAGCTCACTGCAACCTCTGCCTCCCCGGTTCAAGCAATTCTCCTGCCTCAGCTTCCCAAATAGCTGGTATTACAGGTGCACACCACCACACCCGACTAATTTTTGTATTTTTAGTAGAGACGGGGTTTCACCAGGTTGGCCATGCTGGGTTCGAACACCTGACCTCAGGTGATCTGTCTGCTTTAGCCTCCTAAAGTGCTGGGATTACAGGCGTGACCCACCGTGCCCAGCCGAGTTATTTATTTATTTATTTTTTTGAGACGGAGTCTCACTCTGTTGCACAGGCTGGAGTGCAGTGGCGCCCAGTTATGTTTTTAAGTACATTTCCTTTTTCTGCTTAAGCTAGTTTGTTAGACTTCGGTAACTTTTGAGCACAAATCCTGTCACAAATTTGGTATAAATTTCTACCACAAAGTTGGTGGAAAAGTGTCAAAATAACAAAACAACCGATTATTTCAAATCTCTGATTCACATTTTTAAAAAACTACATTTTTCTTTTTAGTTATTTATTTTTGGAGATAAGGTTTGGCTCTGTAGGCTAGGCTAGAGTGAAGTAGTGCAATCATATCTCACTGCAGCCTCAAACACCTAGGCTCAAGCAATTCTCCTGCTTCAGCCTCCCTAGTAACTAGGACTACAGGTATGACCCACCATGCCCAACTGATTTTGTATTCTTTCTGTAGGAAAGGGGTCTTGCTATGTTGCCCAGACTGGTCTCAAATTCCTGGCCTCAATCAATCCTCCCATCTGGGCATTCCAAAGTGCTGGGATTATAGGCATGAGCCACCGTGCCCTGCCAGATGTCACATTTTTTAGGCCGCGGTATCTAATTTATCTATGGTAAGTTAAATAAAAATTGTAGTTTCATTGACCAATAGTCGTTTTTGACCATTTTTCTAGAATATAATGTGGGGTGGGGGACATAGTAATTTTAATGAACCTTGGATTTATCCCCCCAGACTATTTTGTTCATTTTAATAGAACAGAATTGTTTTAAATTATTTATACCTATTCTGCTAATTAAGCAAAATTCCCTTCCCTTCCCTCCTCCTCCCCTTTCCCCTCCCCCTTCCTCTCCCCCTCCCCTCCCCTCTGACAAAGTCTCGCTCTGTCACCCAGGCTGGAGTGCAGTGTCGCGATCTCAGCTCACTGCAACCTCTGCCTCCCAGGCTCAAGCAATTCTCCTGCCTCAGCCTCCTGAGCTGGGACTACAAGTGCCTGCCACCACACCCGGCTAATTTTTTTTTTAATTTATTTTTTGGATTTTTAGTAGAGATGGGGTTTCACCATGTTGGCCAGGCTGGTCTCGAACTCCTGACCTCAAGTGAGCTGCCCGCCTCAGCCTCCCAAAGTGTTGGGATTACAGGCGTGAGCCCCTGTACCCGACCACAACATTTTCATTGTTTAAAATTTTAATCTGTTTTCAAGTAGATTGCCTAAGAGCCAACTGGTAAGAAAAAACAGTCAACATTTCCTACAATTAATTCACATATTGATAACATCTGTTCACTTTTACAGATTTCCATTTTTCTTTTCTTGCTCTGCCACCCAGGCTAGAGTGCAGTGGCACAATCACAGCTCACTGCAGCCTCAGCCTCCTGGGCTCAAGATCTTCCCACCTCAGCATCCTGATAGCTGGGACTACAGGCATGTGCCACCATGCCTGGTTAAATTTTTTTTTTTTTTGTAGACACATGATCTCACTATGTTGCCCAGGCTTGTCTTGAACTCCTGCACTCAAGTGATTCTCCTGCCTCAGCCTCCCAAAGCTCTGGGATTACAGGCAGGAGCCACTGCACCCAACCTACAAGTTAAAAAAAAAATTTTTTTTAAAGCAGCCACTTTGTTCTCTAAGTTACTTAATATTTTTTTCAGTCAGATACGCTACTTTGTCTATTTATCAACACTTCCATTTTCTCTCTCTCTCTCTCTCTCTTTCTTCCTTTGTTTTTCCCTTCCTTCCTTCCTTTTTTTTTTTTTTTTTCCTTTTTCTTTTTCTGAGACAGGAGTCTCGTTCTGTCGCCCAGGCTGGAGTGCAATGGCGCCATCTCGGCTCACTGCAACCCCTGCCTTCAGGGTTCAAATGATTTTCCTGCCTCAGCTTCCTGAGTAGCTGGGATTACAGGCATGTGCCACCATGCCTGGCTAATTATTGTATTTTTAGTAGAGACAGGGTTTCACCATGTTGGCCAGGCTGGTCTTGAATTCCTGGCGTCAAGTGATCTGCCGGCCTCAGCCTCACAAAGTGCTGGAATTACGGGTGTGAGCCACTGTGCCCTGCCACTTCCTACATTTTCTATTGAGCATTTTTCTCATGTTTAGACAGCTTTAATAGATTTTCTTCAAAAAGAAAAAACCAAAACTTTCAGTAGAATGATCAATTTTTATGGCTTATTCCTGACAAGACCAAAAGCTTATTGTTGTCGTGCTTTTGTTTTTTGTTTTTGGAGATGGAATGTCGCTCTGTCACCCAAGTTGGAGTGCAGTGGTGGGATCTCGACTCACTGAAACCTCCGTCTCTCGGGTTCAAGGGATCCTCCTCCCTCAGCCTCCAAGTAGCTGGGATTACAGGCGCCTGCCACTATGCCAGGCTAATTTTTGTATTTTTAGTAGAGATGGGGTTTTGTCCTGTTGAGCAGGCTGGTCTCAAATTCCTGACCTCAAGTGATCCGCCCACCTCGGCCTCCCAAAGTGTTGGGATTACAGGCGTGAGCCACTGTGCATGGCCTGTGACGAGGTTTTGCTATGTTGTTCAGGTTGACCTTGAACTCCTGCGCTCAAGTGATTCTACCATCTCTGCCTCCAAAATTGCTGGGATTATAGGTGTGAGCCACCACGTCTGGCAGAGCCACAATCTTTCAACCTTTTTTTTTTCTAAGGTGAGAGAGAGAAGTACAATAAATGGAAAAAATAAAAACAACACATATCCAAATAGCTCCAGTTAACAGTGTCATTTTATTGTCACTTTTTTGTTGCTTTTGTAACTATTTATTTATGTGTTTTTTGCTTGTTTGTTTGTTTGTTTGAGATGGAGTCTTGCTCTGTCGCCCAGACTAGAGTGCAGTGCGTGATCTCGGCTCACTGCAAACCCCGCCTCTGGGTTCAAGCGATTCTCCCACCTCAGCCTCCCGAGTAGCTGGGCTTACAGGCACCAACCACCATGCCTGGCCAATTCTTGCATTTTTAGCAGAGACGGGTTTCACTATGTTGGCCAGTCCAGTCAAACACTTATATATTCATTGTCTCTTAATGTCAAATGACTATATATATATATTTTCTACTCAATATAATTCATAAATTCACACAACATGACTATATTCTAAGTCTCAGAGCATGGAGTATTCTTTGGATGTACACACAAAATTTATGCCCCCAGCAACAAATCCCAATCCCAGTTTTTCAACAGCTTATGATTTTCCATGCATCTCACTGGTTGCTACAGCATGCTCACTTTAAATTCCTCAATATTTTGTTTCTGAAAAGTCACACATTTGGCATTGAGGAGCAAGGAAGAGAATGTGAAGAGAATATCACAACATGAAAAGAGTAATGGTGCGCCATGATTCCAGATTAATGCAAAGAACAGTCAACCAGCAAAGTCCGCGGGAACAAGCCTTTGGGGTCCACTTCTGCCCTCTGACAGGTTCATCGGCCTTTTGTCGTGCTCACTGAGACAGAACTCAGCTCTCTCTTTATTCTCCTCCACTGTGTTCACCTCTACTCAAATCTGACAGATATTGTACTCCATGGTAATACAACCTCTCTATACAGAGCTTTCATCCATTTGGAGTCTATGGCACAGGCTGGAGGCAGGAGGACAGATAATGAACAGAATCTCTCCACCTGGGCCCCCTGAGTTCAAAGGCTTCAGGCTTATTTTTGTAAACTGAATCCAATCTTATACAGAGTAGTTTTATATTTCCACATTCTGATAAGAAGGACAAAAAGAAGCAATTAACTTTCTGATCTCCATGAGGAGACACATGGTAATTAATTCATTAATCTCGGCATTCTTCTTCCCCGGTTTATGTAGTCAGAGAGGAATGATTTGTAAGACTAGACTTTGGCTCTAACCTCACAACAACTATGGGTTATGATCAGCTGAGAAATTGTTCTCCTCCCTCTACAATGATGACAAATGAGTCATTTAGAATTTTAAAGGCGAGGATATTTTCTAGAGGATTTTTGGGTCTGGGTTTTTGCTTACTCTATATTAAAAGAGCCTTATGGTGACTCCCAGGAAGTAGTATCAACAAAAGATATTCCATGTAATACGTTACTCCAAACTTTCCTCTTTAGTTCCAAGAACCATGATGAAGATTTATGACTGTCATCGTGTGTATGCAACCATGCAGTCACACAGGGCCCAGCACAGGCCTTTCTGAACATGAAACCTTGTCTCTACTAAAACTACAAAATTAGCTGGGGGTGGTGGCAGGTGCCTGTAATCCTAGTTACTCAGGAGGCTGAGGCAGGAGAATTGCTTGAGCCCAGGAGGCAGAGGTTGCAGTGAGCCGAGATGGTGCCACTGCACTCCAGCCTGGGTGACAGAGCAAGACTCCATCTCAAAAATAAATAAATAATAAAAATAAATAAATAAATATAATAAAATAAAATAGCTCTGCTCCCCCACATTTTTTCTCATTCCGTCTGCCACAAACCAAAGTGATCACTGATGTAATTTTTGTCACTATAAATTAGTATGCATTTCCTAGAATTGTAGATATATGAAATGAAACAGCATATTCTGTTTTGGGGGGTGGAAGGGTCTGACTTCTGTTACTGAGCATAATTATTTGAGATTATCCATGCAATATTCCATTGCATGAATTTACGATAGCTTGCTTATCTCTTCATCTATTAACAGATATTTGGTTTGTTTTCATTTAGGGGTTAACAAGTAAAGCTTCTATGAACATCCATGAAAAAATCTTTGCACAGAATTATGCATTCAATTCTCTTGAGTAAATATCTAGGAATAGAAAAGCTGTATCCTATGATGGATATATATTTAACTTTTTAAGGAACTGGCAAATTGTTTTCCAAAATGATTGTATGTATCATTTTACATTTCCACCAACCTTGTGTGAGACTTCCAGTTCCTTCACATCCTTGTCAACACTTGGTACTATTAATCTTTTACATTTTAGACATTTTAGGGAGTGTGTAGTAATATTGCATTATGGTTTAAATTTGCATTTTTCTAATGACTAATGATGTTGAGTACTTCTTATTGTGCTTATTTGTCATCTGCGTATCTTCTTTGGTGAATTTTCTGTTGAAAATTTTTGCTCACTTAAAATTTGTGTTATTTTCTAAATTATTGAGTTTTGAGAGTACTTTATATATTCTGGATACAGATATATGCTCTGAAACTATTTTCTACCAGTCGGTAGCTCTTTTTTTTTTTTTTATTCTTAATAGTGTCTTTCAATGAGCAGAAGTTTACTTAATTTTGATGAAATACAATTGAACAATCTATTTTATGAATTGTGCTTTTGACATCATATCTAAGAAATCTTTGCAAAGCCAAGGTCACAAAAACTTTCCCCTGTTTCCTTCTAGGAGTTTTATAGTTTGGTTTCTACATTTAGGTCTATGATCTGAATTATTATTATTGCTTAGAGATGGGATCTTACTATGTTGCCCAGGCTGGAGTGCAGTGGCTATTCACAGGCATGATCATAACACAAGATAGCTTCAAACTCCTGAGCTCAAGCCATCCTCCTACCTCAGACTCCCAAGTAGCTGGGAATATAGGTACCTGTCACCATGCCTGGCTTGAGTTAGTTTACACATGTTGCAAAATTTGGATTGAAGCTCATTTTTTTGACATATGGATGTCCAGTTGTTCCAGATGAAAAGACTGTCATTTCTCCACTAAATTGTTTTGGCAGTTTTTTTGAAAATTAGTTGTTCAGAGGTGTGTGTATCTGTTTCTGGACTTTTTTTTTTTTTTTTTTTTTTAGACAGTGTCTCGATCGGTTGTCCAGGCTGGAGTGCAGTGGCATGATCTTGGCTCACTGCAACCTCCGCTCACTGCCTCCTCCTCCCAGGCTCAAGCAATCCTACTTCCTCAGTCTCACGAGTAGCTGGGACCACAGGCATGTGCCACCATGCCTGGCTAATTCTTGTAGTTTTTGGTAGAGACAGGGTTTTGCCATATTGCCCAGGCTGATCTCGAACTGCTGGGCTCAAGTGATTCACCTGCCTTGGCCTCCCATAGTATTGGTATTACAGGCATGAGCCACTGTGCCTGGCCTGGACTGTTGGTTCTGTTCTATTAATTTATCTATTTTTATTCCAATACCTTCGGTATATTGATTACTTGAGTTTTTACTAATAATTCTTGAAATCTGATAGTGTTAGTCCTCCAACGTTGTTTTCTTTTTCAAAGTTGTTTTGAATACTCTAGGACTTTTGAATTTCCATATCAATTTTGGAATCAGCTTGTTGATTTCTATAACAATGCATGCTAGGATTTTGATTGGATTGCGTTGAATCTAGAGATCATTTTGAGATAATTGATATCTTAACAGTATTGAGTTTCTGATTTATGAGCAAGGTGTCTCTCTCCATTTACTTAGGTCTTTAATTTCTCTCAATGTTTTGTAGGTTTCGGTGTGTAAGTTTTTCCTATCTTTTGTTAGGTTTGTTCCTAGTAATTTCATGTTTTTTAGGCCATTGAAAATAATAATGTTTTTATTTTCAATTTCTGATTTTTTATTGCTAGTCTATAGACGTACAGTTAATTCTTGTATATTGACCTTGTATCCCACAAACTCAGTCAACTCACTTATTGGTTCTAGTAGGGTTTTTATAGGTTTCATCAGTTTTTCTACAAGAGTTGTTATTAGTTTTTTACTACCTTATTTTATTGAGTTGATAATGTATACTAGAGCATACCATTAGAAAAAAAACCCCTAAAACTAACTCATATTTACTTAGGTCTTTTTAAATTTCTCTCATGTCATTTAAAAAAAAAAGATGGCTTTATTCCTTCTTTTCCTGAAATGGATTTTTTTTTTCCCCTTGCCTGTCACACTGCCTAGAATCTTCATCATTGAAAGTGAGCATCTTGGCTGGGCATGGTGGCTCACGCCTGTAATCCTAGCACTTTGGGAGGCCAAGGCGAGTGGATCACTAGGTCAGGAGATCGAGACCATCCTGGTTAACATGGTGAATGAAACCCCGTCTCTACTAAAAATACAGAAAATCACCTGGGTGCGGTGGTGGGCGCCTGTAGTCCCAGCTACTCAGGAGGCTGAGGCAGGAGAATGGCATGAACTCGGGAGGCAGAGTTTGCAGTGAGCCAAGATCGCGCCACTGCACTCCAGCCTGGGCGATAGAGTGAGATTCCATCTCAAAAAGAAAAAAAAAAGAAAAGAAAAAAAAAGAAAAGAAAAAAAAAAGTGAGCATCTTTTTCTTGTTCCTGATTTTAAGAAAAAAATTTTCAAATTTTCACCATTAAGTATGATGGTACTTATAGGATTTCATGAATGGACTACTGGAAATGAGCTCATATTAGTTTTAGTTTTTTTATGGTATGCTCCAGTGTACACTATCAATTCAGTAAAATAAATCAGTGAACAACTAATAATCTGTGGTTGGTTTAATCTGTGGTTGGTTGAATCCCCAGTTGCAGAACCCATAGATACAGAGGGCCAACTGGATCTCCCTCATCAAAGATATGGAGGGCAGACAGCTGAGAGGTGAGGCCAGCTGGACTTCCCGGTTTGAGTGGGGACTTGGGGAACTTTCCTGTCTTACAAGAGGATTGTAAAACACACCAATCAGGAATTTTCCAGTCTTACAAGAGGTTTGTAAAACGTACCAATCAGCGCTCTACAAAATGCACCAATCAGCACTCTGTAAATCGCATCCATCAGCAGTCTGTAAAATGCACCAGTCAGCAGGATTCTAAAAGTAGCCAATGGTGGGGAGGATTGAAAAAAGGGCATTCTGATAGGACAGAAACAGAACATGGGAGGGGACAAATAAGGGAATAAAAGCTGGCCACTTCAGCCAGCAGCTGCAACCCAGTCGGGTCCCCTTCCACGCTGTGGAAGCTTAGTTCTTTCGCTCTTCACAATAAACCTTGCTACCGCTGGCGCTACCGCTCGCGCGTTGGGTCCACGCCATCTTTAAGAGCTGTAACACTCACCTTTAATAGCTGTAACACTCATCGCGAAGGTCCACGGCTTCATTCTTGAAGTCAGCGAGACCATGAACCCACCGGCAGGAACCATCTGCAGACACACAGCTACCTCCTATATTGCGTGTCGTACAATGTCACCTTATAGGGGATATCATATATATCTCTTAAAACTTAACCTAAAAAAGTCCCTAGTAGAAAACAGTGGGCACAGAACATTAATAGGCAATTCAGAGAAGAAACACAAATGATCATGAAACATAAATACAGGCTCAACCTTACTAACAAAAAGTTCAAATTAAGCAAAAATAAAGTACCATTTTTATCAGAGTATGAAAATGAAAAACGTTGGTAATATCTGATATAGGGGAGCATATTAATTACAATATTTCTGCACTACTGTAACAGAACAAATAAGAAAGTGACTTAACAACAATGCACATTTCTCTTCTTTTTAATACTGCCAGTGTGAGTAGTCCAGATCAATTTGGACTGTTTCGCAAGTGGGTAACTTGCCCTGGGCCCCATGACTCAGTGCCCCCTCCTTTACAGGCTTTGCGCTCTGTATCAGGCAGTCCTCCAGGGCTGACCTGGCCGCCTCCTTCTAGGGCTTTTGAGACTTTTGCTGCACAATGCCAACGGGCTCTATCAACTGATGGCTCTATCTTGCCTCTGATTGTGTGGCCACATCGTGTCCTCTGAGGCTGGCCTTAAGTCGTGCCAACAAGGGACAGACATTTCTTGTGTGAACGGGGCTGCCACTCTGACTTTGCCCATGGGGCCCTGATTTATCCTTCTTTCTCCTGGCAGTATGTGGAAGGTAGGGGGGTGGTCAACAGTGATTATGGCTTAAAGAGCTCAAGAGAAGGCGCTGTTGGAAAATGTGTTGTTCTACCTTTATGTGATAAAATTCCAAATGGCAAATTTAACATGACTAGAAAATGAATTAGGATTCATATCTTCCTGCATACTCTGGTTAAGACTTGCATTTGTCTTCATCATCAATGAAGCATGGTAACAATCTTTGACAGCGTCATTGGAAGTCACTGTATGATGCACAGTCAGGAGTAATAATGTAACTAGCATTAAATAAATAGCACTAGGGAACTGCATAGCCAAGATAACCTATATTGTTTCAATACAAATTCCCAAGAGCTATAGAATTTGAAGTAGTAACCGTGTTGCTTCTTTCTTCTCAGGTTGGGATATGATATTAGCCAGAAAGGATGCATTGAGAATTCATGGACCTGTGCAGGAAAATATGGTGCACTTATTGAACAATAGGCAAATATATAAGTACTTCTCTACTCATTATTCTAAAGCTTCATCAATAAATCACTCTACTTTACAGGGGCTAATGAATGCTGTACTATATTTTAAAATTAAATTGTTTACTTTGAAATAAAAAAATGAGGATTTTTTTTTTTTAAAGACCAGGAAGAATTATACCCAAGTTAAATTGTGTCTGAGTGTTGGTTTCATATGAGACTTTGTTTCTTTTCATATGTTCTATAACATGGTACATTAAATTAGAAAATAACTTGGCCATGGTCAGTTAGCCAGGCATGGTGGTGAGTGCCTGTAATCCCAGCTACTTGGGAGGCTGAGGCAGGAGAATCCCTTGAACTCGGGAGGCAGAGGTTGCAGTGAGCTGAGATCATGCCATTGCACTCCACTCTGGGCAAAAAGAGCAAAACACCGTCTCAACAATAATAATAATATTAAATTCTCTTTGAATGCAATTCCTATGCTCTTTTATTAAAAAAAGGAAATATAAGGTACATCTTTTAAAAGATACAAAAAGGCATATATGGTGAAAAATAAATCTTCCTCTTATCCTGTTCTTCAGTCACCTAGTTCCTTTCCCCAGAGGTAATCACTGTTAGTTTCTTTGAATCTTTCAAGAGATGGAAAATCTATCTCTGTGTGTGTTTGTGTGTGTGTATAAATTTTCTTTTTAAAGGCAAATGATTAAAAAAATACATACACAGTTCTGTACTTTGCTAATTTTATTAATATGGTTTGGATCTGATCCTATCAGTCCATAAAGAGTAGACTCTTTAATAATTGTATAGTATTTTATTAAATGGGTATATGCAATATAATTTATTAACTAGCTCTCAATCTATTGTTATTTCAACAATATTGAACTTAATATTCTCACACATAGGCCTGGAAATATCTGCGAGTTAAAATAGGTAATATGTAAGTGGATTTGCTAGATCAAAGGGGATAGTCACTTAAAATACATTGCAAAACTGCTCACTAGAGATGTTTAGCAATTTTACACCAACAGTGCATGTGTATCTCTCACTACAAGCTTGCCAGCTTGTGGAATCTTGCCATTCCCTATGCTCTTTTCAGTGTAGAACACTGCCTGCCTCTGAGTCTCAGTTCCAGGATCATATACTAGGTTTGTGACTTTGGACAAGTCAAGTTAATCTCTCTGAACCATCTTCCTCAATGGAAAGGAATATCCATTTTCTTTTCTTTCTTTTTTTTTTTTGAGATGGAGTTTCACTCTTATTGCCCCGGCTGCTGGAGTGCAGTGGTGTGTTCTTGGCTCACCACAAACTCCACCTCCCGGGTTCAAGTGATTCTCCTGCCTCAGCCTCCTGAGTAGCTGGGATTACAGGCATGCGCCACCAAGCCCTGCTAATTTTGTATTTTTAGTAGAGACGGGGTTTCTACATGTTGGTCAGGCTGGTCTTGAACTCCCGACATCAGGTGATCTGCCCGCCTCGGCCTCCCAAGGTGCTGGGATTACAGGCGTGAGTCACCGCGCCCAGCCAGAATATCCATTTTCTAAAGCTCCTATAAAAATTAAAGGAGATATGCTAAAGCCCAACCATTACACAAATGAGAGGCAGAATCAATATTTTTATATATTCTACATATAAATGTTAGGTGTGAAAGTGATTACGGTTTTTGCCATTACTAAAAACCGCAATTGCTTTTGCACCAACATAATAGCTCTTGTACTTTTCCTCCACTTCTGTTCTTAGCAGGGCAACAGTTCTATTATTCATCTACTTGCTTTTTGTTTCTTTCTCACACACTCCATCCCTCCTCCCCCAAATCCGACAATCAAATAAATGAATCTTACTGAAGTTCGACTTGTGCTAATCTGCCACTTAAAAAACAAGATAAAAACAAAACTCTGCCAGGTGTGGTGGCTCACGCCTGTAATCCCAGCACTTTGGGAGGGCGAGCCAGATCACTTGAAGTCAGGAGTTCAAGACCAGCCTAGCCAACATGGCAAAACACTGTCTCTACTAAAAATACAGAAATTAGCTGGGTGGGCCAGGTGCGGTGGCTCTCACCTGTAATCCCAACACTTTGGGAGGCTGAGGAAGGCGGATCACCTGAGGTCAGAAGTTCGAGATCAGCCTGGTCAACACGGTGAAACCCCATCTCTACCAAAAATACAAAAATTAGCCAGGTGTAGTTGTATGCACCTGTAATCCCAGCTACTCAGGAGGCTGAGGCAGGAGAATTGCTTGAACCCGGGAGGCAGAGGTTGCATTGAGCCGAGATCGCACCATTGCACTCCAGCCTGGGTGACAGAGCGAGACTTGGTCTCAAAAAAAAAAAAAAAAAAAAAGAGAGAAATTAGCCAGGCATGGTGGCAGGTGCCTATAATCCCAGCTACTTAAGAGGCTGAGGCAGGAGAATCGCTTAAACCCGCGAGGTGCAGGTTGCAGTGAGCCGAGATTTCATCACTGCACTCCAGCCTGGGCAACAGAGCAATTCCTCTCAAAAACAAAAAACAAAACTCTAAAGCTAAGAGGAAATTCTGTACCTTGTCCTCCATTACCTAGCCCCACCCTAGGGGCTACTTACCTTCCTATTATTTTTTTTACTACTGTCTTTAGCCATTGTTATAAACCATTAAAATATTCCAGCATAAGAAGCACGATATTACATGCTAGGTTAAATTACTAGTGCAGTCAGTTGCCCTAATTAGTAGCTCACGTAAAGCCCATACTAGAGTGGTAGCTATCATAAGTCCTGCTAATATTGATTAATAGCACACAGCAGCTTTGTTAATTAGCACCATGAATATCAGAAATTGGTTTTTTATTAAATTGATGGTTGTAATAAGCATGAAGAATGTTAAAAATGGGTTCTGAGAAATTAGAGGTTTTCAAGATATGTATTAATAGAGTGGTTAAAATGTTCAGACAGTCCCCATTATTTCATGATCTGGGTTTAAGAATCCAGGAAGGCCAATATCCCCCACATCCTTAGGGGTGATTTCTAAAGCCTAAACACTTAAGAGTCCTATGATCCGACAATAGGTCTAAGGATTTCTAGTTGTTTCATGCTCATTTAAAGGAGGCCGAGGCGGGTGGATCATGAGGTCAGGAAAGCAAGACCATCCTGGTGAACACGGTGAAACCCCGTCTCTATTAAAAAATTACAAAAAATTAGCCGGGCATAGTGGCACATGCCTTGTAATCTCAGCAACTCAAGAGGCTGAGGCAGGAGAATCGCTTGAACTTGGGAGGCAGAGGTTGCAGTGAGCCAAGATCGTGCCATTGCACTCCAGCCTGGGCAACAAGAGGGAAACTCCATCTCAAAATAATAATAATAATAATAATAATAATAATAATAATAATTTAAAAAAAAGGATAACCAGCCTCGGGAATGTCATCACCTTTGGTATAAGTGAACCTTTCATGTGTGATCAAATTAACCCAAATGATAAAGAGCTAGAATTCTACCATGCTTACGAAACAAGTTATAATGAACAGTTTTGTGCTTGCTTGTGATAGATGTTTAACAAATGTCTGTATGTGAGGCAGAATTTGACCTAAACTTACTTTTATTGTAACCTGCTAACATGGTTGTGGAGAAATAGCTAACTCTCATCCACATTAAACTTGGTTAGTCTTTTACCAACAAAACCCTGAGTTGCCCATGATCAGACTGTCTTTGATCAGTTGGCTGTTTATTTAAATATTTAAAAAATATTTAACCTTTCTACTTCCTATTAAGTACCCTATGACAGCCTGCCTGCATGCTTTTCCCTCTTTCACTGTGAATACCCACATTTTATAACTTCAGGAAGCCTTCCAGATGCCAGGTAGATCCCAATCCCTCTCAATTCCAGTAGTGTTCAATCTGTCATTTACAGCACTTTGAAATTTGTCTTGTGTCTTTGTGATCCACTTTATAGCACTTGGTAGATTTTCTTCAGAGTGGAATAAGATGCAGGCCATATTTTTCATTCCTCAAACTATGTAGTATAGTGCTTTGCTTACAGTACAGGTAAATAAGGATTAAATGAATAATGGAATATGCTCAAATCACTGTCGGTGTTGGGAGAAAGAGCATTCATTCTTTCATGCTACAGTTACTGAGTCCTTACTACGTACTCAGCATTTTTCTAGGCTCTGGGCTGGAAGCAATCAACACAACCAAGTCTCTGTCTTCAGAGAACTTATATTTTAATGGAGAAGACAAAATATATCATGGTTAAGTAGAGACAAAGGTTATGAAGAAAAAGAATGCATAGTAAGACAGCAGAGTGGGGCAGGGGTGCTACTTCAGATGGGGCAGACAGGGTTAATAAGTAGGAACCCTGAAGTCTGTGATGACTCTGGATTTTTATTGTGTGATGGAAAAGCTACCAGGTCCTTGCTTTGAAGACACTGTCAGTAGGCCATAGGGTAACTACTTATTTCTTGGGTCTTGTGGCAGACTCCTGACTGTCCTCCAATATTCACCCTCTCATTGTGTATCAGGGTGGCTGGAGTTTATGTATACACATAGCCATACAGCTACAGATGACATATTCAGTTCTCTCTTGCAGCTAGCTCAGGCTATGTAGCTAAGTTCTGGACATGAGCAAAAGTAAAATGTGTACCTCTTGCAGATCATGCTCTTAAAAGAAGTGGTCACAGTCTCCCTTTGTCCCTCTCTCTTTTTTTTTTAAGAGACAGGGTCTTGCCATCTTGCTCAGGCTGGTCTTGAACTCCTGGCCTCGTGATCCTCCTACCTCAGCCTCCGGAATAGCTGGGATTACAGGCATAAGCTACAGTGCCAGCTCTTTATTCCTTTAGATGGTTTGGATACAGGTATGTTGGCAAGAACTAAATCAGCCATCTTGGACTATGAGAGGGAACACACAGGTTCCTGAGGAGAGAAGAGCAACCAACAGAAGTTGAGAGAGGAGTCGGCCTATCAGCCCCAGCATGCTTATGTTCTGTTAATAATAAACTATCTTGTATACATTATATTTTGGTCTTTGTTACAGTAGAAGAAATCTGTACCCTAATTTGGGGGCGTATTGGAGAAGCAGTATCTTACCCACAAGGAAGTTAATTACAGAAGTAGGGACTGCTTATGTAATAACTCCAACGACTCAAAAAGCCAAGGTAGTTTGATATTTGATAGCAAGGCATGATGGTATTTTCTAAGAAAAAAAACAATCCATTGGACCTGGTTATTCAGTCTCACCTCTGCCATTTACCAACAGTAAGAACTTGAGCCCGGGCGTAGTGACTCAGGCCTGTAATCTCAGCACTTTGGGAGGCTGAGGCAGGATAGCTTGAGGCCAGGAGTTTGAGGCTAGCCTGGGTAACCAAAGCAATAAACAGTCTTAAAGAAAAAGAATAAAAAAAGAACTTGAAAGACAACATTTTTAAGTCCCTGTTTCTCCATCAACAGTACAAAGTTGTTATATATGACAATGTAGATTTAAATACTTATAAAGCAAAAAAAAAAAAAAAAAAATCTCCTTTAGGGGCTGGGGGCCGGGTGCAGTGGCTCACGCCTGTAATCCCGGCACTTTGGGAGGCCAAGGCGGGCAGATCACCTGAGGTCAGGAGTTCGAGACCAGCCTGGCAAACATAGTGAAACCCTGTCTCTACTAAAAATACAAAAAATTAGCTGGGCGTGGTGGTGCGCACCTGTAATCCCAGCTACTCGGGAGGCTGAGGTAGGAGAATCGCTTGAACCCAGGAGGAGGTTGCAGTGAACCGAGATTGCACCATCGCACTCCAGCCTGGGCAATAAGAGCAAGTCTCTGTCTCAAACAAACAAAAAACTTATCAAATAACTTCTTTCCATGATTCCTGACTGAAAAGAAGGGGATGGCCTAAATCACTCAGAAGGTCCCTCCTAAATCTAACAACTAATCTCTGATGGTACAGAATTTCACTGTCAGAGATCACTGGGACTAAAATTCTAGGCTGGGTGCAGCGCCTCACACCTGTAATCCCAGCACTTTGGGAGGCCGAGAGAGGTTTGAGGCTGGTTTGAGACAAGCCTAGGCAATATACCAAGACCTCATCTCTTTTTTAAAATAAATTCTAAATAATATGAAAGGAATGTAAAATTTACCATTCTATCATAACATTCATTGGGCAGCTTGTCCCAAATCTTTCCTGCACTGGAATTCATTAACCCACTCCTTAAATTTGGCAGAAATGGTCAAGTGACCCTCTTGGCACCCTTTCCCCTCAACCTTCACTCTAAACGCATGACCCTGGATGCCAAGAGCGTGTAACAGTCTCCTCAGGCAAAAGGAAATTAAAGTTTACTAACAAAAGCATGGTCAGACAGGTAAGGTACTATTTGTGGAAGGAGAACGTCTTTCAGGTGTTTCTGACCTACCTAAAAATAACTAACCTACGTTGCAGCCTCTCTGATAAAGGCAGGGCCAGGGCCAGGGCCAGGGCCAGAGCTGTTTTTAGGTTGCCCTCAGCTTCACCAAGTCCTCTTAGCACAGCTTAGAATGAAGCTAACCAGAGGAGACCTGCTCTCTCTCTTTGGGATTATACAAAGCTGGCTTTTTTGAAAATATCTAAATCTTCCAGCCAATCACCAGTCATTTATTTTGCAGCAATAAAGTTATAATTCAACATTAAAAAATAAATAAAATCCCCCATACCTAACCTTTTTGGTGGAAATAAAAAGCCCAAATTGTCAACATAGTCATATCTCCCAAATGTGCAAATTCTATTAATTATAAAATTTCCAAATTATATATCAATATAAAATAATGAGATGGAATATCTTTAAAGAAGCTCATCTGACTAACTTATATTTGAATTTAACAAGGTAACAAGATCTATAAAAATAACTATCAGCACTCCCCAATGCTCAGTCTGTAGGTATTGGCATCCTTTGAACTATTTATCAATAGACTACAAAATAATCTCTACTTTCACATTATTTAGAATTTTCAGACCTGGGTGTATAAAATTCACAGTACATTTTTCAAGATTTAAAATATGAGAAGATACATAAACATTAATAATGTACTCACTATAATGCTATGTGTCCCAATAGGCCCCGATCTCATTTGCTCCTCTCAACAACTCTGTGAATTAGGTATGATTCTCATTTCACCAATGATGAGACTATCAAGTAACTTGTAAGTGAAAGTCTGCCTGACTCAAAAATATATTTTAAAAAAATTACTTTATATAGTAGCTTAATGTAAGGAGTAATAAGTGAAAATTGGCTATTGGGCATGTTAGCAAACATAGTGTTTAAACATAAAAACAGTTAACCTATGTTGCAGCCTCTCTGATGAATACTCGGCCTTGTAACTTGGCTTCTTTAAATGGTTTAAACCTTTTTTTCATGAGTGTTTATTGCTTCTATTAGACTGTGATTTCACTGCAGGCAGAAAAGGGACTAAATTTTCTACCCTTTCGAACACTAATAGACTGCTGAACACTATTTTGTAAATGTGGGTACTTAACAGACCTTTTTTTAGTAAATCTGAAAACCAAAATGACTCTTAATAAGGTTCAGAGTATAAAAAATAGTTCTCACTTAAAATAACATACACCAAAAGAATATAAAAATATTGATTTATTACCAACAAAGCAGGATTTCCCAGTTTTTTCAATTACACACACACAAGCACACACAATAGCAGAATGAAATTACATTTTTCACATCTAAAGGTTTATACCTCAAAGAAAATAGGCATGTGTCCAAAAGACAATTAGAAAGCAAGAAATCTTTCCTTTTACTTTGAATATGGAAAATCTTTTAACAGAGACTCTTTCCAGGCAAACCAATGAAGATTTAGGCATAGAAAATGCTTGTCACCTTAAGGTTTTTAAATATAACTGTATTCACCAAATCAAGTTTTTACTAGAAGTTTTTACGATTTTTATGTAATTAAAAATCAACTTTTGGCCGGGTGCAGGGGCTCACGCCTATAATCCCAGCACTTTGGGAGGCCGAGGCGGGTGGATCACAAGGTCAGGAGTTCGAGACCAGCCTGGCCAATATGCTGAAACCCCATCTCTACTAAAAGTATAAAAAATTAGCTGGGTGTGGTGGGACGCGCCTGTTGTCCCAGTTACTTGGGAGGCTGAGGCAGGAGAATCGCTTGAACCCGGGAGGCGGAGGTTGCAGTAAGCCGAGATCACGCCACTGCACTCCAGCCTGGGCAACAGAGTGAGACTCCATCTCAAAAAAACAAACAAACAAACAAACAAAAAAACTTTTGTTTTAAGTGGCTGAGACTATGTGCTAGACTTACTACTGTTTAATATGCTAAAATGATACATAATTTATTCTTCACAGCTCAAAATTCAATGTAAAGCCAAATATTAATTTTGTCCAGTAGAGAAATTAAATGTTTACAAACAAAGTATGGAACAGTTGTTGGCCTATGTAAATTGAAATGTAATTGACCATTTTATTTTCAAACATGCTTAATCTTCACGTGTCTTTTTCACATTGATACTCATTTTGCAGAAATAAGATGACTGGTACTAATTTAGACAATAAACAAACTACACCAAGCACATTTTAGTAAAGATATTTTGGTGGAACGCAAAGTAATTAACGATGAAAACATTTGGTAATATCCATTTACTAATATGTTACCAAGTTCTTCAATGTTTACATGACTTGCTCATATTAGTAAAAATGTCATTTTAAAATATTTTCACACTTCATGCACTGGAGTTAGTTTAAGAAGGGAAGGCTCTTTTAAAATGTTTATAAAGAAGAAAATACCTTTTTAAAGAGAAAATGTCTAAGTGAGAGGACATAAACTTATGGCTCATTATTTTTTGACCTAGTTAAGAATATAAATTTCAATGGCTACTTAAGAATATACAAAACCCAAACTGAAAGCAATTCTTCAATTTATTCAGGCAAGCAAGTCAAAAAAATAATTTTGTCATTACTGGCACAGATCCAATCCACTGTTCAAAGACATGACTTTGGACTGTCTATTTTCCTATAAGATTTATTTTTTAAAAGAAGATAATTTGTTTGGTTCTACTAATTAGTATAACTTAGAGATAAACAAATGATTTTCCCATTTAATTCTTTTGCGGTGAAAGAAAACAGTTTAAACTAGATTTTCTAAGATAATGGGTACATCAACATTGTAAGAAAGGCCCTATAGGCTTAAGTTCTAAAAACATTACGGTTTTAAAGAAATCAATGCTTTTCCATCACTCTTTACATAACACTGAGAAATTTCAAATATAAATTGTAGAAACCAGTATATGAAATTTTAAGAAAAATCTTACTAAAAATAATTATAAAATGCTTTTAGAAATGTAAGATGTAAAATATAATTGACTTTAAATAAAATAAAAAAAAGCAACCCCTGCCCCCACACTTTAAAAGGTTATTCTTTAAAAACCCTTGTCACCTAATTTTATTCTCAGTCAATCTTTTGGTTGTATTTTGCATCATCTAGTGGCCACCTTGCAGCATTTCAAAGCAGTTCTGCTACCATTTTTGAACCCCAGTGCTTTTTTCCCCTTGAAATACCAATAAAATTATAGCATCAAGTTTCATAAAACTTTCTTTTAAAGGCCCATAAAATTCCATTTCCTACTGGAGATAAGGTAATCTTTTTTAATAGGAAGAAATGACTAGATCTGTCATAAATTATTACTATACATTAGACATTTTCATATCAATTTTTTAAAATTAAATATAACATTGGGAGAAACTAGGACTTAGGCTCTAGAGTCATCTTTAGGCTCTAAAAGTAATTAAAGTTACTCTGCAATTAAAGCTCAGGGCTACCATATAAGTAACTTCTTGTGATTAACCCTTCTTCCACTGTACCTTTGATTTGTAATATTAAGTACATTTTAACATGAGAACTGAATGACTCATGGTCAGAGTGCCAAGAACTCAAGTTCAACCAAGACTGAAGAAGACTTAACTTTTACTACCAGCTGCTATTTTGGAAAGGTCATTATAGTTTCCATTATCAACCTATTTGTATTTAAAAGCAGGTTTCCAAAAATAACTGCTTTTCGTTTTAGTGAATCTCCTTTTATTCAGTTGAGCCATACTTATAAACAGAATTTAACAAAAAAAATTCCCAAGTTCCCTCTCTTTACTTTTATTAAGAAGGTTGAGTGAATGTAATACGGCGCCGCCGCCTTTGGAAAGCCTTTAAATTCCATGTGTTTGGTTCCAGCATATGAGGGCCATTGTAGACAAACAAAACTGTCATCTTTTCAGAATAAGGAAGATTTTGCAGGAGCTGTAAGTATTAAAACAAATTGTCATATAAGCTATATACTGAGAAGTATAGTTTTCCAACCTTACATGTGTACAGTCAAATGTATTATTTTATTTGCAATATTAATAAAACTTTTTTTTTCCCACTCTGCTGCTCAGGCCGGAGTACAGAGGTGCGATCTCAGCTCAGTGCAACCTCCACCACCCAGATTCAAGAGATTCTCGTGCCTCAGCCAGCCTCCAGAGTAGCTGGGATTACAGGCATGCACCATCAGGCCCAGCTAACTTTTTGTATTTTTAGTACAGACAGGGTTTCACCATGTTGGCCAGGCTGGTCTCGAACTCCTGACCTCAGGTGATCTGCCCGCCTTGGCTTCCCAAAGTGCTGAGATTACAGGTGTGAGCCACTGTCCCCAGCCAATAAGACTCTTAAGAAGCTCTTAAACACCTCAATATAAACCTTGCCAGACTGTAATCCTTACCTAAATTAGCATACCTGTAGCCTGGCCTAAGGAACAATCAAAATAAGGAATAATCCAGCCCTCTAGATTCACAGGATAACTGGGATTATTCAACTTCCTTGGCAGACCTTGGAAAAGAGTATGTCCTCCACAATTTTCCTAGGGTAGATACTTTCACTTTTTATTTATAAACACTTCTCAAGCAACTTCTTTGATAGCCTGGTATCCTGAAAAGTGTGTAACAGGGACATTTGTAGACTAAGGTATTTGGCAAGCAGTAGGGTATTAACAGATGTGACTATTCCACAAGACTATCTACTGAAAAAAAGAAGACAGATGACACTATTTAATAAAAATTTGAATGTAGGATGGGCAAAAACAATTTTTTTTTTTTTTTTGGAACAAGGTCTCATTCTGTCACCCAGGCTGCAGTGCAGTGGTGTGATCTGGGCTCACTGAAACCTCCACCTCCCAGACTCAAGCGATCCTCATGCCTCAGCTTCCCAAGTAGCTGGGACTATAGGCGCATGCTGCCACGTCCAGCTAATTTTTGTATTTTTTTTGTAGAGATGGGGTTTTGCCATGTTGCCCAGGCTGGTCTTGAACTCCTGGGCTCAAGTGATCCACCTGCCTTGGCCTCAAAAAGTAGTGGGACTACAGGTATGAGCCAGTGCACCTGGCCAAAATTTTTCATGAATACTTAAAATGGAAAAAATCTGGTTACATTAAAAACATATCTTTGAATACATATGCTTTGTAATTTACTCACAGCACTAGATTTAGCAAAAGAAAATTTCCCATTGCAATGGTTTTAGATTATGAAAAATTATCTACAAAGATAATTCTGTTTTTATCAGAATTAACCTGTGAATAGAAGATGTTGGGATACTTAAATTTCTCCTGGGCCAGCTTAGTACTAGTGGCAAATAAAGAGGAAGGGCAGTATATGACAAGAGAGGCTTTTTTGGGAAAATGAAGAGCCAGAGTCTTAAGGGTTGTATTCCCCACTCATCTTTCAGTGCTGAAAGAGTACCTTTTCTAGAAGAGAAATGAGACAATCTCAATTTTAGAACATAATAATATGCCTCCTACCTTTCTTCCTCTGATTAAGCATGACACTGGAATTTGTCCCTTTAATAATGTAAATATTACTGTTAACCTTTTAAATTCCTTTTTTGGGAGTGTTCCTGCTAATATGTGCATGTTGGGACAAAAACTGTATGATTATGTCACAGGAGATTTCTGAGTATATGACCACTTTTAGGTTACTTTTTACCTACCTTTGGTGTTATGAAAAAGTATTGAGATGTATTTTCTTTACAGGCAGTATTTACAACCATTTCAAACACTCTCCGTTCATTGATTGGGTCCATTCCCTAAACAATGGCAACAATAATGATTACATTTATTCCTGTTACAGGATATAAGAAGATCCAAGTAACAGAACAATCACCATACCTGATTGATTTCATCAACTACTCTGAATGGACATCTATTTAGCTCCTGAAGTGCCATCAAGTATAACATGGTAGAAACACTTCTTTCACCTCCACTTTGATGATGAGGAGTTAATTCATGCAGTTGAGTACTACTTCGAAATTTGACTCTAATTCGAATTCCATATTTATCATAATCTTCCTATAAAACATTTAAAAAGTGATGAAAAATGAGTTTCCTCTGGTAATGTCATTCTATTATTTGAAAATGGATTGAATTAACTGAGTAAGAGTAAAGAACTCAAAATTTAGTGACACTAGTTTAAATATGTAACAATAAATATATATGTATTTTTAAAAATAATAAATATTAAGCAAACAGTTACTATCTAAAAGCTTTAAGGGTTTTCAAAGAACTATTTAGATAAGGAAATTATTCAGATTAAATTAACATTTTCCTCCTCTATACCATTCTATTCAAGTTTAGTAGGCTTCCCCAAGAGTTTTTAGAAATTACTGAGCGAGGAACTCTGTCCTCAAAAAGCACTATCTATTCTAGTTCCAAAATGCTAGGTTCTTAAACTGTAGGTGAAAGCAATTAGAACATAATGGAGTGTCATGCTCTCTTGTGCTAGAGAAGTGGTTGTGTATGGTAACTGCAGAGGGCCAAGAATCCCCCTAACTTCTTCAGTCGGTTAAGAAGGAAAAAAACAAGGTAGGAATTACACATATACTTTGAAAACTTAAGTCATACATACACACAATACTCAGCAAAAAGCAAGCCTGGCACGTAATAGGTGCTCAATAAATATTTGTTGTAATGAGTACATTAGTGTTTTATAAATGTTGCCAAAACTGAGGATGCTCTAAGGTTTACTATTCTTATTGATGGCACTTCTATGTCAGGTTCAGATTTACCTTAAAAATGAGATACATAACTTACTAATTAGGCCGGGTGTGGTGGCTCATGCCTGTAATCCCAGCAATTTGGGAGGCCGAGGGGGGTGGATCACTTCAGGTCAGGAGTTTGAGACCAGCCTGGCCAACATGGGGAAATCCCATCTCTACTAAAAATACAAAAATTAGCCGGGCATGGTGGCAGGCATCTGTAATCCCAGCTACTTGGGAGTCTGAAGCCGAAGAATAGCTTGAACTCAGGAGGTGGAGGTTGCAGTGAGCCAAGATTGCGCCACTGCGCTCCAGCCTGGGTGAGAGTGAGACTTTGTCTCAAAAAACCAAAACGAAAAACATGAAACTTACTAATTAAAGGTTATCTATTAATTGAATAGAGCTTTAAGGTCTAAGATAGTACTGAGCAAGAGAAAGATATAATACAACCCACATATGTAATTTTCAATTTTCTAGTAGTTACTTTTTTTTTGAGACAGAGTCTCTGTCCCACTCTGTTGCCCGGGCTGGTCTCAAACTCCTGAATTCAAGTGATCCTCCTGCCTTGGCCTCCCAAAGTGGGATTAGGCATAAGCCACAGCACCTGGCCTTTGCCTGTCTTAAAGAAAAATTAATTTTAGCCCAAATTGCAATGCATAAACTTACAGCACAAGAAATTAGTAGCAAATTTCCCACTATTTCCATTCTTATAAATTCTTAAATTCTTTTTTTTTTTTGAGACAAGGTCTGGTTTTGTTGCCCAGGCTGGAGTGCAGTGGCACCATTTTGGCTCACTGGAACCTCCACCTTCCAGGCTCAAGTCATCCTTGCACCTCAGCCTCCAGAGTAGCTGGGACCACAGGTACATACCACCGCACCCAGCTAATTTTTGTATTTTTACAGAGATGCGATTTTGCCATGTTGCCCAGGCTGGTCTCAAACCCGTGAGCTCAAGCTATCTGCCTGCCTCAGCCTCACAAAGTGCTGAGATTACAGGCGTGAGCCACCACACCTGACCATGAATTCTTAAATTCTTTATTAAAAAAAAAAAGACACTGATATACACTATATTTCAAACTAATCTGTTTGAGTCTTCTAACTCCAGCTGTGGTAGCTTTATAACGTATTTATTCAATACAACTGAATAACCATTACTCAGATGTATAAAAAGAGTTACAAGGTATTAGTCACTAATTCCAAACATAACCCCCCCCAAAAAAAGTGACCCTAATGGAATCCCACAGGTGGTTTTCTCCTTTCTTTCAACATTTTGGTAAACAAAACTTTTCACAGATATAACTCAAAAGTAAATAAATAATTTATATGTACTTTAAGCATATAATTAAAATTATTTGCCAGAAATATTATTTATTTCAAATGCAATTTTACCTCATTTTCTGTATGGAGATCAACTTCACCAGCACACTGCATGGAACTAAAAAAATTGCTGAATTTTTCATTAATTTTTTCTACCAGCTCTTTTAAAGGATTAAGCCACCTTTCTTTTACCTACAAATAAAGGCAATATAAAAACACAATTTAAAAGCAGTATTACTATATTCTGACACACAATTTTATGTAAATTTTATATCAGTATCAGTCTGGGCATAACACACTTCTCTTAGAAGCATGTCATCTCATTTTCCATTATTCTACATTCCCATTTCATTAATAATCACATGATAAAAAGATTAAAAACTAAAAAATTACCTGTGAAATGTTTTCCCTGTATTGATCTAGTTCAACTTTCTTTCCCTTTAGTTCCTCAGTTAACTGTTCTATTTCTTCTTCTCTTTTTGTATATTCCTGAACAATCTGGCAGGGGAAAAAAAAACTTCTTTAAGATAAATCTACCAAAGGATAAAACTATATACAATTTTGCATTGATTAAAACATTAAATGAAAATGCCAATTGTGCTGCATTGTTTGTATGCAAATAATATATGCTCTTATTACATACTGAAAGTGACATTTTTTATCCTTGAAAAAATAGACATTGCAGTATTTCAGGTTAGCCCAACTATTCTTTTTATAAAGAAAAGGCACAGAACATTGTGTTCCTTAGGAAGAATCTATTTAAAATTCTAATAGATTCAGAATCTGGCATTTAAAGTACATTGTTCCTGCTGTCTAGCTTATTATTACCAAGAGCTCTAGTACAGAGTGGGAGGCAAGTACTGGAGGGAACTCTGTGTGTGTATGTGTGTGTATGGGGAGGGTGGTGGTGGTGGTTGGATGCAGAATGGGAATAGAGAAACAGGCATACTGTAGGATTCAGTCCCGTGAAGCAGGAAGCTCTTGATCTTTCTTCAGTTAATAAAGCATCAATTTCATCCAATGTGTTTGGAAGGTCTTGGAAAACCTAAGAAAAAAATTGCCCGTCATTATAGATACAATGAAAACAGTTCCATTCAAATAGTTAAAAGAAAAATAATCTGCTGAATAAGTTATCTATCTGTTCAACAGCATGCTGGCACACAAGAATACAAAGGAATAATAAACAGGGTCATTTGCCTTCAAAAGCTTGTACTTTAAAGAAAACAAAATGTATGTACTGGATAACACTTTAAGGCAATGTATTGATGTTGAGTATTAAAACAAGCAGTACATATCATATAGGCTAGGAATTTAGAGAAAAGAAGTATCAGTTCATGCTACAGGAGAGTTAAGAGAATTCAAAGGCCTAGAATTCATCTCCGGGCCTTAAAGCAAATGGCTAGGGAGGAGCAAGGCAGAGGGAAAACAGGAGCTTGGGAAAAAAGAATGAGTACTGCATACCATGGGGAGTGAGGAGTTGTGTCCATTTGGAATGGTGGGTACTTGCTGAATTGGTAGAATGGGTCCAGAATATGTGGGGCATTGAAAGAGAGCAAGAAGTTAGAACTTTATACTGCACTTATGAAGAACTAAAAAAGCATCCTGAGAATCTAATTACTTTGACAGTTGAATTTCACCACAGTACTATCTTCTGAGTCCATGCCATGGGGACAAATTAGAACATATACTTTTTTTTTTGAGGGGAGGCAATCAGTACATTGTTTGGCCTAGCACAACCTGCAAAGGCTATATACTACATGGTACAAAATGAATCCTGAAACCCTGAAAAAGATCTTGACATATTAATCTAATATCTTAAACTTATTATTTTAACCTCTTAGAAAGCAGTTCAACCTCTATAGACCTTCAAATATTCCTCTGTTGAATCTCTGACTTACTGAGATGTAAGCTCATGTGTCCAACATTTATTTACTCGATATCCTCACTTGACTCTAATAGGCATCTTAAATTTAAGATGGTGAAACAGAATCTGGATTTCACCCACCTTCCCTATCACTTTAAGCAACCCTGTTTCTCCTTCAATCTTCTCCATTCCAGTAAATGGCATCGTAATTTGTTCAGGTGAAAAATTTAGGGGTTCTCTCTCTCATCCTTCATGTCAAATCCATCAGCAAGTCTTGCTGGCTCTGTCACTAAAAGATACCTAAGACTTGTCAACTTCTCCCTCTCTCTCTTCAGTGCTATCACCCTAATTCATGCCATCATGTATCTCTTACGTGGTCCAAAGAAATGACCTTCTAAATGGTTTCACTGCTTCCATTCTTGTATCCCTACTTTATCCTCCATCTAGAAGAAAAGTTAGAGTGCTCGTTCATAAAAGTAGTAATGTCACTTTTCCATTTAAGATCCTCCACTGGAGTCCATCCCAAAAGAATACAACCTTAATTGCTTGTATAGTCTACAAGGCCTACATAATCTTGGCTTCTGCCTTCTTCTCTGCTTGGATAATTTTTAACCCCAATGAGATTCCTTTTATTCTGAAACATCCCAAATATACTTCTGTCTTGGGCGTTGTCTGAGCTATTTTCTCTGTCTGGAATACTTTTGCCTGACATCTTCACTTGACTGATCTGTTCTCTTCATTCAGGACTGTTATAAAATGGTATCTTTTCAAAGGAGGCTTCCCTGACCAAGTTCCCATCCATGTCACTCCATCTCCTCACCCTGTTTTATTTTTCTTAGCATCTCTTGTTATCTGACATTATCTGATTTTTGATTTGTGTTTTCATCTACCCAATCTTCCAGACTAGAATATAAGTTTCAGCTGAGAAGGAAGTATGTCTGTCTTGTACAATGCTTGACATATAAGAGGTAATTAATACATTTTAATGAATATAATCATCTCCTAATTTTGATTCAAAAACAGTATGACTTATCAAGAATAGAATCATGCTTTTTCTGAAAAAAAAAATTAGTAGATTGTACTTATATTTATTTTATAACAACACAATGTATTCTGAAGACATTCTACTGTTTTTAGAAACAAGCTTCTCAATTTGTTTTAAAGATATCTACTAAGTTCCTAGTATGTATCCAATTAGTCGAATCCATTCTCTGTGATTTCTGTGTCTGATATCATAAAATAAATCAATTGAGGATTTGAAAATTATAATCCATTAATTTTTTTCCAGTTGTTTATATCTTTAGTAGCCATTTCATTATCTACTGAAATAGATAACATTTGAAATTAAGAATTTTAAAGACACACCAATACTAGATATTTTAAAACTTATTTTCTAATTTCATTTTGACATTATTCTGAATAGGTATCTAGGCAAAGTATCATCCCCACTTGTCACAGAGGTACATAATTAACGGTGGAATGTGACTAAAGGGCAGCATCTCCTAATTTTACTGAGTGGTATGTCAGGATAAAAAATATAATGGAAATAAGACCTCTTTTTTCCTTTTCTTATTGGCAGATGTTAGCCTTAAATATTCAGCTCTCATTGAACCCTAATTAAACACCCCAATTTCCAGGGAAACATTTTCATTTTCCCTTTATTTTTAAAATATTCTATTTATTATTTCTGATATACCAATTACTGGTACAATGTTTCCATGAAAAACTATATATGTTCCAACTGTACCCATTAAAAGGCATTTGTATTGGAAGAATAAATGTTATAGTACCAATACCATTGATCTCTTAAGCAACATTATTTTATATATATATATATATTCAGTTTAAAAATGTGGAAAAACTCCCTATTTTTTACGACACATCATGTTTTTCACGGCCTGTTACAATGGCTAAGATTCCATAATCTTAAAAATGTTAAATATGGCAATTGTAGCATTATATACTTTTTATACTTACTGTCTGGTATTCTTGAGGAAGAGTCTGCTCTGCACCCAGGTTACATACTTGCCTAGCTCTTTTCATAAGTTCCTTGCATTTCTGCAATAATCTCTGTCTATTTTCATCCAATTCAATGAAATGTTGCTATTAAAAAAATTTATTTTGAAAATTTGAATGTTAATGTTAAAGCAGAGGGATGTTTTATTAAACTACCACATATTAAATATTGTTGAATTCTGATTATAATGATAATCAAATTATCTGAAACTGTTTCTTAAATAATGACTCTTTTTATTATAAAGGTTAAACTTGAACTTAAACTTTAAAATACATCAGCACATCAATAACCTGGCATTTCTCTAATCCATAAGAGGTGTAAAATTTAAATTTTACTGCCTTTTCCTGAAAGTCTAGCTTAGCTCCATGTAATTATATTTATTTATTTATTTACTTATTTATTTATTTTTTTGAGACAATCTTGCTCTGTCACCCAGGCTGGAGTGCAGTGACGTGACGTGATCTCAGCTCACTGCAACCTCTGCCTCCCAGATTCAAGTGATTATCACGCCTCAGCCTCCCGAGTAGCTGAGATTACAGATGTGTACCACCATGCCTGGCTAATTTTTGTGTTTTTAGTAGAGACAAGGTTTCACCATGTTGGCCAGGCTGGTCTCCAACTCCTGGCCTCAAGTGATCCATCCGCCTTGGGCTCTCAAAAGTGCTGGGATTACAGGTGTGAGCCACCAGGCCCGGTCATGTAATTATATTATAATCAGATTTGAGATACACAGTACACAGGCTTCATATGACAAAACTCAGCACTCAAATGTAGTTAGAACCTTTAAATCATGCTTGATAGTTTTCCAAGTACCTTCCATGTATTTATTTATTCATGGACCTATTTATTCCTTCACCAAATAATTACTGAGAACCTATTAAATGCCAGTATTATAATCCGCATTGGTCACAGAAAGGTGAATAAGGACACAGGATCATTATCATAACAGAAACAGATACTCTTTACCGAATGCTTATGTGCTGGGCCCTTGGCTAGGTGCTTCGCATACATTATTCCCTTTATTTCTCACAAACACTGCACAGTAATATTATCCTCATTTAGCGCATTAAAAAAAAAAAAAAGAGACTGAAAGGAATTAAGTAACTTGCCCAAGCCCACACATTTAGTTAGAGACTGTCATGATTCAGATCCCTGTCTGCTTACAGGACACATGCTCTTTTCATTACAGCATGGCACCTCTCAGCAGGAGCAGATTGGACAGAGTATGTATGTAGGGAAGGTCAGAGTGGTCACAGAAGCTATGACAACTTAACAGCCTTAAATGACAAGAAATAAGGAACATATACAGCAGATGACATTCCAAGGACAGGTGATTATGAATTTTAAGGCATATGAGCCTCAAAGACCTGCTTATTTAAGAAACAAGTAATCTAATGTGGCTGGAGGAGAGGAATTTGTAAGGATGTAAAAGATCAGAGTTGGTAAAATGGACAAGGGCCAGACTGCAAAAATTTCACATGCAACAGGGAAGGTATCTCATCTACTAAATGTCTTCTGTAGGTCAAGCACTGTTACAACCACTATCCTGTTAATTGTTCTAATCCCAATTATGATCTTAAAGAAAAGGGTTATCTCTATTTGTAGATGTGGCTCAGACACATTAAGAAACTTGCCCAAGGTTACGGAACTAGCAGATTTCTGAGAAATAAAACAGGTCTGGTTTGCTCTTTTCACTAACCCTCAAACTCTGGTTGGCACAAAAAACAGCTGGGGGTGGGGGATATGGAATGGCCTAAGCACATTCCAGATCTACTTGATTAATATCTCCGGGGCTGAGGTCTGGACACCTGTATTATTATTATTTATTATTTTATTATTATTACACTTTTAAGTTTTAGGGTACATGTGCACAATGTGCAGGTTAGTTACATATGTATACATGTGCCATGCTGGTGTGCTGCACCCATTAACTCGTCATCTAGCATTAGGTATATCTCCCAATGCTATCCCTCCCCCCTCCCCCCACCCCACAACAGTCCCCAGACTGTGATGTTCCCCTTCCTGTGTCCATGTGTTCTCATTGTTCAATTCCTACCTATGAGTGAGAACATGCGGTGTTTGGTTTTTTGTCCTTGTGATAGATTACTGAGAATGATGATTTCCAATTTCATCCATGTCCCTACAAAGGACATGAACTCATCATTTTTTATGGCTGCATAGTATTCCATGGTGTATATGTGCCACATTTTCTTAATCCAGTCTATCATTGTTGGACATTTGGGTTGGTTCCAAGTCTTTGCTATTGTGAATAGTGCCGCAATAAATATACGTGTGCATGTGTCTTTATAGCAGCATGATTTATAGTCCTTTGGGTATATACCCAGTAATGGGATGGCTGGGTCAAATGGTATTTCTAGTTCTAGATCCTTGAGGAATTGCCACACTGTCTTCCACAATGGTTGAACTAGTTTACAGTCCCACCAACAGTGTAAAAGTGTTCCTATTTCTCCACATCCTCTCCAGCACTTGTTGTTTCCTGACTTTTTAATGAATGCCATTCTAACTGGGGACACCTGTATTATTAAGCGGGCCCTCAGGTGACTTTTATGCACATGGGTTTGATAGCAAATAAACTAAACCAAGACAATAGTTATGAAAAGTGAAAGGATAGATACTGGACCAAACTGAAAATGCAAGCAATCCTTTATACTAACCACTTAGTACTATAGTTTCCTTGAATAAATTCCTCAGTCCCTATAGCTTGAGAGAAATAAAAGAAAATGTTAAAGACTCCCAATCACCCCTACTCTGCTAAGGACCATTGTACTCAGGCAAATGCAAAACAAGGAGCAGCTGGATAGAAACTAAATACTCCTAATTTCTTCTATTCCTGATTCTTGTTCCTCTGGACTTTGCTAAAATAAAGTATTAGAACATTATGGAAAAGAAGTATCAATGAGTTGATAATTTGAAGCTCTGGACTTAGAAAGACAAAACCTCATTTAATAGTTTGTTTGGTGGCATATGTGTAATAAAATATTTATCTGAGAAAATATTCTATACATATGTGTTTGTGATAGAGATCTTCACATGGCACTTGTTTTGCTTTTTGTTTTTAAAACCACAATTCTTGCTGAGCTTTTTAAGGGTAGAAGTGGGAAGGCATATATAATTATATCAGATAATGCTGTAAAGTCAGACTAGTGAAAAGGCTTTATCTACATTTCTGCTTAGAGTCTAGCCTTTAATAGTTAATAGAGAATAGAAAATACTCCATCTGTTTAAGATGTAAGATAAGAAATGAGTGAAATGTACAAAATATCCCCCACTAACATCTCAAAAAAGATTACTTTGTAGTTATATACCCTAGAAAAAATTTGTAAGTATTATCTTTTTTTCTAAAATTCTTTTTATGGAAAGTTCACTTCTCATGGAAATTGTACAGAAATACCTCGACATTAAACAAGAAAAAGCTTTTCTAAGAAGGCCCTCTTGTGGAAGAAGTAAGAATTATTCACAGAATTTCTTATGAAAACTGTATATATTAAAACTGTTATTTTAGTAACAGTTCATTAAAATAAGAATCAAATAAAATGAAAACCATTTTCTATATGAATAAAATTAAGTTCTAGGTATCATCAACTTTTACTAAAACATTAGCTGTAAATTAACACATTTCTCCCTCATTTTTCCTTTAATAAAACATCATTCCAATTTAGTTGATTTCAAATTCAAATGTTAACCATTTGTTTTAGTTACCAGACAGAATACACACTTAAAAATATAAAAATCATTCATTTAGAAAGTCAACTTTAAATTTTAATGTAATGCTAGAAATTTAGAATAATAATCTTAACTTTTAATACACAAGACCATAAATTCTACTTAAACTAATTTAATCATAAACAATAAAATAATGGGAATAATACTATTTCTTTGTAAAATGTTTTCTTCAAAATTTCATCTAAGTAAAAAAAAAAGTCTCCTCTGAAACAGTTCTTTTTTGAGGGAGTGGCAAGCAGGTAGGCAGAAGAGAGGTCAGATGAAAAGCACAGAGCTCCTAAATTTGGTATTAGAATAAGCAAATAAATGTAACAACTTTCCATCTTTATAACTAATATTAATTCTGATGTAAATCTACACTTTTAAAGGAAACACTGGCTTCATGCTAAGCAGCACACTAGGCATCTTGATATATATTATTAAACTGAATATCATAATATCCCTCCAAATTAGGTAGGTATCATACTTATGGCTGCAGAGAATGATTAAGCTTGGAGTGGTTAGGAAACCTGCCCATGGTCAAAAACGAAATAACAAGAAATTTTTATCGACCTCTGTATTTGGATTCACACACAGCTTACTAATTTGTCCTAAAAATAGCCCATAAGTTAGTGACATTACCAAAGAGAGGCTTCCCACCATCTACCTTTTTCAGGGGATGTTTTATAGGTCTGTTGCCCTATTTACCTTCCAAAAATCTGAGAAAGTATCAAACTCCACGGTCCCCTCATAAATACAATCTCCCCTGAAATTTTGTGTCAATCTTCTTTTGTGAATTTATTTTCAAGAAAGAAAAAAGGACAAAACCAAGTGGTAGCAATAGTTCCTCAGAGCAACCTGCCATGTGTTCAAAGGGACAAGTAGGAAAAAAAAATTTCTCTTTGGTTCAAGTGAAGCTGCATAGCAGGAACAGATGAGATAGATAAAAATCATGTGCAGGTAAATGGCAGCAAACATGAGAAGAAAACAAGAGTAGGTAAAAGAGAAAGTGAACTATCATACACCTATTCTACTACATAATTTTAGTCATCATTCTTGACTCTTTTTTTTTTTTTTTGAGACGGAGTCTCGCTCTGTCGCCCAGGCTGGAGTGCAGTGGTGTGATCTCGGCTCACTGCAAGCTCCGCCTCCCAGATTCACGCCATTCTCCTGCCTCAGCCTCCCGAGTAGCTGGGACTACAGGCGCCCGCCACCACACCCGGCTAATTTTTTGTATTTTTAGTAGAGATGGGGTTTCACCACGTTAGCCAGGATGGTCTCGATCTCCCGACCTCGTGATCCACCCACCTCGGCCTCCCAAAGTGCTGGGATTACAGGCGTGAGCCACCGTGCCCAGCCCATTCTTGACTCTTTCAAATGTGTGGCTAATGACTACGATCAGACAGCAACAAACATTTATTAAGTATGCACAACAAGAAATGAAAGAACCTTACAAAAGGGCTGGTAAAGCATTTATCAATGAAAAGCATTAAAAAATTTTATTTTATTTTTTTTTAGAGATAAGGTCTTACAGTGTTGCCCAGGATGGACTTGAACTCCTGGACTCAAGTGATCCTCCTATCTCAGCCTCCAAAGTAGTTGGAACTATAGGTACACTCAGATCATTTAAGAACTTTCAAATCAACATATGAATAAGAAAAACAGAGTGGTGTAAAATATTGCTGAGGAAATGCAAAATAAAGTCAGAGGTAGTATTAAGTAAAGTTACTTATGTGTGTCAAGGAAGAGTTCTGGTCTTAAAAGCAGCAATGGACTCAGAATGAAAAAGGTGAACAAACGATACGGGAAAGATACAGAGGTTATGAACAATGGTAGGAACACTGGAATAGCCAACCAAGGTAAAAAAGGCTAGAAGTTGGAAGTAGACATTAGAAGACTACTGTAAAGCTTTGGATGATGTATAATATTATAAAGCTGTAGATTTCTGCAGCAGAATATAAAAATCAGCACAATTTTTTTTTTCTGGCAGTTAAACGAGTGCAAAATTCATAAAAAGTGAGGCCACAGCTATTAGGACTTAATGCCTAGACAGAGTGGTAGCCGTGATAGTTAGAAAGAGGTGAACTAGTAATGTGGTAATGGCTAAATTGGGCAAAGGGCAAGGAAAAGGAACAAGAACAAAAAGAGAATCAAAATGTGCTAAGTTTCTCCAGTTAACTTTAAAATTATGCAAATGGCTGGGCATGGTGGCACATGCCTGTAATCCCAGTACTTTGGGAGGCCGAGGTGGGAAGACTGCTTGAGGTTAGGAGTTTGAGACCAGCCAGGGCAACATAGTGAGAACTATCCCTACAAATAAAAAATTAGCCAGGTGTGTGGCATGCACCTGTAGTCCTAGATACCTGGAAAGGCTGAGGCAGGAGGATTGCTTGAGCCCAGGATTTCCAGGCTGCAGCAAGCTGTTGACCATGCCACCGCACTTCAGCCTGGGTGAGAGAGTAAGAACCCGTTCTCAAGGAAACAAAACAAAACAGCAAATGTGTTGAGAAATTATGCACTATTAAAATATAATCAAAATAATACATAACGAGTTATGGTGGCTATTTGTGCTTTCTGAATAACCAAAATGCATTCAACTACAGGAATTTTAACTTTAAATTTGAAAGTGGCTGTCTTGGTTAAAAAAAAAAAAAATTAGTAATTCACTGATTAAAAACAAAACCCTCTCCCCAAAAACTTTCCTACTTTCCAGAAACACGGCAGTCAGCTCTACTCAAAACAGTATTTCTTGGCCAGGTGTAGTGGCTCACACCTGTAATCCTAGCACTTTGGGAGGCCGAGGCGGGTGGATCATTTGATGTCAGGAGTTTGAGGCCAGGCATGGTGAAACACGATCTCTACTAAAAATGCAAAAATTAGCCAATTAGCAGGGTGTGGCGGCGCTCGCCTGTAGTCCCAGCTATTTGGGAGGCTGAGGCAGGAGAATCACTTGAACCCAGGAGACTGAGGTTGCAGTGAGCTGAGATTGTGCCACTGCACTCCAGCCTCGGTGACAGAGCAAGACTGTCTCCAAAAAAAAAAAAAAAAAAAAAAAACAAATCCCAAAACACAGTATTTATCCTATTTACTAATAAAATGGATCAGAAGAGAACACCCTGCCAACCTGTACTAATCTCAGTCCATCTATAAGGGCTATTGGAAGAGTATCTCTCACTGTGTCAGGTGTGGGTTACAGTTTAAGAGCATACTTACTCCAAAGCCATTGATTTCATACTTCTGTAAACATGACACAAACAAATCGTTTTCTTAAGTTCTCATTAATACTGATGTAAAAGTAAAACTTCAGGCACCAGAATCAAATATTGTATTGTTGATATAGTTTGGCTGTGTCCCCACCCAAATCTCATCTTGAATTCCCACGTGTTGTGGCAGGGACCTGGTGGGAGGCAACTGAATCATGGGGGCAGGTCCTTCCTGTGCTGTTCTCATGACAGTAAGTCTCACGAGATCTGATGGTTCTATAAGGGGGAGTTTCCCTGTACAAGCTTTCTCTTTGCCTGCCACCATTCATGTAAGATGTGACTTGCTCCTCCTTGTCTTCCGCCATGATTGTGAGGCCTCCCCAGCCATATGGAACTGTAAGTCCATTAAACCTCTTTCTTTTGTAAACTGCCCAGTCTCGGGTATGTCTTTATCAGCAGCATGAAAACGGACCAATACAATTGTGTTACTGGATTTAAAGCTACACATATTAATAGTATCTGCCTGATGGGTCAACTTCTTCATGAAACCTCTTTTATAACAACATTTCCTATATGGAACAACCACATTCATAAGCTCAATCAATGAAGTAACTTCAGCATGGACTCTACAATTACTTACCAATAGAACAGATGAAAAAGTAGCAGATGACATTCCCCACATGCCCAGGAAATAAGCCCTGATGAGGCTCTCCTCTGGTAGCTAGTTCAGTTTCTTCACTCCCATTTGGAACTTACCTTTGATTGCTTTTTGCTGGACACCGACTACCTATTTAGAATACTATTGCTATTCATTCTGCCATCCTTTCCTTCCTTTGTTCTTGGTGAAGGTGGGGAGTGGGGGAGAGGACTTTCTTGTCTTCCACATCTCTGGATTTTGCCCAGCCCTAGCATATCAAACCTAATCTTCAGCTTCGTTTGGCTATGTGTGTTTGTGCCTGCATGCTCCTAGTTGCTTATCTGCTAGCAACACTGTTTTTTTCTTAAGTCAAAGGGTTTGAAGAGGTTGGCTTCAGAATAAAGCTGCTACTTTACTCTGATTTAATCTTTCCATTCACCTGTGCAGTCCTATGTCTACATTTCCTAAAATCTACCCTCTGTGGATGCTTTCCACAAAAAGGCACCCCTATATAGCTCACATTTATGTAACAAATACATTTATGCAGTTAAGTTACAGTGAATCATGTACATAACCCTGCCGGAGAGTGACAGACTCTGGTGAAGTAGAATAATAGATGGGGAAGGGTAAAAAGAGACTCTGAATACGTGAACAGGTTTAAAAATCTACAACAAATACAGCAAGGGTTAACATTTGTTAAAGAGGGGTAGCGGACACATGGATGTTATGTTACTCTTCATATTCTTGTATATGTTTAAAATGACGTAATAAAAATACTAGTAAAAAGACAAGTGAAATAAATGATAAAACTCTAACTTAATTTTTTTTTGGTAACTCATTTCAGTTTTCTTCCCTAACTTTTGGGGTGTAACCAAGGAATCATAAACTGCAATATTTAAAGGAGACAACTTGATGAATTCTGACAAATATACACACCTGTAAAGCTATTACCATCAAGATAATAAACATATCTATCACCTTCAAAAGCTCTGAAATTATATAGTGTATGCTCTCTTTTGGTCTGGTTTCTTCCACTCAGCTTCACTGAGATTCATTTATGTGTGCATCAGTAATTCATTTCTTATTGTGGCAGAGTAATATTCCACATACCATAATTTGTTTAATCATTCAGGTGTTGCTGGGCATTAACCTCCATTTTTGTTGTTGCTGGTTTTTTTTTAAGACAGGGTCTTGCTCTACTGCCTAGGCTATAGCGCAGTGACATGATCACTGTTCACTGAAGCCTCAACCTCCCAGGTTCAAGTGATTCTCCAACCTCAGCCTCTCAAGTAGCTGGGACTACAGGCATTCACCATCATGCCTGGCAAATTTTTAACTTTTTGTAGAAACAGGGTCTTGCTATGTTGCCCAGGCTGGTCTCAAACTCCTGGGCATGATTCTCCTGCCTTGGCCTCCTAAAGTGCTGGGATTATAGGCATGAGCCACTGCCCTCAGCCTTGTTTCCAGTTTTTAGCTATTACAAAGACAGCTGTTACACATTTGTGTACCAGTCTTTCATAGACATATTCTTTCATTTCATATGTCAGGTATATGTTTAGCCCTTAAACTCCCAAATGATTTTCCACAGTGATTATATACATTTTAAATTCCCACCAGTGGCGTATGACAGTTCCAGTTGCTCCAAATTCTCAGCAATTTAGTATGATCAGTCTTTTAAAATTTTAGCAATTCTAGTGAGTCTATGGTTTAACTCATGCCTTTAATATAAACTTCCCTACTGACTAATAAGGTTGGACATCTTTCTTTTTCATATATATACTTTTTCTTTGCTACCCAAGACCAGTAAAGTCAGGTTGGGCATCTTTTCACGTGCTTATTTACTATTCATATACTTCCTTTAGTACGGTGAAGTTCTTTGCCCATTTTTTCACTGGGTTGTTGGTTTTCTTTGTATTGATAGTTGAAATTATTTTTATAGCATCCATCAGGGGTCAGCAAACTTTAAAGGCCAATAAGGAAATTAAGCTTTGAGGGCCATATAAAGTCTCTGTCACATTATACACACACACACATACACACACTCTCTCTCTCTCTTTAAAAAGTATGAAAACTATTCTTAGCTCACAGGGACTTTACAAAAACAAGACCTTGGGCTAGATTTGGCCCACAGGCATAGTCCTCTTGGTCTAGATACAAGTCCTCTCTGAGGTGTACTGCAAATATATTCTCCCAGTTTGTAGCCTGCCTTTTTGTAATGGCATCTACCGAAAACAAAAGTTGTTCATTTTGATGAATGCAATGATTCTTTTTCTCTTATAATTTGTGTTTTTTCTATTTTATCTAAGAAATCCTTGCCAAAACCAAGGTAACTAAGATTTTCTCTTACATTTTCTTCAAGAAGTTTTATAATTTTAGCTCTTACATTTAAGTCTGTGACTCATTTGTATATGATACGAGGTAAGGGTATAGTTCATTTTTTACATATGACTATGCAATTGTTCCAGCACTGTTTGTTACAAAGATTACTCTTTCCCCATTGAAATCCCTGGGCATCTTTGTCAAAAAAAAAAAAAAAACAACAACAACTGACCATAAATATGTGGATGTCTTGAGTCTCTATTCTGTTCCATTGATCCATATATATCTACTTTTATACAGATACAATGTCTTGATTGTTGTAATGTCATAATAAATTTTAAAATTAGTGGGAGTCCTGCAACTTATTTTTCAAAGTTGTTTTTGCTCTTCTAAGTCCATTGCATTTTAGAATAAGTCAATTTCTATAATCTGGCTGGGAATTTTATTGAATTTAAGATTTGGAAGAGAAATGACATTTTAAGAAATCCTGAATTTTTGATCCATGAACACCATGTATTTAATTTCTCTCAGCAAAGTTTTCTCTCATCAAATTTTCGTAGTTTTCAGGATACAAGTCTTTTAAATATATCCCTAGTATTTTTTTCCTTTCTTTTTTTGGGACAGAGTCTTACTCTGTCACCCAGGCTGGAGTGCAGTGACATGATCTCGGCTCACTGCAACCTCTGCCTTCTGGGTTCAAGTGATCCTCCTGTCTCAGCCTCCCGAGTAGCTGGGATTACAGGCATGTGCCACCATGCCCAGCTAATTTTTGTATTTTTAGTAGAGACAGGGTTTTGCCATGTTGGCCAGGCTGATCTCAAACTCCTGACCTCTGATTATCTGGCCACCTCGGCCTCCCAAAGCCTTTCTTTTTAATGACAGGGTTTTATCCCCTCGTCCAGGAGGCTGAAGCGCAGTGGTGAAATCACAGCTCGTGGCAGCCTTGACCTTGCGAGCTCAAGCCATCCTCCAGCCTCGGCCTCCCAAAGTGCTAGGATTATAGGTATGAGCCACCATGCCCAGCCAGGTATTTCATTTTTGATGCTATTGTAAATAGTACTGTTTTAAAATTGCAATTGCCAATTGTTCATTGTTTGTAGGTGGGGCCGCAATGAATTTCTATATATTGAACTTATCTCCTACAATCTTGCTAAATTTTCACTGATGGTTCTATTAGCATTTTGGTAGATTCCTTAAGATTTTCCATAAAGATGATTGTGTTTGGAGGTTTTTTTTTACATTTAATACATTTAATTTTTCTAGCCTTACTGCACTGACTAGAACTTCCAGTACAATGTGGACTAGAAGTGGTAAGGGTAGGCATTTTCCTCGTCCCCAGTTGTAAGGGGACAGTTTACAGTTTTCCACCAAGATTGATATGAGCTGTTGGTTTTCAGATATCCTTTATCAGAATGATGAAGTCTCCTTCGATTCCCAGTTGCAAGAAGTTTTTATAATGAAGGGATGCTGAATTTTGACATTTTTTCTGTATATATTGAAATGATCATCTAGTTTTTCAGTTTCGGTCTGTTAATATGCTGAATTATATTGATGAATATCCAAATATTAAACCAACCTTATACATCTGAGATAAAACCTAATTGGTTACAATGTATTACTTTTTATATATTGTTGGATTTGACCTGCTAACATTATATGAAGAATTTTTGGGTCTATGTTCATGATAGGTATTAGTCTGTAGTTCTTTTTAGTATCAGGTAATGCTGGCCTCATATAATGCTTCAAGAAGTATTCCCTCCTCTTCACCTTCTGGAAAATCTTAAGTAGAACTGGTATTAATTCTTTTTTTTTTTTTTTTTTTTTGAGACAGGGTCTCACTCTGTCACCCAGGCTGAAGTACAGTAGTCCAATCACACCTTAGTGTGGCCTTGACCTCCCAGGCTCAAGTGAGCCTTCCACCTCAGCCTCCTGAGTAGCTAGCTGAGATTACAGGTGCATTCCATCATGCCTGGATAATTTTTGTATTTTTTGTAGAGACAGGGTTTTGCCACGTTGCCCAGACTGGTCTTGAACTCCTGACTCAAGGGCTCCACCTGCCTCGGCCTCCCAAAGTGCCGGGATTACAGTGTGAGGCACTACACTCAGCTGGGATTATTTTATAAATGCTTGGTAGAATTAACCAGTGAAGATTTTGGGACTGAAGTTCTCTTAGTGGTAAAGTTTTTAATGAGAAATTAAATTTTTTAAATAAATATAAGGTTAGTCTAGTCACCTATTATCTTCTCGAGTGACCTTTGGTAGTTTAGTGTTAAGAAATGTGTCCATTTCATCAAAGTTGTCAAATTTATTGGCATGAGGTTTTTAATCATATTCTCTTAATATCCTTTAATGTCTATAGGATCTGTAGTGTTATTCTGTCATGCTACGTGCATTGTGGTGTGGAAACTCTTTCCAAGCAGTAAGATGAGGCAATCATAGGGCTCACTTTGTTTTCTACCCCTTCTCTCAAGGATCACTGTCCTGTGCTGCCTGTTGTCCAATGTCTGAAAACCTCTATTTGACATACTCACATCTTTTAGTGGTTTCCAGTGAGACAGTAAATATGGTTCCTGTTACTTCATCATCGCGAAGAATGGAAGCTTTACTTTTTATAATGAAAAATTTCAAACATATACAAAAGTAGAGAGAATGGTATAAACTTTCACATACCTATTATCCAGCTTCAACAATTATCAACTCATAACCAACATTGTTTCATGTATACTCCCTTCCTAAATGGCCCTCTCTCTGGAATATTTTGAAGCAATCCCAGACAGCCTATCATTTCCTTCATAAATATTGTGGCAATGTATCTTTAAAAGATAAAGGCTTAAAAAAAAAACCCATAACCATAATACCACTATCAAACCTAAAAACATTATCAATAATTTCTATTATCAAGTACTGAGTCAGCATTCAAATCTCCCTGTTTTTTTCTACCTTTTAAAAGTAGTTGATTTGTTTAAATCAGAATCAAAATAAGGTATACACATTATATTTGGTTAATACATTTCTTAAGTCCTTTTAAACTTTTAGGTTTCCCCTTCCACTTTTCCTTGAAAGTATTTTAGAAACTGTACTGTCTAATAAAGTAGAAACCAGTCACATGTGGCTATAAAGCACTAAAATGTGGCTAAAGCAACTAAGAAACTGAATTTTAAATTTGAATTTAAATTTAAAATTAAAAACTGATACTTGTTCCTAGCTACTGGAAAATGGAACAGCTTGGGTATGTGAACCTAACTTTTTCAACTATCAGTTTCAGAAAGTCAGAATACAGATCAAGTATTTCTGATGAAAATTTACTATCTGACTTGAGATGTGTTTTAAGTATAAAGTATTTTGAAGACTATGAGATACAAAATAGCTTATTAGTAAATTTTCAATATTGCTTATAAGTTGAAACGACAATATTTTGGATATACTGGGTAAAATATATTATTGTAATTCATTTAACCCATTACTTTTTGCTTTTTAAAATCTGGCTACTACAAAGTTACATGTAGGCTGGGTGTGGTGGCTCACACCTATAAACCTAGCCTTTGGGAGGCTGAGGTGGGTGGATAACCTGAGGTCAGGAGTTTGAGACCAGCCTGGCCAACAAAATGAAACCCCATCTCTACCAAAAATACAAAAAAATTAGCAGGGCATGGTGGTATGCCTGCTAGTCCCAGCTACTTGGGAGGCTGAGGCAGGAAAATCGCTTGAACCCAGAAGGCGGAGGTTGCAGTGAGCTGAGACTGCACTCCAGCCTGGGTGACAGAGTGAAGACTCTGTCTTGAAAAAAAAAAAAAAAAAAGAAAGTTACATGTAGAGCTTACACTGTATTTCTACTGGACAGTGCTGAAGTAAATTATTTATCCTACAGAGTTCCTTATATTCTAGGTTTTGCTGACTGTATTCCTCAGTGTTATTTAACATATTTCTTCCTGTCCTGAATTTATTGTAACCTGGTAGTTTTAGACCAGTGGTTCTCAACTGGGGGTACTTTTGCTCCCCAGGGGGCAAATGTCTGGAGACATTTTTGATTGTAACAACTGGGGTGAAGTATGTGTGTGTGTACTACTGACATCTAACAGGCAGAGGCTAGGAATACTGCTAAACATTCTAAAAAGCACAAAAAAATTTATCCACTCTAAAATGTCAATAATGCTGAGGTGAGAAACCCTGTTTTAGCGACTTAGACTGCAATTTGATTTTTTTAATAAGACTATTTGATATGGTTTGGCTCTGTGTCCCAACCCAAATTTCATGTTGAACCGTAATCCCCAATGTTGGGGGAGGAATCTAGTGGGAGGTGATTGGCTCATGAGGGTGGATTTCCTCCTTGCTGATCTCATGATACTGAGTTCTCACAAGATCTGATCGTTTAAAAGTGTGCAGCACTTCCCCCTTCTCTCTCACCGCCATGGTAAGACGTGCCTGATTCCTCTTCACCTTCCCTATGATTTTAAGTTTCCTGAGGCCTCCCAGCCATGCACCTTGTACAGCCTGAAGAACTGTGATTCAATTAAACCCTTTCTTTATAAATTACCCAGTCTCAGGTAGTTCTTTATAGAAGTGTGAGAATGTACTAATACAGAAAATTGATACAAGAGAAGTGGGGGCATTGCTATAAAGATAACTGAAAATGTGGAAACAACTTTGGAACTGGGTAATAAGCAGAGGTTGGAACAGTTTGGAGGGCTCAGAAGAAGACAGGAAGATGAGGGAAAGTTTGGAACTTCGAGACTTGTTGAGCAGTTGTGACCAAAATGCTGACAAGGATATGGACAGTGAAGTCCAGATTAAGGTGGTCTCAGATGGAGATGAGGAACTTATTGGAAACTCGAGTAAACGTCACTCTTGCTATGTTTTAGCAGAGACTGGCAGCACTGTGCCTCTGCTCAAGAGATCTCTGGAATTCTGAACTTGAGAGAGACGATTTAGGGCATCCGGTGGAAGAAATTTCTAAGCAGCAAAGCATTCAAGATGGGGCCTGGCTGCTTCTAACAGCCTATGCTCATTTGCATAAACAAAAGTGACCTGAAACTAGAACTTTAAAAGGAAAGCAGAGCATGAAAGTTTGGAAAACTTGCAGCCCAACCATGCAGTAGAAAAGAAAAACCCATTTCCCGGAGAAGGAATTCAAGGCTGCAGAAACTTGCAGAAGTAAAGAAGAGCCAAATGTTAACAGCCAAGACAATGGGGAAAATGCCTCCAGGGCATGTCAGAAGCAGCCCCTCCCATCACAGGCCTGGCGATCTAGGAGGGAAAACTTGTTTCTTGGGCCAGGTCCAGGGCCCTGCCGCTCTGTGCAGCCTTAGGGCATGGTGCCCTACATCCTAGCCACTCCGGGTGTGGCTAAACGGGGCCAAGATATAGCTCAGGCCATTACTTCAGGGGGTGCAAGTCCCAAGCCTTGGCAGTTTCCACAAGGTGCTGGTCCTGTGGGTGTGCAGAAGGCAAGAGTTGAGGTTTGGGGGAGACTCTGCTTAGGTTTCAAAGGATGTATGGAAATGCCTGGATGTCCAGGCAGAAGTCTGCTGCAGGGGCTAAGCCCTCATGGAGAACCTCTACTAGGGCAGTATGGAAGGGAAATGTGGGGTTGCAGGCCCTACACAGAGTCCCCACTGGGGCACTGCCTAGTGGAGCTGTGAGAAGAGGGCCACCGTCCTCCAGACCCCAGAATGGTAGATCCACTGACAGCTTGCACCGTGTGCCAAGAAAAGCTGCAGGCATTCAATGTCAGCCCATGAAAGCAGCTGTGGGGGCTGAACCCTGCCGAGCCACAGGGGTGGAGCTGCCCAAAGCCTTGGGAGCCCACTCCTTGCATCAGTGTGGCCTTGATGTGAGACATGCAGTCAAAGACTTTTTGGGAGCATTAAGACTTAAATGTTTGCCCTGCAGGGTTGCAGACATGTGTGGGGCCTGTAGTTCCTTCGTTTTGGCTGATTTCTCCCTTTTTGAAAGGGGGTATTTACCCAATGCCTGCGCCCCCACTATATCTTGGAAGTAACTAGCTTGTTTTTGATTTTACAGGTTCATAGGTGGAAAGGGCTTGCCTTGTCTCAGATTCAACTTGTACTTGGACTTTTGAGTTAATGCTAGAATGAGTTAAGACTTTGGGGGACTGCTGGGAGGGCATGATTGTGTTCTGAAATATGAAAAGGACACAAGATTTCGGAAGGGCCAGGGGCAGAATGATATGGTTAGTTCTGTGTCCCCGGCCAAATCAAATGTTGAATTGTAATTCCCAATGTTGAGGGAGGATCTTGGTGGGAGGTGATTGGATAATGGGGGCGGATTCCCCTTGTAGTTCTTGTGATAGTGAGTTCTCACAAGATCCGGTTGTTTAAAAGCGTGTAGCATTTCCCCCTCATCCTCTCTCCTACTCTGCCATGGTAAGACATGCTTGCTTCCCCTTCACCTTACACCATAATTGTTAAGTTTCCTGAGGTCTCCCAGCCACGCTTCCTATACAGCCTGTGGAATGGAGTCAATTAAACCTCTTCATAAACTACCCAGTCTCAGGTAGTTCTTTTTAGCAGTGTGAGAAGAGATACCCTATTCCACAGTGGTGGTGTGTCCTTTCATTAGGGTACATGTAAATATCTGGCTATCTTTTTGTGATGCTGGAAACTAATGTAATCCGATTCATTAGCAGCTGCAAAGTAGTAACAGCCTAATTCCTTTATTGTTTATAAATTACTTCTTTAAAGATAAACTTCTCTTCATCATGTATTTGTTATTTTCAGGATAAATGCAAAATTCTCTATTTAACCATTTTTCAAAGTCACAAGCCAGTTCCCCAGTATCCTCCAAAGCGACCAATATTATTTTATTTCAGCATCATTATAAACTTGTGCATTTAGACATATTTTCAGGATAAATGCAAAATTCTCTAACCATTTTTCAAAGTCAAGAGCCAGTTCCCCAGTATCCTCCAAAGTGACCAATATTATTTTATTTTAGCATCATTATAAACTTGTGCATTTAGACATTTTTGATAAGTTTCTATCTATTATCTCTTCATGTATGGCGGGTATACGATTCTTCATGTAGGCTCCTGGGTCCTGTTGATAACCAAGTCATCTCTGATAATTTCTTTGACTTTTGTTATGAAAAGATGATCATGGCTAATCTTATATAAACATTTCTTCTCCTGGACCTGAAATCAGCCATTTCTCCAGTGGGCCACTTTAGTGGAAAATAGTATTTAGAAGTCATAATCTAGGTCTTTTTAGTAGACAAAGCTAGGAAATGTTTGTTTTTTTGAGAAAATACATTGTGAGTTCATTCCGATATTTACATTCAAATTAAAAGCTTTAAGGTTTTATTATGTATCTTCTTTTATATCTGAATCCCTTTTCTCTTATGCTGAAAAACTGTAATTACATTAACGTAACTACTTGTTTGCTTTACTCTATAATATTTTCAGAATAACATTACAAATATTAACATTATGATTACTGAAAACAGTACATGATTTTTTTTGCAATTTTTTTTTGCCCTTAGAATCATTACAGTGTTTTATAGTCATTTGGAATAATTTTTCTCTGTTAGGCTATGTTGCTAACTCAAAACAAAGTTAGATGCATTTGTTTCACTGTGCTTTTACTAAGCTTGTCTTTTTGGAAAATTTCATTTAGTTTTGCTGGCAGATGGTTCCAAAGTGGAAAAAATATAAGATCTATTTAGATGAGTGTAGCTTTTAACCTTGTCTTTTCCTACCCCCAGCTAAAAAAAAAAAATTAAAAAAAAAAAAAAAAGATTCTGGTTTATCATTGTAATTTTTAAATAAGCCAACATAAAGTCAAAGTAATCACTTTCCCTGATCCTTTCTTTGATAGTAACATACTATAAAGTTTTCTCTCCTTTCTTTTTTGACCTAAGAATATATATATCACTGCATAGCAGCATATTGAGATATTTAAACTTTTTAAAATTTGTATTTCCATTTGCCTGGTACACCTTTGCTCATCCATTTACGTAAGTTTTCATGAGGTATAATTTACATACCATAAAATTCGCTCACTTGAAGTGTACAATTCAATGACTGTTAGCAAATTTACAGAGCTATGTAAACATCACCACAGTCCAATTTTACATTTCCATCACCAAAAAGATCCCTTGCACCCATCCATCCTTTTATTTTAAAGCTTTCTCAATCTCTTTCTTTTAGATGTACCTCTCACATTCTGCACAGTGTTGGAATTTACTTCCAAAAAATATTTTCATAGGTGAATTATATCCATTTGCATTTAATAATATGACTGATGTTTGACCTTAGCTCTGCCACTGTTTTATGTCATATTTGTTTTTATGTCTCTTATATCTGTAAATAAAATATCTAGTCTTTAGTTATGTGATTTTCTTGCCCTGCCAGTCTCTTGTCTTTGTGTATCTTTTTGGTATTTAGGAAGACTTTTATTTTTATTCTGAAGTTTATTATTATGCAAATATCTTATATAATATCCTTATGTCCTTAATAGTTTTGGGGGATACTATCTATTGGCTCCCTACTATAAATAATTTTGAATATCTCTCTTATTTTCCTCTCCCAAAACATCTAATATGAAGTAATAACTTTTTATTTCCTGAAAATACCTATAGGACAATCAGTAAATATATTCTATTTTACTTGCATTATCTCCCTTCTTGCATTTTCAGAGAAATGTGCTTTAGTTACATTGTCAGACTTATAACTATAGAATATATATTTTATGATCTCCTTTATCATGTAGCTCTAGTTCTCTTCAGTAAGAAGTTTTGTTCTGCAAAGGAGTATCAGTTAGTTTGAGAGTTCACAGGGCTAGATCACCCCAGCACTATCCAACCTTTCTGAAGTCTATAAAGTTGCCTCTCAGTTTTAGCTGCTCTCAAATTGATCTCTAAGTGTTCTACAACTAATGAGACCTTTAGAGATGATCAGGATGCTGGCAGTCTGATATCTGGATTCTCTGAGCCCTCCCTTGCTGATACCATGCTAGTCTTGATGCTGCTGCTGATTTATTTTACGCACTTGTATTCTGGAGTTCACAGGTGTTGTATAATAAAGAATTTGACTGGGCTTTGTTGCTGGTTCCTCTAAAGTTCTTGGAATTGAGCAATAGGAAAGTCTGTATTACTCGTGAGCCCCTTAGATCACTCCTGAGTTAATGCTAAGAATATGACTCAGGATGGGGATAGAAAATGCCACAAAGATCAACTGTATGATTTGAGCAATACACATGTCTTTGAGCCACATGATTTCAGCCCAACTTCCCAAACTCCAGGGAAGAGGGCTGATGATCAAGCTCAACCACATAGCCAATGATTCAATCAACAACCATGTCTATATAATGAAACCCCAATAAGAAACCCGAGTACTGAAGCCTGGTAGGGCCCACTGGTTGGTGAACCAGGAGATGTGTGAGGAGGGTGATGTACCCTAACTGCACAAGAAAAGAGTAAAGAAACTTTTGAGTTTAGGAACCTCCAAAATGTTGGTTGCCCTGTGTCTCTTAATTTTGCTAGTCCTGATTGTATCTTTTATAATAAAATCATAATCGTTAAGAATAGTGCTTTCTCGAATTCTGAGTTGTTTTATCAAATTATTGAACCTGAGTGGGGGTCATAGGAACTCTTGAATTTGCAGCTAGTTGGTCAGAAATACAAGTGACCTGGAGACCCCTAAACTTGAAGACGGTGTCTGAAGTAAGGGTGGTCTTTTTGGGAACCGAGCCCCTATGGTATACAGTTTGATAGTGACCAGGATGGTTAGCGTCAGAATAGTACTGCAGTATGCCCACATGGATACCCTGAAACTTAGTTTTGTTATACGTGTTGTCCACAGGTTTGTTGTTATATTATTCTAGCTTCTCTTCTGTTTTTGGGAAAAGATTTTGGAGATTCAAAAACTATGCCACTGCCACTACCATCTTATTGCCAGCTCTCCTTCCGGTTTTAAGTTAATATGGTATATCACATGCTCTCCCCTCCACCCAGTATTTCTGTGTTTATCATTTCACAGTCAGATATTAACAAAAGATTAAACTGCTGAAGTTACTCAACCAGTCTTAAGTATTTTAAGTATTACTTCCTCATCAACATGATGCATTAAATTTGTAAGTTAAATAGCATAAAACAACAAACTATATATTGCTAGTGATGACACGATATATATTTTCAAACCAGTCTGAGGTTAGAACCTCAAAATAAAAAGTAAAGGCAAAAATTTTACCTCTGTAAGACGGAGTTGTGAAGATGCGGCCATATAATCTGATTCTAATTTGTTCTTCTCAGAGATCACTGTAGTATTTTGGAGAATTAAATCTACTTTTTGTATATGCAAAGAAGTACAAATCTAGGAACAAAAACCCCTAAGAGTTAATTTTTATGTTACCTATGTTTTAGAACTAAAAAATGTATAGTTTTTTAAAACAAAATTATAAACCATGAAAAAATAATTTTCCTATTGTGCCTGACATCTCTCTCAAACAGTTCTTGTAACAATTTTTTAGAAAGTGTTTTCCTTTGTTTTTAAGAGAGTCATCTGGAATAAACACATTTAGCTTAATGAGTGCTTTTATCCTATTTATTACCTCTAAAGAAAATGTCAAGCAACTAAGCAAGCTGAAACTGATGATAAAGATCTCTTGCTTATATAACTAAAATGTCAAAAACCTTAATCAAAACCTTCCCTCCCTCTAAAGATTTTACTATCTTATCTGCCCGCTATTTCCTTTAAAAAATGACTAAAATTAAAACAATACCTTACCTTTATTAGGTTTGTTAATTCGGTAACAAGTTTCGCTTTTTGAACATTTATTTCTTTGATTTTGGTACTTGCTTTTCGCTCTTCCTCTTCAAGATTGCAAGTATCCTGTTCCATCAGCTTTAAACTGTATGACACATATAATAATGAAGAAATCAGTGTTAAACATAAGAATTGATCCCAAATTCTTAGGTCCCCCCCAGTTTTCTGGGATATATTTAGCAATACTTTTCAGATATATAGTGCCTGGCCCATAACCGATCAATCAATATAAGTTGTTTCTGTTGCTATTAATATTGTTTATAAAACAGTCACTTCCCTTAAGGAGCTAAAGTGGGGAGAGTTAATAGCTAAAAACCAGAAACGAACAAACAAAAAACACAACACAATAATCCTAAAAGTTAATAGTATGTTCTCAATTTTAAAGATGAAGAAACTAAGGCTCAGGTAAGTGAAGTAAATTGCCTAAAATCACAGATATTAAGTGTTAAGATGTGTTTGGTACCAAAGTCCATGTTCTTTCCACTACACCATGTTGCCTCGAAGAGAAAAGAACAAAGGATGGAAGCAACAACAAACAAATTCAGCGGGTGCTGTAGAGAGTGGCCAGAATGGTACAAGGACGAGTATGTTGGGGAGGGGAGGGAGATAAGTTGGAATGGGTAAAGCGAAATAACATTTTGAAGAATCATAAAAGCTTGCCTAAAGGAGAGTAGTGTTTAATTAAATTTCATGTAGCAACTGTAGAAAGCCATAATTTTTTTTTGTTTGTTTGAGATAGGAGTCTTATTCTTTTGCCTAGGCTGGAGTGCAGCAGCACAATCTCAGCTCACTGCAACTTCCACTTCCCAGCTCAAGCAATTCTCCTGCCTCAGCCTCCCGAGAAGCTGGGATTACAGGCGCCCACCGCCATGCCCGGATAATTTTTGTATTTTTAGTAGAGACAGGGTTTCATCATGTTGGCCAGGCTGGTCTCAAACTCCTGACCTCAAGTGATCCACGCACCTCGGCCTCCCAAAGTGCTGGGATTACAGGCGTGAGCCACCGCACCTGGCCTCATAATGAATATTCTTGAATGGGGTAGGAACATGCAAAGAAAATAAATTTTGCAACAGTCTTTTGGATGAATTAAATACAGAAGTGACTAGTCAGGCAGAGACCACTAACTAGGTCACCACTGCAGTAGTCCAAAGTGAACAGAAGTAGGAGATAGTAGGCTAGTAACACGTATGAAAAGTCATCTCACTGTGAAAAATCAACATTACTTTACGAGGAGAAAGTTTAGTTTTAGACAATGGGTTCAATACAGCAATTGCGCAATAAAGGTTGAGCGTTTTGCAGAAGATTGAATAGGAATGAAGGAAAGGGTTAAAAGTTTAAAGAAAGGTTTAAAGTTGAAACAAATTCTAGGAAGCTAGACTAAATAGATATATCTTGCTTTAAACAACCAAGGCACATTACCAATTTTAAAAATAGAAGTTAATGGGCAATTGTTTGCTTTAAAAAAACATAAACAACAAAGAACAAATCTTCCTAATACATTTCAAATATGATTCAATTTATAAATGTGTTTAGAAATACAAACGATATTAAGTCAAGGTAAACATACCTTATTCAAGACAATGAGCTGTTACTTATTATTAAAGATTATGTCACTAATATCTATCTTTAGTCTATAGACGAGAAGTCAGAACAACAACAACAACAAAAAGCTGTGGGCTGTGTTATGGTAGGATATGGAAAAAACCTTGAAACTGGAAACCGTGTGCCTTTTCCCCAGACTTGAAACCCTAATAGCTTTTATCCCACCTTATATATTCTGGTTTCTACAAAAGATCTAAATTCAAAATAAAAGTTACAATCGTTCTGAGAATGGGTGACTGGGTTTTCACAATAAATCAGCAGTTTTCTGTTTAGAAAAGACTTTTGGCTGGGTGTGGTGGCTCATGCCTGTAATCCTAGCACTTTGGGAGGCTGAGGCGGGAGGACTGATTGAGGTCTGGTGTTCGAGACCAGCCCCAGCAACATAGCAAGACCCCATCTCTACAAAAAAGCTGGGCATAGTGGTGCACACCTGTGGTCCCAGCCACTCAGGAGGCTGAGGCGTGAGGATTGCTTGAGCCCAAGAGTTCAAAGCTGTAGTGAGCTGTGAGCATGCCACTGCACTCCAGCCTGGGTAACAGAGCAAGACCCCGTCTCAAAAAAAAAAAAAAAAGACATTTGACAATATTATATTTACATTTTGTACAGAATTCTGTGGAATATATGACCCATTAAGGCCAAGCAGACATAATTCTAATTGTCACAAGGAAGACTGCAACTAAATGAGTGAGATAAACCCTCAGGTGCCCAATCTATTCTGTGAAACTCAATATAACCTCCTCCTTCCCTATTACTCTCTTTCAGAACTAGAGAAAAAACAGCCTAGTTTGACAATTTTTCTGCCTTCCCCTCTCCTCTCCTACCATTCAGAACTCAAGGGACATATTGTTTTGGATAATCATGTAGGGCAGTGGTTCTCAAAGTCCGGTCTACAGACTCCTGGGGATACCTGAAACTATTTCAGGAGTCTGTGAGTTAAAAACTATTTTCATGGTGGTAACAGGACATCATTTGCCTTTCTCACCATGCTGTCATTTGCACTGACGGTGTAAAAGCAATGGAAAGTAAAAATGCTAGTGCTTTAGAATAAATCAAGGTAGTGTACCAAAACTAGTGCACCAAAGTATACTAGTTCTTAGATTCTTCACTGCCATGCAATTGAAATTTTTAAAAATGCCAAATTCCCTTAAGAATATCCTTGATGAAGCAGTAAAATTCATAAATTTTATTAAACCTCAAAATCTTAAGTATATATATTTTTAATATTCAATGTCATGACATAGGAAGTACATAATATAGTTGTCCCCCAGTATCCATCAGACATTGGTTGCAGGACTCCCTAAGGATTCCAAAATCCACAGATGCTTAAGTCCCTTATATAAAATGATGTAGTATTTGCATATGGCCTATGAACATCCTCCCATATATTTTATATTATCTCTAGATTAGTTATAATACCTAATACAACATAAATGCTATGTAAATAGTTGTTATATTGTATTGCTTAAGGAATAATGACAAGAAAAAAGTCTGTATGTGTTCCATACAGACATAACCATCCATTTTTGTCCCCCTGAATATTTTTCTTTCTTCCCTCCTCCCTGCCCTGCCTAAAGAGATGAGGTCTTGCCATGTTGCCCAGGCTGGTCTCAAACTCCTGGACTCAAGTGATCCTTCCGCCTTGGCCTCACAAAGTGTTGGGGTTACAAGTATGAGACACTGCACCTGGCCTCTTGAATATTTTTGATCTGTGGTTGGTTGAATCCATGGATGTGCAACCCACGAATATGGAGGGCAGGCTGTGCTTATTAAATATTTGTAGTATATTCAAAAGTATAAATGTTGTTTCAAGGAAAAGCACTTGTGTGACTAAGTTTGGAGTTATACTAGACATTTTTTTCATGGAATACCATTTTTATTTAAAAAAATGACAAACTATAATTATCTGGACTTGGCTATTTGGTCATTTTTCTTTTTCCAAACAGGAATAAAGTGAGCTTGTCATTTCAAGGAAAATAACTGACAATATTTGTTGCCAATGATAAAGTTCAAACTTTCAAATGAAAATTTGAATTTTAGAAAATCTGTATCCACTGGCAAGCTTGACAGCTTCCCAATTCTTAACAGCTTTTCTGATGGAATCAGTGATCAATGTGATCTTTTAAAAATATTACATAATAAAATATGTCAACGTTTGAAATATCTATGTGACTTGATGAACCAGTATTCTCCCAATGACCAATGCATGCTATAACTAAATCATTTACAAGTAAAAGCGCCATCTAAAGTGCAATGGATTTTAATGTAACAGAGTACACAAGTTCACTGATATGGTTTCAGATTCCACACTGCAATTAAACTTTAATAAACTACACTTTGGCAAATTTTGATGTAGTATTAAAGAATAATATCCACAATTACCTGAAAAGTCTAAAATACTCCTCCTTTTCCAACTGCATATTTATGGGAAGCCAGATTTCCTTCATATACTTCAACTCAAACATCTCACTACAAACTCAATATACAGAATTAAGTAGGGAAAAACCTACTGACTTCAACTAAAGAAATCTGCAAAAATGTAAAACGCCACTCTTCTCACTAAATGTATTTTGTCTGGAAAACAGCTATTTTTAATACATTTTTATGTTAACACATAATGGGTTTATTTTTAAAATGAATTACTGCCCCATCTCCACCTAAAAAAAAATAAATTAATGAATATTTTAAACATTCTCAGTTTTAATTTCTAATATGGTAAATATCAATAAATACAATCCATGTAAACAAAACCTCTTCAAGGTCCTCATTAATTTTTAAGCATATAAAGGAGTCCAGAGACTGGAAGAACAGAAGAACTTGCAACACTCAAGATTCATCTCCTTTTGCCCTATGGAATAAAATTGTGTTTTATGCAGTAAGATTAAAGATTAAAGAGAAATTACTACAAAGCGTGCTTGTGGAAATGCTGTTGTTATTACAGTGTATAATTAATATTCTCCCATACAGTAATTTGTGCTCTCCCCCCTGAATAGGCTAAAAGATACCTTCCTAGTTTGGAACTGATTTTTTGTTCCAGTTGTCTTTTCTTGGTTTTTCTCTCAAGAAGCTCCTTCTTCTTTTGTCTAAGTTCATTGTCTTTGTGCTCCAGATGTTTGCTTGTTTCACGTAAGGCAATCAACCCTGAATCCACTGCTTGCAATTTTCTATGAATTTCCTATAAAATATTTAAAAATTGTTAACATATTTAAAAAACTGTTCCAGTGAAACTATTAGAAATCCAGTTAATATTCTTTTCTAACATTCAGATCAAATTAACCAACCTTTAGCTGTTCTTCTAAGTGTCTTCTCTGCTCTAGGTCCACAGTGACAGTGAGAAACTGCGCTACTTTTAGAGATGTGTTACTAGAAATAACTTTGTTTGAATAAAAAGAAGTTTTCACCACATACTTTTCTTCTGCTGTATAAATCTGTTTTAATCGGGTTTCTTGTATTACCTATAACGTAAAACAACTATTAGTGCACATCTAATATAAATTATATGTTTTAAAGTACTAAATTAGAAATACAGACCAAGTGAATTTTGGAAGATCAAAATATACGAGATATACATTTTTTTTTTTTAGACAGGGTCTCACTCTGTCACCCAGGCTGGAATGCAGTGGCACGAACTCAGCTTACTCCAGCCTCAACCCCCCAGGCTCAAGTGATCCTTCCACTTCAGCCTCCTGAGTAGATGGGACTACAGGCATGTGCCACCACGCCTGGTTAATTAAAAAAAATTTTTGTAGAGATGGAGTTTTTCCATGCTTCCTATGGGGGCGCTGGTCTTGAATTCCTGCCTCTGAGATTCTCCCGCCTGGGTCTTCCAAAGTGCTGGGATTACAGATGTGAGCCACTGCATCTAGCAATTTTTTTTTTAACCTATCCAACAAAATTTCAAAAAAGGCGGCCCATACAACTAGCAAAGTCAGCTATACTTCTACGCTACTATACAACTCTCCCAAGTAGTTTTGGAGCTTTGTTACATCTAAAGAAGAGATAGCAGGAGAGAAGAGTGCTCAGCACATTGAACTGTTATCTTGGGTAAGTCATTTACTCTCCCCTCCTCTCAGTTATACTGTTCAAAGATACATAATCTTATATTTAGTTCCTGTATATTTGGGAAGAATAATCAAATGAAACATTTTTCATAGATTTCAAAGCCTTTTCTTATTTTTAAAGTTTTTTAGAACTTTTCTCTGAAGAATTTATACATGGATTTCATAAACTAAAATATATTATAAATACCACAACCATACCACTATTTGATCTATTTCTGTATATTTATAGAGTAGGCTGCTGCAATGCAGAGCATTTTTAGAGGTTGTTTCCAATCTCTAAAAACCTTCAGATACTATTGTAATACTACTGTAGCTTGTTTCCTTCCAGAAGTTTATAGTCTAAGTGAAGAAGTAAGACATATTTAAGCACACTAGGTCAACAGGGCATAAATCCTACAATCCGACTAATCTGAAAAAAAGGGATAGACTGGATGACTTTAGCCTACCCAAGTTTCCTAAAAATGAGTTTTAAACTGGATTTGAACTGACAGAGTGAAGGAAGAGCACTTCCCATAAAAGTGACATCTCAAGCTAAAGAAGTCAGCAGACAATTTAACCAAAGGGAGAATCTTAGAAATTAATGAGAGAACAATTCCATAAATAGGATATACTGTTAGATAACCTAAAATGTTAAGAGTTAATAATAAAAGAAAACATAAAGAGTATACTTTTATTCTGAGGAAGAGATACAGCCATTATTGCCATTATCTAGCCATTATTGTCTCAAACAGAAGGATTGAGGATATAAAGGTAGTAAATTTCCTCAATAAAGGTTTATATCTTCTGAAAGATAGCTAAGATAATCTTTACTAGGTACTTGAAATACTTTCTAACTTGGGTTTTCTTGTACATACAGATGTCTGAAAAGTATATCATCATAAATTATTTATATACAACATAGAACTGAGTTAGGCATTGGGACAGTAAGGTATTTGATATGTTTGAGAATTTAAAAAATATAGTATATAAAACCAAAGAGATTAAGATTAATGAAAACACCTGAAAAAGAAATGGGAAGAAAAGAATTTCACTTTTAATATAAATTATATGAATTCCAAAGCTATTTCTCTAGTACAAACAGCAGTGTCAAAGCTCCCTAGGTGACTTAAACAAAATGTTAAAAGTAAAAGTACATGACCATGTTCAAAAAAGAAATTTCCAAATGAAGTAATTGCTCCTTTCTGCCCCAAAGTGAAGTTTAAAAAGTCCTTATCAACCTTTCTATTGTCTTTCTGAATTAGTAAAGAAGTCCCACTAATCTTACTTTCAGAGAGAACCCTACCTACCCCTAAAGCTTTGACAAAAATTGGTTTGGTCTATGCATATGGTCTTGTCCTCTTTTCTAAACCTCAGTGAATTAAGAAAAAAGAGTAGTATACCCACATAGAGACTTCTACTTTTGGTTTTCCCAAATGATTACCATAATATGATATAATTCTAATCAAGTTACTGTTAAGTAACTTGTTTTTGCAAAATGAGTTGGTAATGAGCTCTCATTTTTCTATCTTCTGTTAATGAAGTATAGTGAGCCCCCAAATGAATCATCTTAGGAATATTTATATACTGGTTAGAAATGTAAAACATATTTTTTAATAAATATTATAAGTAGCAGGTAGGTCTATAATCAGTTACCAGATGCTCATAAGCAGTAATACAGCAACTTGGTATTAATACTGGAAAAACCTGTTGCAGGAGAGATTTCCTCTCTGTTTCTGCCTGTGATAAAAGTGCATACGGTTTGGAGTCACAGAGATTGCTTTAAAGAATAAAATTCCCAACAGCATTAGCAGAATACAGAAACTAGGAGTTTCTTTGGCTGTATGTACTAGCCAAACAAATCCTATGAGAAGTGGTCATTCATATCTGAGATAATCTTAAGTACAAGTTTTAATAAAAGGAAGGCTGACCAAAAACAGTTTTATACCCCAGCCTACCATTCTAAAGTATAATTTGTCTTAAAAATAATCTCAAATATAATAATTTAAAAGACTAAACTATTAATACAATGTTTGAACATAGATTTACCAAGCAAGGCAGAATCAGGTTAGTGTACTAGGTATCTCTTTTCAGGTTTTAACTTTATGGAATTACCCTAAATGTATTAAGTATTTATTCTAGTTAATTCCACATCACTCCTCTCACAATGTATTAGTTAACAGTCAATGTTTCATGTCATATGGAAAATAATTAATACAAATATAATTTCTGCATGGTTAAAAACAACAGACTTACTTAAATTCTGACACGTTTTGCTTGCCTTTAGCTAAGAAGTTTTAACAAAACTACATTTTTGGTACATGATTCAGTACATGATTCACTACTTTCCTACCCGTTCAATTCTTTCTCTGGTCTTTTCAGTTCCTACAGGAACTTCATGAATATGATACTGACAGCAAAGGTAACTCATTACAGGATCAGGTGCATCAAATAATTCTCTCAAATAAGAGAAAAATCCGTATTGTCTGAAAGGAAAAGTATTGATTAGATTTTTCTTCTTAAAATATCATTAAAAAAATCTGGGAGTTGATAAGCCACCAATAAACAATAAGTAAAACATACATTATTTCAACAATGACACAGGACAAGTCTTTTTTCTTTTATATTTTAAAATCACATATGACTTATTCACTTACCAGAAAAGCTTAAGCTTTTTATGATTACAAACTACTCTTTTTAAATTTCTTCTATTATGTTTAGAATGCTTACTTATATTCCAAATTAAGATATTTACTTATAATTATTTTATAATTAACATTTTTTACATTTAGTCCTTTTGGAAATTGTTTCTGCATTATGAAGGGATAATTTATCATTTCATTTTCCCAATAACTAACCCACTACTTTAGCATCTTTTATTAAATAGTTCAATATTATTCTGCAGACTTGAAACATCACATCGCATCACACTCACTGTGTGCTAACTATATCATGGTCCTGTGCCTAAATTTTTCCTTATATTCGACTTAAGAGATCTTAAAAGGAAATAATACAGCTTGTAATAGCTTATTTATGTAACAATAAATGTTGAATAATTCAATATTTAAATAAATCTTAGTATTTTCAAGACTTACTTAAGTTCATTCAAAGATCTTGAAGGTGCTTTGTCTGCATATGAACTCTTGGGAGCAATAACAGCATTTACTCTTAATTTTTTATTGTCACGAACCTGAATATAGGGAAAAGAAAATATTATTTTAATTACCATATATTCTCTACTGAAATGATTTATAGTTACCATACTCCTACTGGCATTCGTGGGATGGATAAGAAACTCGAACACGGCATATTAGATGTTACTTAGTATAAATTTTTTTACTGTGATAATACTGTAGTTATGTGTTTTTATAAAAAGAGTCCACTTCTTTTAGAGATACATACCAAAATATTTTCAGGTGAAACAGAATGTCTGGGAATTACTTCAAAATGATACAGAAGGGAGATAGTTATGCTTACATTATTGGCAGATTATCTTGTATTGGACTAACTTTTCTACAAACAATGATTGTAAACTCTGGCCAAAATTTTAAAAACAATTATCTTAAGGCACTGGAGATGGACAAAAGAAAGAAGTTGGAAGGGAGTTGACATCTGAAAGAATAGCACTAGGTGAGATTTGTGTTTATGTGGCTTGTGGCTTGGGGGCATTCCCCAATCTGGAGCATCAGGAGTGGGGAAAGAATTCTGGTAGAAAGCTGCAGTCTTTCTGGCTGGAGGGATCATAAGATGGAAGGATGGAGTTTGGGGTGACTAGAATGACTGTAAACTGAGAGGGTAAATTCTTGGAAGAAGGGAGCTGCAAAGTGAGAAGCCTCAAAATCTGCATATAAACGCCCATCTAAATCCTTGGCTGCCCCATGAACTATGAGTGCACAGGAAAATTCCAGGGGATTGGAGGAAAGCAACAAGTGGAAGGCTAAAACTAAAACAACAACAATCCCCACTGAATGGAGATTTCAGTTGCTGTCCATTGCTTGAGAGACAGAGTTTGGAGTTTAAATCCAGCTAAGTTAACTGCCTTCTAGTCTCTTTGGAAGAAGATAATTGATAATTGAATCCAGTCTCTACAATGTTATTACCCACGATTCCAGAATATAATAAAAAAATTACTGGCTGGGCACTGTGGCTTACACCTGTAATCGCAGCACTTTGGGAGGCCGAGACGGGCGGATCAACTGAGGTCAGGAGTTCAAGACCAGCCCGACCAACATGGTGAAAGCCCGTCTCTACTAAAAATACAAAAAAATTAGCTGGGTATGGTGTGGGGCTCCTGTAATCTCAGCTACTTGGGAGGTTGAGGCAGGAGAATTGCTTGAACTCAGGAGGCAGCGGTTGCAGTTAGCCAAGATCATGCCATTGCACTCCAGCCTGGGTGACAAGAGCGAAACTGTCTCAAAACAAAAACAAAAACAAAACAAAACAAAAAAAACAACTACTAAGCATAAGAATAAAATGCCACCATAGTCAAGAGAAAAAGCAACTAAGAGGAACTGATTCCACAAAGACCTAGATGTTAGAATTAGCAAAGAAGTTTAACGTAGCTATTATATATACACACGTTCAAGAAAACTATGGTTTATTACTATCAACAGGTGGAGAATCTCAGCAGACAGAATAAAGAGAATTAAATGAAAATTCTAGAACTAAAATATGCATTATCTGAAATGAAAAATTCACTGATGGGCTTACTGATGGAAGATCCCAAAACATTAAAAAGATAATATCACAAAAAACTTCATGCCAAAAACATGAATAACTTAGATGAATTGGAAAAATTTCTTAAAAACACAATTTGCCAAATTTAAAACAAGATGAAAAAGAAGCTGAAATAGCCTTTATATGTAGTAGAGAAACTCAATTTACTATAAAAATTCTAATGAAGAAAAGTCTATACTAAGATGTTTTCACTGATAAATTTGATAAAACAGTTAAGGAAGCAATAAACAGAAGGATGAAACACTTCCCAAGTCCTTTTATGATACCAACATAACTCTTATACCAAACTCTTGACAAAAACATTACAAAGAAGTCTATAAACCAATATCCCTCAGGAATACAAAAGCAAAAATCCTTTGTAAAATATTGGTAAACAGAATCCAGCAATGTATGAACAGTATACATGACCAAGCGGAGTTTATGCCAGGAATGCCAGACTGATGTAACAGTCAAAAATCAACTGATCTAACTTATCATATTAACAGAATAAAGTGCAAAACCCATATTATCATCTTAGTAGATGCAGGAAACCATCTGAAAAAACTTGACATCCATTTACAATAAAAATTCTCAGTAAAATAGGTAGATGAGGGAACTTCCTCAACCTAATAAAGAGCATTTGTGGAAAATCCACGCAAACCTCATACCTAATGATGAAACATTAAGTGCTTTCCTCCTAAGGCTGGAAACAAGTAAGGGTGTCCAATCTTGTCATTTGATATAGTTTGGCTCTGTGTTCCCACCCAAATCTCATTCCAAAGTACAATCCCCACTTGCTGAGGGAGGGACCTGGTGGGAGGTGACTGGATCATGGGGGCGGTTTCCCCCATGCTGTTTCGTGATAGTGAGTTCTCACACAATCTGATGGTTTAAAAGTCTGTTGCAGTTCCCTGCCCACTCTCTCTCTCCTGCTGCCATGTAAGATGTGCCTTACTTCTTCTTTGCCTTCCGCCATGATTGTATAAGCTTCCTGAGGCCTCCTCAGCCATGCAGAACTGTGAGTCAATTAAATCTCTTTTGCTTACAAATTACCTAGTCTCAGGAAGTTTTTTTTTTTTTTTTTTTTTTTTTTTTGAGACAGTGTCTCACTCTGTCACCCAGGCTGGAGTGCAGTGGCGCGATCTCAGCTCGTTGCAACCTCCGCCTCCCAGGTTCAAGAGATTCTCGTCTCAGCCTCTTGCATAGCTGGGATTACAGGTGTCCGCCACCATGCTAGGCTAATACAGGCAGTTCTTTATAGCAGTGTGAAAATGGACTAATACATCATTTCTCTTCAACATTGTCCTGGAGGTATGAGTAAATGTAATAATGCACAAGAAAGAAAAGATTGGGAAAAAAAAGAAAGTAAAACGGCCTATCTGCAAAAGACAGGACTTTCTACATAGAAAGTCCTATGGACTCTACAAAGTAACTATAGGCATACCTCATTTTATTGTGCTTTGCTTTACTGACCTTCAAAGATACTGCATTAAAAAACATTTTTTTTTTTTTTTGGCTGGTCAAATGGTAGTGGGTAATCAGAAGTTACTAACATAGTGTCATTAAAGTTGGTATACAACCCCCCACTGCTAAATTTGACTGGTTTAAAAACAATTTTTTAAAACACATTCAAGGTTTGCAGCAACCCTATGTCAAAAAAAGTCTAAAATGCCATTTTTCCAATAGCTTGTGCTCATCTCGTTGTGTCTCTGTGTCATATTTTGGTAATTCTCCCAACTTGTTTATTATTGTTGTATATGTTAGTGATCTATGATCTTTGATACTACCATTGTCATTGGAGTGCCACATACCACACCTAGGTAAGATAGTGAACTTAATCGATACATGCTGCATATGTTCTGACTGCTCCACTGACCATCTGTTCTCCAGTCACTCTCCCTCTCCTTGGGTGTCCCTATTCCCTGACACACGACAATAATGAAATCAGAACAATTAATAACCCTACAATAGCCTCTAAGTGTTCAGGTGAAAAGAAGAGTCACAGGTTTTTCACTTTAAATCAAAAGCTAAAAATAAAGCTTAGTGAGGAAGGCATGACAAAAGTTGAGCTAGGCTGAAAGCTAGCCAAGATGTGAATGCAAAGGAAGAGTTCTTGAAGGAAATTAGAAGTGCTACTCCAGTGTACACACAAATAAGAAAGCAAAATTACCTTATTGCTGATCTGAAGAAAGTTTTAGTGGTCTGAATAGATGATCAAAGCAGCCACAACATCCCTTTAAGCCAAATCCTAATCCAGAGCAAGCCCTAACTCTTTTCAATTATTTGATGGCTGAAAGAGGTGAGAGAAGAAAAGCTTGAAGCTAGCAGAGGTTGGTTCATCATGTTTAAGGGAAGAAGTCATTTCCATAACATAAAAGTGCAAGGTGAAACAGCAAATGCTGATGTAGAAGCTGCAGCAAGTTATCCAGAAGATCTAGCTAAGATCACTGATGAAGGTGGCTACACTAAATGACAGATTTTCAACGCAGAACCAACAGCCTTCTATTGGAAAAGAATGCCATCTAGGACTTTCATAACTAGAGAAAAGAAATCAATGACTGGATTCAAAACTTCAAAGGAAAGCTGACTCTTGTTAGGGATGAATGTATCTACTGACTTTTAAGTTGAAGCCAATGTTTATTTAACCATTCCAAAAAATCCTAGGGCCCTTTAGAATTATGCTAAATCTACTCTGCCCGTGCTCTGTAAGTTGAACAACAAAGCCTGGATGACAGCACATCTATTTACAGCATGGTTTACTGAGTATTTTAAGCCCACTGTTGAGACCTACTCCTCAGAAAAAAAAGACATCTGTCCAAATATTACTGCTCACTGACAATGTACCTAGTCACCCAAGAGCTCTGATGGAGATGTACATGCAGATTAATGTTGTTTTCATGCCTGCAAACACAACATCCAATCTGCAGCCCATGGATCAAGGAGTAATTTTGACTTTCAAGTCTTATCAAGAAACACATTTCATAACACTATGTATGGCTGCCACAGATAATGACTCCTCTGATGAATCTGGGCAAAGTAAACAAAAAGCCTTCTAAAAAAGATTCATCGGCCAGGTGTGGTGGCTTACACCTGTAATCCCAGCACTTTGGGAGGCTGAGGTGGGCAGATCACCTGAGGTCAGGAGTTTGAGGCCAGCCTGGCCAACATGGTGAAATGCCATCTCTACTAAAAAATGCAAAAATCAGCTGGGCATGGTGGCGCATACCTGTAATCCCAGCTACTCAGGAGGCTGAGGCAGAATTGCTTATACCCAGGAGGTGGAGGTTGCAGTGAGCCAAGATTGTGCCACTGCACTCCAGCCTGGGTAACAGAGCAAGACCCTGTCTCCCCCTAAAAAAGATTCATCATTCTACATGTCATTAAGAACATTTTTGATTCATGGGAGGAGGTCTCAAGATATCAACATTAACAGAAGTTTGAAAGAATTCCAGCCTTCAGGGAAGACTTTGAGAGGTTCGACTTCTGTGGAAGAAGTAATGGCAGATGTGGTGGAAAAGCAAGAGAACTAGAATTGGAAGTGGAGCCCAAAGATGTAACTGAATTGCTGCAATCTCATGATAAAACTTGAATGGAGGAGGAGTAGCTTCTTATGGATGAGCAAAGAAAATGGTTTCTTGAGATGGACCCTACTCCTGGTGAAGATGCTGGGAACACTGCTGAAATTACAACAAATGATTTAGAATATGACATAAATTTAGGTGATAAAGTAGAGGCAGGGTTTGAAAGGACCAACTCCAATTTTGAAAGAAGTTCTAGGCTGGGCGCGGTGGCTCATGCCTATAATTCCAGCACTTTTGCGAGGCCATTCCACTCTAGTCTGCGAGACAGAGGAAGACCCTGTCCCCAAAAAAAAAAAAAAAAAAAAAAAAAAAAAAAGGAAAAGGAAAAAGAAATTCTGCTATGGGTAAAATGCTATCATATGCTACAGAGAAATCTTTTGTGAAAGGAAGAGTTGATCAATGTGGTAAATTTTATTGTTGTCTTCTTTAAGAAACTGCCACTGCCACCCCAACCTTCAGCAACTACCACCTTGATCAGTCAGCAGCTATCAATATGGAAGCAAAATCCTCCACTACCAACAAGATTGAACTCACTGAAGGCTCACATGATTGTTCGTATTTTTTAGCAAGAAAGTGTTTTTAAAGTATGTACATTTTTTAGACATAATGCTATTCACACTTAATAGATATAAATAGTATAAACTTAACTTTTATATATACTGGGAAGCCAAAAAGTTTGTATGACTTGCTTTATGGCAATATTTGCTTTATAAATCTGTTATATTTCTTGTATGTCTGTACTAGAATTCAATGTAAATTCAATAGTGTCACAGGATATAAGGTCAATGTTTAAAAAAATCGATATGTCTACGTACTAGCAATGTACAACCAGAAAATGCATTTTAGAAATCCATTTATGATAGTGTAAAAAATATATTTTAAAATTAGACAGTGAAATACACATTTAACAAGAGATGTGTAAAACTTAATACAATGAAAAAGAAAAAATGTTGAGAGACATTAATAGAGGCACGGTGGGATAGAGGAATTTCATGGTAGGACAGATTAGTAATTCTTTTTTTTTTTTTTTTTTTTTTTTTTTTTGAGACAGAGTCTCTGTCGCCCAGGCTGGAGTGCAGTGGCGTGATCTTGGCTCACTGCAAGCTCTGCCTCCAGGGTTCATGTCATTCTCCTGCCTCAGCCTCTCCAAGTAGCTGGGACTACAGGCGCCCTGCCACCACGCCCGGCTAATTTTTTGTATTTTTAGTAGACACAGGGTTTCACCGTGGTCTCAAACTCCTGACCTCGTGATCCGCCCCCCTCAGCCTCCCAAAGTGCTGGGATTACGAGCGTGAGCCACCGCGCCCGGCCACAGATTAGTAATTCTTAAACTATTTTCAGAGGGTTCTAGGCTTGAACAAATTACTAAATATACTGATGGTAAGGGGAGCTATGTTTTTCACTAATACAGAAGAGAATTACAAATATGCAAAGGAGAAAGACTAGAAGGTACCCCAAAGCTGGACTGCAATTGTAAGTAGTAGTGTGAATTCATGGTGCACATATTATCTGGTCTCTAGATAAATATGGAAATAAATACAGACATAAGGGTTTGCATGTTAGGACTCAGAAGCAATGAGATACCAGCAGCAATGAACACACCTAGTATCCAGAGCTCGGTGTCTAAAAGAAAATAGGATTTTTGGTTAAAGGACTGATTGTAAGGCCCAAAAAGATACACTCAAGATGTGCCTGTAACATCTTACTATGGCAAAAAGAAAGAAGTGCTCAAAATACAATGGCAACATATCAAAATGACACAGGAGTCAACCTGAAAATGGTCTCACTGGCCAAATATGGGGCAATCTGAGCATTAAAATAGTAATGAATTGACCGGGCGTGGTGGTTCACGTCTGTAATCCCAGCACTTTGGGAGGCCAAGGCGGGCGGATCACTTGAGGTCAGGAGTTCGAGAGCAGCCTGGTCAACATGGTGAAACCCCGTCTCTACTAAAAATACAAAAAATTAGCCGGGCACGGTGGTGGACGCCTGTAATCCCAGCTACTCGAGAAGCTGAGGCAGGGGAATTGCTTGAACCTGGGAAGCGGAGGTTGCAGTGAGCCAAGAGCGTGCCATTGCACTCCAGCCTGGGCAACAACAAGAGCAAAACTCTGTCTCAAAAAAAAAAAGTAATGAATTAAAATACATAAAACAATTCTATGAATCTATACTGATACAACAAACAAATAAATGGAGGAGAAGAAAAAGCTCTTTCTTATAGGTAGAATGCTAACTAATAAACACAGAAGGAATGACAGAGCTAGAATCATTAATGGCTCTTAAACCTACTAGATTGGGTTTCATGAGGAACAGAATATCTGCAATCTCAAAGTATCTCCACACAAACAATTACAAAGAGAAAAAATAGTGCACACCACCCCACCCGGTTAATTTTTGTATGTGTAGCAGAGACAGGGTTTCACCACATTGGCCAGGCTGGTCTCGAACTTCTGACCTCAAGTGATCTGTCTGCCTTGGCCTCCTAAAGTGCTGGGATTAGAGGCATGAACCACCATGCCTGGCCTATTATTTGTTTTTAACTTTGTAATGATGTATTTCCTTTTAGAAGATTTTGTTTGAGTAACAAAAAGTGAGGTGATTGAAAGAAAAACAAGAAATAATACTATAGGTAGTACTCAGGTTTGGCAAAAATTATGATGTTGCACATAATAGTATGTAGAAATGGCAAAAATTGTGAAGATTTGTAATTTACTGAAGGATGAGAAATGGTACTCTAGTAGATACAATTACAGGAGAAGGTTATATAGAATAAATTTCACAATTTAAAATATACACACAAAAAGTCACAGATATAGGAGAAAGTTCTGGTTCTATCTGATGAGCAGCTATGAAAAATTGTTACAACACAAGAAAAAAGAATACAGGTCAAATGATCAGGAATCTATATTGTATCATCAATATATGGTTTAAATCCTTAGTGCAGAGGCAGAATGAGTTTTTGACACCAGGAAAAGTAACAGGCTAAGCTGGCCATTTGAAAAATAGAAATCATTTAATTACATCTGACTGCATGCCCTTTACAATGTATCATGTCTTAAAAGACGTGCAACCCAAGCAACTTGACTTCTCCACTGAGCTCTTTCATCAGATCAATAAATCACTGATTAGGCTTAAACAGCTCTAACAAACACAAATTTTTAACTTTTTGGAGTCCATTGTATAATTTTATACATCCAACCTTTTTATCCAGTCACCTTTATGTTCACATACCTTGCCAACTCCCAAACCAGAAGTAGGGCAATATAATAAAAGCCAAAGCAGGGTCAAGATTCTTTCCAAGCACTTGTGTACCAGAGAAACAGAGGACCACTTGAGCTGATTCAGAATCTCTCCTCACTTAGACCAATTAAAAAAATTCTTTAAACAAGGCATACAAAAAAAATCTAAACCTAACCTTTCCTTATAAGGCTTTTAAAGAAATAGAAGACATGCAAAAGGAGTAAGAAGTCTTACAGACAATACAACATATAGCTAACCGTATATATATAAGAATGTCATATATAGCTAATACATTATACTACATATTATGTAGGTTATATAACAATGTATTACGATAATGATGAGTTAATAAGTACTGCTATAAGTACCTTCACATTTATTAACTGACTTAATCCTTACAACCATCTTTTGAAGTAGATAATGTTACCCTTCATTTTATAGACAAGAAAACTGAAGCATAAAACTAAATTTAGGCAACTTGCCCAAGTCAGAAGCAATGCCAGAATTCAAATCCTGGCAGCCCAGCTACAAAGTATACATTCTTAACTACTAAGCTTTACTGTCTTTCGGTGGCTTAGATTCTTAGTGGCCTTTCTCTAGCCAGATACAGGGTTCTCATTCTTTTTAAAGACGTTTTATTTATATTAATAAGCAACAGTGTACTGATTTTCCTTTCAAAGTAAAACTGAGTTCATTCCAATACATTTTCAAAAAAAGGATGTCCAAGACCAAAGGTCCATCATTATGTTTTGTTTTCTTAAAACATGATAAAATTACTTACTCTTCACATTAATTTCAAATGATAATTTCAAAATGTTACAGATGGAATATTATGGGCTGGTTTCCTTTTATAAAGCAAATAAATTGACCCACAATGCCATAAATAGGAAAGAAATTAGCAAAACAGAGTGATTTTGCATGAGAGTGAACTGGTGGTAAAATTAGCTATCACATTTTGCTCTAGTGAATTTAAAACTTCAAGTGCTGAAAGTAAGTGTCAAGTGAATCAAAGTGTTGTGTTGGTTAGTACTTGCCTCTTTGAGGAAAACCTCCATATCTTCTTGACTTTCAAATACAAAGGCTCTTAAGTCATTTGATGGAATATGATTTTCAATATATTTGGCATTTTTATTATCTTTCATATTGATCTAAACAAACAAGCAAAAAAAGGTCGAATTTCATGAAACCCAACTGATTATTAAAACATGTTTATATTAAAATTGGATTTAATTAGATTGTAATACTTGAGAAAAAACAAGATAAAAAAAAAGAACTTGGTACCAAAGAGTTATTTTAAAACATCTAATCCATTACCCAGAAACAATCAATACAGTACATGGTTAAACAAAGGCCAAGATTTGAACAGTGCATATTGATTTTGATACTATCTAAGAAATAACTTTAGTTCCTTTCTAGTCAACTCATTGAAAATATTTCAAACAGTCTTAGATTGTGACTTGAGTGTAAACATTTCTTATCTTTCCCCACACTTTTCATATTTTCTTAATCTTCAAGAGAACTTCACAGATGGAATAACTAATAGGCACAAAAACACAAAGAACTTTAAACTTTATAAAACTAATGGGGAAAAAAAAAAACCTTGCTATGGCTTATTTGTAACTATTACAGCCCTCAAGAGAAGCCTGAAGTTTGCAACATCAGAACATAATCTTATTGATCTATTTTTACTTTTCTCTTTTTTATTTTTTTGAGACAGTCTCTCTCTGTCACTGAGGCTGGAGTGCAATGGCACGATCTCAGCTCACTGCAACCTCTGCCTCCCGGGTTCAAGCAATTCCTGCGCCTCAGCCTCCTGAGTAGCTGGGACTACAGGCATCTGTCACCATGCCCAGCTAATTTTTGTATTTTTAGTAGAGACAGGGTTTAATCATGTTGGCCAGGCTGGTCTCGAACTCCTGACCTCAAGTGATCGGCTTGCCTTGGCCTCCCAAAGTGCTAGGATTATAAGCATGAGTCACTGTGCCCGACCTATTGATCTATTTTAAAAACATTAACTGGGCCAGGCGTGGTAGCACTGATAACCCCAACACTTTGGGAGGCCAAGATGAGAGGATAACACTGGAAGCCAGAAGTTTGAGACCAGCCCAGGAAACAAAGTGAGACCCTGTCTCTACAATAATAATAATAATAAAAAATTAGCCAGGTGTGATGGCTCTACCTGGGAGGCTGAGGTGGGAATATCGCTTAAGCCCAGGAGTTTGAAGTTACAGTGAGGTATGATGGTGACACTGCACTCCATCCTGGGTGACAGAGTGAAACTGTCTCTAAAAAGTAAAATAAAGTAAAAATATGAATTAGACAATTCTGCAAGTGAGGCTCAATGCTATGGAAGATACTAAGACAAGCTAGGGAAAAAGCTACTTCTGGAAGTACATAATCTGTTATTTATTGCAGATGAATAACTATGTTGAAAGTAGAGCATGATAAAACTCCCATTAAGAGAAGCGTATAAATATAAAAAGTACTATCTAGGGAATTTTAGAGATCGATTATTTCCAAAACATGGAAATCAGCTTTCTTGAAAAAATAATAAAGGGGAGGTATTTATGTACTATAATCTATTACAAAGCAAACTAGCTAAGAGCTTGGGCTCTGAGGTCAGACAGACGTCCTTTCAAATCCTATGCTTGATCTTGCTCAAGTACTACCTAAATCTCAAAAGCTTTCATTACTTTCATCTGTAAGATGGACATAGTAAAACAGTTTATACCTCATAGAACTAAATGTGGATTAAGAGATAATATAATTAAAATAATAGTACAGTGCTTGTCGCATAAATGTTGGCCAATAGTGCTATTTTAAATTATAGAATACCATTCAGTATAGAAAAATGAGAAAACAGTTACACACAAAAATTAAAACCACATGAAAACCATCATCCAGGCATAAACGCTATGAACAATCAGCCTATTGTTTCGCAATTTGAGGGGGGAGGTACTAAATTACTTTATTGGAAGAAATGATACAAATAAAAGAAAACGTATGTGGATGTTTACGATAACTTATAGAAAGGGTAAAAGTAACCCCAAAATGACCACAGAAAGTCATCTTTTTAAAAAAAATATAATTATAGATAAGCCAGTCTAGGACTTAGCTCTCATGATCACGTTCTCCCAGACTGTATTGTTTTTTTTTTTCTATTTTTTGAGACAGGGTCTCACTCTGTGTTGCCCAGGCTGAGTGCAGTGGTGTGATCACGGCTCACTGCAGCCTCGACCTCCCAGGCTCAAGCAATCCTCTCACCTCAGCCTCCTGAGTTGCCAGGACTACAGGTGCATGCCACCATGCCCAGCTAATTTTTATTTTTGTAGAGACAGGATCTCACTATGTTGCCTAGGTTGGTATCAAACTCTTGGACTCAAGTGGTCCTCCCACATCAGCCTCCCAAAATGCTGGAATTATAGGCATGAGCCAACATGCCTGGCCCCAAGGTGTATTTGTTAGAAATATTCTGCCATGTCAGATTCCAAGGCCCCCAGAGTATATAAACTGGTTTACATGGCAATTCAATTCTTTGACGGATTTCACCTGCTCAGGAAGACTCAAGGAAGTCACACAAGTAGGGTCACTGGCCAGTTTATGTGGTTCCAGTAGTGACTTATTTACACTTTTTCCCAAGTGTAATACACATTCACAGTTTGGAGGTTTCCCTGATATCCTTAAGGAAGATTTATTTATTTGTTTGTTTATTTATTTATTCTTATAAGATGGAGTCTCATCCTGTCACCCAGGCTGGTGTGCAGTGGCGTGATCTTGGGTAACTGCAACCTCCACATCCCGGGTTCAAGCAATTCTCCAGCCTCAGCCTCCCAGTAGCTGGGACTAGAGGCACATGCCACGATGCCCAGCTAATTTATATATATATATATATTTTTTTTTCTTGAGACGGAGTCTAGCTCTGTCGCCAGGCTGGATTGTAGCAGTGTGATCTCAGCTCACTGCAACCTCCAACTCCTTGGCTCAAGCGATTCTCCTGCCTCAGCCTCCGAGTAGCTGGGATTACAGGCACGTGCCACCATGCCAAGCTAATTTTTATATTTTTAGTAGAGATGGGGTTTCACCATGTTGGCCAGGATGGTCTCAATCTTCTGACCTCGTTCCACCCCCTCAGTCTCTCAAAGTGCTGATTACAGGCATGAGCCACCGTGCCCAACCTATTTTTTCAGTAGAGACGAGGTTTCACCATGTTAGCCAGGCTGGTCTTGAACTCTTGATGTTAGCTGATCTGCCTACCTCGGCCTCCCAAAATGCTGGATTACAGGCGTGAGCCATGGTGCCCAACCCTTAAGGAAGATTTAGACATCTTGTTGGCTATGCAGGTTCCAGTTTCTTGGGATGTTCCCTCTGTTTGTGAGTTCAGGGAATAAAGTATTTGTCAAAGTCCTCCTAGAACTTCACAGTCATATCATCACAATCAAAGTAGCAAGATAAAGATAGGTAGATATAGGAGACGCAGCACTCTGTGATGATCTGGTGGTTGATGGCATCTTTCTGCTTTATGATTTTTTAAACAAAATTTTTCCATACATCCTATTCCATAACCTACTTTATGATTTACTAACATGTCATAAATTTATTTTTATATTAGTAAAAAGAGACCTACAGAAACATTTTAAGGGCTGCATAATATTCCATTATAAAGATATAAAGTAACTTATTTAACCAATCAGCATCTTCATAAATTTTCTTTTTTTGCTCCACCATTTTGCTATCATAAACACTACTGTGGGGAGTTCATATGTAAATCTTTGTACACTTCTCCAATTCTAGATTGGAATTGTTAAAAATAAATCATAGAAATAGACTACTAAATGACCATTTATATGACTAAAATTTTAAGTTTGCATATTGCTCACTTGTGTATGATGGTAGGGGCATTTCAACTAGACCTAGAAAGGTGAGTAAACTGCGTGGAAGATGTGAATGTAGGAAGGTGGCAGGAAAGGTGAAAGGTTAGTCTGAAAAGGGTAAAAAAGCAGAATATATCTCTTTATCTCAAAGATTCGAATGCAATTTAAAATGGAAATATATGCCAGCTATTAATCTGACTTGGTGATATATGCTACTATTAGAAAACCAAATGACAAGAGGAGACAAATCTAATACAGTTCTGAAGTATTATTCTGACACTGGCATTTTAGTAAAAATGTTAACAATTACACCTGCATTATAACTTTTATAAGGGTCACAATATTTTTTCTTATACTTTCTTTCAATCCTCATCAGACTAATCAAAACAATGCATCTAAAATAGAAATTCTCTTCTTGATCTAGCAAAAATATTCTAATAACACATATGTGAATAAGAGAATGTTATGAATATTAACTTTGCTAATTTAAGATATGGTAAAAAATTGAAAACTATATAAAATGATTTTTAATAAAGTATAACACAAACATGAGTTACAGAGAATAGAATTTTTCACGAATCCTGAAAGGATGTCTTCTTTTCTAAAGAAAAAAAATTATCTAGCAAAAATAATCCTTATGTAATCTTAGGATAACTTTAAGTTTGCTCTAACATATCATTACCAAAGAATGTTAGTTTTTTACTCTTTCATCCTTTTATGTGCCCAAAACTTACTATTTTAAACAGTCTGGATGGCAAACATCTTAGTAAATCCATGGCCACACTTCACTAGACGATTTATTAAATATAGCTTCACCTAATCTTGATGACCCGCAATCATCAACAAAAGCTATCAAAATTTTATGATGTCAATAAGGTATTGGTTTCACTTTCAAAATCCTAAGAATGCCCGTTCTTTGTAGCAGGTGATTTTCTTGCCTATTCTCTTAGTTTTTTTCCTTTAATCAACCTATTTACAGCAGCATTCTACCTCTTCAGCAGGGTTTTAATCTAATCCCTGCTACAATCTAGTAACAAGCGCCAAAAGGAACCAGCTAACCAAACTAATTTTCTACATGATTCTAGGTCAATAAGTTGCCAGTTTTATACCTCTTTCTAGAAAAAAGCACAGGTTTTATGACAGTTATTACCCTCATTGATCAGGGGACCTTTAAAAAGCTCATGTATAGATTCAGCAGTATGCCAGATGCCACAAGTCTGATAATGTAAAACCAGGGTAATATTGGGACTAAAATGTCTTAAAACAAAAATCTATGATTACAATAATAAAACCAATACTACCAAGATGAACAAAGTTTCTTACCGTGAGCATTATGGGCTCACAGACTCTTTGTTTAAATTTGTCTCTGTTATTTCTTAGCCATAAAACAGCATCATACGTGTCACGGAATCTCTGTCTTAGCTTATCTTCCTTCTGATTCATAAGATTGTCAAAACGTACAATATGATCGTCCACACCTAAAATTGTAAAACAAAACAAAGTCTTGTTTCTCTGAAAATTTTAATTAGTGAAATAATCTAATAATAACACAAAAGAATACCCTAGTTCTAAAGGTTACAAACACCACTCAGCAAGTAACTCCCATAGTGGAAAATATGTGACCTGAACAAATCTTTCTAAAATGTCCAAAAACCTGGGAAAACATAAGATCCTGAAACTATCAAATATAAAAAACAGGTAACCTACAAAAACAAACAAACAAACAAACAAACAAAAAAACCCACAAGGAAAACACTAGATTTCCTATCAAAAGACAAACAGCAATAGGCCTTCAAAATTCTGGAAGAAAAATTAATATTTTCATTCTAGAATTGTATATACAACAAAACTAAAAAAGGGGGGGGGATGATGAAATAAGAATATTTTAAAGGGTGCAAAGACTCTGAAGTTAATTCCTAAATATCTCTTCTTAGAAGTTTACCTGAAAATGTACTCCAACAAAATAAGGGCGTGATGTAAGAAAATGAGACATGGAATTCAGGAATAGGTTTATAACACAGAAAAGGCACGAGAGAAATTACAAATGATAACCATGCAGGAGGCCTCAAGAACAACCAGTTTAGATGGAAGGAGAAGGACAGAAGGCTATGGGACTCAGGAGAATGCCCGATAAGACAGCTTTTTTTTTCCCTCTTCAATTTAAGAAAATGCTTAAGCAAATTTAAAAAAAAAAATTAAAAGCTTTTTAAAAGCTATCAATGAAGTGAAATTTAATTATAATGCACAACTTGGTTCAGCTATGAGTAAGTTTAATAAACAATACTTAGTATTTCTAAACTTCTAGAATTAACCCATAAATAAAGCACATAAAACACTAAATGTTTTCGGCCTTGAAAATATAAAAACCGGAGTATAAATGAGAGAATTTAGAATGTGAGAAGGGAGGAAAGTAAAAAGCAAGGGTGCGAGGGAGTACTATTTGTAGCTTATGAAGTGTGGACTGAAGCAATACTGACAATTGTTAAATGACCAAAAAAGGATATGTATATTATTTATAATAATAAAAATCATTATTAATAATCCCATTTGAAGAATTTATAATAGAGATGTTTTATAAGGTAAAATCTACATCTAGAGTAAATACAAAAAGATAATGTCTAAAGTTGATTAATCAAGCAATAGTGAAATAAGAATATGATATATATGGAAGGATTACTAGAAAAAATCTTCTTAAAGAGTTAAAAGTGCTTACTCTTGGTTGGCTTTGGAGGTAAAAAAGGAGTTGTGCCACCCTTCTATCCTTCTAGTTCTTCTTCTTTTTTTTTTTTGTTAGCCATACACATCTAATACTTTGATAAACATATAAAATTTTTTTAAACTGATCTTAGTCATATATATTGAGCAGACAGAATATAAAATCCCTATCCAAATAATACCACAGATCTATTCACATGGTCTACAAAAAAAGAAAACCAAAGATGAAATTGGACAGGTTTCAAGGAACTAAGCTAACAGAAGGTTACAAAGGCTAGAATAAAGAGCTTAAATTTGATATGAGTAATAGTGAGTGACTTTGTAAAGAAAATAAAGCTAGGCATTTATAGAGAATTATTAAATCAAGTGCCATAATCTGATAGAAGACAGTGGTCAGCTATAATGGCAAATTACAGTACACGACAGATATAGATAATTAAGGTATGAAGTTGGAAGAACTGAGTTGAGCTTCCTCAAGAAGGCAACTTGAACATTTTATAGAAATAATTATAGAAGCAGAAGAAAGTTCATCAACAGAGATGTATCTACATTTTATAAACATTTCATTCTAACTTTATGAAACTTACTCTTTTTCTCCTTCTCTAGAGTTTCCCTCTCTCTTCGCTTATCAATTATTTCGCCTTCACATAATGCCTTTTCATCCTGAATCCGTCTCAGATCATTTGTAATGGCATCAATCTGGGGCTGAAGATTCTCGCAGTTTTCCGTGGTCTTTAGTTCATTTTGCAAATCCTCTATCATTTTGCGGGTATTACCTATTCTCCTCTGTCGGTCAAGCTCTTCATTTTGCTTTACTATTAAAGCCTGCTGAAGTTCCTCAATCTAATAAAACAAAAGTAGGTTAGTACTTGAGACTGTTTTCCTCTTGGTTTATAAGACTTCTGTAGTAATATAGTTTTTAACATGCAAACAATCTAACATAGGTGTTTTCCTCACTAAAAGGTGTCCTGTGAGAATTAGACTAGCACATTACCAGTTCTACCAGACTACCTGTATCTTTGTTTCACACATTCACTAATATATCTCAAATACTTTAAGTGGTGCTCACTATATAATTAACACTCATTAAATATTTCCTGAATAAACAAAATATTTTAAAAGCCCAACGGATTTCTAAATATTTACAGGAAGTACATACTATATGCCGTAAGACCAAAATTAAAACAGTCATGTGGCATATGTGATACAGTTTCCATAAATAATAAAAATGATAATAAAGATTACAAGTCACCCTATTACAGGTTGAATATCCCTAATCCAAAAATCCCAAATCCAAAATTCTCCAAAATCTGAAATTTTTTTAGTGCTGACATGACACCACAAATTACCCAGAACACATTATTTTTGCACTATATTAGTTGTATGTCAGTTTTTACTGTTAAGTATTTATGTGTGAGTAAGTATTTAAAAATGATTGTTTATGAGTAGCATATAAATAGAGAGTCAGGAATGATGGTGATGCCATCAACCACAGATCATCCACATGGGTGGCTGAGACAGCGACACCTTTATTTCCTGATGGTTCAACATACACAAACTTTGGTTCATACACAAAATTATTAAAAACATCATTTAAAATTACATTCAGGCTATGTGTATAAGGTGTATGTGAAATATAAATGAATTTTGTGTTTGGACTTGGGTTGTATTCTCAAGATACCTCATTATGTATATGCAAACATTCCAAAAATCTGAAAAACTCTGAAATCCAAACACTTCTGGTCCCAAGTATTTTGGATAGAGATACTCAACCTGTAATCTGAAACAGAAATAAACTATTTTCTTCCAATGGAAATATTTTCTACCAATACTTCAGACTAATATTGTGAGATTTTAATCATCAGTCTATATGCTTAGATTCCTTCACTTATATTCAGGGTAAATTACATTTTTATAACCAGCTATGTAACTTGCCACTTGATGTCAGTGAAATTTTTATCAAAACTATGGTCTACCTAAGACAGAGTAAAGATTTTCTTTAGGACACACACATATAAACAAATATACACTTATATGCCCAATTTACATTTTACAACTAGAATTTTGCATTAAAATAGATAAATTTAACACATCACATAATCTGTTTTAGCCAGCTTTATTTCCAAGTCAGATTTACTCCTCTCCTTCCTCATTATAAAAGTTATAATGCATTCATTACTGAAAATAGAGACTTATAACAAATAAAAATAACTTATAATCTTAATGTCCTTAAACTTTTACCTTTTTTTTTTTTTTGAGACAGAGTCTCACTCTGTTGCCCAGGCTGGAGTGCAGTGGTGCGATCTCGGTTCACTGCAACCTGGGTTCAAGTGATTCTTGTGTCTCAGCCTCCCAAGTAGCTGGGACCACAGGCGTGTGCCACCATGCCCGGTTAATTTTTGTATATTTAGTAGAACTGGGTTTTCACCATGTTGGCCAGGCTGGTCTCAAATTCCTGGCCTCAAGTGATCTGCCTGCCTCGGTAAACTTTTACGTTTTAATGCCTACTTATATCTGCCTGTAGAATATATATTCTTTTTACTAAATGGCATCACTAAAAATGCATTGAGAGCAGTTTCTCATTATCCCTCATGTCCTTGCAAAATAAATAAATAAATTTTAACATCTTGTGCATAATGTTCTCTGATATGGATATACCACATTTTATCCCATCTCCTGTTGAAATGCGGGTATTGATTTTTCCTTTCTAAAAATTTAGCTTTGGCAGTAACAAAATGCACATATCCCCAAATCCTCTCTCCTATAACCAAACATACAGAAGCAAGAGAAAATATATCTGAAAAAATTAAGATACATACATGTCACTGAACATTAACAATGTTCAATGGGCCTAAAAGCAGATAATAGGAAATTCAAGGGATTCAGGAAAATAAATGAGCATGTCACAGATGACAATATATAATTAAGAATCACTAAACACTAAAGACGATACAGAATTAAGATTCACTAACAAACAGAACGTCTGCAATCCCAGCAAAACAGGGACCACCAAACTACTGAAAATCACTGGCCTACCATATAAAGTTGTACCAAGAGAAGGTCTTTGTCTGATATTGACCTGAAAAACTGAAAAGCAGCCCAACGATCCCTTACCTTTCAATTAAGTTTTCTGAACACTAACTCATTTGTTACCTTCATCCAAGAAACTACCATGACTAATCACATTAGTCCTACTCTGACTAATATCCATGTTTAGCTCAGGTACAGTAAGTCTAAACCTCTTAAATCACCTACCTTCACTAGGATACTGTCTCCATACTGCTCTATATCTGTAATTTCTCTGAATGTTCCCTCTTCTTCTTTTTTTTTTTTTTTTTGAGACAGGGTCTCGCTCTGTCACCCAGGCTGGAGTGCAGTGGTGCAATCTCAGCTCACTGCAAGCTCCGCCTCCTGGGTTCAAGCCATTCTCCTGCCTCAGCCTCCCGAGTAGCTGGGACTACAGGCACCCGCCACCACGCCCGGCTAATTTTTTGTATTTTTTTTTTTAGTAGAGACAGGGTTTCACTGTGTTGGCCAGGATGGTCTCGATCTCCTGACCTCGTGATCCGCCCGCCTTGGCCTCCCGAAGTGCTGGGATTACAGGTGTGAGCCACCGCGCCCCGCCTGAATGTTCCCTCTTCTTGTTCTAATGGAAACTTGGCTATTTCTGGAAGACACCTGTTCTCCCCAGAGCCCTCTCAAGTGGTGACCTTTTCCTGCCATTATTTCAGGACATGGAGGTGGGGAGGGTATTCTCATTAATCCCCACTGTACTCCTTCCTCCTTTAATTGAGCCCCACTTTGGTTCCTCTGAAGATCTTGGGGTCAGACTTTGTCACTCATTACCCTTGTTGCTATGTTAACTACCTCCCTGAAAATCCTCCCCAACCTTATCCATTCAGGGATGACTGTGGCATCTGATTCACTGTCTTCCTCTCTCCATCATTATATCTGTCATCATGTGACTTAAACATATCTACAGAAAATCAATCTAACTCTTTGGCCTCTGTGTTCCCTTACTTCTTCAACTTCAATCATCTTTTCCTTAACCTTTCCTCAGCCACCTGTCTAGTGAACAGAGGAAGGTAGCTGAGGAGGGTTATGTTCTAGATCATAAAGCCCCCCAAATCATACCACTTCTGAAAAATGTATTTCCATAATTCTATTCTTTGGTCACTATTTCCTTTTCTTCCATTTTACTTACTCTGGTATTCCTACTCTATCTTTTGACCCCCACAAGGTTGTGCAATCCATTAACCCCACTACCTTTTTACATTTCTTTCCTTAATCAGCTGAGGCTCCACAATGCAGCGCTATAACCACTCCCTTGGAAAGATCCCTTGACCTTTCTTCTTATGTCACACTGGCCAGGAAAAAGCCCAGTTCTAATTAAACCTATTGATATACCTTCTAACTATCTATATCTAAGCAACAGAACTAATGAAAGAAACCCTCAAAAACTGGTCTCACTTTAAATCTATGGCCACAAAACTTAAACAGGCACTCAAAACTACCAGATAAACCTATTACACTTCTTTAATAAACTTGTGCTATCTTTCTGAGATGAGTTCATACCTTTTGCTCATTCAATCCTTTATTGCTGCCTTCCTTCCACTCACTCAGCTAATGACCTTGCCTCATATTCATTCCATTAATAGAAGTTATAATTAGAGTACTCCCTCCTTCTCTTGCTTTTAAATCTATCACTTTACCTACATCCTTACTCATTCTGCTTTGCTTTGTAGAATGTAAGGAGACTCCATGTAGCTACCTAAATCTAACCCCTCCAAGGCTACTCCAGAGAAATGTTTCTCAAATTACACCTTAAGAAGGTGTAATTTTTCACGAAGGACCATTAAAAACAAAAATTCCAAGCCATCACAAGTCAACTTTTATTAATTACAATTAATTTACCAAAATTCTGGAACATTTTGGCAATTCCTTAAAAAACTGAACGCACACCAATGATATTCTACTCCTAGGAAATTATCCAAGAGAAATAAAAGCATACTTCCATACAAAAAGCGGTAGAAGAATATCTATGGCAGATCTACTGGCAGTAGCCCAAAACTAGAAATAGTCTAAATGTCTAATACCAGGTTAGTGAATAAACAAATTGTGTGATCTCAAGAAAAATGAAAAGAAAAATACAATAAACTGAATGAAAACAAAAATAGCACATATCAAAATTTGTGGGGCACAGCTAATGCAGTGATAACAGGAAAATGTATAACACCAAGTGTATACATAAGAGGAAAAGCATCAAATCAATAATCTATGCTTCCACCTCAAGAACCTATAAAAAATGAGCCCATCTACATCAGGCAGGAGAATCATAAAGATAAGAACAGACATCAATGAAACGGAAAACAGAGAGAAAAATCAATAAAACAAACAGCTGCCTCCTTGAAAAAAATCAATAAAATTAGAAAATCTTTGGCAAGATTAACTAAAAAAAGAGTAGGGGGGTGGGGGAGAGGGGGAATTGCCAGTATCAGGAATGAAATAGGGTTATCACTGCAGATTCTATACATATCAAAGGATAAGAGAATTTATGCATACATAAATTTGACAACTTGGACAAAAGGACCAATTCACCTAATATGAAATAGATTATTTGACTAGTCTAATAGCTATTAAGGAAGTTGAAAACATAATTTTAAAACTCCCTCCAAGAAGAAATCTCTACAACCAGAGAGTTTCACTTGAGAATTACACAAAATGTTTAAAGTATATAAACATCAATTCTACACAATCTCTTTCAGAAAGTAGAAGAGGAAGGATCACTTCCCAATTCATTTTATGAAGCTAGTTATTATCCTAATACCAAAACTAGGCAGAGAATACAAGAAGACTACAAAACAGTATAACTCATGAATACAGACGCAAAAATCCTTTAACACAGAATTCAGCAATATGTAAAAAGAATTATACACTTATACACCACAACCAAGTGGGGTTTATTTGACGGATGCAAAATTGATTTGGTAGTCAAAAATCAATCAATATAATCCATCACTTACTAACCACCTAAAAACTTACACAATTATATCAATAGATGCAGAAAAGCATTTGACAAAATTGAGTATGTACTCAACATAAAAATTCCTAGAAACATAGGAATACATATAAGAATTTCCTGAATCTGACAGAGCATACATATTCTTTTAAAAACCTGCTATTATTACATACTGAATAATGAAAAACTGAATGCTTTCCTCCTAAGATCAAGAATAAGGTGAAGATTTCAGTGTTCACCACTCTTATTCAACAGAGTGCTGAAGTTGTAGCCAATGCAATAACGTAAGAAAACTAAGTGCATACAAATCAGAAAGAAAGAAATAAAGCTGTCCCCATTTGTAGCTGACATGACTGCCTAGGTAGAAACTCCCAAAATATCTACCAAAGAAGAAAAAAAAGAAATTAAGTCAGAGGACTTGTTGCTAAAACTACATAATGCTAATGAAAGAAATAAAAAATCTAAATAAATAGAGACAGACCATGTTCATAGACCAGAAGATTCAACATAGTAAAGATTTCAATTCTTCCCAAATGTTTAATGAAATTCCTATTAAAATCCCAGCAACATTTTTCTGTAGATATAGAAAAGATTTGGATGTCATCAGGAATGGTGAAGTAAGGAACTCCAGAAATCTTCTCCTCCATAAAAGTGATGAGAACACTGACAAAAATTGTCAAAATTTACACTTTCAGCACTCTGGAATTTAACCAAATGCTTGTAACAATCTGGGAAGCTGTTATTCAAGAAAAATGGCTGAATCTCAGTAAAAACAGCAAGCTCTGTAGAATTTTGAACTTGCTTCATTCCTAAACCCATTGTTCCATTCATGTGGTATCCTTGAAAAGCAACAGCCCACAATCATAGTGAAAACCTGCAGTCTAGCAGCCACTGGAGAGATATGAACAGGTTTGGAGCTCTTTTATAATGGCAAAAAAAAAAAATGCAATTACTTTTGCACCAACCTAATAAATCCTCATTCTCAGAGAAATGCCATTATCTGATCTACCCGGCAGTTTCCTGGGAAAACTTAGTTGTATAAGGCTTGTTTGTATTTGACCTGACTCACAGCTCACCACTGCAAAACAGCCTTTTCCTTGGATGCATTTGTCAAAAACAATCAGAAGCAATTGTTTAGCATCACAACTGCCTGAAGCAGATAACAGTTACAGCAAACAATAAGCTAACCAAAAATCTTAAAAGAAAAGGCTGGGGAATGAGCTTCTCCCCAAACCATATGAGGTTTTGGAAATTCCTGGGATTCTAGAAGGTCATGTGCATTAGCAGGACTGTGTGCATGCCCAGGGCTATGTACATGATCCAGAAAGACCTGAGAAGACCCTAAGTTCTCATCTGTTTCACTTTGTGGTTGTGTGCAAATAGGAAGCGAAGGCTGAGACAGAGTTAACCAAAGTTTTCAACAATCTTAGGAGCATTTATTGAAGAAAAATGATTGAATCTCAGTAAAGTGTGAATACTGCCTGGCTGAATGATGAAGGCATGACCCAATATATACACAGAGATCCTCAACAAAGACTGGGAAACATATGGGTTACAGGCATTTTAGGAAATACAGATTCAGTCATTAGCTAACCACTAAACTAACCTAGTAGTGACTTCAATAGCCACATATGACCAAGAATAAGAACTTTACAGAACTAGGAAAGTCACTAAACAAACAAACACCAACAATATATTCAATGAAACAGCAACAACATCAAGCCCTGGGGAGGGGAATGGGACTGACTTCCAGAGTTGCTAGAGTATGTTACTTAAACTGTTCAGTTTCAACAAAAACTTGTAACACTTTCAAATAAAGGAAAAAGTATGGCCCATACTCAGGAAAAAAGCAGTCAACAGAAAAAGTACCTGAGGAAGTACAGAAATGGACTTATAAGACAAAGGGGCTTTAACCCTTTTTCTGTTTGCCCTGAGAATACTTGCTGGCGGTGCTTACTTTCACATTGAAACTCAGTCAGATTTGGTTAAGCCTCAGAGTGTGTTTATGTAAAATTAAATGAGTGCTGGCAGTGAGCACACGTACTTTTTTTCTAAATAGGAAAAGGATTAAAACAGCGATTTTAAATATGTTCAATGAACTAAAAGAAACCTCCCCTACAAGATATACTAAAAGGCATCTTTAAGGCTGAAATGAAAGGACCCTAGATAGTACTCTGAATCTACACAAATAAATCAAGAGAACCCGCAAAGGTAATTAAATAGATAAATGTAAAATATAACATAAATGTATTTTGTTGTTTATAACTTTTTTTCTTCCTATCCAATATAAAAGAACTATTGCGGTATAAACATATATATTTAGTCTTTGTCCTAGGTTCTTGGCACAGAATTCTTAAAACCCTTGGAATTTTCTGAGTGACAGGAATGTCTTTTATTATTCATAACAAGCCCCTTTCTGCAATATCTGGTTTTATGCTAATGAGGACCAAAAAAATCATGGTCCAACTATCTACTGTTTACAAGAGGCACATTTTAGATTCAAAGACACAAATAGGCTTAAAGTAAAAGGATGAAACTTTAGTCAAAAGAGAACTCTTTATTTCTCCTTTCCTAGCAAGCCAGAGGAAGTATAATACAAAAGCAACACGATCAAATAAACCAACAAAACATATCATTATATCTAAACACAGGCTGATTATCCTTTATCCAAAATGCTTGGCACCAGAAGTGTTTTGGATTTCAAATTTTTTAAGACCTTTGAATATCTGCATTATACTTACAGGTTCAGCTTCCCTAATCCAGAAATCCAAAATGCTCTAAAGTGCATTTCCTTTGAGCATCAGGTCAACACACTCAAAACGGTTTTGGGTTTTGGAGCATTTTTAGATTTCATATTAGAGATACCCAACATGTCAATACTGGCAGTAAAATAATAATAATAATAATAATAATATTTTAAATAACCACAAGTCAAATTTCTGATGATACTGACATGGGATTACAGGAAGAGAAAGTATAAGCTTCCTAATTTTTTTTTCTTAATTAGATGGGAGAATAAAGATACTGATGAACTCTTTTGTTAGAAATGTGTCACTTAAAATTTTAAGGTAATCACTAGAATAGGACTAAATTTAACTTTCAACCTATAGAATAAAAAATAGAATGAGAAAACCTTGGTTAACAGCAACAGAAAATAGAAAGAGAGGAGGAATCAAGTAAAAAGTATAATAAGTAGAAAACATAACAGTAAATGTGAACTGTTTAAACTTCTTCATCTGTTTAAACTCCTTTATTTGCCATCAAATTGAAAAAAATTTCAAAACAAAACCCAGTATTATTTACAGCACATAAACTAAAACATGGTACAGAAATAAAAACAAAATAAGAAAGCTTTAAAATCTAGGAAGCAAAAACTGATATAATTACAAGGAAAAATAGACAAACCTATACTCATAGAAGGAGATACTGACACCTTAAAAATCACTAAATCAGGCCAGGTGCGGTAGCTCACACTTGTAATTCTAGCACTTTGGGAGGCCAAGGCAGGTGGATCACTTGAGGTCAGGTCTTTGAGACCAGCCTGGCCAACGTGGTGAAACTCTGTCTCTATTAAAAATACAAAAATTAGCCAGGCGTGGTGGTGCATGCCTGTAGTCCCAGCTACTTGGGAGACTCAGGCAGGAGAATCGCTTGAACCGGGGAGGCAGAAGCTGCAGTGAGCCAAGACTGCTCCACTGCACTCCAGCCTCGGAGACAGAGCAAGACTCCGTCTCATAACAACAACAACAACAACAACAAAAACTAAATCAAGTAGGTTAACAAAAAAGTAGAACATACGAGTATACATAATTATAGTAAGCCTATTCTAACGTATGTATATATGTGTGTGTATACATATGTCCACACCTGAAGACAGAATGCACATTCTTTTCAAATACATGAAGAATAGGTACAAAAATCAAACACACAATAAAAGCCAAAAAAAAGTCTCAAAAAATTCTTTAAAAAAGTCAAAAGGCCACATTTATTGACCATAAAGCAGTGTTAAGTAGAACTTGACATTTTTCAAAAGCCTAAAAAATTCCATATCCATAGAAATTAAAACAATAAGAACTGCTAGGTAACCTCAAACGAAAACATTTAAATAAAAATTATAATATCTTAAATTGAAACAAAGAGCCTACTAATCAACACACGTGAGATGTAGCCAAATGATGCCCAAAAATTTATATCCTATAATGCATTTATTAAAAATTAGGAAAGATGAAAAATAAAAGAAACACACTTTTTACAATTCAAGAACGTTAAAAAATACTCAAAGCAGAAAAATGAATTAAGAAAGAGGAAATTATTAAATAGTCAACAAAAAATAAAGTTGATTTTTAAAAAAAATTAGTTGAAAAGACTTACAAAGTGACAAGCCCTGGCAAATATGATAAGGGGGAAAAAATGGATACACAAATATCAGTGATAGGAAGAGAAGAAATATAAATGATTGAAACTGATCCAAGAGTATTAAATTATTTACCAGGTCTGCATAAGCCTGAAAACAAAACCAGTTAAGAAAGAACAAAAAATAAAAGTATAGGCCAATCTCACACAGTTCAAAAAATCCTAAATACAAAATTTTATAGTTGAATACAGCAGTATATTAAAACATCAATTAAAATTCATGACAGGAATATAAGGGAAGTTCAACATGAGGCAATCTACCAACTTTGTATTTGCGTCTGGGGATACAGGATGAGTTTTATGTCTTTTTCTGCCTAACCCTAATAAAATAATAGGAATGGAGTAAAAAGGGATCCATCCCATGAGGACAAAAGAAAGGGAAGAGAGATCACTAAATGGAAAGTTTAATAAATACTTAGAAGATGGAAAAACAAGTAACAAATTTAGCAGTATATTATAGGAACCATAGTGTAAAGGGTGAGTGAAAAAGAAAGGGATGTGAAGAACTGATTATTCCTTCTAAAAAATAAAAACAAACAAAAACCCCAGAAATTCTTAGGACTAGGAAATGCCAAGTAGAAACAACATCACATAGAATGCAATTATTCATATCCTCCTTCTCATCCCAATCCCCTTCTCCCAACATACACAACCCTAAGCACATAACACTGACAACCAAGATGCTTCTGTGAACATTTGTGGTTAATTCTTTGGAGAAATTAAATGAGCAGCCTGGGACTTAAAATAAAGGGATAGAAAAAGGGGTGAGGCTGAGAACTAGGAGATTAACACCATGCTTCAACCATCAGAAATGCCTGAAGTTACATGTCTACCCCCAAGGCAGGTAATTTCAAAACTTAGTCTCAGAATGGTCCTGAAGAATAGAAACACACATATATTTGGGCATCTGTTAGCAAAAGAGCCCACTTTCTTACCTAATCATCCTAACATAATTTTGTCGTCAGGCCCACCCACGCACGAAAAATTTGTAATCAGCCTTTTAATGCCTTACTTTTAACCATAAAGAGAACCAAAGATTCTCAGATAAGCAAGGAAAGACTCCAGGAAGAAAGCAAGAAACCAAAGTAAGAAAAGAAACAAAAATCTACTAAGAAAAAACAATATTATAAAGGAAAAAAAACTTTAAAAACTTTTAATTTATATTCTCAGATTGAGAAGCTGCACATATCAAAAACAGGATACTACAAATTGAAACAAGATTTTTCCTTAGCAATAAATTACCTGCAGTAGGCTAAAGTTTTACAATGTAAGTGTCTTCATTTCTAGAAATTGGAGCTATAAACCAAGATTATATCAAAACAGAGTAAAACTCAACAATAAAAATATAATAAAAAGTTCCAGTCAGGGGCAGTGGCTCATGCCTGCAATCCCAGCACTTTGGGAAGCCAAGGCAGGTGGATAGCTTGAGCTCAGGCGTTCGAGGCCAACCTGGGCATCACGGCAAAAACCCATCTCTACAAAAATTCAAAAAAGTACCTGGGTGTGGTCGCATGCACCTGTGGTCCCAGCTACTCAGGAGGCTGAGGTGGGAGGATTATTTGAGCCTGAGAGGCGGAGGCTGCAGTGAGCCAAGATCACACCACTGTACTCCAACCTGGGTAACAGAGACCCTGTCTCAAAAAAAAAAAAAAAAAAAAAGACGAAAAGTTCCATAGTTTAAGTATACTTTGTCTCATTAATTTCAATCATGCATAAAGGTACATACGCATTTTCTACATAAGCGTCATCACTGATTTTTCAAAATAAAAGGTCTATTTCTGTGTTTTAAACAACAACAGAATAAATCCCTTAGACCTTAGTTTTTGCTGTTAAGGTAACCAAATCCACCATTATCCTATTAAAAAACTACAGCCACCCAGCTACAAATATCATAAGGCACAGCTGCTAGTAGTTTTGAGAAATTTTCCACAATTGTCCTCTGAGCAACTACTATACTTCCAAATCTTACTTTCCCTCGGATTAAGAAATAGAGAATGCAGAGGATCTTGGCCATTCCCCAACAAGAATCTGTCTCATAATCTGTATTTGAAAACAAAAGTTAGAGCAAACTTTAATGTAATAAAAATTTTAGTATGAAACCTTACATGTTTATCTTTCCTTTCTATAACATCTTGCTTCTGTTTGCATTTTTGAGATGCCTCCTTAATATCTGTTGCCTGTAAAATTAAACCGGGGAGAGGGGGGGACAGCTAGTTAAAAACTCATGCAAGCAAATTATATGGCCCTGCCCATTCAAATATCGAGTTAACCCACAACAATTTACATCAAGCAAAATCCATAATTATCAACAAAATACCAACAGTTATTTGCAAGTCTATAAAAGGTTATTCCTAATGATATTAATAAACAGTTGCAGTAATACGCATGCATGTTTTTTCTCTTTACATTTATCTTCCTGTCTTATTTCATCTGATCCTAAAAACAACCCTACAGGATAATCAGGACAAATATTACTGACTGGTAGGGCTCAAAAGAGGCCAAGTAACCTTTATACATAGCTAAAAAATGGAAACTAATTATAAAAAATCAGGTCTGATTTCAAATGCAGAGTTCTATCATACCAAGTATGCTACCTCCTTGATATTTTTCATTAACACATAAAACACATACATGACATATTATAGACACATATTACACATCATTAACACCTATAATATGTAATTCAAACATAGTAGAAAACAGGGCTATACAGAAAACAACATTATAGACTAAGACTACTATTCTTGGACAGGCTTGTTTGCAAGGTCGGTCCTTGGTTGTTGTCTGGAAATTTGGATTTTGGGAGTGTTTCTACCATTTCCTAACTGATAAGAGTGGCTCACTGTGCGTGTTTGTACAAACAATGTGGCTGATGCAGAACATCTGCTTTCCTTCTTGCATTCTGGAAGTTAACAACATGCTGCTAGAAGGCCTAGTTGCCTAACGCCCATAAAAACCTTGGGTGCTGAGTCTGTAATGCACTTCCCTTGTAGACAGGACTTTTAAAATGTTGTCATAATTTGATGATGGAAGAATTAAGCACATTCTGTGTGATTTCTCTGGGGGAGGACCCTTGGAAGCTTGTGCCTGGTTTCTTCTAGACTTTGTCCTCAGGGCATTTTCCCTTTCCTGACTGTTTTGCATCCTTTTGCTGTAATAAATCTTAGCTGTGAGCCCTCCTAGGAAATCATGTCTCCGGTGGATCTCTGATGCCAAGAGACAATAGTTTCTTCTGATAGAGGAAAATTAATTTTCTGATGCTAGTAACACTGATGTATGTATGCTTAAATCATACATGCTAATCATGTAAGATAAAGATTACTATTATTGTCCTCACCTGACTGAGGAGACTAAAACTCAGAGAGACTAAACGATTTGCTGAAGGTCAGACAGCTGAGTGAGGATTTAAAATACAGGTCTGTGTGTCTCAAAAGCTATGCCCTGTCCATAACACTTCATCACCTGCCTGGAATTAAAAAAAAAAAATTACAAGTATTGGAAAAAGTTTTCTGCTGGAACAGAATGAGCAGGAAGAAGAACAGCATGAATATTAAACAAAATTAACCACTGTGTTCTGTTGCAAGGCTATGGGTGCTAATAACTACTTTTACTATAGACTGACATAAGGTACCACTTCAGAATTATTTCTTTAGGAAAATAATTCTAAAACATCTTAGGCCATGCAGATTTTCACATAAATAAATTAGGCTCATGGATGTTTGACAATGAGCCTAATATAACAATAGCTGGGCTTCTGTTATAAATAGACAAAACAAAGGGTTAAATATGTTTCCTTAATTAAGAGATCTCAAATTTATTATGTACATATTTTCCACTACAAAAGTAGTTTTACAGTAACAGAAAATTCAAGAACCAAAAAAAGCAATTACAAATCCACAACTTAACTATAACCAACCATCATTAACATAACAACGACTGCCAATTATTAGTTTCATATCCTTGAGGAAGTCGTGTTATCACTGGTATTCAGTATCTGTAACAATAAAATGAGGGGGCTTGTCTAGATAATATCTACAATTCCTTTTCCCCGTAACATTTAAAATGACCAATGGCAACGCTTTTTCAGAATCAGATCTAATCAAGTCCTAAAACCTTTATCTGATCTTAGTAACTGTTTAATTTTTTGGACTTGAGTGCAATAATTTTAACTCACTTTAACCTGTATTAGAATTAAGATATAGTGGAGCTTTTCCCACATGATAGTAGCAAAGTCAAAACTGTTGATTCATTTCCTCTGTTACAAAGTTTACTTTATATTCCTAGATATGGCCTTTCTCACTCAGTAGAAATGCTCAACATAGTATCTGGTACAATCTAGCTCAAGAAGTCATTTTTCTGACTTTCAGGTGCCTAAAAAGAGAAAAGTACAATCACATCTAGAAATCGAAGAGCTCCACATAACTTCTTTTTTTACAAACAAAAGATGAAACTTACATTAGTCAAACCTGTATAAATGGCAATCTTAAATTCAGTAACAAAAACCCTGGAGTAGCATATTCACAAGAATAAAACACAATCTTTAAAACCTTTAAAAATAGAGATGATGCCTGTAAAAAAAAATACTGCTAAGTTCATAACACACTATCTCCTAAATGATCTTTCAATAGCAGAAATCATGTTTCATACAATTTTTTCCCAATAGCAGTGCCAGGCTAAGATCCACCCTTTACCATCACTGACACCCATCTTCAAGCACAGTGGCCAACATCAGGGGTATACAGTACACAAAGGTTGTGAATGGTTTTCTGGTTTCATAAAATTACCTATATATAGCATAAATTCCGCTGGTCTAATTACAAATAATTCTACATATTTGAGGCAACTGACAATTTATATCAGAGATTCTTTATTGATTTATTTTTAAATTTTTATTATTATATACATTTTTTGAGATAGGGCCTCGCTCTGTCACCCATGCTGGAGAGCAGTGGCACAATCTCAGCTCACTGCAACCTCTGCCTCGTAGGCGCAAGTGATCCTCCTGCCTCAGCCTCATGAGTAGCAGGGACCTATAGGCACACACCACCATGCCTGGCTAAGTTTTTTGTGTTTTTCATAGAGACAGGGTTTCACCATGTTGGCCAAGCTGGTCTTGAACTCCTGAGCTCAACTGATCCGCCCGCCTCAGCCTCCCAAAGTGCTGGGATTACAGGCATGAGCCACTGTGCCCAGCCATATCAGAGGTTCTTAAGTAGGGGTCAATACCTTGACTTCAGTGCATCCATGAATCTCCAAAATCTCATGCACGATTTTGGATCTGCCTATACTGCGTTATTTTAGAAGCAGGAATTTAAACAATTCTCAAATAATCTCTAACTTCAAAATCCACCGAAGGTTAGAAGCCATAGTCATAAAAAATATCTAGTTATACTTTTAAAATACAGGGAATATTATTCTATTATCTATTCCAAAAACATCAGATTTTCTATATTGCCCTCCTTCAAAAGGGTGTATAATTACAAAGCAGATGTATAATATATTCACAAAAAGAGCTCAGTGTTTCCAGGAATACCACTATGAATCCTCTTGTACCTAAAAAAAATCATATTTCACTTTTCTCTCTTTATATCTTGGAAGTCCTATAAAGTAGCAACACTTCCACAGTAATAAGTATGTCCTTGAAAATCCTATGGTGGCAGAATTCCTGGTTAAAAAACTTAAGAAATGAAAGATACAAGAAAACCCTTGAAAATATTTTCAAACACCTGCAAAATATTTTTTATATTTGCTAAAATAAAATTCAGATAATCCAAAATTGAAACCAAAAAGTACCTTTTCTTTGATTCGAGCCTCCAAATTGTGACGCTCGTTTTCCATTTCTTCAATTCGACATGTTACAGGAATCTGCCCTTCTTTAAGTTTTCTGACCTCTTCCTTCACTCGGTCACGAACTAGTTTTACTTCTTCATATTCCTGACGAACATTTTCATATTCCTTGCAAATAATTCAACAAACAGAAGTTAATGCCCTACCTTAAACTAACACATATACTAAAAATCAAGATACAGGCAGAAACCAAATGTAAGAAAAGATTGTTTTGATATCAAAACAGGTTTATTAATGTAAATTTGTCCTCTGGGACAACTTCAGAAATAGTAAATACCAGTGTAATGATTTAATAACAGTCCTGATAATCACTGAGCGTTTATTTCTATCACCAGTTCAGATTCTCAGACTTCCATCCTGTTATCTGAAACATATCTTAATGGCTACGAAAATGTGACTTACCTCTAATCTGTCAATAAAGAAGAGATACAGGGATGTATAAAGAAGCAAAAGAAACTCAAGTATAAAGGGTAAAAATAAAAAAAAAAAACAAAATGAAAATGGGTCAAAAGAAAAATAAAAACCAGCATGTAGGTGAAAGTGATGCCTGTCATGTCATAGGAGTATTTGCTAAAAAAAAATTAAGTGGCACACTAAGGCAACATTATATAAGAGTGAATGGGATGATGGTAAGAAAAGAAAAAATAAACATATAAGTACATCAAAAAAGAAGAAAAATGAAAAAAAGGTAAATCAATCTTAGAAAAAATAAGGAAAATCAAAAGACAAAGTGAGTGAAGCAGTAATAATGGACACAGGAAAAATAAAATTTAGAAAAGCCGAAGAAAGGAAAATTTAAGAATCATGAAATGATGGAATAGGGTAGGTAGAAGGGGGAAGACAGAACAAGAATGCCACAAATACTCTTTTTGAAGCAAGTAACAATTATTTCCATTCTAACCTTGGAACAAACACTACAAAACTTTCTTACCTATTTTGTTCTACCAATTATAAAGTAATGCAATGAGGGAATTGAATCTTTAACCCGAACTGTAGTCTTAATAAATTCTCAGTGACCTGACTGAGGACACCCAAAGATTTAATTTTCTGATCATTAACATCTTTAAAACAACAATCAAAAACTATCTGTTGAGGACTAAAATGTGGAAGAATTAAGAGCACTGTGTTAATTATTATTTATTAAACAGTAACAACTAGCACACAGCTAAGGTAATAAACTAGTAAAAGAAAGCCTGGCGCGGTGGCTCACACCCGTAATCAGTATTTTGGGAGGCCGAGGGGGGCAGATCACCTGAGGTCAGGAGTTCAAGACCAGCCTGGCCAACATGGTGAAACCCTGTCTCTACTAAAAATACAAAAAAAAAGTTGGCCAGGTGTGGTGGCACATGCCTATAATCCCAACTACTGGGAGGCTGAGGCAGGAGAATCGCTTGAACCCAGGAGGCAGAGGTTGCAGTGAGCCGAGATCGTACCACTGAACTCCAGCATGGGAGACACAGCAAGACTCCGTCTCAAAAAAAAAAAAGACATGAATTTTATTATGTATAACATATAAAGCCAAAAATGAAAAAGAAGCACCTAACTTGAATACACAGTAACTAATACTTTCATCATAATTACTCTGCTACTTAAAGAAACACGTACTTTGCCTCTAAAAATTATGACTTACCACCCATGGCCTTTTTGCTTCAAGCATCTCAATTAAATCTAAATGTCGCTTCCGTTCATAGAACCTCTCCACATCTTGTTTATATCTTTCATTCCTCTGAACCATTTTCTGTAGATACTCAGTTTTCTCTTTGCATGAGGTCTACAATAAATATATGTTGAACAATCAGTTTGACAGAAAAAATGACAACAGGTCACATCTTTTAACAATGAAAAATAAACGATGGCAAAATTTCACAATAAAGAATTCACAGGAGTTCTTAAGAACTATGTAGACTCCAGCCTAGGCAACAGTGAGACCCTGTCTCAACAAAACACCTAAAACCTGTGTAAAAGCAACATTCATACCCAAGTTCTGGTCTAGGGTCTACAATTTATTAGTCCTAACTGTAAAGAAGCCCTGTCACATCTGAGCCCAGGCTCTTCTTGCCCAAATATCTGCTGCATCCACTTGAAGGGTAGAAGCAATTCACTTAATATAAATGAAAGCTAAACAAAAGCTGTAAAAGTGATATACAAATGAAAAATAGTAATACTAGGATTAGGATGTTAAATGAACACTCATGACTGAAAGGTCTTAGAAACGAGATGAAAGAAAGCTAAGAATTAGCCATTATGGTGTCAATTAATAAATACAAAGATGTACTCAGAACCTAGTAGAATATATGCTTGTATGCTTGTTTTCTTTCAGCGGATGGTCAAGAGTGTAGGTGAGTGTTTCAAGTGAAACTATTTGTTTGACATACAGAAAGGTAAAAGAACAGAATATCTGAAGCTAAAATAACTATAAAAAGCTCAGAACAACTCCTTTGATTATTCACTTTGAATAAGTATAATAAAAACATTTTTTTCCCTGTCTGGTGGACAAAGGTAAAAAATAACATTTAATTACAGTAAAATACATATTATTAAGTATATAAAGTCACAGTTTAAGAGAAAGCAATTGGTTACAAGATTTCTATGCTTATTTCCTGGGTGACACACCAAACCCCTGTGACACAATGTGCCTATATAACAAACCTGCACATGTACCCCTGAACCTAAAATGAAAAACAGATTTCCTTTTTTTTTTTTTTTTTTTTTGAAACGGAGTTTTGCTCTTGTTGCCCAGGCTGGAGTGCAATGGCGTGTTCTCGGCTCACTACAACCTCCGCCTCCCAGGTTCAAACGATTCTCCTGTCTCAGCCTCCCAAGTAGCTGGGATTACAGGCGCCCACCATCACACCCGGCTAATTTTTGTATTTTTAGTAGAGACAGGGTTTCACCATGTTGGCCAGGCTGGTCTCAAACTCCTGACCTCAGGTGATCCACCCGCCTTGGCCTCCTAAAGTGCTGGGATTACAGGCGTGAGCCACCACACCCAGCCAGATTTCCATTTTTTTGACACAGGGTCTCGCTCTGTCACCCAGGCTGGAATGCAGTGGTGCAATCACAGCTCATTGCAACCTTGACCTCCTTGGCTCAAGCAATCCTCCCACCTTAGCATCCCAAGTGCGGGAAGTACAGGTGTGCGCCACCATGCCTGGCTAACTTTTCTCATTTCTTTTCATGTAGAGACAGGGTCTCCCTGTTGCCTAGGCTGGTCTCAAACTCCTGAACTCAAGCGATTCTCCCGAATCAGTCTCACAAAGTATTGGGATTGCAGGTCTGAGCCACCACACCCAGACTAAAAGATTTCTTATTATGAAAATTTACTGTATTTATTTTAGTTGCTGGGATGTAGAAAAAAGATCCATTAAATAAAACACCTTTACAAAGGATATGCTATAAAAGTACATTTTTATGTTTATTAATGGTGAAAATAACCAACATTCCAACTAAATGTGTAATTCTCTTCCAAAGTCTACCCTCATGTGACTGAAAAAAATACATGAGAGAATTGGTTCAACGGAAGTGCTATATTAAATGGCACATGGTATCTCTTCTATTACTCAAAGCCTTACACAGTGCCTGGCACATAGTAGGTGTTTAATAGATACTGAATGAATGAAAGAATAACTTCCTGAGATAATTTTTTTTTATAATACTGTTACTGGTTCCTTAAAAATTCAATTAGTAATACGTATTTGCTGAAATAGTCAACCTTTTTAAACTTCACATTATTAGATCCATTCTCACTCTGTCACTTTAACTGATATTAGCAGTACAATCCTAAGTGAAAAAAAATCACAAATACGAATTCACTCAATGAATCAATACTACTACTCTCTCTCCCATGTTCTGAGATACAGAAATCAATAAGAAACAATACAAATGAGTTGTCTATTTAAAGTACCTCGAGCTGTTTTTCTTTCTCCCTTAAGTTTTTGAGTTCACAGTGATATTTGTGCATTTCTGGGGGACCAATTGACTTTTCAGTGGCTTCGAGGAGTTCAATTTTGCTGAGTTTAGCAAATTCTCCAACTTTGTCCTAGAGCACAAAAATTAAATATCAGCAACTATCATTCATTTACATATATCTTCAAAATGTATTTCACTCAATGCTTACACTTGTCAAGGTGAAACTCATTAAAAAAAACATTTGAGATATAAACCTTTTGTGCATTATTCTTTAGAATAATGAAGATAAACTTAGGATATAAACTGTTACCTTTTTGATCATCTTTAAAAATTTTCTGTGCCAATATTTCAAGGTTGAAATGTCTACATATGTATAATAAAAGTTTGGGAATAAAAGAACACATAGTCCCAAGATGAAAATGATCACTGTCTATTACATATCAGTTGAAATGTTAGAGGGTTTAAAAAGGAAAAAAAAAGGCAATTTCAAACATCTACTTCTGGAGATAATCTGACATCAGCTGGTAAGTGTTAAAATAAATAAAAAGCTTTTAAAAATGTTTAAGTTTTATTTAATTTGCTCATTATGAAATCATCATTGTGTTTCTGAACAAAAAAGAAATTAATATTAGTTAATGCTGTCCCTAGACAGCATTCAAAGTCAAATTTAATAGGTAATATGACTTTAACATTTAACATAAATTATTAGCATTTTTTATGTTTAATAAACTATAACAAGATTTTAGAAGGTATACTTATAAATATAGGAGTTTTATTATATCAAATATTTTGTAGACTCAAATATATGTATAATGTATACGAACAAAAACTGACTAAAAAGTTGTTCATTAACAACATTTTAAGGTTCTACAAATAGAAGCACATAGCTATCTGAGCCACTCTCTGAACTTCAAAAATAATACTTTATTTCAAAATACTCTAATTTAGACTTTTTTACTAATTGAAATTTTCCAAATTACTACAAATTAATAACATTATACTCTAAGTGATGAAATGCTACCTTTACAAAGAACTGTAAGAGTGCTATGTTCAATTTAAATAGCAGTCATTATGATATCCCTTCAACGGCATAAAAAGGAAACACTATATACAAAATTTTCCCATCTTTACATTTATTTCTCTCATACCTGAGGGAGAAACTGGCAAAGATTCCCCACTTGAATATTTAAGGCTGCAACTTTCTCTTCCACTATTTTCTGGGTTGTAGATTTTTTGTTGATGAACCAAAAGGACTGATTTTTTGCCACATCAATCTCACGGGTGATTACAAGATTTCCAGAAGCCCTGAACCTAATTAAAAAATAATTTAAGAATCTTTATATTCAAAATATATACATTAGTTTAGAAATAAAATTCCCAAAATTCTCTTGCACAAAAGGTGCCAGATAGAATTATTATTATGATTTTTACTCCTTTTGATATTTTGGCCCCTCAAGAAGGAAACTTTGGCATTTTATTAGTCATAATGCCATAATTGACCACATCAGTTACTTACTCAACATTCAAAATTATTTAAACTGTTAAAATTAAAGCAAATGTGAACACTAATTCATAAACACTACTAGAGGAGTCACATAGCTGGAGTTGTTTATCCTTTAATTACTATGCTATTCTTCAATCACATGCATTGACTGCAATTCAAAATGTGTTAGTATATTAAAGGGTAGAGCAGTTAAACCTTGAAACTCCCCCTGCTCAGAAAACATATGAATGAAAACTGACTCGTGGCATTTCCAGAAATCAAAACTACCCATACAGGTAGCCCATGGATTCCTCACCATGTACTCCACTCTAAATTCAGAGAGGATTACATCACATGGATATAAAGGAACATTTAGCAATACAGAATCTGAAAGAAGGGTATTTACTTATTTCTCGCTTTTAGAAGTACTACTGCTCCACACCTCCCATCTATTCATCCATCTTCTTCACTGGGATTCAGCAGCATGTGGCAGAAAGATAAATTATTGGTATCCAATCACTAAATGACAATAATAACTTATGAATGTTGTATATATAAATTATATTGTAACCAGACCACTTGGAACAGTAAGACTTTATGACTTTAAAGGAAGTAGTTTTAAACTTTCATTTCCAGCAGAACGACTAATAAAGTACCCTTACTGATCCTCCTGCTGTAAACAACTAAAAATAATAAAATATTAAAACATCTTCATAAATGAATTTATCAGTTAGCATGAAAGTAAGGAATTCTGGCTAACATCATAGTATAGGTGAAAACCCAGAGTGGAAAAATAAAATTGGCTTTCATCTTGAAGGCATTCGCCCAATCAAGTGATCTTGAGGACTCATTTTGATGATCTGCTGGTAAAGGACAAAAACAGACAAAGCCCACAGCTATTCAAGGTGGACAGTCCAATAGAAAGCCATATCTAAGCGATATACCCTCACTGTAAGGGTAAACTAGAAATACTTCACTGCTACCACCACAAGCTGAGAATTCTGTACATTGTGATTCTGAATTGAAAGTATTCAATGGTCTCTGGCAGAAGTTAATAATTTCCTCTGCCGGAATCTATGTTATCTTAAAAGAATTAACACAGATAAAGTTCTAAGAAGAGTAGTTCGCTACAAACACACACACAAGAAGACAAAGCATCAAGAACACTAGCGGAAATAACATAATGCAGAATGATAAATCAAAAATATTAAAGATATTTGGATGACTAAGAAAGCCTAATATGTCTAATAAGAATTCTAGGAGACAGAGAATGGGTCAATGGCAATATTTAAAGAGATAATAAAAAAGAACTTTGCAAAACTGATGAAAGACACCAAACCGTAGGTTTAAGAGTGTCATTAAAACCAAGAAAAGTAAATAAAAAATAAATCCACACCTAAATATATATGAAACTAACATACTTAAAAAAAGAAATGAGTTTATAAGCATCTTCAGAAAAAGAGAATGATTACTATCAAATAAACTAAGATCAGATTCACATCAGAAAACAATGAGAAAAAGAGAATGATTACTATCAAATAAACTAAGATCAGATTCACATCAGAAAACAATGAGAAAAAGAGAATGATTACTATCAAATAAACTAAGATCAGATTCACATTAGAAGACAACAATCAGGCCAGATGTGGTGGCTCACGCCTGTAATCTCAGTATTTTGGAAGGCAAAGGTGGGAGGATCACTTGAGCCTAGGAGTTCGAGACCTGTCTGAGCAACATAGTGAGACCCCATTCTCTACAAAAAATAAAAAAAATTTAAAAAGCTGGGCCTGGTGGTGAGTGCCTGTAGGCTGAGGCAGGAGGATCACTTGAACCAAGGAGGTCAAGGATGCAGTGAGTCATGATCATGACAGGGTGAGACCCCGTCACCAAAACAAAAACAAAAACAAAACAACAAAAAAAGGAATACAGCAATGATATTATACTATACTCTGAATATGAGAAAAGAGACCTGTCAATATAGAATGTTATATCCATGAAACACATCTTTCAAGATTTAGAGCTAAATAATATCGTTTTCAGATTAAAAACTGAGTGTTCCAACAGAAAACTCTCATAAAAGAAAACTTCAAATATCCTTTTGGCAGAAAGTGATCCCAGAGAGAAAATCAGAAATAGAAGAAGGAATGAAAAGCAAAACAGAAATATCTGAGGTAATTCTAAACAAACACTGACAGCATAATTAATATAACTATATTATATTAATAATAATGTTTTGAGGAGTTTTAAAAAGATAGAACTTTAAAAGCATGTAAGTTCAGAGAAGTTATTAAGAACAAAGTACTGTAAAATCTTTGTTTAGCAGGAAGACAGATATTAAGTCTGGACTCCAGCAAGTATACCTGCTAAAATTCCAGTAACCACTAAAAGAATGCCTAATTTCCAAGACAAAAGAGAAGGAAAAATGAAACAAATATCCAACAAAAGCAAGAAAGAAAAGAAATGCTGAAGACTGTGAAAAATAAAAAGCAGAGAATAAGACAGGAAAAATAAGTTCAAACATATATTTGTAAATTGATTATATGCTTTACTTAAAAGACTCCAGAAAAAATAATACAGCTATACTAGTTTAAATGAGATAACAAAAGATATTAAAAACATGAAATGAATGAAAAAAGACAACTAGAAAAATACTGGGAAAAAAAAAAAAGCTGCTAACTACATTAATGGCAAACTAAACGGACTTTAAGGCAAAAGAAAGATAGAGGTCAGTACCTAACAACAGAAAGTTGAATTCACGGCCGGGCGCAGTGGCTCACGCCTGTAATCCCAGCACTTTGGGAGGCCGAGGTGGGTGGATCACGAGGTCAGGAGATCGAGACCGTCCTGGCTAACACGGTGAAACCCCATCTCTACTAAAAACACAAAAAATTAGCTGGGCGTAGTGTCGGGCGCCTGTAATCCCAGCTACTCGGGAGGCTGAGGCAGGAAAATGGCGTGAACCCGGGAGGCGGAGCCTGCAGTGAGCCGAGATCACGCCACTGCACTCCAGCCTGGGCGACTAAGCGAGAAGATAAACAATTTTAATCTTAGATGCAACTAATAATGTCCTAGAAATACATAAGGCGAAAATTGACAGGACAAGGAAAATTCACAAATCTGCATAGAGGAATAGTGTAATACACCTTTGTCAGTAATTAAGGTATCAATCTGACAACTGAAATCAGCAAAAATATAGAAGATTTGACAATATAACTAATAAACTTGCACTAATGCACAAATACAGAACACTGCAGGTATCTACAAAAGAAAACTTATTCTTTTAGCCAAAGAACAATTACTAAAGTTCACTACAAAAAGAAAGACATTTCAAAGGATGAGTAACATAAAACCAGTATCTCTATATATTTAACTGCACTACAATCAAAGTAGAAACCAATACTAAAAAATAAGAAAATCACTACATTAGAAACAACTTCTAATTATGAACTCATAAAGAAAATATTCAGAACTGAAAAACAGTAAATACTATATACTAAAATTTGAGAGATGGAGCTAAAGTAGTAAGTGGGACATTTTTAACGTTAACTGTTCATATTAGGGTAAACAAGACTAAAAATTAGTGCAATAAATATCCATTTCAAAAAATGAGAATCAGTAAAGGTAAGAATAGAAATTAATGAAATAGAAAACCATGATATACGACAAATGCAAAAGTTAGTTCATTGAAAAAAACTACTAAAATTGACAAGTCAATCTTTAGAAGACATACTGTTTTGTATAAAATAATATATATAGTAAACTCAAATAAGAGGATGGTATTCATGTCAATAAAATTTAAAACTAAGAAAAATGGGAAAATCCTTTACGAAGTATAAATAACCACAGTAATCCAAGAATAAACAGAAAAATCTAAGCAACCGATTACTATAAATAAATGAAATCAGTAGTTAGAAAAAAATTAAATCAGTATAGTTAGAAAAAAAAAAAGCCAGATGATTTTTTTTGCAAGACACCCTATAACACACATCAGATTTTTTTAAACAGTAAGCTTAACCAAACATTCAAACTACAAATATCTTTCACAAACAAAATACGGATGTAAAAATTCTAAATAAAATACTAGAAAACCCATCTAGCAACACATCAAAAATACTATGACCAAACTGGGTTATTCTAAGAATGCAAAATTGAGCAAACATCAGGGAATTAATTAATTCTTCAACTTAAATGATATGACCAACTCAATAAATGCGGATAATAAACTCTGTTCTCAATTTACTTGACCTATCAGCAGTATCAGACACAGGTGATAGACAACTGACTCCTCCTGAAGTTGTTCCAAGTGCTGGTTTCCAAGTACTGTATTCTTCTGACTCACTAGCCAACTCTCAGTTTCCTTTCCTAGTTTTCCCTATGTTCAATCTCTAAACGGTGCACTGTAGCAGATACGTTCTTAGAACTCTTCTTTATCTATCCCTGCTTCATTGGTGATTTAATCCATCATAATACTAATGATTTCCCAAATGTGTTTATCTTCAGCTCAGACTTCTCCAAGAATGACAGGTTTATATATCTAACTGCCCACTAAAAACATTTCTACCTGAATCTCAGACCTTTTTGTGTGTGTGTGGAGATGGAGTCTCGCTATGTTGCCCAGGTTGGTGAATTCCTGAGTTCAAGCAATCCTCCCGCCTCTGCCTCCCTAAGTGCTGGGATTACAGGTATGAGCCACCGTGCCCAGCTCTGCCTGAGTATCTACTAGGCATCTCAAACTTTACCATGTTTGATTCCGAAAAGTTCCTTTTTTAAAAAAACATTTTAACATCTCTGAAACTGGGATGCACATTTCAAACTATCTGTGCTAGTTTAATTTTAATTGGAAGCTACAAGTGGTGGCATCTTAGTTCAATGATGTATGATCTGCTCCCAAAACCTTCTGCAGTAGGTCTGTCTACCTCAGTTAATGGAAACTCTACCCTTAATCATGCCAGACATCTTGGAGTCCTCCCTGATATCTTGCTCCTTCTCCCATACTCTGTATATAATTCATAAGCAAATCATAAGCTATCATCTCTCATAGCGTTGTTCTATTAGTCACTTAACTGATATTCTTGCTTTTGCCTTTGCTCTCTTAAAGTTTACTTTCCATACAGCAACCCAATCTGGTTAAACTTTTTAAGTTACATCACATCATTCCTCTGCTAAAAACCAGGCAGCTTCACAGCTTATGCAGAATAAATGCCAACTCCTTACAATGAATACAGGCTTGACTTCCTGATATTTTCGCAGCTTATCTTTTACTATTCTCCTCCTTCAAAGTGATCCAGTCACTGTGGGTACCACTTTAGAGCCTTAGCATTTGCAAATCTCTATACCTGAAATATTATTTCCCCAATTATCTCCATGCTCATTACCTTTCCTCCTTCAGGTCTTTGCTTAAATCCTATCTTCTCAGTGAGATCTTTCCTGATCAGGTTATTTAAAACTGTAAAACTCCACTCTGTCACTCCTATCCTCCTTTTCTGCTTTATTTTTCTATGTAGCACTTATCACCACCTAACATATATACATTTTACTTATCTAACTGTCCCTCCTTATGCCCCTAACTATAAATTCCATGAGGGAAGAGTATCCCCAATGTATAGGTACTCAATAAATATTTGGAAAATGACTACATAAATACATGCCAGAGATTATTCTACCCACCATTCTACTCAAGGAATACATGGCCAGTTAGTATACTTGTTTAATGGCAATAATTTCAACAACTAATGATGAGCTGTTTTACATTTGGTACTCTCAAGGCCATGTGAACCTTCGTGGAAAAAGTGCTTGACGTTTATATACTTAAATTTTATTTATGTGTAGGGTGTTAGGTAAAGCTCTAAATTTATCTTTAAAAAATTAACTTTTTTAAAGTTATATAATAAGATAATTATCACAGCTCAATTTGAATAATTTACATTATGATACTGTGATATACAGGTTGAGTATCCCTGTATACTCCAAAATCCAAAATGCTCCAAAATCCAAAACTTCTTGTGTGCCAACATGACATTCAATGGTAATGGTCATTGGGGTGTTTCATATTTCAGATTTTCAGATTGGGGATGTTGAACCGATAAGTATAATGCAAATATTCTAAACTCAAAACAAATCCAAAATCCAAAACACTTCTGGTCCCAAGTGTTGCAGATAAGGGATACTCAGCCTGTATTAAGAAATATGTAGGCCGGGTATGGTGGCTCACACCTGTAATCCCAGCACTGTGGGAGGCCAAGGCGGGCGGATCACTTGAGGTCAGGAGTTCAAGACCAGCCTGGCCAACATGGCGAAACCCTGTCTCTACTAAAAATACAAAAATTAGCCAGGTGTGGTGGTGGGTGCTTGTAATACCAGCTACTTGGAAGGCTGAGGTGGAAGAATCACTTGAGCTCGGGAGACAGAGGTTGCAGTGAGCCGAGATTGCACCACTGCACCCCAGCCTGGGCGACAGTGACACTCCGTCCCAAAAAAAAAAAAAAAAAAAAAAAATTATTTAGTCTCTGTCCTCAATTCCTGACACAGAACTCCTAATCCCTTGGAATTTCCTAGGTGACAAGTGTGTCTTTTTCTAATGAGGCAACTCTTGTTGGGCTCCTGGATGTGGGCTGGTCACCAGAAAGATAAAGCCATGAACAGAAACTTAGAACCTTCAGCCCCACCAACCTACTCCCCATCCTCTGGGAAGGGAAGCAGGGCTAGAGATTGAGTTTCTTATACCCATGTGATGAAGCCTCCATAAAATTCCCTGAACCATGGGTTTCAGAGAGTTCCCAGATTACGAAACACATCCATATGCTGGGAAAGTGGGGAAAGAAGCTCCTGCACTCCGGACCCTTCCAGACCTCGCCCTGTATTTTGCTAATCATCTGCATCTTCTGTAGTATCCTTTATAATACATGGGTAAACCTAAGTGTTTCCCATCCTAGCAAATAACTGGACCAAGAAAGGGGTCCTGAGAACCTCAATTTACAGCTGGTTGGTCAGAAGTACAGGGCACAACCTAAGACTTACAAATGGCATATAAAGTGGAGGGCAGTCCTGTGTGACTGAGCCCCTAAACTATGGGTCCTGCACTAATTTTTGGTTAGTGTCAGAATTGAACTGAATTGCAGGGTGTGGGGAAAAAACCCCACACATCTGGTGTAGAAGTGTTCTGTGCTGTGTTGAGTTTGAGAATAGCAAAAACAACTTTGGTTTTTCCTATCTCTTAAAATATCCCACACTTAATTAAACTGCCACTTTTATAATAAGTTCTCATGTACATTTCGATCTGTTCCTGGTTTCTACATTCTGCTCCTCTCATCTTCTATACCAGTATCACGCTTATTTTTAAATCAACAACTTTACAGTATACTTCAACATGTGGTAGACAAAAATCTTATTTACAACTTTGCTTTTTCAAAATCTCCTTGGGTTTTCTGGCACATTTATTCTTCAAGATGAAGTTTAGAATCAACTTGTAAACTTACCTGTTGAGACTCTCATTGTAATTGTATCAAATGTATGTATTAATTTACAAAGGATTGACTTTTTTTGTTTTTGTTTTTTTTGCAGACAGAGTCTCACTCTGTCACCCAGGCTGGAGTGCGGTGGCACAATCATGGCTCACTACATCCTCTACCTCCCCAGGCTCAGGTGATCCTCTCATCTCAGTTTCCTAAGTAGCTAGGACTACAGGTGCGCAGCCAGGCCTGGCTAATTTTTGTATTTTTTGTAGAGATGGGGTTTTGCCATGTTGCTCAGGCTGGTCTCCAACTGCTGGACTCAAGCAATCACTTGCCTTGGCCTCCCATAGTGCTGGGATTACGCACATGAGCCACTGCACCTGGTCTGACATGTTAATAATGACATTAACTTTATGTTTCTAGGAACGTATCACGCACCTCCATTTCTTCAGGTCTTGATTTTATATTCTTCAACAAAATTCTATCATATTTTAATAAGTTGGGTATTTCAAAATTTATTTTCTTTTTACTTCCATGTTTATCTTTCTCATCTCTATATAAATAAAAACTGAGTAATTTTTTATAAAAGAACGTTTCCTCATCTCATATCAAATAGTAGGGCTATCAGATAATCTTTAAAGGCTTTTCAGCTCAAAAATGCCACAACTTTCCACTAATATTCCAACAGCAACAGTCTCTAAAAATCACCTAAATAATGTGCATATTTATGTGTAAAGGATTAAAATTATATATACCAAGGATGGTCAACTGGTTTCATCATAAACATCAACTCTAGTCTATCAAAAATAGCTGCCAAGAATGGCCAATTGAGAATATCCAAGCTCAAGGGAAAAGAATACTATGATGAATTATTGGTGTCATAAGGGAGAAAATAAAAAATGGTGACAGAAGTACCAAGTCCTTGTCATACATGAGATTCATCAAACTATTAGCAGTAGTTATTTATAGAATTAGGAATGATGGCAAGAAGGCTTTTATTTTCAACATTATACACTTCTACATTGTTTGCGTTTTTTAAAGACAAGCAAGTATTACTTTCAAGATCAGCAAAAAAAAAAAAACCCAGATACTTTAAATTTGTGAAAAATATTGCAACTTCATCATGACTACTTAATAGTAGTATAGTTCTATTTCATTACCTGCTATAAACTTATCATTTCCTTGATAATTTTTTAAAATAAAATTCTCACAAGTTTTTTTTTTGGGGGGGGCAGGGGGCATGGGCAGAGTCTAGCTCTGTCTCCCAGGCTGGAGTGCAGTGGCGCCATCTCGGCTCACTGCAACCTTTGCCTCCCAGGTTCCAGCAATTCTCCTGCCTCAGACTCCCCAGTAGCTGGGATTACAGGCATGTGCCACCATGCCTGGATAATTTTTCTATTTTTAGTAGAGACGGGGCTTCCTCATGTTGGTCAGGCTGGTCTCCAACTCCTGATCTCAGGTGATCTGCCCACCTCGGCCTCCCCAAAGTGCTCAGATTACAGGCATGAGCCACCATGGCTAGCCTACAATTTAAGTTTTTAAAATATATTTTTTAAACCCCTTACTTATCTGGATTAAGTATTCTTTAAATATTATTTCCAATATTTATGCCATAATACTATATTAATACTCTTTTCTAATCATCAGGAAAACATGAATATAAACTAAGAATTTTATAGGAAAAAGGAGTTTTAGCACTTTTAACACTTACAATTCAATTTCAACCATGCCTCTAGAACATCCTCTCTTCACAAAAAACCCAACCTAAGACATAAAAAAGAAAAAGTGAGCTGTGTAGTGACATTCCCAGGTTAACAATCAGAGATTTAGCAGTCATTATTATTTGTCAAATCAAGATTTTTTTCAGGTACCACTTGTATGTTCGCTCCTGTCACTTTCTAAGGTATCTCTCCCAGATCTGGGTTCCTCCATTGTTCCCTCCCACAAATAACAACAATAATAATATTAGGTAAGATTTATCGAACTCCTATGCACTCCATAGCCTCTTACCAACCTCGTGACAAAGCCAGTAAGTGCCAGAAAAACGATCTGAACCCAGGAAATCTTGGCTCCAGAGCCTGTGTACTTGTCCACTATATTAAACACCCAGACAGAAGAGAAAATGCCTGTGGGAAAACAGGTCCTATAGTATAACCACTAAGCACTCAAAGCTTCTTATTACCATTGAAGACTTCCTACAGTCGCGCAGGTTAAATATTAACAACCACGCTAATATTACCTATCCTGTTAATGATATAATTGCCACCAAGCATCGTTCTAAAAGGAGCAATATAATTGAAATTTACATGATAAAGCAGACATATCTGTGCTAGTTTCTATATGCTTATGAGTCTAAGTCCGAAAACAAAGTCTGAGCCTAAAAAAATCAGACTGGATCTTAAATCAGGCTATAAATAAGTGATAAATATTAAAAAAGGTAGAAAATATACCTCACAAATAGTAATCTTTTTAATAGTGATAATGACAGTGATGACAACAGCTAACATTTATCAAGCATTTACTATATACTGTTGTGCTAAGCACTAAACATGTATTTTTCTCATTTAATACTCATAAGCAACCTTGAAGTATACATTCATTTTATAGACAATAAAGCTGAGTCCCAGAAAGATGGGAGAAAAAAAAAAAAAAAAGCCTTATCTTGTAACCACCAAGTACAGCCTAATGCTTAAAAGTACAGGTTTTAACATCTACTATCTAGGTTCAAATCTCAACTCCACCACATACAAGTTGTTAAACATTGGACAGTTACTTAACCTCTCTGTTTCCTCACAGGAAAACCAAGGACATCCATGTAGGAATGACATCTGCTCATTAGCTTGCAAGAATTAAAAGACTTGGTACCAATGAGGAGGAAACAAAAATCAGGAGGCAGTTCTTATTATAAAGTATCCATACAGATGGTGTAGAGTATGTTTTTGTTAAATTTTTATATTAGCATTTAAACAAAAATACATTAAATATTCTTGCTGAGAACTTGGGCATCCCATAAATACATCTGTGTACCCAAAGGGCTGCAATCTGTCATCTAGGAAACACTGCACTCCACAGCCTCCCTTAAAAATCCTATCACTCAAGGATGAGATGTGTTTTCATGACAAAAATCAACATGAGAAAGTTAGTAAAAATTGTTATAGCCAATTCAGTCCTACTGTACAGCCCCTGGAGTACAATCCAACAGACGATTACAAAGAGATAGGGATTAAATGATCTGACAATTAAAAAACTATATATCAATATTCATAAAAATCTGAGTTGGTCCTTGGATGCTATCTGTTCCAACTCTCTCATCTTTGAAATGAAGAAAAACTGAAGTCCAGATAATTGCTCAAGGTCACAAGGCTAGTTATTAACAGAGAAAAGTATCTTCTACCTGATAAATGTCTTCCATATAGCACTAAACACACACACACACATTTTAAATAATTTATAATCTTAAGGGGAATTTGCTTCCATTTTGTAACCATCCATTAACTTTTAATTTTTTTTTTATTATTTCTATCTTAATAGAAATAGGATATGGTCTACGTGGTGTCCATTTTTTGAAATTTTTTGATACTTGCTTTATGACTCAGTATACAATTAACTTTTAGAAATGTTAACTTGTGCTTGAAAAGAATGCATACTCTCCAGTTGTTGAGTGCACTTTTTATAATATGTCCATTAGTTCAAGCTTAACTTCATTGTTCAAATCTTTTGTAGTCTAATTTTTTTATCTGACTGGTCTACTATTATTGATAGCTCTCCCAGTATGATTATGGATATGTTAACTGCTTGTTAGCATTCTGCAGATTTTGCCTATATATTTTGGAGCTAGATTATAATGTGAATTTGAGTTGGGAATCGAATTATCTTCCAGTGAATTAAAACTTTCGTCAGTGTTTAATGACCACTATTATCTATAAAATACTTTTTGCTCTAAAGTCTGTTTTTCCTAGTATTAATGCAGCTACATCTACTTTCTTTTGCATATTTGCCTGGCATGTATTTTTTTTCATCCTTTCACTCTCAACTTTTCTGTAGCACTTTATTTTAGATATGCTTATTAAAAACAAAAGAGAACTAAACATTGTTTCATTTCTCCATTCTAACAGACTTTATAATTTAATGAGAGTTTAGAGTTTAGATCATTTATAATCATTGTGATTATATCTGCACATATTTCTACCATCTTATTTTGTGATTTTTATTTTATTTATTTTTCTTGAGACAGAGTCTCACTCTTGTTGCCCAGGCTGGAGTGCAATGGTGCGATCTTGGCTCACTATAACCTCCGCCTCCTGGATTCAAGCAATTCTCCTGCTTCAGCCTCCCTAGTAGCTGGGATTACAGGCACCCGCCACCATGCCTGGCTAATTTTTGCAGTTTTAGTAGAGACGGGGTTTCACCATGTTGACCAGGCTGGTCTGGAACTCCTGATCATGGCCTCCCAAAGTGCTGGGATTACAGGCATGAGCTACCGCACCCAGCCAATATTTTGTCATTTTTAATGATCTCATTTTTTGTATCTGTTTCTTATCTCCTCCTCCTCCTCCTTTCTCAAGACTCCCTCTGGATTGTTCGGGCAGTATTTTTCCGCCCCCCACTCTCATGAATATGGTTAAGTGCCCTACGCAGGTGTACCATTTTTATCTTTTACACTGTATTTTTACTGTACCTTTTCTATATTTAGAGATGTTTACATAAGTACAGTGTAGGCCATTGTGTTACAATTGTCCACAGTATTCAGTACAGTAACATGCTCTACAGGAGTGTAGTCTAGGAGCAATAGGCTACACCATATAGCCTAAGTGGATAGTAGGCTAACCCATCTAGGTGTAAATATTCTCTATTATGTTCACACAATGACAAAATTGTCTAATGATGCATTTTCTCAGAATATATTCCCATCATTAAGCAACATATGACTGGATTTTGTTTCTGCCCTTTGTAAGTTTACTTCACTGTTCCACAAGCCAAGTGATGCATTTAAAAAAAAAGACATATTACATTATTTCTAGCATTTTAGGTGTAAGAGACTTGAAGAATCCTCTAGTATTATGATCCAAAATACTTCTAGAAATGAAAATCTCCTTCTAGCTTCTCTACCTGCCAAATTTATTCCTTGTATTCATGCACTATTAAGTTTGCTATACCCAAGGAACTGAGGTGTAGAAATTGATGTTACTAAAAGCAATTAATAGGTTTGAAATTTCTTAAAAAGTAATTATATTAACTCACCTTATCTGCTCGTCCCATGAAAGCAGGTTTTCCAGCTAAACCAAGGCAAATGGCACACACAATGCTCGACTTCCCTGTTCCATTGGCTCCAACGATCATATTCAAGTGGGGTCCAGGAGATACTTCACAAATATCATATGTTCTGAATTATAAAGAGATGAAATTATTAAGGAGAGATACAAAACCACTTTTCCTTGCTTTACATTATCTATGAGCTTCCTCAAATTCCTTTAAAAACTAGCTAACCTTACAAATTTAATGTTTTTTTATAGGTTTTTAATAAACAACTTTAGAAAGAATACCAATAGAAGAAATGAAAAGGCAGTAATGCATAACTAAAGAATATAATTTCATATACTTTTTTCAAAAGTCTGCTGAAGAAAGTGAAGTTTGATACCTTGTTCTTTTTTAATAATTACAAAACACTGGACACTATATCAAAGATACTACACAAAATAACTTTAAAACAAATTTTATAGGAGACGCCACGGCTTACCTTGAATCTGTGAATTTTACATTCATATTTCTTTTAAATTATAATGCTTAATGGTTATTCATATTTTAATATTTCAAACAATCTAAGCAGATTTTTAATTACAAAACTGAAGATATATCTCAACCCAAAGGTTTCATTTTATTAACTTTTAAAAATTATTTTCCAAGCCAGGCACCATGGTATGTGCCTATAGTCCCAGCTACCAGGGAGCCTGAGGCCAGGGTACTACTTGAGCCTAGGAGGTCAAAGCCAGCCTAGGCATCATAGAGAGACACTGCCCTACAAAACAAAAGTTGAAAGCTGACTAGCACTCTAATTATAGTTAGCATCTAATCTTTATTAGTTGCTAGGGACAGTTATGACAAAATGTGAAGCAAACTCTGACTCAGACATTCTTTTAACTCGCCTTTGAATACTCTGAATTTGAACCCATAAAGTGTCCTTTGTCCACAGCATTTCAGTTAGCTCTCAGGTAGCTGCCAACTAATTCCTCATGAATAAATGCTTAGCCTGCTATTCATCTGCTAAGTATATAAATAACCAAGCACACACATTAATATTTTAAGAAATTAATGATTTTGAAATGTCGGGTGGTAATAAAAATACAGGTGGCAAAGACGTATTTTCTGGCAGGTTTGCTAATCCCACACCTCTACACAGCATCTACTACTTTATCTTTTTAGCTGTTTTGTTCTGCTAGCAGCTGGGTTTCAAAAGAGCCCTTTATTATGGTTACAATAAAACTAGTTTGGGAACTTCAGACATGTAGGAAATTACCTGACATGGAACTTCTTACGCTCAACACATGAAGCCCCACTTGGATTTCCTGTTGTGAAATCTCTGTGTAAATGTTATACTAAAACGATGAAACTGGTATTTAAGAAAACAGAACAGGGAAAAGCATGAGAATTTCTGGCCTATAAAATACGCATCGATATTACAAATAGGGACAGTTGCCAAAAACAAAGCCTCTGCAATTTTTTTTTTTTTGGCGGGGGTAGGCGGGGGATTTTTCTTGCCTTTAGCTACCCAGATCAAGTGTCTGCACTGTTTAAAATCAATCTTCTGATTCTACGATGTATTTATTGGGAATTCCCTTATCATGAGTTTCCTTTCCTCTGAGCTCCCTCTGAAAGAGCTATTGGTAAAGACCCACCCTCTTATCATTCCATATACTTCACGAGGTATCTCATGTATTCTCTATGGCCTCAATGATTCCTTTTTTTCTCCAAGTCTTTGCATACTATCTACATGCTGAAAGCAGTCCAGATGACCTCTATATGCAATGGTCACCTCAATAACGCTATTTGAATGTCCCATAACAGTCATCTTAAACTTAACACATTTAAAACGAAATCCACCATCTTTCCCATCCAAAACCACTCTTGTGGTCTCTTAGTGAATGGTATTATCATTCATGCCATTGACCAAATCAGAAACCTAGGCATTAGTTTTGCATCCTCTTTGGTTCTTTCATCTCTTTTGACTCCACCCAAACCACCACTCCATCATCCAATCAATCACCAAGTGATGCTGGTAGAATTGTAAATCTGATGTCACTTGTTAAAAAAGAAAAATTAAGGAAAAACCCATCACAGCCGAGTTTCATCTTTTTCTACTTTTTATCTCCTTTCCCTATTCTCTCCTTAGACCTCTAAATTCTACCTATAATGTACTTCTTTCAGTTTTGTGACTATAATTCCTTATTGCTCTGAAGTATTTGCACATGTTATTCCTTCAGCCTCCAAGTGTCTTCCTCCACTCCCAACTCCATTTGACTTGGTTCACTCACTACTCTCTTCCAGGCCATTTACATTCTCTAACTACCCATCTTATTTCCTTGCTAATTCTCTAAGCGCATCTTTCTCTACCTCATGCCTAAAACTCAAAATCCCCTCATTAAAATAAACAGCATCTCACCAACCTCTGCACTTCCAGCTACCTTCTCTTTCTTCTCTTTGCATCCGGCCTGCAAAGTTTTCTGCTTCCACTGCTTCATTAAAAGGTCAAAGATTTCCCAATTGCTAAATGCAGTGGGCTCTTTTCAGTCCCGCTATCTGACTTCAATGTAGCAGGTGATATTTTTGAAACATTCTTTTTCCTTGGCTTCTTTGATAATTGTCTCCCACTGTTTTCATCTTACCTCCCTGAATAGTTCCTTCTGACTTTGAGTCCTTCTTCAGTTCACCCTTAATGTAGGCATTCTCCCAAGACTCTGTACATGGTCTTCTAGTTCTTCAATTCATAATTCCTATTGGGCAATCATAACCAGTTCTGCAACTTCATCAATCACCTGTATGCATGACTCCCAAAACTCTCATCTGTTCATATTTTCCTCTAAGCTCCAGACTCCTACATTCTGCCTATAGAACATCTCTCTTAGATGCCACAAAGGAAACTTTAAGTCACAGGATCTAAGAGGCATTTATTATTCTCCTCAAACTGCTCCCTCTTCTGAATAGCACCTGATCAATTAGCTAAGGCTCTTACACTTGGGAAAAATGCTGCATTCCTCCCTTTCCCCCATGCCTCACAACTATTCTGTAGCTGGATCCTGTCAAATCTCATTCCTTCACACTCTGATCATCTCTTGCCTTCGTATTGTCTTTTTGCTTCCAATCTTGCACCCTTTCTAAATCATCCTCTACAGTGCTTCCAGAATAACACAGAACACACGTCATTCCCTGTTGAAAACACACCGTGGCTGCCTACAGGATGATGTCGGAACTTCTTAGCATAGTAAACATACAGGCCCCTGAATGGTTGCTTACCCTTTGTCCAAATACTCATTCACATCCTATATTCTTGCCTTACTAAAATACTTGACGCTTTCTAAATATACCAAACTATTTCAGACAGTTCCTTCTGTCTTCAATGCTCTTCACTTCTTGCAAGACTTTCCTATCTTCTTAGGCGGGTGCAGTGGCTCATGTCTGTAATCCCAGCACTTTGGGAGGCCGAGGTGAGTTTCTTGAGCCCAGAAGTTCGAAACTAGCCTGGGCAACATGGTGAAACCCCATCTCTACAAAAAAATTTTAAAACATTAGCCAGGTATGGTACGCGCCTATAGTCCGAGCTACTTGAAAGGCTGAGGTAGGAGGATCACTTGAGAAGGGGAGGTCCAGGCTTCACGGAGCCCTGATCATGCCACTGAGCTCCAGCGTGGGCAACAGAGCAAGACCAAAGACTTTCATATCTTCTTTACAAAGCCCTTTCTCATACTCGTAGACAAAACTAACCACTTCATCCTTTGTGAAGGATCCTGATATATGTTGTTATGGTATCTAACTCATTTGATTACATTTATCTTTCCTGATCTGGATTCAAATAGCAATGCAACTATGTAACAGCTGCGTAAAACTGGGCAAAATAACCTACTGAGCTTCTTTCAGCAATGGAAATTATCAAGATAGAGTTGTTATGAAGAAAGAATGAGTGCACTATGTACCTGGCACACAATAGGTGCTTGAAAAAAAAAGGTAGTATTGTTATTACAATTCTGTTATCCTTATGCCACTATGTGCAAGCTTTAAAAAGACTTCCGGCCGGACATGGTGGCTCACGCCTGTAATCCCAGCACTACGGGAGGCCGAGGCGGGCAGATCACCTGAGGTCAAAAGTTCCAGATCAGCCTGGTCAACACGGTGAAACCGCGAGTCTACTAAAATACAAAAAAAAATAGCTGGGCGTGGTGGCGGCTGGCTGTAATCCCAGCTACGCGGGAGGCTGAGGCAGGAGAATTGATTGAAACTGGGAGGCGGAGGTTGCAGTGAGCCGAGATTGCGCCACTACCTTCCAGCCCGGACGACAGTATGACACTCCGTCTCAAAAACAAAAACTAGCCGGGCGTGGTGGCGCGCGCCTGTAGTCCCAGCTACTCGGGAGGCTGACCCAGAAGAATCGCTTGAAACCGAGAGGCGGAAGTTGCAGTGGGCCGAGATCGCGGCACAGCACTCCATCCAGCGTGGGCTACAGGAGCGCAACTCCGTCTCAAAAAAAAAGAGGAAAAAAAAAAAAAAAAAGACCTGGAACAAATGAACTGGAAGGTGCTAGGCAAATACATGATATATTTAAAACTTACTAAATTCTAAAGCGGTAACTAGTTGTCTGAAGGGGAGAGGGAGGAACCAGGGAAGAAAACTGGGTTTAGTGGGGTCAAGGGTTTGTAGGGAGGTCCAACAATTGCCAGTAAGTGTTTAATTTTTTTGTACCTGTAACCTCCATTCCCGAACAACCTTTACCGTCTTATCTACTCCTCTCTGGCAAATGCCTACCCTAAGAATCCGCCACAGCATCACTATCACGCCGAATTAACTGTTGCCTCCTCTTAAGTTCCCGGGGACAATACTTCTGTGAATTCCAGACCAGGGCCGCTATGGATCGCGACTCCCAGCGGGCAGAGACCTACTCCCTCCTACAACCACTACCTGCTACATGACACCTTTGGAAAACCTTGGCTGACTAAATTTAAAAACCACATCACCCAAGGCACACATCTCCTACATCATACACGTCAATCTCCACAGCCTACGTAGGAAAATCCTCAAGGGAACCCCGGCACGAATTCAAGGCCAGACCCACAAGCCAGGTACACACCCACACGCCCACGCCCGCGCGCTGCCGGAGCCCCGGGGCCTGCTGGCCAGCACACCTCCACACCCGCGGCGCGGCCTCCGGGCAACTTACAGGAAGTTCTCCATCGAGATGCGGACGATAGAGCCTTCCACGAAAGGCCCGGACGACTGCAACAGCGGCAGCTGCGGGGCCGAATTCTTCCTCTTGCTCGGGACCTCCGACGAAGGGTCTCTCGGGAGAGCTCTCTTGGAAGGCTGGGGGCTTGGAGTTGACGTCTTCTTGCTCGGAGTCGCCATCCTGGCTTCCTCAGCGTCCCACAGCGACTTCCGTTCCCACCGTCCGGCAGCCCAGGCGCCCAAGCGCCCATCCACCCAGGCGCCCCGCTCCCGCGCGAACTGCCGCGAACTGTTACCGCGCGCTCGCTCCCGCGATCTCGCGCCGCGCCTGCGCAGTTCAGGTCCGGCGACGTCAGCAGGCCCGCCCCGCCCCTCCCGCGCTCCGCCGCGCTGTGCGAGGCCCAGACTGAGGGCGAAACAGCAGGCAGGACTGGGTGGAGACGTTCGGGGACGTGGCAACTGGAGTTTCTTCTCCGTATATTTCGGCATTCAGTTCCTTTTTTTTTTTGTTTTAACTCAGGAAAAAATCTCAATTGCGTTTAGTATTTTGAAAGCCACTTTATTGCTTCCCGAGCCTCAGTCATGTGTGGTGGGAGGCTGCTGTGGGTGGCACCTGGGGCGTCCACGGCCGCCAAGGCGGGAGGACGTCAGGCCCTGCTTGCTCCCACCCCTTCCAGGTGAGAGCTCCCGGGCACGCCCGTCGTTGGCTCTTCGTCCTCTTGGTGTTCTTCCCTGTTGCTTCAAATCAGGTTCCTGTCTCAAAAATCCGAAAAAGAAATCCTCCCAAATGACTCTGTGCCCGACGCTCCGTTAAGGCATCGTGCTAGGCGTTCTCAAACTCGTGAAATGACTACACTGCACAGGTTAACCTCATTGCTACTCTTCCCCTTGCCTCCTAATTCTCTGGTTAAACTTCCGCCCCCGAGGTTTCTAGAAATCCCTGAGCTGGAATGCGCTGCCTTCATTAAGAGGGTGTTCTGCTTCCGTCTGCTCACATTCATCTAGTAAGCCCTCTCGTTAAAGAGGAGGCAGCACACCGAGGCCTGTCTAGAACTTCTTTCATTTAACCAACAGTGAATATCTAATCTACAAGAAACTGGAGCCGTGGCAGTTTAGGAGCCTGCCAAGGTTGCATCCCTGGGAGCTTATTTTCTATTGTGGGAGACAGGAAAAGAACAAGTGAATCAACTGTGAAATTAAATAATTCAAACTTAAAGCTGTTGGAACTTTAAATTATTCTGAGCCTTGCGAAGAATGTGGCGATGGGGCCTGAGTCCCATGGCATACAGCTGCAATGTCTGCCTTGTTTTTTCCTATAATCAGGAAGACCAAACAGAGACAGAGGTAAGACCCCCTCAGATCACTACCCCCTTCATAAATTAATATAGTTATCTTCCTTGGAATGTAGCTATCTATAACTAATCTAATCGCTGTAATTTATGCACTGCTCTTGTATTGAAAATGTACTCCTGCTGAACCTTCTCTGTTTCTGCCTGTGTAAATGAAACCTTAACTTCACTTTGGAACATTGACCCTATTTGTTTGGAGTTGGTGTTTCCAGGTGGCTGTCCTCAAGCTTTGCGTTAGAATAAACTCTATACTTAATGATATTTTCTGAATTTCACTACTTAAGGCTGACACAACAAATGATTAGCATAATGTCAGACTGTGACAGGTGTTAGGAAGAAAACAAAATGAACCTGATGGGTGGGAGGTACGGAAGGCCTCTTAGAGAGGTGGTGGTGTTTAAGATAAACTCTGAAGGACGAGAAGAAACTGTGACGATCTGAGAAAAGAGCACCCCAGGCAAAAGAATTTTGCTGGAACATACCAGTAAGGACAAAAGCTCTGAGGTGGGAAGGCCAGTGTTGCTGCAGAGCAGTGAACAAGGTTGCAGAGCAGAACCTTGTCCATCGTGGAAAAGCCTGAATTTTATTTTTAAAGCAATGGGAAGCCATTGCAAAGTTTTAAGCAGGAGAGGGCCATGTTCTGACTAAAGCTTTTAATTTTTTTATTTGATTTTTTTTATTTGATTTTTTTGAGACAGAGTCTCACCCAGTCGCCCAGGCTGGAGTGCAGTAGTGCCACCTCAGTTCACTGCAAACTCTGCCTCCCTCGTTCAAGCGGTTCTTCTGCCTCAGCCTCCCGAGTAGCTGGGATTACAGGTGCATGCCACCACACCTGGCTAATTTTTGTATTTTTAGTAGAGACGAGGTTTCACCATTTTGGCCAGGCTGGTCTGTAACTCCTGACCTCAAGTGATCCGCCCACCTCGGTGTCCCGAAGTGCTGGCACTACAGGCATGAGCCACTGTGCCTGGCCTTAAAGTTTTTAAATAATAATTCTGGTTGCTGTGTGGAAAATGGATTAGAGGGCACCAAGTGTGGAAGTGGAAGGCCACTTAGAAAGCTATTGCAGTAGATCCCTGATTCCTGACTCCTAGACCAAAGCTCCTTTCCCAGGTCTCTGCTGCTTCCTCTCACACAAGGACTCCGCTCCAGAGAAAATAGAGTAAGTAAAAAGCATGTGAACTTGTCGTAGTTACTGGAAATTTTCTTAAATGCAAATGAAAATGAGAGAGACGGGAAGGAAAAATCATTGAAAAAATTCAGACTGCAGCAGCAGCCTACCTGAAAAGTCACAGCAACAGGCAAAAAATAAAACAACCTTGGGAAAACCTCAGGTTGCACCTGGACAGATAGACAGCTTTAAGCACAGATAAACAAGCACAGGAGTGGGAGAGTCTCGACTTCATACTCATACAATGGGCCCCAGTAAAAACTGTGAGACTTAATAAGTACATTCCTTTCCGTTTAGGCCCACTAAGATACGGAAGCGAGAAGCTTATACAGGGAGGGTTGGGGGATGCCTGCAGCTGCAAGAAAATGTCTGGGAACAGACACAGAAACTTAAGCGACACAAAGCAGCACAGAGCAGCATAAACTAAAAGCCTGCTTATGTGATCAAGGAATTGGGTAAAGGCTGTTAGGAACTCTGCTCTATGCCGATAGCACACCTGGTCCCAACTAAATCTTCAGGCCCTGGGAAGATAAGACACCCCTCCTCACTAGTCCATTTATAAAAACCCTGACGTTTTTACTACAACTTGGCAGTCCAGTCAGACTCCCCTCTCTAATGCAGAGAGCTTCTTTTCTTTCTTTCACTTATTAAACTTTTGCTCCAACCCCACCTTTGTGTCCACGTTCCTTAATTTTCTTGGACGTGAGGACAAAGAACCCAGGGTACTAGTTCAGACAATGAGAAACTGCTACGTTAAGGTGCGTTGGTGAGACTGCAACAAAAATAAAGAATAATTTTTAAACTGTTCAAATGGCGGTGAGTAACGAAAAAACTCAGTGCTCAGGAGGGCACAATACTGTCCTTCCCTGAGTTGCTAGCATGAATTTTTTGAAAAGTAAAGGCTCTGCTTCAAGAGCTGTAGAAAAGTCAGATTGTTTGATGAAGTTACTACATTTAGGGGAATCTACCCTGATGAACAAATAAGAATTATAGACATTAGTAATGGGAGCTGAGGGCAGGGAGCTAGTCATCATTTTTGTACAATGATCAGTCCTTTTTTTTCTTCCCTTTTTTGGCAATCAATAGCAACATTTATTTCCTAGATCCCCCAGGAGAGGGGTAAGGAGCCAAGAAACCCCACATTATAAGACTTGGAGCCTCTGAAGTAGCTGTGTGAATAGCATGATTAAATAATTTCAGATTTTCTGTGTCTTCTTGAGTCAGTTTTAATAGGTTGTGCTTTTCAAGTAATTTGTCCTTTTCATCTAAGTTGTCAAACTTATTACATGAAGTTATGTGTTAATATCCATTAACGTTTGCAGCATCTATAGTGATGCTTCCTCTTTCTCACTTGATACTGGTAAATTGTTCATTTCTTCCTCTCATTTATTAATCTAGTAGAGGTTACGTATGTTTTATTAATCTTTTTAAAGGAACAACTTGATTTTTGCTTTTGTTGACTTTTGATTTCATAATTTCTACTTATCTTCGTAATTAACTTTCTGTTAAAGTTTAATTTGTTCTTTCCCCTCCAGCTTTTTAAAATTTGTTCTTTCCTCCTCAGCTTTTTAAAAATTATTTTTTGAATATATATATATTTGTACATATTAATGGGGTACATGTGCAATTTTGTTACATGCGTATGATATGTAATGATTAAGTTAGGGTATTTATAATGTCTATGTGATGGGTCCCTTTCAAGTCTTCCAGCTATTTTGAAAAATACAATAGATAATTGTTAACTATAGTCACTCTACTGTGCTATCAAACATTAGAATGTATTCCTTCTATGTGATTAGTCTTTAGTGAACTAATCAAATTGTGTTTCTAAACTTGAAATTTTAGAATGAGTCCCTGAACTTGTGATGACTTCACAAATGTAGACACTCTACAAGTTTTAAACAGCTACTCAGTCATGCTGTAACACCATCCTTTTAAAAAGGAAATGTTACTGGTTTTAGCTGTGATTACCATAGCAACACATGTTAAATGCAGAAAATTTGGGAAAACACACAGAAAAACAAACACATGCAAAGGAAAAACTTATAATTCCTCTACCCAGACTAATTGTTAAAATTTTGGTGTATGTTTTGGCATCTTTTTTTCTTGTATACTTGTACATATGGTCTGTGCCTTTTGTTTTAAAAAAGGATGATTCTGCACAAATTGTTCTATAGATACCATATTTACCCCTGTCCCCCACTTAATATATTATGAATAACTTTCCATGCCATAATTTTTTTTGTGATATAGTTTTTTTTTCTGTGATATAGTTTTAAGTAATCACATAGTATTCCATTAAACAAATGTACCATTCTTGATTTAAATAGTTCTCATTTGTTGGATTCTGTATAACTGGAAGTTAGCATAACCAAAGATTCTCTGGCAAACTATACTAGCTCAGTGCTTTTTAACACTTTGAAAATTTCATGCACCTATCAGAGTATACACATTATCTTGCCACATCTCGATTATTTAATTCCACTTTTGCAAACCATCTTGAAAGAGGTGATTTTAAAAAGGCAGAGGGAGATTTTTGGAAATAGAATATCAACCTGAATTTGATGCTAATTAATGAGTGAGCCACAATAGAGCCGATGCTACTTATCAGCTTAGTCAGACATCAGCTAATAGACATGGCAAAGCAATTGTATTTAACTTTCTACTGACCAAGGAGTAAGTAACCAGGGCCATTTTGAGTGACAGCCTTCCAATTCTGCAGGAACTTTAAAAACTGACAAATAAAAAGTTGACAGAAATGGGCAGGGTCAAGGATTATGCATGTATTTCACCTCACTATCACAATACACTGTTTTAATTTGGGTTGGTCTGCTCTAAGAAAATACCATAGACTGTGTGGCTTATAAAAATAGAAATTTATTTCTAGCAGTTCTAGAGCTTGAGAGGTGGGAGATCAAGGAACCAGCAGATTTGGTGTGTGGTGAGGGCTTACATCCTCATAGACAGTGCCTTCTCACTGTGTCCTCCCATGGTGGAGAGGAAGAACTCATCTCTGTAGCCTCTTGTAAGGGCACTGATCCTATTTATGGGGGCTCTGCCCTCATGACCTAATCACTTCCCAAAGCCCCCACCTCCTAATACCATCATAATGGGGGTTAAGTTTCAACATATAAATTTTGAAGGGATGCAAACATTTAGACCATAACAACTATCTTCTGTGTTCTCTTTTTTGGCTTTACTCCAAGCTTTTGATAATGGTGCCACAAGAAATTGGAACAAGGTGCAGGTAATAGAACCCTGTGAGACCGTCTCTAACTGAGGGCATATTACTTTTGCTTTTGGCAAATTCATAAAGTAAATAAGTGAACCTTCATGGCCTGAAAGGGAGGGAAGAAGGCAGATGGTAAAACTCAAGTCCTTGGTACCCAGGACCAAGTCCCATTCTATCCCCCCAAACGCTGAGCAAAACCACACACTTTCTAATCAATCTTGTTAAAGAATTGGTGGAACAGATCTAGGCAGGGATTAGGGATCTGAGGAAAACCAGTGCCCCTCCCACGGAGGAACTAAAACCCCATACAGCAGGCTTCTGCTGGAGATATGAAAACCTTCTTGAGAGAATGTTTAAAAATGTTTTTCGTTTTTAAACATTTGTTTCAAACATCATACAAAAGTTTAAAATGATCAAAATGTCTGCTGCTTCTTACTGTAGTAGTATTAACATTGGAACTGCATAGTAGTAGCTGTAGAATTGGTAGTAATAGCTAATACAACAGCATTTACCACACACCAGCTATGGTTCTAAGCACCTTTACTGATTTCATTTCTATATGCTGGATCAGTGTCTCAACAGACTGGCCTCTTTCTAAAATTTCTATTTATTGGGTGCAAAAACTGACGGAAAGATTCAAAAAAATAATCACAATTAATGTAACATTTCAAGTGTTCTTTGTGATGTGTTACAATAGAGAGCCTAAAGATGAATGGGCCTTCATCGCTTTCAAGGATGTAAAATGAGAAAACAGTATTAAATTGTTCCAGAAGAACTGACCTTCAGTTTCAGAAAGATGAATGAGTTGCTAAAGCACTGTGTAATCTCCTTTGCTGGAAGTCTGTGCTTATTGAACTCACAGTCCTTCTTGCCCAGGGAAGGCCAGGAACATAAGCAGAGCTCTGGGAGGACTTCGGGAGTGGACGAATGTTTCTTCTCCTACCCCGTTACTTCCCAAAGGAAAGAAAATTGGTAGTTGTCAGAACTGTGGTAAAACTTCAGAAACCAGCTACCTAAATTATAAAACGAGTCTTTTGGTATCAGTCTCCTAGAGTGGCACTTTCATCCTAGCATTGTTCTAACAAGCTGGGATGCTGCCGAGCTCCCCCAGAAACGGGCTGGTTTTAAGTTCTCATTTCCACTGCTTTCATTAGTAGATATAATTTTTTTTTAGAATTAAAATTATTTTTGTATTTTTGTTATTTAGGAAATTTGAATATCCAAAAAGCACAGAGCAGAAACCAGTCACCATTCATCCACATTCCTACAATCAAAAAAAATTAACACATGGCAATTTGACATATCTTCTAGTTTTTGTTCTTTCCTATTATCTACTTTTTAAAAAATTACACGTGGGGCCGGGCACAGTGGCTCATGCCTGTAATCCCAGCACTTTGGGAGGCAGGCGGATCACTTGAGGCCAGGAGTTCAAGACCAGCCTGGCCAACATGGCGAAACCCTGTCTCTACTAAAATTACAAAAAGATTAGCTGGGCGTGGTGGTGTGTGCCTGGGGTCCCAGCTACTCAGGAGGCTGAGTCATGAGAATTGCTTGTACCCAGGAGGTGGAGGTTGCAGTGAGCCGAGACTGCCACTGCACTCCAGCCTGGGCAACAGAGTGAGACTCTGCTTCAAAATAAAAAATAAATTACATGTGAAACATATGATTACATTCCCTTTTTAAAAGTGAGAATAATACAAATAAAATTAGTGTGCATTTGACGTTTATCTCTCTCAGTCTTGTTGCTTTATCCTTTATCCTCCAGAGTTAACTACTCGTATGCGCTTGTGCAGTGTATAATGTCCTTTCAAGCCATTTTTGTATTTTACATGCATTTTTTCTATAGAGAATATGTAATAATATTTTGAGTGCAAATGTATTACATAAACACAATATATTAAATACATACATAAATGTATTAATATAAAAATAAACTAAGAATAGTTATACAATTTGATTTTATATTAAAAAGTATATATTTTGAAATGTGTCCATGTTGATACATATAAATCTAATTCCCTTTTATTGCTGTAGAGTTTTTATGTGAGTATATGACACTTTATCCATTACTCTACTAATTTGACATATAGATTGCTTCCAGTTTTTCATTTTTACAGTGTTTCAGGGATATGTCTTTATGTACATGTGCAAGCATTTCTCTAGGATAGATACCAAAGTTTAGAATTGCTAGACTGTATGCCATACTTATTACTCTCCTTCAGTTTCTTGGTATTGTGGATATTATTGCTTGTGGCAAATTTCTTGGTAACTGATAATTTGAGAATTATATCAGTACAGGCTTGACTCAGTGGCCCATGCCTGTAATCTTAGCACTTTGGGACGCCAAGGAGGGTGAATCGCTTGAGCCCAGGATTTGGAGTCCAGCCTGGGCAACATGGCAAAACCTCGTCTCTACTAAAAATGTAAAAACTGTGGGTGGGCACGGTGTCTCACACCTGTAATCCCAGCTCTTAGGGAGGCAGAGGCAGGAGGATAGCCTGAGCCCAGGAGTTTGAGACCTGCCTGGGCAATACAGCAAGACCCATTCTCCACAAAAAGGAAAAAAACAAAAACTGAGGGGGGAGGATCACCTGAGCCTGGGGAGGTTGAGGCTGCAGTGGGCCGTGATGGCACCACTACACTCCAGCCTGGGTGACACAGCAATACCTGGTTTCAAAAAAAAAAAAATTATATCAGAACAAAATCTCTCTCATTTCCTCTCTCTACCATTGTCTTTAGTTCATCTCTCTCTCTCTTTTTCTCCCCATCTCTCTCGCTTCCTCTCTCTACCATTGTATTTAGTTGGTCTCTCTCTGTCTATGTGTGTGTCTCTGTCTCTCTTTCCCTCCCATGCACCTGCACATACACCTACAGACACACATATCTCCTTCACACAGTGTCCTCTCTTTCCTCCACCATATTTTCATTCTATGGGGACTGAAGCTTATATAATTTTTGAAGTATCCTCTGAAAAAATACAAAATTACAAGTACAAATTCTGATTATTCAGAATGGGAGAAAAGCTCACAGTCTCAGCACTGTTGACATTTGGGGTTAGCTAGAGTTCTTTGTTGGGGGAGGTGAGGCACTGTCCTGTGCATTGGAGGATGTTCAACAGCATCCCTGACCTCTACTCACTAGATGTCAGTAGCACCTCCCTTATTTTGACAACCCAAAATGTCCCAGATATTTCCAAATGTCCCTTAAGGGGCAAAATTGCCCTCAGTTGAGAACCATTGCTCTAATTCTATCCATTCTTTTGGCGTATAGATAAAGAACACTCTCCAGTTCCTCTTATGAGTCTTACTTTGTCTAAAATCAGATAATGAAATTAAAATAAATGAAAATGTTCTGTTAATCTTACTTTATGAACATATGTGAAAATATCCAGCAATGTCCAAAAAAAGTAAATATAACATGACTTGAGTTCACTGAAGGAATTCAAGGTTGATTAAATACAAGTAAGTCAAATCAATTAATGTAATTCTTCATATGAAAATATTAAAGGAGAAAGATTAAAGAAGAAAAAGCATTCAATAATTTTCTTTTTTTTAAAGCAAGGCTATCATATACATAATATGTATATTCAGAATGGGAGAAGGAGTTGGAGTCCAGCCTGGGCAACATGGCAAAAATATATATATTATGTATATTATGTAATATATAATACGCATTACTTATACATACTATAAATATATATTATTTCAATAGCCTTTGAGGTACAAGTAGCTTTTTATTACATGCAAGTATTATACAGTGGTGACATCTGAGATTTTAGTGCACTCATCACCTGAGTAGTGTACATTGTATCCAATATGCAGTTTGTCACCAGGCTGGAGTGCAGTGGCAAGATCTCAGCTCACTGTAGCCTCAACCTCCTGGGTTTAAGCAATCCTCCCACCTCAGCCCCCCAAGTAGCTGGGACTACAGGCTTGCGCCACCATATTCGGCTAATTTTTTTGTATTTTTTGTAGAGACGGGGTTTTGCCATGTTGCCCAGGCTGGTCTCCAGTTCCTAAGTTCAAGCGATCTGCCTGCCTCAGCCTCCCAAAATGCTAGGATTACAGGCATGAGCCACTGTGCCCAGCCTATATGCAGCTTTTTATCCCTCACCCCTCTCCCACTCTCCTCTTTCTGAGTCTCCAAAGTTCATTTTACCACTCTGCATGTTTTTGCATACCCATAGCTTAGCTCCCACTTATAAGTGAGAACGCTCTGTATTTGATTTTCCATTCCTGAGTTACTTCACTTAGAATAATGGCCTCCAGCTTCATCCAAGTTGCTGCAAAAGACATTATTTTGTTCTTTTGCTGAATAGTATTCCATGGTGTATATATACCACATTTTATTTTTCCACTCATTGATTGATGGACGCTTAGGTTGGTTTCATATCTTTGCAATTGTGAACATTCAATCATTTTCAACACACGTTCATGGTTAATATTTCTAGGAAACTATGCATAGAAGAAAACTTCCTTTAACCAATAAAAGGCAACTTCAAAAACATTGAGTAAATTCATATTCAGTGATGAATTGTTTAGAAATATTCTCTTTAGTTTAAGAACATTAAGGATGATACTATCACTACTTCTGTTGAGCACTGCATTGAATATCTTAGCCTGCCAAATAAATGAAGAACATAGGATAGAAGAGTTGAAAAGGAAAACCCAGGCCTGGCGCAGTGGCTCACACCTGTAACCTTACACTTTGGGAGGCCAAGGTGGGCAGATCACCTGAGGTCAGGAGTTTGAGACCAGCCTGGCCAACATGGCAGACCCCCGTCTCTACTAAAAATACATTAATTAGTCGGGCGCAGTGACATGCGCCTGTAATCTCAGCTACTTGGGAGGCTGAGTCAGGAGAACTGCTTGAACCCAGGAGGTGAAGGTCGCAGTAAGCCAAGATCTCGCCACTGCACTCCAGCCTGGACGACAAAGCGAGACTCTGTCTCAAAAAAAGAAAAAAAAAAAAAAGGAAAACCCAAAACTTGTCTTGCTAAGAAGTTTGACCTAATAGCAAAAGAAAATTGTAAGCAGAATAATGCTCCCCGCAAAGTTGTCCACATCCTAATCCTCTAAACTTATGAATTTTCAGATTGATCTGCATCATTTAAAACAAACAGAAGCATAGTATATGGAATATTAGATAATTCCTATAGATCTGTAAAAAAAAAAAAACCAAAAAACAAAAAAACCCAAATAACCCAGTAGGCAAATAGACAAAATAAGCATTTTTACCCAAGGTGAAATGTGAATGGTCATGGAATATATGGAAATATACTCAATTTCATTAATACTTAGATAAATGCAAATTAAAACCTCCATGAAATACATTTTCACAATTAGAGATAGGCAAAAATTAAAAAGTTGGACACTAGCAAGTTTTGGCACTTAAGTATATTGGTAAGGGTAGCGTGGATTAGTACAGCCAGTGGGAAACAGTTTTTTATCATTTGGTAAGGTGTACATATCCTACAAATCAGCAATGTATATACTAGATACATAACCTAAAGAAATTCTTTCACATGGGTACCTGGGTACCTATAAAAGAGTATTTTATCCCAATGATTCACAGTAGGAATAATCTAGAAACAACTCAAATATTTATCAATAGTAGAAAGGATTCATAAACTGCAGTATAATCATTTGATGAAATGCCATATCATAGTGAAAATTAACTACAGCTAGAAATTCAACATAACTGAATCTCAAAAATATAATCTTAAGCAAAAAAAGATGAGTTATAGATGAATATATATACAATGATTTTATCTGAACATTTTTTAAAAACCAAAACTAAACAATGTATTGTTAGGGTACATATATAAGAGTTAGGACTACATAAGAAGAAGTTTAAAAAAAAAGATTAACATGAATTTTAAGAACGTGCTTACCTCTCTGGCAGAGGAAAGGATATGTGATTGGGGAGTAGTACACAGTTTCTAAATTGTTGGTAATGTTCTATTTCTCATGCTGTATCAATGTTACATGAGTGCTCATTTGATTACTATTCCTTAAAATATATATACATTTTACCTACACACTTTTACAGTTACGTTTCACGTAAAAGGTAAAACATTTTCAATGGGAAAAAAAGAAAATCTTTAACGTATACATATTTAATGGAAAATATGTAATTTACCATATTAATGGATCAAAGGGAAGAAATAATTATCTCAATATATGCAAATAAACATCTGATAAAGTTGAATGTCTATTTGTAATAAACTCTTAGAAAACTAGGAATGAGACTGAAGTTTCTTAACTTGATAACTGCTATATATCAAAAACCTAGAGCATGCATTATAATTAATGAAGATACTTTGCATTCATTCTAATTAAGATCAAAACAAAGGTATCACAATCCTCAGTACTGAAGTTCCTAGATAATGCTCTAACATGAGAAAAATCATTAAGAGATTTAAAGATTCTTTGCTGGTTTTTCTCTGCTCACACTTATATATCTCTTGTTCGTCCCTCAACCTGCTCTATGCCCTGGGAGCCTGATTTCTCTGGCCAGTCACATCTCGGCTTGCTTGCCCCCTGACTGATTGGCTGGTGGGAGACTCTAGCAGGAGACTGGAGGGTGGTTGCATTTTGGTAGTGGCTGAGTTCCACCTCCTATGGCCACAGTCCCTATTACACAACACTTTTTCTATGGCTACAACTCTTCCTGGGCTTGGTAACAACTTCCTTGACTCTTCAGGGCTACCTTCTAACTGCCACATAAAATCAAATAAAAAACAAGACATGAGAATAGCCTGGTATTCTCAACTGACGTCGGAAACTGAGAACGCTCATGGAAAGTTTGAAGCCCCAATAATAGGCTTTTAGGGTAGGGGTCTCCTTTGCATACTATCTAATACCTGAGATGCTTGCACAAATTATTAATTCTTTCCCTTTTAGATTTTTTAAATTTAATTAATGTTCTTTATATTTTCCTTCCTTTTTATTTTCTTTAGATTTTGTGTTCTTTTTCTAATGTTTTGAGTTGGATGCTTGTCTGAATAATTTTCTTTTTTCTGTTTCAAGTTAATTTTTTTTATTATACTTTAAGTCCTGGGTACATGTGCACAACGTGCAGGTTTGATACATAGGTATACATGTGCCATATTGGTTTGCTGCACCCATCAACTCATCATTTACATTAGATATTTCTCCTAATGCTGTCCCTCCCCAGCCCCCCACCCCCTGGCAGGCCCTGGTATGTGATGTTCCCTGCCCTGTGTCCAAGTGATCTCATTGTTCAGTTCCCACCTATGAGTGAGAACATACGGTGTTTGGTTTTCTGTCCTTGTGTACTTTGCTGAGAATGATGATTTCCATAGTCATCCATGTCCCTGCAAAGGACATGAACTCATCCTTTTTTATGGCTGCATAGTATTCTATGGTGTATATGTGCCACATTTTCTTTATCCAGTCTATCATTGAAAGACATTTGGGTTGGTTCCAAGTCTTTGCTATTGTGAACAGGGCCACAATAAACATATGTATGCATGTGTCTTTATAGTAGCATGATTTATAATCCTTTGGGTATATACCTAATAATAGGATTGCCGGGTCAAATGGTAATTCTAGTTCTAGCTCCTTGAGGAATCACCACACTGTCTTCCACAATGGTTGAACTAATTTACACTCCCACCATAGTGCAAAAGCGTTCCTATTTCTCCACATCCTCTCCAGCATCTGTTGTTTCCTGACTGTTTAATGATTGCCATTCCAACTGGTGTGAGATGGTATCTCATTGCGGTTTTGATTTGCATTTCTCTGATGACCAGTGATGATGAGCATTTTTTCATGTGGCTGCTGGCTGCACAGATGTCTTCTTTTGAGAAGTGTCTGTTTATATCCTTTGCCCACTTTCTGATGGGGTTGTTTTTTTCTTCTAAATTCGTTTAAGTTCTTTGTAGATTCTAGATATTAGCCCTTTGTCAGATGGATAGATGGCAAAAATTTTCTCCCATTAGGTAGGTTGCCTGTTCACTCTGATGACAGTCTCTTTTGCTGTGCAGAAGCTCTTTAGTTTAATTAGAACCCATTTGTCAATTTTGGCTTTTGTTGCCATTGCTTTTGGTGTTTTAGACATGAAGTCCTTGCCCATGCCTATGTCCTGAATGGTACTGCCTAGATTTTCTTGTAGGGTTTTTATGGTTTTAGGTCTAACGTTTAAGTCTTTAATCCATCTTGAATTAATTTTTGTACAAGGTGTAAGGAAGGGATCCAGTTTCAGCTTTCTACATATGGCTAGCCAGTTTTCCCAGCACTGTTTATTGAATAGGGAATCCTTTCCCCATTTCTTGTTTTTGTCAGGTTTGTCAAAGACCAGATGGTTGTAGATGTGCGGTGTTATTTCTGAGGCCTCTGTTCTGTTCCATTGGTCTATATCTCTGTTTTGGTACCAGTACCATGCTGTTTTGGTTACTGTAGCTTGTAGTATAGTTTGAGGTCAGGTAGCGTGATGCCTCCAGCTTTGTTGTTTTGGCTTAGGATTGTCTTGGCAATGTGTGCTCTTTTTTGGTTCCATATGAACTTTAACGTAGTTTTTTCCAATTCTGTGAAGAAAGTCATTGGTAGCTTGATGGGGTTCAATATATATTGAATCTATATATTACTTTGGGCAGTATGGCCATTTTCACAATATCGATTCTTCCTATCCATGAGCATGGAATATTCTTCCATTTGTTTGTGTCCTCTTTTATTTTGTTGAGCAGTGGTTTGTAGTTCTCCTTGAAGAGGTCCTTCACATCCCTTGTAAGTTGGATTCCTAGGTATTTTATTCTCTTTGAAGCAATTGTGAATGGGAGTTCACTCATGATTTGGCTCTCCGTCTGTTAATGGTGTATAGGAATGCTTGTGAAATGGTGTATAGGAATGCTTGCGATTTTTGGACATTGATTTTGTATCCTGAGACTTTGCTGAAGTTGCTTATCAGCTTAAGGAGATTTTGGGCTGAGACAGTGGGGTTTTCTAAATATATGATCATGTCATCTGCAGAAAGGGACAATTTGACTCCCTTATTTCCTAATTGAATACCCTTTATTTCTTTGTCTTGTCTGATTACCCTGGCCAGAACTTCCAACACTATGTTGAATAGGAATGGTGAGAGAGGGCATCCTTGGCTTGTGCTGGATTTCAAAGGGAATGCTTCCAGTTTTTGCCCATTCAGTATGATACTGGCTGTGGGTTTGTAATAAATAGTTCTTATTATTTTGAGGTATGTCACATGAATACCTAGTTTATTGAGAGTTTTTAGCATAAAGGGGTGTTGAATTTTATTGAAGGCCTTTTCTACATCTATTGAGATAATCATGTGGTTTTTGTTGTTGCTTCTGTTTATGTGATGGAATACATTTATTGATTTGCATATGTTGAACCAGCCTTGCATCCCAGTGATGAAGCCGACTTGATCGTGGTGGATAAGCTTTTTGATGTGCTGCTGGATTCGGTTTGCCAGTTTTTTATTGAGGATTTTTGCATTGATGTTCATCAGGGATATTGGTCTAAAATTCTCTTTTTTTGTTGCGTCTCTGCCAAGCTTTGGTATCAAGATGATGTTGGTCTCATAAAATGAGTTAGGGAGGATTCCCTCTTTTTCTATTGATTGGAATAGTTTCAGAAGGAATGGTACCAGCTCCTCTTTGTACCTCTGGTAGAATTTGGCTGTGAATCCGTTTGGTCCTGGACTTTTTTTGATTGGTAGGCTATTAATTATTGACTCAATTTCAGAGTCTGTTATTTATCTATTCAGAGATTCCCCTTCTTCCTCGTTTAGTCTTGGGAGGGTGTATGTGTCCAGGAATTTACCCATTTCTTCTTGAGTTTCTAGTTTATTTGCATAGAGGTGTTTATAGTATTCTCTGATGGTAGTTTGTATTTCTGTGGGATCGGTGGTGATATCCCCTTTATCATTTTTTATTGTGTCTATTTGATTTTTCTGTCTTTTCTTCTTTATTAGTCTTGCTAGAGGTCTATAAATCTTGTTGATCTTTTCAAAAAACCAGCTCCTGGATTCATTGATTTTTTGAAGGGTTTTTTGTGTCTCTATCTCCTTCAGTTCTGCTCTGATCTTAGTTGTTTCTTGCCTTCTGCTAGATTTTGAATTTGTTTGCTCCTGCCTGTCTAGTTGTTTTAATTGTGATGTTAGGGTGTCAATATTAGATCTTTCCTTCTTTCTCTTGTGGGCATTTAGTGCTATAAATTTCCCTCTACACACTGCTTTAAATGTGTCCCAGAGATTATGGTACGTTGTGTCTTTGTTCTCATTGGTTTTAAGGAACATCTTTATTTCTGCCTTCATTTCATTATTTACACAGTAGTCATTTAGGAGCAAGTTGTTCAGTTTCCATGTAGTTATGCAGTTTTGAGTGAGTTTCTTAACCCTAAGTTCTAATTTCATTGCACTGTGGTCTGAGAGACAGTTTGTTGTGATTTCTGTTGTTTTACATTTGCTGAGGAGTGCTGTATTTGCAATTATGTGGTCAGTTTTAGAATAAGTGCGATGTGGTGCTGAGAAGAATGTATATTCTGTTGATTTGGGGTGGAGGGTTCTGTAGGTATCTATTAGGTCTGCTTGTTGCAGAGCTGGGTTCAAGTCCTGGATACCCTTTTTTAACCTTCTGTCTCATCGATCTGTCTAATACTGACAATGGGGTGTTAAATTCTCCCATTATTATTGTGTGAGAGTCTAAGTCTCTTCGTAGGTCTCTAAGGACTTGCTTTATGAATCTGGTTGTTCCTGTATTGGGTGCATATATGTTTAGGATAGTTAGCTCTTCTTGTTGAATTGATCCCTTTACCATTATGTAATGGGCTCTTTGTTTCTTTTGATCTTTGTTGGTTTAAAGTCTGTTTTATCAGAGACTAGGATTGCAACCCCTGGTTTTCTTTGCTTTCGATTTGCTTGGTAAATTTTCCTCCCTCCCTTTATTTTGAACCTATGTGCGTCTTTGCATGTGAGATGGGTCTCCTGAATACAGCACACTGATGTCTTGACTGTTTATCCAATTTGCCAGTCTGTGTCTTTCAATTGGCGCATTCAGCCTATTTACATTTAAGGTTAATATTGTTACGTGTGAATTTGATCCTGTCATTATGATGTTTACTGGTTATTATGCCCGTTAATTGATGCAGTTTCGTCATAGCATCAATGGTCTTTACAATTTGGCATGGTTTTTCAGTGGCTTGTACCAGTTTCTTTCCATGTTTAGTGCTTCCTTCAGGAGCTCTTGTAGGGCAGGCCTGGTGGTGACAAAATCTCTGAGCATTTGCTTGTCTTTAAAGGATTCTATTTCTCCTTCACTTACGAAGCTTAGTTTGGCTGGAAATGAAATTCTGGGTTGAAAATTCTTTAAGAATGTTGAATACTGGCCCCCACTCTCTTCTAGCTTGTAGGTTTTCTGCCGAGAGATCCGCTGTTTGTTTGATGGGCTTCCCTTTTTGGGTAACTCGACCTTTCCCTCTGGCTGCCCTTAACACTTTTTCCTTCATTTCAACCTTGGAGAATCTGACAGTTATGTGTCTTGGAGTTGCTCTTGTTGAGGAGTATCTTTGTGGTGTTCTCTGTATTTCCTGAATTTGAATGTTGGCCTGTCTTGCTAGGTTGGGGAAGTTCTCCTGGATAATATCCTGAAGACCGTTTTCCAGCTTGGTTCCATTCTCCCCACCACTTTCAGGTACACCAATCAAATGTAGATTTGGTCTTTTCACAGAGTTCCATATTTCTTGATGGCTTTGTTTGTTTCTTTTACTCTTTTTTCTCTAACCTTGTCTTCTTGCTTTATTTCATTAATTTGATCTTCAATCACTGATACCCTTTCTTCCACTTGATTGAATCAGCTCTTGAAGCTTCTGCATGTGTCGTGAAGTTCCCGTGCCATGGTTTTCATCTCCATCGGATCATTTAAGATCTTCTCTACACTGTTTATTCTAGTTAGCCATTCGTCTAATCTCTTTTCAAGGTTTTTAACGTCTTTGCGATGGGTTCGAACATCCTCCTTTAGCTCCAAGAAATTTGTTATTACCGACCTTCTGAAGCCTACTTCTGTCAGCTCATCAAAGTCATTCTCCATCCAGCTTTGTTCCGTTGCTGGTGAGGAGCTATGATCCTTTGGAGGAGAAGAGGTGCTCTGATTTTTAGAATTTTCAGCTTTTCTGCTCTGGTTTCTCCCCATCTTTATGATTTTAGCTACCTTTGGTCTTTTATGTTGGTGACCTACAGATAGGATTTTGGTGTAGATTACCTTTTTGTTGATGTTGATGCTATTCCTTTCTGTTTGTTAGTTTTCTTCTAACAGTCAGGTCCCTCAGCTGCAGGTCTGTTGGAGTTTGCTGAAGGTCCATTCCTGACTCTGTTTGCCTGGGTATCACCAGTGGAGGCTGCAGAACAGCAAGTATTGCAGAACAGCAAATACTGCTATCTGATCCTTCCTTTGGAAGCTTTGTCTCAGAGGGGCAACTGCCTATATGAGGTGTCTGTTGGACCCTACTGGAGGTGTTTCCCAGTTAGGCTACATGGGGGTCAGGGACCCACTTGAGGAAGCTGTCTGTCTGTTCTCAGAGCTCAGACACTGTGCTGGGAGAACCACTGTTCTCTTCAGAGCTGTCAGACAGGGACGTTTAAGTTGCAGAAGTTGTCTGCTGCCTTTTATTCAGCTATGCCCTGCCCACAAAGGTGGAGTCTAGAGCAGTAGGCCTTGTTGAGCTGCGGTGGGTTCCTCCCAGTTCGAACTTCCCAGCCACTTTGTATACCTACTCAAGCCTCAGCAATGGCGGATGCCCCTCCCCCAGCCAGGCTGCCCCCTTCGCAGTTCGATCTCAGACTGCTGCGCTAGCAGTGAGCAAGGCTCTGTGGGCGTGGGACCTGCTAAGCCAGGCACAGGAGAGAATCTCCTTGTCTGCCGGTTGCTAAGACCTTGGGAAAAGCGCAGTATTTGGGTGGCAGTGTCCCGTTTTTCCAGGTGGTCTGTCACGGCTTCCCTTGGCTAGGAAAGGGAAATCCCCCAACCCCTTGCAATTCCTGAGTGAGGCAATGCCTCGCCCTGCTTCAGCTTGCCCTCTGTGGGCTGCACCCACTGTCCAACCAGTCCCAATGAGATGAACCAGGTACCTCAGTTGGAAATGCAGAAATCACCCGTCTTCTGCATTGATCATGCTGGGAGCTGCAGACTAGAGCTGTTCCTGTTTGGCCATCTTGGAACGCCCTCCTCTTAAGTTAATTTTTTAAGGTAATAAAATTCTCTCTGTATTAATTTAGCCACACCTCACAAATTTTGATACATAGTACTTTACCATGATACGTATATATATACACATATTGTCATACATTTATATGCATATCTATAAAATACATGATTTCTTCTTTTTTTTAATTATACTTCAAGTTCTTTAGTGCATGTGGAGAACGTGCAGGTTTGTTACATAGGTATACACATGCCATGGTCATTTGCTGTACTCATCAACCTGTCATCCACATTAGGTATTTCTCCTAATGCTGTCCCTCCCCTAGGCCCCCACCCTCAAACAGGCCCCGGTGTGTGATGTTCCCTTCCCTGTGTCCATGTGTTCTCATTGATCAACTCTCACTTATGAGTGAGAACATGCAGCATTTGGTTTTCGGTTCTTGTGTTAGTTTGCTGAGAATGATGGTTTCCAGTGTCATCCATGTCCCTCCAAAGGACATGAACTCATTCTTTTTTATGGCTGCATAGTATTCCATGGTGTATATGTGCCACATTTTCTTTATCCAGTCTATTATTGATGGGCATTTGGGTTGGTTCCAAGTATTTGCTATTGTGAACAGTGCCACAATAAACATACGTGTGCATGGTCTTTATAGTAGAATGATTTATAATCCTTTGGGTGTATACTCAATAATACGATGGCTGGGTCAAATAATATTTCCAGTTCTAGATCCTTGAGGAATCGCCACACTGTCTTCCACAATGGTTGAACTAATTTACACTCCCACCAACAGTGTAAAAACATTTCTATTTCTCCACATCCTCTCCAGCATCTGTTGCTTCCTGACTTTTTAATGATCGCCATTCGGACTGGTGTGAGATGGTATCTTCTCATGGTTTTGATTTGCATTTCTCTAATGACCACTGATGATGAGCTTTTTTTTTCATATGTTTGTTGGCTGCATAAATGTCTTCTTTTGGGAAGTGTCCGTTCATATCTTTTGCCCACTTTTTGATGGAGTTTTTTTTCTTGTAAATTTGTTTAAGTTCTTTGTAGATTCTGGATATTAGCCCTTTGTCAGATGAGTAGATTGCAAAAATTTTCTCCCATTCTGCAGGTTCCTGTTCACTCTGATGGTAGTTTCTTTTGCTGTGCAGAAGCTCTTTAGTTTAATTAGATCCCATTTGTCAATTTTGGCTTTTGTTGCCATTGCTTTTGGTGTTTTCGACATGAAGTCCTTGCCCATGCCTATGTCCTGAATGGTATTGCCTAGGTTTTCTTCTAGGGCTTTTATGGTTTTAGGTCTAACAGTTAAGTCTTTAATCTCTGTTGAATTAATTTTTGTATAAGGTATAAGGAAGGAATCCAGTTTCAGCTTTCTACATATGGCTAGCCAGTTTTCCCGACACCATTTGTTAAATAGGGAATTCTTTCCCCATTTCTTTTTTTTGTCAGGTTTGTCAAAGATCAGAGAGTTGTAGATGTGTGGTGTTATTTCTGAGGGCTCTGTTCTGTTCCATTGGTCCATATCTGTTTTGGTACCAGTACCATGCTGTTTTGGTAAATGTAGCCTTGTAGTATAGTTTGGAGTCAGGTAGCGTGATGCCTCCAGCTTTGTTCTTTTGGCTTAGGATTGTCTTGGCAATGTGGGCTCTTTTTTGGTTCCATATGAAATTTAACATAGTTTTTTCCAATTCTGTGAAGAAAGTAATTGGTAGCTTGATGGGGATAGCATTGAATGTATAAATTACCTTGGGCAGTATGACCATTTCCACAATATTGATTCTTCCTATCCATGAGCATGGAATGTTTTTCCAATTGTTTGTGTCCTCTTTTATTTCATTGAGCAGTGGTTTGTAGTTCTCCTTGAAGAGGTCCTTCACATCCCTTGTAAGTTGGATTCCTAGGTATTTTATTCTCTTTGAAGCAATTGTGAATGGGAGTTCACTCATGATTTGGCTCTCTGTTTGTCTGTTATTGGTGTATAAGAATGCTTGTGATTTTTGGACATTGGTTTTGTATCCTGAGACTTTGCTGAAGTTGCTTATCAGCCTAAGGAGATTTTGGACTGAGACAATGGGGTTTTATAGATACACAATCATGTCATCTGCAAACAGGGACAATTTGACTTCCTCTTTTCCTAATTTAATACCCTTTATTTCTTTCTCTTGCCTGATTGCCCTGGCCAGAACTTCCAACACTATGCTGAATAGTAGTGGTGAGAGAGGGCATCCCTGTCTTGTGCCAGTTTTCAAAGGGAATGCTCCCAGTTTTTGCCCATTCAGTATGATATTGGCTGTGGGTGTGTCATAAATAGCTCTTATTATTTTGAGATACGTCCCATCAATACCTAATTTATTGAGAGTTTTTAGCATGAAGGGCTGTTGAATTTTTCAAAGGCCTTTCCTTATCTGTTGAGATAATCATGTGGTTTTTGTCTTTGGTTCTGTTTATATACTGGATTACGTTTATTGATTTGCATATATTGAACCAGCTTTGCATCCCAGGGATGAAGACCACTTGATCATGGTGGATAAGCTTTTTGATGTGCTTCTGGATTCGGTTTGCCAGTATTTTATTGAGGATTTTTACATCGATGTTCATCAGGGATATTGGTCTAAAATTCTCTTTTTTTGTTGTGTCTCTGCCAGGCTTTGGTATCAGGATGATGCTGGCCTCCTAAAATGAGTTAGGAAGGATTCCCTCTTTTTCTGTTCATTGGAATAGGTTCAGAAGGAATGGTACCAGCTCCTCCTTGTACCTCTGGTAGAATTCAGCTGTGCATCCATCTGGTCCTGTACTTTTTTTGGTTGGTAAGCTATTAATTATTGCCTGAATTTCAGAGCCTGTTATTGGTCTATTCAGAGATTGAGCTTCTTCCTGGTTTAGTCTTGGGAGGATGTATGTGTCGAGGAATTTATACATTTCTTCTAGATTTTCTAGTTTATTTGCATAGAGGTGTTTATAGTATTCTCTGATGGTAGTTTGTATTTCTGTGGGATCATTGGTGATATCCCCTTTTTCATTTTTTATTGCATCTATTTGATTCTTCTGTCTTTTCTTCTTTATTAGTCTTGCTAGCAATCTATCAATTTTGTTGATCTTTTCAAAAAACCAGCTCCTGGATTCATTGATTTTTTGAAGGGTTTTTCGTGTCTCTATCTCCTTCAGTTCCGCTCTGATCTTAGTTGTTTCTTGCCTTCTGCTAGCTTTTGAATGTGTTTGCTCTTGCTTTTCTAGTTCTTTTAATTGTGATGTTAGGGTGTCAATTTCAGATCTTTCTTGCTTTCTCTTGTGGGCATTTAGTGCTATAAATTTCCCTCTACACACTTCTTTAAATGTGTCCCAGAGATTCTGGTATGTTGTGTCTTTGTTCTCGTTGATTTCAAAGAACATCTTAGTTTCTGCCTTCATTTCGTTATGTACCCAGTAGTCATTCAGGAACAGGTTGTTTAGTTTCCATGTAGTTGAGCGGTTTTGAGTGAGTTTCTTAATCCTGAGTTCTAGTTTGATTGCACTGTGGTCTGAGAGACAGTTTGTTATAATTTCTGTTCTTTTACATTTGCTGAGGAGTGCTTTACTTCCAACTATGTGGTCAATTTTGGAATAGGTGCGATGTGATGCTGAGAAGAATGTATATTCTGTTGATTTGGGGTGGAGAGTTCTGTAGATGTCTATTAGGTCCATTTGGTACAGAGCTGAATTGAATTCCTGGATATCCTTGTTAACTTTCTGTCTTGTTGATCTGTCTAATGTTGACAGTGGGTTGTTAAAGTCTCCCATTATTATTGTGTGGGAGTCTAAGTCTCTTTGTAGGTCTCTAAGGACTTGCTTTATGCATCTGGATGCTCCTGTATTGGGTGCATATATATTGAGGATAGTGAGCTCTTCTTGTTGAATTGATCCCTTTACCATTATGTAATGGCCTTCTTTGTCTCTTTTGATCTTTGTTGGTTTAAAGTCTGCTTTATCAGAGACTAGGATTGCAACCCCTGCCTTTTTTTGTTTTCCATTTGCTTGGTAGATCTTCCTCCATCCCTTTATTTTGAGCCTATGTGTGTCTCGGTACTTGTGATGGATTTCCTGAATACAGCACACTGATGGGTCTTGATTCTTTATCCAATTTGCCAGTCTGTGTCTTTTAATTGGAGCATTTAGCCCATTTACATTTAAGGTTAATATTGTTATGTGTGAATTTGATCCTGTCATTATGATGTTAGCTGGTTATTTTGCTCGTTAGTTGATGCAGTTTCTTCCTAGCCTTGATGGTCTTTACAATTTGGCATGTTTTTGCAGTGGCTGGTACTGGTTGTTCCTTTCCATGTTTAGTGCTTCCTTCAGGAGCTCTTGTAGGACAGGCCTGGTGGTGACAAAATCTGTCGGCATTTGCTTGTCCGTAAAGGATTTTATTTCTCCTTCACTTGTGAAGCTTAGTTTGGCTGGATATGAAATTCTGGGTTGAAAATTCTTTTCTTTAAGAATGTTGAATATTGGCCCCGACTCTCTTCTGGCTAGTAGAGTTTCTGCCAAGAGATCAGCTGTTAGTCTGATGGGCTTCCCTTTGTGGGTAACCTGACCTTTCTCTCTGGCTGCCCTTAACATTTGTTCCTTCATTTCCACTTTGGTGAATCTGACAATTATGTGTCTTGGAGTTGCTCTTCTCAAGGAGTATCTTTGTGGCATTCTCTGTATTTCCTGAATTTGAACGTTGGCCTGCCTTGCTAGGTTGGGGAAGTTCTCCTGGATAACATCCTGCAGAGTGTTTTCCAACTTGGTTCCATTCTCCCTGTCACTTTCAGGTACACCAAGCAGACATAGATTCGGTGTTTTCACATAGTCCCATATTTCTTGGAGGCTTTGTTTGTTTATTTTTACTCTTTTTTCTCTAAACTTCTTTTCTCACTTCATTTCATTCATTTGACCTTCCATCATGGAAACGCTTTCTTCCATTTGATCGAATTGGCTACTGAAGCTTGTGCATTCGTCACGTAGTTCTCGTGCCATGGTTTTCAGCTCCATCAGATCCATTAAGGACTTCTTTGCATTGGTTATTCTAGTTAGCCATTCATCTAATCTTTTTTCAAGGTTTTTAACTTATTTGTGATGGGTTCGAACTTCCTCCTTTAGCTCGGAGAATTTTGATCATCTGAAGCCTTCTTCTCTCAACTGGTCAAAGTCATTCTCCATCCAGCTTTGTTCTGTTGCTGATGAGGAGCTGCCTTCCTTTGGAGGAGGAGAGGTGCTCTGATTTTTAGAATTTTCAGTTTTTCTGTTCTGTTTTTTCCCCATCTTTGTGGTTTTTCTCTACCTTTGGTCTTTGATGATAGTGATGTACAGATGGGGTTTTGGTATAGATGTCCTTTCTGTTTGTTAGTTTTCCTTTTAAACAGTCAGGACCCTCAGCTGCAGGTCTGTTGGAGTTTGCTGGAGGTCCACTCCAGACTCTGTTTGCCTGGGTATCAGCAGTGGAGGCTGCAGAACTGCGAATATTGCTGAACAGCAAATGTTGCTGTCTGATCATTCCTCTGGAGGTTTCGTCTCAGAGGGGTACCCGGCTGTGTGAGGTGTCAGTCTGCTCCTATTTGGGGGTGCCTCCCAGATAGGCTTCTCGGGGGTCAGGGACCCACTTGAGGAGGCAGTCTCTCCGTTCTCAGATCTCAGACTCTGTGCTGGGGGAACCACTACTCTCTTCAAAGCTGTCAGACAGGGACATTTAAGTCTGCAGAGGTTTCTGCTGCCTTTTGTTCAGCTATGCCCTGCCCCCAGAGGTGGAGTCTACAGGGGCAGGCAGGCCTCCTTGAGCTATGGTGGGCTCCACCCAGTTCGAGCTTCCTGGCTGCTTTGTTTACCTACTCAAGCCTCAGCAATGGCAGGCACCCCTCCCCCTGCCTCACTGCCGCCTTGCAGTTGGATCTCAGACTGCTGTCCTAGCAGTGAGCGAGGCTCCGTGGGCATGGGACCCTCCGAGCCAGGCGTGGGATATAACCTCCTGGTGTGCCGTTTGCTAAGACCATTGGAAAAGCACAGTATCAGGGTGGGAGTGTCCCGATTTTCTAGGTGCTGTCTGTCACAGTTTTGCTTGGCTATGAAAGGGAATTCCCTGACCCCTTGTGCTTTCCGGGTGAGGCGATGTCTTGCCCTGCTTTGGCTCACCCTCAGTGCACTGCACCCACTGTCCTGCACCCACTGTCTGACACTCCCCAGTGAGATGAACCCGGTATGTCAGTTGGAAATGCAGAAATCACCCGTATTCTGCATCGCTCACGCTGGGAGCTGTAGACTGGAGCTGTTCCTATTCAGCCATCTTGGACAGATTTGGTCTTTTCACAGAGTCCCATATTTCTTGGGACTTTGTTTGTTTCTTTTCACTCTTTTTTCTCTAATCTTGTCGTCTTGCTTTATTTCATTGAGTTGATCTTCAATCTCTGATATCCTTTCTTCCACTTGATCGATTCGGCTATTGATACTTGTGTATGCTTCACAAAGTTCTCGTCCTGTGTTTTTCAGCTCCATCAGGTCATTCATGCTTTTCTCTAAACTGGTTATTCTAGTTAGCAATTTGTCTAACCTTTTTTCAAGATTCTTAGCTTCCTTGCATTGGGTTAGAACATCCTCCTTTAGCTCGGGGGAGTTTGTTATTGCCCACCTTCTGAAGCCTACTTCTGTCAACTTGTCAAACTCGTTCTCCATACATGTTTGTTCCCTTGCTGGCGAGGATTTGGGATCCTTTGGAGGAGAAGATGTGATCTGGGTTTTGGAATTTTCAGCCTTTTTGTGTTGGTTTCTCCCCATCTTCATAGATTTATCTACCTTTGGTCTTTGAAGTTGGTGACCTTTGGCTGGGGTCTCTGAGTGGACGTCCTTTTTATTGATGTTGATACTGTTCCTTTCTGTTTGTTAATTTTGCTTCTAACAGTCAGTCCCCTCTGATGCAGGTATGCTGGAGTTTGCTGGAGTTCTGCTCCAGAACCTGTCTGCTTGGGTATCACTAGCGGAGGCTGCGGAACAGCAAATATTGCTGCCTGTTCCTTCCTCGGGAAGCTTCGTCCCAGAGGGGCACCTGCCAGATGCCAGCCAGAGCTTTCCTGTTTGAGGTGTCTGTTGGCCCCTACTGGGAGGTGTCTCCCAGTCAGGTACATGGGGGTCATGGACCCACTTGAGGAGGCAGGCTGTCCCTTATCAGAGCTCGAATGCTATCCTGGGAGATCTGCTGCTCTCTTCAGAGCTTACAGGTAGGGACATTTAAGTCTGCTGAAGTTGCACCCACAACCACCCCTTCCCCAATGTGCTCTGTCCCAGGGAGATGGGGGTTTTATCTATAAGTCCCTGACTGGGGCTGTTGCCTTTTTTTTCAGAGATGCCCTGCTCAGAGAGGAGGGAATCTAGAGAGGCAGTCTGGCTGCAGTGGCCTTGCTGAGCTGCAGTGGGCTCTGCCCAGTTCAAACTTCTGGGCGGCTTTCTTTACACTGTGAAGGTATAACTGCCTACCTAAGCCTCAGCAATGGCAGTCGCCCCTCCTCCCACCAAGCTGGAGCATCCCAGGTCGAGATTATACTGCTGTGGTGGTGCAAGAATTTCAAGCTATTGGATCTCAGCTTGCTGGGCTCCGTGGGGGTGGGACCTGCTGAGCCAGACCACTTGGCTCCCTGGCTTCAGTCCCCTTTCCAGGGGAGTGTCTCACTGGCATTCCAGGCACCACTGGGGTATGAAAAAAAAACTCCTGTGACTAGCTTGGTGTCTGCCAAATGGCCACCCAGTTTTGTGCTGTAAACTCAGGGCCCTGGTGGTACAGGGTGTAGGTACTGGAGGGAATCTCCTGGTCTGCAGGTTGTGAAGAACGTGGGAAAAGTGCAGTATCTGGGCCTGAGTGCATGGTACAGTCCCTAATGGCTTTACTTGGCTAGGAGAGGCAGTTCCCCAACCCCTTGCACTTTCCCGGTGAGGTGATGCCCCACCCTGCTTCTGTTCCCCCAACTTTGACTGCACCCACTGTCCAACCAGTCCCAATGAGATGACTCAGGTACCTAAGCTGGAAATGCAGAAATCACCCACCTTCTGCATCGATCTCAGTGGGAGCTGCAGACCGGAGCTGTTCCTATTTGGCCATCTTGCCAGCAAAAATACCATGATTTCTTTCTTATCTGAAAATGACATTATTTCGTCCTCATTCTGGTTGAATATTATTTCCTCTTAACATTTTAAGGTTTTTATTTCCCTGTCTTCTCACTTGCTTCATTATTGACGGGTTAGATTTTGTTTAATTTTCATTCATTTGTAGTTCATCTGTCTTTTCATTTTGGTTGCATTTTTCTCTTTGATTTTGGTGTTCCATAATTTCATAAAGTATTTAGGTATAGATTTATTTTTATTTATATTGCTCAGAATTTACTGAACTTCATGATTTTGAACATTTTTGTCTATAATCAATTCTGAAACAGTCTCAAATATTCTCCCTTTGAGCATTACCTCTCCCCCATTCTCTTTTTCTGTCACTGATTTCAATACATTGACTCTCATTCCTATTCTTTTTCATGTTTTCCATTTCTTTATCTCTCTGTGCTGTACTCAGCTTTATTACCTTGTATTCCAGTTCATCATTCTCTTTCTATTAGATATGGCTAATTGCTTGTTTGTCTTTCACACTGAATTTTTAATTTTATGACTATTATTTATTATATGCAGAAGTTCTATTCGGTTTTTAAAAAATCTACCTGCTTTTTGCTGGGTGCAGTGCCATGTGCCTATAGTCCCCGCTATTTGAAAGGCTGAGGTAGGAGGATCACTTAAGCCCAGAGTTTCAGGCTATAGTGCACCATGATTGTGCCTATGGATAGCCACTGTACTCCAGTCTGGGCAACATAGTAAGACTCTCTCTCAAAACAAAAACAAAAATGAAAACAAAAACTATCTGCATTTTCATAGAGTATTGGCTTCGTTATATCTTTTTCTAATCATTTTAAAAAATACTTAAAGTGTCTACAAACAATTTTCATCTTATGAAGTCTTGGGTATATAATTCTTCTGTTTCTTAGCAGCTGATTTTTGCTGTTAGTGGATTCTTTCACAAAACGTTCTGTAGTTTTGGATTGTGAGCTTTCTTTAGTGCAGTTTTATATGTGTGAACTCTGCACAGCCTAGGTTGAGTGCACAGTCCCCTAAAGAATTTTATATTAATTTCAACCAGGTGCCCCAAGAATATCACTGGCCAGGGACATATTCTCACATTAAACTTTGAGCTTGTGGATTCCCAGATCATGAGGTCAGGGTAATTTTGCACTCTAAATTTGTGTAATATAACTAGGAATTCTCAAGGAAGAACTCCTATCCCCCATACCACAGTCTAAATGGAGAAGAGTTGGCATCCTACCAATCTCCCTGTGCTGAAGGAAGATTTCTATTTTTATTTTATTGTCTGGATTTACCCTTTTAGTAAAAATGTAGCTCTTCAAGAGTCTTGGGCTTATTTGTGAAGTCTCTGTTCTATCCTCCCCACCCTTGGCAGGCTCTTTTCTGATCCCTTTATGGCTTAAGAGCCTAAGCCCCCAGGTTACCAAGACTGACAACCTCCCTCCAGGTAGCTATAGCGTCAGCTTATGTACTTATATCTCTGCTTTTCAGTTCTCTTTTTCAAAGCAGAGGAGGGGTTGCAGAGGGTGTCTGGACATTTCCCTTACTTTCCTACCAGCTTAGGTATTCATTTACAATAAAGGTCGTCAAATTTCACCAAGAATTTTTAAATGTTTTGTCTTGTGTGTGTATGTGTACACATGTATATAGGGGAATGGGGCAGCGTTTAGATAATTTATTTTGCCACATAGAATACCTTCATGTTCTTAAGCATATAAATCTTGCCATGTTTGTTAATTTTTTGAATAAGCAATATGTTTATATGATATCAATAGGTATACATTGTGATGTTTCACTCACCTGCCTTTATGTATCTGTTTTCCATTTCCCCCCACCCTTTCTTGCCATATTTTTTTAATAGTCAGTGGGGTTTTTGATTTGGGTTCGAATTCACCGTGTATTTTTAAATATACAAGTATTCACGGTGCAGCCTGGTTCGTTTATGAAATGTTAGAGGCTGGGATTATCTGGGGAGAGTAATGTCCAGACAAATATATTAAAATGACCAGTGAAATTGTGATGGATCAAAGAGCACCATTATATTCCTTGTGATTTTTGAAACCTACATGCATGTTTGTACTAAACGAAATGCTTTTACTAAGCATTTGTTTATTTAATCCAGAAATCTTTGTTGAGTATGCTAGGCAGTGGGGGTACAAAACTGAGTAAGTGAGCATTCTTGAGGAGATAAACAAGAAGTTAGCTTTAGCAATGGTACATTTTGCTAGGGGCAAGTGGGATTTTGCTAGGGGCAAGTGGGATTTTGCTAGGGGCAAGTGGAGTGGGAAGAACACAGGGGAAAGCATTACCCAGCTACTAGTCAAAATGAGTTGTACTGTGAGTAATAAAGAAAAAGATGATAAAATGACAAGATTATATGTTTGCTTTATCCTTAAGATGGCGCTGTAAACTCACAATTCCTTCGTAGAAAAAGAATACATAAAAATCACCATATTTATCTGAAATTTCACTGAAACCTTATAAACTGGAATGGCTTCTGTGTGTCTGAGACTGTTGTAGGTGCTCATATTATTCTCGTTTAATCTTTGCAGCAACCTAAGAAGCAGGAATAAGTCTTTGCCCCATTTTGCAGACTAAGAAAAGGAGTCAGAGAGGGTGTAAATGACTTGCCTTCAGTCACGTAGCTTGTAAGTGGCAGACCCGAGATTTAAACAGACAGCATAAATCCAGAAACAGGGTCCTTAATCACTGTGCCATATTACCTCTTTATAGTAATCCATATGTTGAAAATGCAGTGTCATTAGAATTATTAGTTACAAAAACTCAGGGTTTTTTTTTTTTTTTTTTCCAGTTCTGGTTAAATCACACAAGTCCCTGGCATGAGACCAAGAAGTCACAGAGCCCAGGTCTTAGCCCTCAGAGTGTGAGAGAAGACATGAAGGCATCAGGGACACTGTGCGAGTGGGCACTGCTGCTTTCCACTGCTCTCCCTAGACTGCAGCCAGGAGGCTGCCTCTGCCCTGCCAGGTCAGATTCCCCCAAGAGGCCCTCCCATAGCACCCTGGGCATATGGCCGTTTTGTACTTAGCACTCCGAACTGTGTTGACTGGTTTCTCTCTCTCTCCCTCACTAATCTGTGAGCATTTTTGTAACCTCCATGCTCCGTACAATGCCTGGAGCATAGATTTCTCAAGAAATCTTTGTTGAACCTTTTCTTCCTCCATATTAAACCAGACCTTGCATCACAGGCACTATTTTCTCAGTATTCAGTCCTTCACTCCCTTCTATACACAAATAATCTCCATCCTAGACAGGAAATTATAGGAGAGAAGGCAATCTGTGTGAGAAAGCAATTTCTATTTGAAGCACTTGTGTGTTTAGGTGCTGCTGAGAATTGCAATAAAAGCCAACACTGGGCTTAAATTGTTAAGCAGTATCTGTTAGCTAGCATTTCTTCTCCCTGGGCATTTCTAAACCTGAGAAACCTATAATGTGCTTACTGTCCTTCCATGTATTCATCCATGTGAAATATAGTTAAAATGAAGGTGAAATATAGTTGAAATGAATGCCAAAGGCAACTTGGAAAGGGAAAAGAAGCATCAAACAATCGAATTTTGTCGAAGAAGCATAAATGAGGGAAGGGGAGTTAAGCAGCTCACTTTCCACCTCCTTTTTTTCTCTTAGATTAACTTCAGGTTGTTTCTTAGCAACAACTGGTAAGAATTACCTCCTTTTCTGCTCTAAGCCAATATCCAGTACCCCAACCCCCACCCTCTTTTCCCCCAATTTCCAAAGTTGGCATCCCTAGTAGGATTCCCAGTTTAGCAACCTTAGAGGCAATTTTGGTAGCCAATAAATCCTGTTGAAAGAGGGAAACTTGGAATCTTTGCCTAGAGTGTAAATTGACATTGAGGATGGAGCTGGTAGGAGAGCTGGCACGTTCAGGAGGTGACCTTGTAAGGATAAAAACACAGCTGTGTCAGCGAAACAGACTCTTTGAACAATGTCTGAAAATAGTATTCAACAAATGTTAGCTGTGATTATTACTATGGATTTATGTTACCAGCAAGGAGGCTGGTGAATGACTTTATTCACTCACCACATATTATAACCCCCTTACTAGGTACCAGATACTGTGTTGAGTCCTGAATATGCAATCTTCACTCCTTAATTCAGCAAATACAGTAATTCAGCAAATAACAGTATTTTTATTATAGAAAAATATTTAATTTGTATTCTTGTAGTTTGAGACAGTATCGCAAAGTCCGTTTTCAGTCAAGCTTATATGATTGGGAAAAAATATTACCTCCACAGGGTCCTGCCTGAAATTTAACATCATCAATGGCAATATCACTTCTTATTGATAGCTCTGGACAGGAATAATGCTTTGGAGGAATTATGATGCCTAGCCTAGTACGCAGCTGAATAGGTCAACATCTTGAAATCTTCCTTCCCCAATGTTTCAGCTCTGTTTAGGGATTTCCTCCACTATAGGCAGTTAATCATAAATAGAAAGAATTTCATTTGCAAAATTTTGTTTTATTATAAAATTTTATTTTCTCCATAAACTTCAGAATATTTATTTTGTGTAGCTGAGAATTTTTTGTTTTCTTTGCATTCAGAAAGATAATGCTCTTAATAGATTAATTTATGAGTTTGGACACTCTTGAGTGGGAAACCCTCCCAACTTCAAGAAAACAATGGACTTTTGGCTAAAGTAGTAAAGAGGTATGAGCCTTTGAATCAGACCAGACTCTTAAATTCCTCCATTTAACAGATACAAAATCTTGAGTAATTTCTTCACTCTTTTGAGACTCTGTTTCCTTATCTGTGAAAGAGCTAAAATATTTCCATCTCACAGAAGTGGGAAAGACATTCATTCATTCAAGTATTTTTTTGTTGCACACTTACTATACCAGACACTTTCTGGGTACTGAGAATACAAAAGTAAACAAAACAGCAAGAAATGTTGTACTCCATGTTAGGATATAGAGTTTACATTCTAATGAGATAAAAAATTGAGATTGTCTATGTGAAATAAAGCATGCTATAAAAATTATTGTATCAGTGGAGTAAAAAGAGGTAAGGGAAAATTAAGAGAAAAAAGTAATAATTATTATATTAATGTATAGAGTGCTTATGTCACTAATAAAAAGGCTTAAGCATTTTGTTGTGGCAGAGTAGAGATTCAAATTAGAATCTGCAGTGTTGTAGTGAAGATACTCTGATAAAGACAAATAATGTAGAAATGAGTTAATTGCTAGTGAAAAGATTTTCAAATTATTTTTATTAGGTAATTTTATAATTTCATAGCAGCTGTTAGGATACACAAACATATATATACAATTTTCTAAACAAGTAAATAAAAGCAGTTTAGTATATCTGCCTGAATTCATATTATTCAAAATCTTACCAAAATATTTATTATAAAAATCAGTAAAATTGTTTAACACATTTATAAAAGTTGCTGGGTATGTATACATAAACATTTTAAGCTTGCTTTACAAAAAAAAGTTAAATTTCTATCCATGTGCTCATAGTGACTTCAAAGGTAGTTCAAAGGGGGAATAAAGAAGGTAGCATTGCCTTGTAATACAGCATTAATTAATACTGACTTACCCTTGGACATTCATGAAAGATCCTTTGTTATCACATATGGTGAAAATATTAAAAATTAATACTCCATTTCTATGAATAAAACATAGAAAATAAGACTTTATTTTTCCAGACTAACTCATTAGCATGAAAGACTGCATTCATTCTGCAGATATTACTGACACCCCGTATTATTTACTTTAAAAATATTTATGATACTTAAAATTCAAAAGGAAACCTGCAAGACCTATTTTTCTCCCAATACATTCACTGAATGCAGATTTAAATGAGTGCATCTCATTTTGATTGTGCCCTTTGTGTACTTTAAAATGACTACAATATAGTACATTTGTATTTTTAACTGGTACCAAAATTAAGATGAATGATCTATGCAAAACCAGTAGCCTGTATTTCTAGTAACAGTTGTCATATGCAAAAAGAAAAAAAGAGCCCTGAGTCAGTATGTTTTTGCAAAAGTAATGAAGGAGGGTGCTCTAAAGTCATTTTATAACTTATAAAATTGTTAAGACTGTCCAGTATTCATTTGCTTTGTTTTCATTTTGATTGAAGAGAGGTATGGTTTTCGTCTAGTAAATCCAATGCAGATCATTTCTTAATACTCAATTTCATTTAAGTCCTCAGAATATCCTGATGATTGTTGAGTTGTATCTTCCATTTCTGTCAGGAAAGACAAATATACAATAACAGTATTTTTATTATAGAAAAATATTTAATTTGTATTCTTGTAGTTTGAGACAGTATCGCAAAGTCCATTTTCAGTCAAGCTTATATGATTGGGAAAAAATATTACCTCCACAGGGTCCTGCCTGAAATTTAACATCATCAATGGCAATATCACTTCTTATTGATACTCCTCGAATGGCTTCAAAAATTATCTGAAAGAATAATATGTTTGAATTTAGAAATAGAATCATCCTGATTACAGTGCTGGTCAGGGCAGATCCAGGCTTTGTAAATATGAAAACGTAGATTGCTCTTGAGGATCCCTTTAAGGAAAAGGATACCAAATTACAAATTGAAATCTAGGTATTAAAGAGAATATTTATTTGGAATTTAAAGAAACACAATAAATTACTGAAGCCTTGAAGATTCAGGTCCCTGTCTTCTGAGATCTCTTTAGGCAATTTCCCAGAAATGCTTGCCTAGAAATGCTTCTTGGTGGTAACCTGGTTTCCTCTTCCCAATTGGAACACTCTTCTCCCAGCATCCCCCAGCACCCACACAGGGTCTGTGAAAGTGAGGGGCTCAGAAATTTAAATTTCCTTTAGCACTCCATAAATCTACCTTTGATACTGCTACGAGGTGGAAAAATTTAATATGACCGATGATACCCATGTGTGAACAGAAAAGCATAATGATGAAGTTTACCAAAGATAATGGTTCACTTATGTTAAATACCATAACATCAAAGACACAGCTCAGGCAGAAGAGAGAATCAGTTTTATAACTTCAGATTCTGAGAAGAAAATAACTGATCAGATATTGTGGTTGTAGGAAAAATAGATTACTTAACCAGCTCTAAGGCTGTCCCAACAATGGTTAACAAATTACTGAATAGTCCAGGGAGGCCCATGGGTAATGAAAGTTGTTCAGAAGACACATTTGCTCTATTCATTTTATAAGCAAGTGAGTCTTCATTGGAGTAGTTTATAATTTAAATAAAAAAGAAAGACCTTAAATTTTATTTAAACCCTCCCTAAAATTAAAGAATATAAATTAAATAATATGTTTATAAAGTTATCTTGAAATTAATGTTTCAAAGATGCTTCAGTGACAGACTGGTGGCAAAATACTCTTAATAAAAATGCTAAGGATCCAACTCGTGATGGTGGATTTCAGGTGTCAACTTGACTGGGTTAAGGGATACCCACATTGCTGGTAAAGCATTATTTCTCAGTATGTATGTGAGGGTGTTTCTGAAAGAGATTGGCGTTTGAATTGGTGGACTGAGAAAGGAAGATCTGTCCTCACCCAATGTGAGTGGGGACCATCAAATTGGTTGAGGATGCAGATAGAACAAAAAGGCAGAGGAGAAGCAAGTTTGCTCTCTCTTCTGTAACTGGGACACCCGTCTGCTTCTGTCCTTGGACATCAGAACTCTAGGTTCTTCAGTCTTCAGACTTCTGGAATTGTACCAGTGGCACCCTAGGTTCTCAGGCCTTTGGCTGCAGACTAATAGTTATACCATCGGCTTCTCTAGTTCTCAGGCCTTGGGATTTGGACTGAGCTATGGTACCAGCTTTCCTGGTTCTCCAGCTTGTATATAGCAATGGAAACCTTTGCTATATACAATGAGATGCTTGAATATAGCATCTCAGCCTTCATAATTATATGAGCCAATTTCTATAATACATCCCCTTTCATATCTCTCTCACCTTCTGTGTCTGTCTCTCTCTTTCTCCTCTTACTGGTTCGGTTTCTCTGGAGAACACTGATTAATACACAGTGCTAAATAAGAATCCAAATAAGTGGCAAGAAGAGGGAAAAAATGTCCTAACACACCTAGATAAAAGGACACCTGAGTGCACATAATAAGCATTTTGGTTCTCTGAACAACAATAAAATCTGTTTTTTTGGCCTTCAAGTCTGTAATGAAAAGAGTAATAAAATTACCTGAAGGAATTATATTCTGAATAGTCTATGATTTGGCCAGACACTTGATTTTATACAACTTTCTCCTCTGAAATTTCTTAATACAGTAGTGATCACCATTTTATAGTACTATGATTTCCCCCTTGTATTATAAATATGTAGTAATACCTCTTCTTTTTCTACATTGACAATAGGATTAAGCTGACTTATCTTTGCACTTTAAGACTAACCAAATCTATCCAAATCAAATAGCTACTGAGCAAATACTTGTTTATTTAGATAATAGACATAACAAATGTAGGATTAAATAAGATCATATATGTCCTTGGTTCCCAAAGTGTGTGCTGAGGTGCCCCAGGGTGCCCAAGTACATTCATGGGGTGCTGTGGATAGTTTGAAATTTTAAGGGAAACATGGCAATATTCAATACTTAGCAGACACCATGTGAACTGCTAGCTCAATGTCATTCAAAGTTTTAACATGGGATTGTCCTGTATTGCTTTTGATAACATATCTTCATAGAGCTGAGTTTTTTGGTAGCTGCTACAATTAAAAGCAAGCATTGTGTAGAAATCAATGTGGAACATAAAATAAGGGTAGTGTATCCAATCTAATTCCAAGGTTTGGGAAGTTTGTGCCCGACAGGTATATACATTCTATTTGTACATAATTTTGGTTAATAATTAGATAAAATCTTAATTTTTATTTTAAGTATTTTTTCAGATGGCTACTAAGTTGTTAGAACATAAATACTTAAGTTGTTTGAATCCAAATACTTAATATATGAAACTGTTAGGTGTTTCTTCTGGTATTGCGGCACCAAGAAAAAATTACTATGGGCATCATAAACAAGAAAATTTGGAGACCTGAATCTTTTTTTTTTTTTTTTTTTTTTTTTTTGAGACAGAGTCTTGCTCTCAAGCTGGAGTGCAGTGATGCGATATCAGCTCACTGCAACCTCTGCCTCCTGGGCTCAAGTGATCCTCTTGCCTTAGGCGCCTTAGTAGCTGGGGCTACAGGCATGCACCACCAAACCTGGCTAATTTTTGTACTTTTAGAGGAGACAGGGTTTTGCCATGCTGTCCAGGCTGATCTCAAACTCCTGGGCTCAAGAAATCCCCCTACTTCAGCCTCCCAAAGTGCTGGGATTATAGGTGTAAGCCACCGCACCCTGCCAACCTGAGTCTTAGCTGAGTATGCAGTGCATAGAAATTCCTAGTAACTGTTAGGCAGTATAATTAATAATATGACTGATGTAAATATTTCAGTGAGCTGGGAATTTGTATAACACTTTACTTCAATGGCATAAAAATCTAAGAAACCAAGGAGGAAAAGTCATGAAAGCTGGGGAGGAGGGGTAATCAGGGAATCCAAAGGAAATAGAATGATTTTGTGCTTTTGATCAATAGTGAGTCAGTTTCTGCTTAGCACTAATAAATCCCTTAGGAAGGAGCATGATTAAACATTTGCCGTTTGATGCATTTCTTTTTCCCACAGGGATGATCTAATGAGTGGAATGCCTTTAGGAGGCCACCCACATATTTTCCCCATAGGATCAATCTCAAATGGCAGCAGTACTATCACACTCTAAATACCATCTCTACCTGCCCACCCCCATTCAAGCTGTACACATTTACTTCCCTAACTGTGTTCTCTTCCCTGAACTCATCTCATATCCTATTATTTACTTACAACCATTTGGATTTCTAATAGACATAGAAAACTTAACATGTCCCCCCAGAAGTCTATTAATTTTCTTCCTGCACACACTGCCCTCACTCCAGGTCTGCTCTGTCTCAACTCTTCCTCATCTCAATAAATGATATCTCAATTCATTTTAGCAATTGCTCATGCCAAAAGCTTTGGAGTCATCTTGGTGTCTCCCTTTCCCTCAGACTCCACATTCTATACATAAGAAGTCTCGTGGGCTTCTGATGACATCTCCTCACCTCTGCTGCATAGCCTAAGCCATCACTCCTCTTGCCAGGGCTACTGCAGCAGCCCCCAAAGTCTCCTTGTCCCATTGCAGTATACTTTACACGCAGTAGCTGGAGTGATCATTTCAAAATCAGATAATATTACCTTAAAGCTGTATGATGGCTTCTTACTGCTTTTGGAACAAATTTCAAACTCTTTACCACACCTTCTAAGGATTTTCATGATTATCACAATACTTCTTTGACCTCACCACTTGATCAACTTGACTTCTTCTTCCTCTTATTTTCCTTCCTCTTCTTAATATTATTTTTAATTGATAAATCACAATTTTATACCTTTATGGGGTACAATGTGATATACACACACACACACACAAAATGTGGGATGATTAACTCAAGCTAATTAACATATCTGTCACCTCACTTATTTATCACTTTTTTGTGATAAGATGTGAAATTTACTCTCTTAGTTATTTTGAAATATACAATACATTATTGACTGTAGTCATCCTGTGTTCAACAAATCTCAAAAACATATTCCTCTTGTCTATCTGAAACTTTGTAGCCTTTGACCAACAACTCCCCATTCCCTGCTCCTGCTTCCCCCAGCCTCTGGTAACCATCATTCTACTCTCTACTTCCATGAGCTCAGCTTGACTTCTTCATAGCACTTGTTATCTGATGTTACTCTCTCTCTCTCTCTCTCTCTCTCTCTATATATATATATATATATATATATTTGTTGTTTGGCTTGCTTTTTTTTTTAGAGACAGGGTCTCAATATGTTGCCAGGCTGATCTCAAACCTCAAACTCCTGGCCTCAGGCAATCCTCCCACCTCGGCCTCCCGAAGTGCTGGGATTACAGATGTGAGCCACTGTGCCCGGCCTTGGCTTGCATTTTCTACGTCCTCCCCACTAGAATGTAAATTCCAAACAAATAAGAACTTTATATATTACATTCATTGCAGTATCTTCAGCACCTAGAATAGTAAATGGACAATACGTACTTATTGAGATGAGATATTTTGGTCTCAAACAACAGGAGCTCAGTCTGGATGCCTGATGTAGCTGTTGAGAATACCAGTTCTGCCACGGTGATATGAATTAGTGACTAGGGAGACTTAGGTGAGAATATATTGGTAGAACAGTGATAATATTTTGATACTTTAAAGTTTATAAAACCCTTTCACATACATAATCTCCTTTGACTCTCTAACTCTGCAATGTCAGCACAGCTGACTAGGAATTATTACCCCATTTTGAGAATGTATAAACTCTCAGAGTGTAAAAGGTATCTCCAAAATCATGCAGTGCTTGTGACCTTCAGGCCAATGAGGATTATTTTGGAACTTCTATGGTAGGAGGCAGTGTAGAACAGTGGCTTAGGGATACAAACTTTGGAACCATGCAGATCTGGTTCTCATTCAGCCACTTATCAGCCAGACATTTACTTTTCCCCACCTGTAAAATGGGGAAATAGGATCAGTTGAAAGAACTTACGTACAGCTCTTAGCACTGTAAGTGCCTGGCATGTAGCAGATGGCTGATCTATGTGCACATGAGTATATCTGTTTTATTAGACACTAGGATGTTTTGGAGCAACTAGTTCAGCCTGGTCTCCCTGGCATCATTTGGATTCCTGAGGGAATCACTAACACAGAGGAGATTCTTATCTGTTCCATTCTAAGCCAAGGGGGAGGATTCTGGAGTCTTCTTCCCAGACTGTGAGCTGGAAGTCTCCAGGGCGATTCTGCATCATTTGAAGAGCCCTAAATGCCATTTCAGATGCCACACTACTCTGTACTCAAAAAACATTTCAAATAACTACCTCCCCAGTAAGTCTATTATATGCAAGGCCATGTGTCTGATCCCCAAGGCCTAGATGCTGATAAGTTACCTGTCCCCAGAACTCAAATCTTAGAGCACTTGCGCATCAGTATCGCTTGAGAGTTGAACAAAAAATCAGTGCTCAGGTGTCACCCCCAAAGATTTAGATTCATTTAGTCTAGCATAGAGATTCTTTGCCTTTAGCATGCATCAGATTCACCTGGAGGGCTTATTAAAACAGATTTCTGGGGCCCCCAAATCCTGTTTCTGATTCATTCGTTTTAAAGTGGGACCTGAGAATTTGCATTTTAAGTGAATTTGTGTTTCAAGTGAATTTGCATTTCAGGTATTGCTGATGCTGCTGGTACCTGGACCAAACTTTGAGAACCATTTGAATACAGAAGGAGTACCCTAATAGCCTAACAAAATTAATCCATCATCTCTGAATAATGATCAATTATATTAGTAAGTTCCTGAGCCATCCACTTTCTTCTTTCGAACAGACATTAAATCACTATAAAATTATTCCTGAAGCTACCTGTTATTCTTTGCCAAATGTCTAGGTGTTTATCCATGTTGGGATAATGGGCCTTTCCCAGATAATGGCTCATCTTCCCTGTCATTTGCTCTTTAACAATGTAGCACCTTTGACTGCACTGCAACTTGGCCATCTGAGCTTCTGCAATTCCTTCCCATTTATATCTGTAGAAAATTATTTTTGGTCATAGGTTGGTGCAAAATAAAACCCTTAATTTGGATATCCCTTCCCAGGAAGATCTGGGTTTAGACAAGGCAGCCAGTGGTTAAAGACGCAGAGTGCTGGTCCAGGAGGTTTATCAGCCAGAAGTAAGAATGAGTAGGAAGGTGTGCCTTTAGTTGGAGGTCACACTTGAGAATTCTACAGAGCAATTTTAAGAACAGTCAGAAATCTGAACGTTATCATCTCCCACAGCTTTCTGGAGCTTTGGCTCATGGTAGGCAGGTAAAATCTGTGGCTATCAGAAGGCAGGTGTGGTTCTCCAGGCTAGACTGGCTGTTCAGCCCCTACCTACTAGAATTTAAAAGGGTGTTTCCTATTGCTGCCCAGATTCCTTTATGATAGAGAACATCTAGGATGGACATCTTCTATAGCACATGAGAGGACCTGGGGGAGACCCAGGACTGAGGATCAAGTCTCTCAGTTTCTTTTGCATCAATGCAGTGATGGAGGCAGAGGCATTAAAAAAACAAAACTTACTCTGGACCATGCTCACTGTTAAATAGAGGCTTAAGGCAAAAGCTCTTAGATGTATGTGAGTAATGATGAGTAAAAGATGCAGCTGCAACTAATTAGGTAATACCATATTTAGAAGAAAAGACTTCGTTTTGGAGATATGCATGATACATAGAAATATACTTGACACCCATAATGTATCAAGACAAAAATAGATATACTTTTATCATAGAACTGCAAGAAAATCACTTTATGCATAAATTCTCAAAGCTTTCTCTCCCTGTCACTGCTTAGATTTAATCAATGTATAGACTAATTATGTTTACTCCCTCTTAATCCTGCCTTTGTCTATGACCCTGAAAAAGAACAAAATATTCTCTTTGGTAGCAAGAATAAGAAAGAACATCAGAAGCTCCTACACGTTTTCCATTGCTTAGTTCTTATCTCTGTTGGCTTACCTGGTGTTGCCTCTCACAGCTGTATTCAATCAGTGCTCGTAGCCAGGAAATGCTCTGTTCACCTCTTCTCCTCCATAAGAGGGACTCTTCACTGTCTTCTTCCTTTTTCAGATAAACACTCAGCAGGCCAGTGCCCCCTCCATACATGTGGTAGAAAAAGGTCAAGCAGTGTTTTCCAGAGACTCCTCGCAGAGGCCTGGACAAGAGGCGTGCTTTTTGTCCATACACCATATGGGAGGCCTCAATGTACATGTAGTAGCCTTGAGGTGAATGCAAAAGCAGGTATTGTTAAAAAGGACACAAATTACATTTTCTCCTTTCATAATGTTCTTTCAGAGTGTCAAGTCAAGATGATCTGACTAAAAGTACTGATAAAGGGTTTTATAATTTTGAAGAATGCATATTATCTAAGGAGAATGAATAACTTCCAAAAATGAGACCAACAAAATGATTTCTTAAATTTAATGATTTATAATTCAGTTTAATATACAAGAGGTAATTAATATACCAGTATTATGCCACTGATACAGTGATTAACACATCAGAATTTATATTACTTATTCATGGACAATATCCTAAAGCTTCCAGACGTTGGTTTGGAGAGAAAGAGAGGGTGGGTTTTGTAGTCAGGTAGATCTGGGTTCAAGTCTTGACTATAATATTTGTTGTTTATGTGATTCTGGTCTAATGAATAATCTCTAAACTTACATTCATCATTTTAAGATAAGGGTTAATACCTATGCTACAGAATTGTGAGAATTAAATAACATAATGACATATGCTCACATGTTATGCATATTCCATTATTTGTTTCCTGTCCTACTTAATTCCTAAAACTTTTTGTGACACTTTTTTTTAGTTTTGAAAACATACTCTGTAATTTTTTTAAATATAATCCAATCTTTATTTAAAAATCTAATCTGCCAGTTTAGCGTTTTCCACCAACTTGGGGAGCTGAAACTTTCACAGGCTTCACAATCTTTTGCTTAGGTGCTGCCTTTGTAGGTGCCTTAGCAGTAGCCATTGCAGTCTTTTTAGATGCTTGCTTAGCCTTTTTTGCTTCCTTAGCAGCCCTGATAGCTTGTTCTCGTTGAGCCTTTCTAACTTAAGGTTTCTGATTCCTCTTGGCCATTATATCAGCAAGAGATGCACCAGTAATGGCCCTCTGGAATTTGACTGCTGGGTGGGTTCTTTTCTTTTGAATTTCTTCCGACTCTCCCTTTTTGTGCTTCCTTCTGTGGAGGACAGTCCAGTTTATCTGCCAAGGATTCCTCTTGGAAAGGAATGCCGACTCGCATTTCGCATTAAGAAACTCGAAAACCTTCCCGTCGGTCCTGGCGTAGTGCCTCCCCTGTCCCGGGTAGATCTTGTACCCACTAAAACTGCACAGCTCGACCTTCGTGGCGACGGCTCCACGGGAAGAGAAAAGATGGCGAAGAGCCATATTCTGTAATATTTTTAAATTGCCTTTCCAATTTCCTTTTCTAATTTTATTTTATTGCTATTTTTAAATTTATTGGCTTCAGGCAGAAACAGGATTAATCGGCATGTAGATAAGGCAGTGGTGTGCTGCAGCCAACTTGTACGGGCTTCCAATAGTCCATTGTATGCATTCTGTCCGAGCTCCAGGTGATTTCACATTGGTAGCTGGAACTGGGCCATGATGGGACTATTTAAACTACAGAAATTGGACATGTATACAAGTCAGTACATCCTTCTCAAAGCCAGTTGGTGTTAAACAATCACTATCATGTCACTGAAGTAAAACTATATATGAATAGTAATGCAAGAGATCTTTTCTAGAGTAATTCACTGGTAATATAATTCTGTGCATCTGAGGCCCATTTTAAAAAAGGCCCTAAACTCTTCACTAGTAGGTATTAACCTTTGATCACTTGATGAAAAGTTTAGACTGCCTCTATTTGAAAAGTACACAAAGAAAGTTTGCATGCAACTTTGTTGCCTTGTTTGGTGTTACATTTGTGTTTGGAATGGATGTATGTGTCTCCCCAAATTCATATGTTGAAGCCCTACCCCTTGTGTGATAGTAATTGGAGATGGGGCACTGGGGAGCTAATTAGGGCTAGATGAGGTCATGAGGCTGAAGCCCTCCTGATGACAATAGTGCCCTTATAAGAAGAGACAGCAGGGAGCTTGTTCTCTCTCTCTCTTCAGGCGCACACACCAAGAAAGGCCATGTGGGCACACAGCAAGATGGTGCCTGTCTGCAAACTAGGAAAAGAGCCCTCACCAGGAACTGAAACAGCTGGCACCTTGATGTTGGACTTTCCAGCCTCCACAACTGTGAGAGGTAAGTTTCTGTTGTTTAAACCACCTAGTCTATGATATTTTGTTATGGCAGCCCAAGCAAACACCAACATTTGCCAATTTTGATTTATTTTTTACATATATGATGTAAAAAGTAATCTTTACAAAGTATCATATGTCTCATTATTTCATGCAGAAATTGGTGACCAAATCAAGGGGAAAAATAAAGAGATCCCAAATAATACATGCAAATTAAATGGTTTCTTTATAGTTTGAAGTTTAATCAATGAACTCTAATTAATCATTTCCAAAAATATGGCAATCGAGACATCCAAACAAGAATTGGTTAGAAGTCCCCTCTATGTGCCTGGGAGGCCTTTCTCCATTCTCTTTTTCTTATTTCTACAAACACAAATCTGAGAAGTTCTATAAGTTTATTAAAACAGTGGGAGAAAGCATCGTTGGTCTTAATAAATTGTGTGCACTGTGCAACCTCTTCCCCCAGTGTTTGTTTTACTCTATAAAGTTCTCACCCTGCAAAACTGGGCTGACTCAGGATATGGCCTGCATCAACCAGTCACATATAAGGAATGACGCTGCCCCAAAGAAGCAAAATCAGAGCAGAGTTCTGTGTCTGTCACTTCAGGTTGCCTGTTAACAAGGCATGGTGCCACCATAGGCTCCACTAGCTGGGGATTCCTGAATGCAGTGAACAAGTAGAAATCAAAACCTCCTTTAGGATACTCTAAAGACTACATATATTTCAGTGCAGTTCAAAAGTAAATTTTAATTAGAAAGCTAATTGGTTTAAATAAGAAATTGAAATTGTGGGAGTGTCTTTGATCTGGTATGTTACATTTGACATCCAGTCAACTTCAACTTTTCATCTCATTGGCAGTAGTTTCATCCAGATGCATGCTTAAGGGAAATGGCATAGCTGCCAACTTTCCCATGATCTGCTCAAAAATAATAGCAAAAAAACCTGTCAGTGTTCTGCAGTGCTCACCAGTGACATCCTCATTACGAACTCGAGTGGTCAGTTTTCAGTCTTTGTCATTTTTGTAACATTGGACATAGTGGTTTACCACTTCAGAAAGTAGAATTACATTCTTACGTTGGCTTGCAAGACACTGTATTCTCCTGCTTTTTCTCCTTCCTCACTGGTGACTCCTTTGCTGGTCACTTTTTTCACAATTCCACTCTCTCTTTCCTGACCTTTTGACCCTGGAGTGCCCCAAGGTCCAGTTTTTACTTCGCTATTCTTACTTCCTTGATGATCTCATCTTGTTTCAGGGCTTTAAATACCAAATATGTTATATCTCAAACTCAAATTTTCAACCTTTTTGCTGAAATCTAGACTTGTTCAAACTGTCTAATGGACATCTCCACTTACTGTCAGGTAGACATCTCACACTGAGCATATTCAAAACTCAACTTCCTGACAGCCTGAAGTAGACTAAATATCCAGTCGTTGACACCCAAAACCTGTGAGTCGCACACCACTACTCTCTTTTTCTGATTCTCCACATCAAGGCTATCAGGAATTCCCACTGGCTCTACCTTTAAAATATATCCAGAATCCAGTCACTTCTCTTCTTACCGCCTCCACTGCTATCACCCTGGTCCAAGCTGCTATCATTTCTCGCTTGGATTAATGCAACAGCTTCCCAACTACTCTGTCTGCTTCTACTCTGGTCCCCTGCAATCTCATCTCAAAATTGTATTCATAGTGCTCCTTCTAAAGCAAAAGCAAAATCATACCACTCATTTAAAACCTTCCACTGGGTTAGCATTTCAGAGTGAAAGCTAAAGTCCTTACAATTGGCTTTAGAACCCCATACAGTCTCCCACCTATTCTCTTACCTGTCTCATTCCTACTGGCTTTCTCCTCACTTACTGTGTTGCTTGGCCACACTGGCCTTTGTATTATTCCTGGAATATGGCAGGTATGCTGCTGCCTGAAGGCCTTTGCATGTGCTAAGTCTGGTTCTTCCTCTAGATATTCTCAGGTCTCACTCTCTTACCTCCTTTAAGTCTTTGCTCAGATGTCACCTTTTCTATTAGACCTGTTCTGACTATACTATTCCAAATTGCAGTCCCTCTTCCCTGGCACTCCTCATTCCTTATACCCTAATTTATGTTTTCCATAGTTAATTGCCTCTTAACATACTGTATAATTTTCTTATTTTTATGTTTGCCTGTCTCTTTCCTTTAGAATTCACAAGGACAGAGATTTTTTTTCTTGTTTAGTTCACTGCCACATTCCCAGGTCCTAGAACAGTGCTTGGAACATAGTAAATGCTCATTAATATCTGTTGAATGGATGAATGAATGCATTTTTTCCCACAGCTCTAAGCACAAACCAGTTTGACCATTTCTAGGGCACATGGCTCCACCGTAGTCACTCCAAATGTGTGAAGTTCTTGGCGGTGAGATATGCACTTGACTATGATGATCCAAGGCAAACTAGAGCAAATCCCAGTTTTGGTAAAATTAAAGTCTTATCAAAGCAAATCATCTCAGACAAGTTCTACACTATCTGAAGTATTTTTTAGATGAACACATAATTCTTTCTTTGAGTTCATTACCTTCATTCTTTCACTGGCAAGCAAATTGGTCCACAAGAAGCACAGGGGGTTTTGCACATTCAATGATGAAAGGAAACTTTTTCTTTTGTACATATTTTCTTTAACATTTTCTAACTTAGGTCAATGTAAACAATACAGATATACATAATCCTAACAGAAGGGTGTGTTTAATTCCATGGAAAGAGAGATCAAGGCATGAAAATGACCATAGTATATCACCTAACTATGTACAAAGGAATCCAATGCTATCCTACACATAAGTTAGTAACATGGTAGATGGAAACAATACCCTAATACATTTAGCTTAAAAAAAATTCATCCCAAAAGTAATTTTTAAGACAAGAAAAAAATGTTCACACCTGGCTATGGAGCTCTGAAAAGGCCCACCTGAATCCAAAGTAAAGGACCTTAGCTATAGATGAAATTCTCAATGAGGGGAAAAAGCTCCACTGAAAGATGCTGTCACTGGGAAAGTGGAAAGTAGAGACTAAGGGCCCTGAAACATGAAGTATTTTCAAAATGGAGGGGAAGTAATGAATTCATCATGAGAGAGATGACCTAAGAATTGTCTTTTGTTTAGTGATCATGGCTGTGCATTCCTACTGGTAACAGTACAAGTCTTGACCAGGATTATTCTGAGGTCCTGGAAGAGAGGAAACCTCTTAATTATCCCCAGGATCATTCGATTGACTTCTTTCTTTCATGGGCACAATGGACTAATTCATTTAGTTTGTGAGGGTGAAGCACTAGTCTGGTTGACCAGTTCTTCCCAACAGGTTTGGACTCTAACTAAATCAGGGATAGCCTGCACAGCCTCCTCTAACCATCTGTTCTTTGGACCACACACATCTCTACAGATGTGACTCCTGAAGTCTACTATGCTTTCAGTTCATGTGCCCCTGGGCCACAGGTATCAGGCTGAAACTATTCACTAAGGTTTCCAGTTCCAGGAACCTTTGTATTTAGTACCATAAAATAGGAGGAGGTTCCAAGATGGCCAAATAGGAACAGCTACAGTCTACAGCTCCCAGCATGAGTGACGCAGAAGACGGGTGATTTCTGCATTTCCAACTGAGGTACTGGGTTCATCTCACTGGGGCTTATTGGACAGCGGATGCAGCCCACGGAGTGTGAGCTGAAGCAGGGTGGGGCATCACCTCACCCGGAAAGCGCAAGGGGTCGCAGAATTCCCTTTCCTAGCCAAGGGAAGCCGTGACAAGGGAAACCTGGAAAATCAGGACACTCCCACTCTAATACTGCACTTTTCCAACAGTCTTAGCAAATGGCACACCAGGAGATTATATCCCGTGCCTGGCTCAGAGGGTCCCAAACCCACAGAGCCTCGCTCACTGCTAACACGGCAGTCTGAGATTGAACTGCAAGGCAGCAGCGAGGCTGGGGAAGGGGCATCTGCCATTGCTGAGGCTTGAGTAGGTACACAAAGCGGCCAGGAAGGGCCAACTGGGTGGAGCCCACCACAGCTCAAGGAGGCCTGCCTGCCTCTGTAGACTCCACCTGTGGGGGCAGGGCATAGCTGAACAAAAGGCAGCAGAAACTTCTGCAGACTTAAACGTCCCTGTCTGACAGCTTTGAAGAGAGTAGTGGTTCTCCCAGCATGGAGTTTGAGATCTGAGAACAGACAGACTGCCTCCTCAAGTGGGTCCCTGACCCCCAAGTAGCCTAACTGGGAGACACCTCCCAGTAGGGGCCAACTGACACTTAATACAGCTGGGTGCCCCTCTGAGACAAAGCTTCCAGAGGAATGATCAGGCAGCAACATCTGCCATTCTGCAATATTTGCTGTTCTGCAGCCTCCGCTGCTGATACCCAGGCAAACAGAGTCTGGAGTGGACCTCCAGCAAACTCCAACAGACCTGCAGTTGAGGGTCCTGACTGTTAGAAAGAAAACTAATGAACAGAAAGGACATCCACACCAAAACCCCATCTGTACGTTACCATCATCAAAGACCAAAGGTAGATAAAACCACAAAGATAGGGAGAAACCAGAGCAGAAAAGCTGAAAATTCTAAAAATCAGAGCACCTCTTCTATTCCAGAGGAACGTAGCTCCTCATCAGTAACGGAACAAAGCTGGATGGAGAATGACTTTGACGAGTTGAGAGAAGAAGGCTTCAGACGATCGGTAATAACTAATAGCTAAAGGTGGATGTTTGAACCCATCACAAAGAAGCTAAAAACCTTGAAAAAAGATTAGATGAATGGCTAACTAGAATAAACAGTATAGAGAAGACCTTAAATGACTTGATGGAGCTGAAAACCATGGCAAGAGAACTATGTGATGCATGCACAAGCTTCAGTAGCTGATTCGATGAAATGGAAGAAAGGTAATCAGTGATTGAAGATCAAATTAATGAAATGAAGTGAGAAGAGACGTTTAGAGAAAAAAAGAGTGAAAAGAAATGAACAAAGCCTCCAAGAAATATGGGACTATGTCAAAAGACCAAATCTACATCTGATTGGTGTACCTGAAAGTGACGGGGAGGATGGAACCAAGTTGGAAAACAGTCTTCAGGATATTATCCAGGAGAACTTCCCCAACCTACCAAGGCAAGCCAACATAGAAATTCAGGAAATTCAGAGAACGCCACAAAGATACTCCTCGAGAAGAGCAATCCCAAGACACATAATTGTCAGATTCACCAAAGTGGAAATGGAGGAAAAATGTTAAGGGCAGCCAGAAAGGTCAGGTTACCCATAAAGGGAAGCCCATCAAACTAATAGCTGATCTCTTGGCAGAAACTCTACAAGCCAGAAGAGAGTGGGGGCCAATATTCAACATTCTTAAAGAAAAGAATTTTCAACCCAGAATTTCATATCCAGCCAAACTAAGCTTCATAAGTGAAGGAGAAATAAAATCCTTTATAGACAAACAAATGCTGAGAGGTTTTGTCACTACCAGGCCTGTCTTACAGAGCTCCCGAAGGAAGCACTAAACATGAAAAGGAACAACCGGTACCAGCCACTGCAAAAACATGCCAAATTGTAAAGACCATCAATGCTAGGAAGAAACTGCATCAACTAATGAACAAAATAACCAGCTAACGTCATGACAGGATCAAATTCACACATAACAATATTAACCTTAAATGTAAATGGGCTAAATGCTCCAATTAAAAGACACAGACTGGCAACTTGGATAAAGAGTCAAGACCCATCAGTGTGCTGTATTCAGGAAACCCATCTCACATGCAAAGACACACATAGGCTCAAAATAAAGGGATGGAGGAAGACCTACCAAGCAAATGGAAAACAAGAAAAAGGCAGGGGTTGCAATCCTAGTCTTCGATAAAACAGACTTTAAACCAACAAAGATCAAAAGAGACAAAGAAGGCCATTACATAATGGTAAAGGGATCAAGTCAACAAGAACTAACTATCCTAAATATATATGCACCCAATACAGAAGCATCCAGATTCATAAAGCAAGTCCTTAGAGACCTACAAAGAGACTTAGACTCACATACAATAATGATGGGAGACTTTAACACCCCACTGTCAACATTAGACAGATCAACGAGACAGAAAGTTAACAAGGATATCCAGGAATTGAACTCATCTCTGCACCAAGCAGACCTAATAGATATCTGCAGAACTCTCCACCCCAAATCGACAGAATATACATTCTTCTCAGCACCACATTGCACTTATTCCAAAATTGACCACATAGTTGGAAGTAAACCATTCCTCAGCAAATGTAAAAGAACAGAAATTATAACAAACTGTCCCTCAGACCACAGTGCAGTCAAACTAGAACTCAGAATTTAAAAACTCACTCAAAACCGCTCAACTACATGGAAACTGAACAACCTGCTCCTGAATGACTATTGGGTACATAACGAAATGAAGGCAGAGATAAAGATGTTCTCTGAAACCAATGGGAACAAAGACACAATATACCAGAATCTCTGGCACACATTTAAAGCAGTGTGTAGAGGGAAATTTATAGCACTAAATGCCCACAAGAGAAAGCAGGAAAGATCTAAAATTGACACCCTAACATCACAATTAAAATAACTAGAGAAGCAAGAGCAAACACATTCAAAAGCTAGCAGAAGGCAAGAAATAACTAAGATCAGAGCGGAACTGAAAGAGATAGAGATACGAAAGACCCTTCAAAAAAATCAGTGAATCCAGGAGCTGGTTTTTTAAAAAGATCAATAAAATAGATAGATAGATAGACCGCTCAGACTAATAAAAAAGAACAGAGAAGAATCAAATAGATGCAATAAAAAATGATAAAGGGAATATCACAACTGATCCTACAGAAATACAAACTACCATCAGAGAATACTATAAACACCTCTATGAAAATAAACTAGAAAATCTAGAAGAAATGGATAAATTCCTCAACACATATGCCCTCCCAAGACTAAACCAGGAAGAAGTTGAATCCCTGAATAGAGGAATAACAGACTCTGAAATTGAGGCAATAATTAATAGCCTACCAACCAAAAAAAGTCCAGGACCAGATGGATTCACAGCCGAATTCTACCAGAGGTACAAAGAGGAGCTGGTACAATTCCTTCTGAAACTATTCGAATCAACAGAAAAAGAGGGAATCCTCCCTAATTCATTTTATGAGGCCAACATCATCCTGATACCAAAGCCTGGCAGAGACGCAACAAAAAAGCAAATTTTAGACCAATATCCCTGATGAACATCGACGCAAAAATCCTCAATAAAATACTGGCAAACCGAATCCAGCAGCACATCAAAAAGCTTATCCACCATGATCAAGTTGGCTTCATCCCTGGGATGCAAGGCTGGTTCAGCATACACAAATCAATAAACATAGTCCATCATATAAACAGAACCAAAGACAAAAACCACATGATTATCTCAATAGACACAGAAAAGGCCTTTGACAAAATTCAGCAGCCCTTCATGCTAAAAATTCTTAATAAACTAGGTATTGATGGGACATATCTCAAAATAATAGCTATCTATGACAAACCCACAGCCAATATCATACTGAATGGACAAAAACTGGAAGCATTCCCTTTGAAAACTGGCACAAGACAGGGATGCCCTCTCTCACCACTCCTATTCAGCATAGTGTTGGAAGTTCTGGCCAGGGCAGTCAGGTAAGACAAAGAAATAAAGGGTATTAAGTTAGGAAAAGAGAAAGTCAAATTGTGCCTGTTTGCAGATGACATGATTGTATATTTAGAAAACCCCATCATCTCAGCCCAAAATATCCTTAAGCTGATAAGCAACTTCAGCAAAGTCTCAGGATACAAAATCAATGTGCAAAAATCACAAGCATTCCTATACACCAATACCAGACAAACAGAGAGCCAAATCATGAGTGAACTTCCCATTCACAATTGCTTCAAAGAGAATAAAATACCTAGGAATCCAACTTACAAGGGATGTGAAGGACCTCTTCAAGGAGAACTACAAACCACTGCTCAATGAAATAAAAGAGGACACAAAGAAATGGAAGGACATTCCATGCTCATGGATAGGAAGAATCAATATCATGAAAATGGCCATACTGCCCAAGGTAATTTATAGATTCAATGCCATCCCCATCAAGCTACCAATGACTTTCTTCACAGAATTGGAAAAAACTACTTTAAAGTTCATGTGGAATCAAAAAAGAGCCCTCAGTGCCAACGCAATCCTAAGCCAAAAGAACAAAGCTGGAAGCATTACGCTACCGGACTGCAAACTATACTACAAGGCTACAGTAACCAAAACAGCATGGTACTGGTACCAAAACAGAGATATAGACCAATGGAACAGAACAGAGCCCTCAGAAATAATACCACACATCTACAACCATCTGATCTTTGACAAACCTGACAAAAACAAGAAATGGGGAAAGGTTTCCCTATTTAATAAATAGTGCTGGGAAAACTGGTTAGCCATATGTGGAAAGCTGTAACTGGATCCCTTCCTTACACCTTATACAAAAATTAATTCAAGATGGATTAAAAACTTAAATGTTAGACCTAAAACCATAAAAACCCTAGAAGAAAACCTAGGCAATACCATTCAGGACATAGGCATGGGCAAGGACTTCATGTCGAAAACACCAAAAGCAATGACAACAAAAGCCAAAATTGACAAATGGGATCTAATTAAACTAAAGAGCTTCTGCACAGCAAAAGAAACTACCATCAGAGTGAACAGGCAACCTACAGAATGGGAGAAAATTTTTACAATCTTCCCATCTGACAAAGGGCTAATATCCAGAATCTACAAAGAACTTAAAACAAATTAACAAGAAAAAAATCAAACAGCCCCATCAAAAAGTGGGCAAAGGATATGAACGGACACTTCTCAAAAGAAGACATTTATGCAGTCAACAGACACATGAATAATGCTCATCAGCACTGGCCATCAGAGAAATGCAAATCAAAACCACAATGAGATACCATCTCACACCAGTTAGAATGACGATCATTAAAAAGTCAGGAAACAAAAGGTGCTGGAGAGGATGTGGAGAAATAGGAACACTTTTACACTGCTGGTGGTTCTGTAAACTAGTTCAGCCATTGTGGAAGACAGTGTGGTGATTCCTTAAGGATCTAGAACTAGAAATACCATTTGATCCAGCCATCCCATTACTGGGTATATACCCAAAGGATTATAAAGCATGCTGCTATAAAGACACCTGCATATGTATGTTTATTTCAGCACTATTCACAATAGCAAAGCCTTGGAACCAACCCAAATGTCCATCAATGATAGACTGGATTAAGAAAATGTGGCACATATACACCATGGAATACTATGCAGCCATAAAAAAGGATGAGTTCTTGTCCTTTGTAGGGACATGGATGAAGCTGGAAACCATCATTCTCAGCAAACTATCACAAGGACAGAAAACCAAACACTGCATGTTCTCACTCATAGGTGGGAATTGAACAATGAGAACACTTGGACACAGGGTGGGGAACATCACACACCGGGGCCTGTGGTGGGGTGGGGAGAGAGAGGAAGGATAGCATTAGGAGTTATACCTATTGTAAATGACGAGTTAATGGGTGCAGCACACCAACATGGCACATGTATACATATGTAACAAATGTGTACGTTGTGCACATGTACCCTAGAACTTAAAGTATAATAATAATAAAAAAAGATATATACCAAAAAAAATATGAAACAAAGTCTCCTATGTTGCTTGTTGTATAATTGTGCTGCTTTTGGAAGAGAGGAGTAACATCGAGGGGACTATAAATGCCCACTACTTTTCTTGAATAATTTTGGTCTTTGTAAATATCCTTCAGGATATAGTTTATATTCTAAGCACACACAGTAGTCTTCCTGATCCTTAGTGTATGTGTTCCAGGACCCCTAGTGGAGCCTGAAACCACAGATAATACCAAGCCGTGTATAGACTGTTCCTGTACACATATACCTGTGATAAATTTTGTTATAAATTAGATGCTGTAAGAGATTAACAACAATAACTCACAATAAAATAGAACAATTATAACAATACTCTGGTGCACAATTTAAAACTTATAAATTGGCCAGTTCTGGAATTTCCCATTTAATATTTTCAGACTGCCATTGACTGAGAGTAACTGAAACTCTCAGTTGGAAAGTGAACCTGTGGATAAGGGAGGACTACTTTATGTCTATTCCATAAAGCAGTACCTATGTAGAGTAATGTAGACAAACATCTTACCTAAACATAATTTTAACAAACTTACCAATGAATCAGAGTATGCCCCTTTGATGCACAAACCAGTCATTCGTTTTGATGACAAGTATTTTTTTCTTCTTGACTTGCAAATGACACTTGGTTTCCCCAGAAAAGATCAGAACTTCACGCAGAGCCACTCTGCCTCACATGTGTTTGGAAAGCAGAGAAAAGCCCTGTTTGACAAGTTTTACCACATTACAGCTTCAAGCACTGTCTGTCTCAGCAAAGAAAAGCTCTGGATGGGAGCCAGGAAGCCCCAGTATTGAAGCTTCAGACCAGCTCACATGTTGTTGCACATGAAGGATTCCAGTCTGTGGAAGGGATTATTAACTGGAGAAAATAAATTACATTCTCTCTGTGGGTCACTGTTTAACATTCAAGATGGGGGTTCCAATGGATCTATTGGGAGATCAGGGTCCCCTCTGTTCTTTGCACAGCAACTGTGATGTGTTGAGACACACAGACACATTCCACATCCATAATTCTGGACTGTGAAGCAGCTGTTCCTCCAGTCTCAGGGCTCTTTTTCAGGGTAGGGAAGGAGCCTGAGTGGCCTGCATGGAGAGGCTGTGTGGAATGGACAGCTAGCTGCATTCCTTAGCTGGAAAAGAATTCTTAAAAATCAGGGGAAAAAGATACCAATATTTTGTGAAGAACAATTGTAGAAGGTGTCGCTCTAAAATTTCTCTTTACTATACTTTTAAGTGATTTTAAAAGGCTGTCATAAATGAGGAGTTATTGTTTAATGGGTACGGAGTTTCAGTTTTGGGAAATGAAAAAAAAGCTCTGGAGATGGATGGTGGTGATGGTTACACAATGATGTGAATAGACTCAGTGCCACTGAATTAGACACTTAAAATGGTTAAAGTATGTTATGTGCATTTTACCACCAATTTTTTAAAAAGCTTGTCACAGAAGCCTTCTCTGTGTAAGTAGAATCTGGCAATGTCAGAAACTAACATAATTAAAAAATAAGCGGGGAGGAGCCAAGATGGCCGAATAGGAACAGCTCTGGTCTACAGCTCCCAGCGTGAGCGAGGCAGAAGACGGGTGATTTCTGCATTTCCATCTGAGGTACCGGGTGCATCTCACTAGGGAGTGCCAGACAGTGGGGGCAGGCCAGTGGGTGTGCGCACCATGCGCGAGCTGAAGCAGGGCGGGGCATTGCCTCACCTGGGAAGCACAAGGGGTCAGGGAGTTCCCTTTCCAAGTCAAAGAAAGGGGTGAAGGACACACCTGGAAAATCGGGTCACTCCCACCCGAATATTGCTCTTTTCAGACCGGCTTAAAAAACGGCGCACCACGAGACTATATCCCACACCTGGCTCGGAGGGTCCTACGCCCACGGAATCTCGCTGATTGCTAGCACAGCAGTCTGAGATCAAACTGCAAGGCGCCAGCGAGGCTGGGGGAGGGGCGCCCGCCATTGCCCAGGCTTGCTTAGGTAAACAAAGCAGCCGGGAAGCTCGAACTGGGTGGAGCCCACCACAGCTCAAGGAGGCCTGCCTGCCTCTGTAGGCTCCACCTCTGGGGGCAGGGCACAGACAAACAAAAAGACAGCAGTAACCTCTGCAGACTTAAATGTCCCTGTCTGACAGCTTTGAAGAGAGCAGTGGTTCTCCCAGCACGCAGCTGGAGATCTGAGAACTGGCAGACTGCCTCCTCAAGTGGGTCCCTGACCCCTGACCCCCGAGCAGCCTAACTGGGAGGCACCCCCCAGCAGGGGCACACTGACACCTCACACAGTAGGGTATTCCAACAGACCTGCAGCTGAGGGTCCTGTCTGTTAGAAGGAAAACTAACAAACAGAAAGGACATCCACACCGAAAACCCATCTGTACATCACCATCATCAAAGACCAAAAGTAGATAAAACCACAAAGATGGGGAAAAAACAGAACAGAAAAACTGGAAACTCTAAAACGCAGAGCGTCTCTCCTCCTCCAGAGGAACGCAGTTCCTCACCAGCAACAGAACAAAGCTGGATGGAGAATGACTTTGACGAGCTGAGAGAAGAAGGCTTCAGACGATCAAATTACTCTGAGCTACGGGAGGACATTCAAACCAAAGGCAAAGAAGTTGGAAACTTTGAAAAAAATTTAGAAGAATGTATAACTAGAATAACCAATACAGAGAAGTGCTTAAAGGAGCTGATGGAGCTGAAAACCAAGGCTCGAGAACTACGTGAAGAATGCAGAAGCCTCAGGAGCCGATGCGATCAACTGGAAGAAAGGGTATCAGCAATGGAAGATGAAATGAATGAAATGAAGCGAGAAGGGAAGTTTAGAGAAGAAAGAATAAAAAGAAATGAGCAAAGCCTCCAAGAAATATGGGACTATGTGAAAAGACCAAATCTACGTCTGATTGGTGTACCTGAAAGTGATGGGGAGAATGGAACCAAGTTGGAAAACACTCTGCAGGATATTATCCAGGAGAACTTCCCCAATCTAGCAAGGCAGGCCAACGTTCAGATTCAGGAAATACAGAGAATGCCACAAAGATACTCCTCGAGAAGAGCAACTCCAAGACACATAAATGTCAGATTCACCAAAGTTGAAATGGAGGAAAAAATGTTAAGGGCAGCCAGAGAGAAAGGTCGGGTTACCCTCAAAGGGAAGCCCATCAGACTAACAGCGGATCTCTCGGCAGAAACCCTACAAGCCAGAAGAGAGTGGGGGCCAATATTCAACATTCTTAAAGAAAAGAATTTTCAACCCAGAATTTCATATCCAGCCAAACTAAGCTTCATAAGTGAAGGAGAAATAAAATACTTTACAGACAAGCAAATGCTGACCGATTTTGTCACCATCAGGCCTGCCCTAAAAGAGCTCCTTAAGGAAGCGCTAAACATGGAAAGGAACAACCGGTACCAGCCGCTGCAAAATCATGCCAAAATGTAAAGACCATCAAGACTAGGAAGAAACTGCATCAACTAACGAGCAAAATCACCAGCTAACATCATAATGACAGGATCAAATTCACACATAACAATATTAACTTTAAATATAAATGGGCTAAATGCTCCAATTAAAAGACACAGACTGGCAAATTGGATAAAGAGTCAAGATCCATCAGTGTGCTGTATTCAGGAAACCCATCTCACGTGCAGAGACACACATAGGCTCAAAATAAAAGGATGGAGGAAGATCTACCAAGCAAATGGAAAACAAAAAAAGGCAGGGGTTGCAATCCTAGTCTCTGATAAAACAGACTTTAAACCAACAAAGATCACAAGAGACAAAGAAGGCCATTACATAATGGTAAAGGGATCAATTCAACAAGAAGAGCTAACTATCCTAAATATATATGCACCTAATACGGGAAAACCCAGATTCATAAAGCAATTCCTGAGTGACCTACAAAGAGACTTAGACTCCCACACATTAATAATGGGAGACTTTAACACCCCACTGTCAACATTAGACAGATCAACGAGACAGAAAGTCAACAAGGATACCCAGGAATTGAACTCAGCTCTGCACCAAGCGGACCTAATAGACATCTACAGAACTCTCCACCCCAAATCAACAGAATATACATTTTTTTTCAGCACCACACCACACCTATTCCAAAATTGACCACATACTTGGAAGTAAAGCTCTCCTCAGCAAATGTAAAAGAACAGACATTATAACAAACTATCTCTCAGACCACAGTGCAATCAAACTAGAACTCAGGATTAAGAATCCCACTCAAAGCCGCTCAACTACATGGAAACTGAACAGCCTGCTCCTGAATGACTACTGGGTACATAACGAAATGAAGGCAGAAATAAAGATGTTGTTTGAAACCAACGAGAACAAAGACACAACATACCAGAATCTCTGGGACACATTCAAAGCAGTGTGTAGAGGGAAATTTATAGCACTAAATGCCCACAAGAGAAAGCAGGAAAGATCCAAAATTGACACTCTAACATCACAATTAAAAGAACCAGAAAAGCAAGAGCAAACACATTCAAAAGCTAGCAGAAGGCAAGAAATAACTAAAATCAGAGCAGAACTGAAGGAAATAGAGACACAAAAAACCCTTCAAAAAATCTATGAATCCAGGAGCTGCTTTTTTGAAAGGATCAACAAAATTGATAGACCGCTAGCAAGACTAATAAAGAAAAAAAGAGAGAAGAATCAAATAGACACAATAAAAAATGATAAAGGGGATATCACCACCGATCCCACAGAAATACAAACTACCATCAGAGAATACTACAAACACCTCTACGCAAATAAACTAGAAAATCTAGAAGAAATGGATACATTCCTCGACACATGCACTCTCCCAAGACTAAACCAGGAAGAATTTGAATCTCTGAATAGACCAATAACAGGATCTGAAATTGTGGCAATAATCAATAGTTTACCAACCAAAAAGAGTCCAGGACCAGATGGATTCACAGCCGAATTCTACCAGAGGTACAAGGAGGAACTGGTACCATTCCTTCTGAAACTATTCCAATCAATAGAAAAAGAGGGAATCCTCCCTAACTCATTTTATGAGGCCAGCATCATTCTGATACCAAAGCCGGGCAGAGACACAACCAAAAAAGAGAATTTTAGACCAATATCCTTGATGAACATTGATGCAAAAATCCTCAATAAAATACTGGCAAACCGAATCCAGCAGCACATCAAAAAGCTTATCCACCATGATCAAGTGGGCTTCATCCCTGGGATGCAAGGCTGGTTCAATATACGCAAATCAATAAATGTAATCCAGCATATAAACAGAGCCAAAGACAAAAACCACATGATTATCTCAATAGATGCAGAAAAAGCCTTTGACAAGATTCAACAACCCTTCATGCTAAAAACTCTCAATAAATTAGGTATTGATGGGATGTATTTCAAAATAATAAGAGCTATTTATGACAAACCCACAGCCAATATCATACCGAATGGGCAAAAACTGGAAGCATTCCCTTTGAAAACTGGCACAAGACAGGGATGCCCTCTCTCACCACTCCTATTCAACATAGTGTTGGAAGTTCTGGCCAGGGCAATTAGGCAGGAGAAGGAAATAAAGGGTATTCAATTAGGAAAAGAGGAAGTCAAATTGTCCCTGTTTGCAGACGACATGATTGTATATCTAGAAAACCCCACTGTCTCAGCCCAAAATCTCCTTAAGCTGATAAGCAACTTCAGCAAAGTCTCAGGATACAAAATCAATGTACAAAAATCACAAGCATTCTTATACACCAACAACAGACAAACAGAGACCCAAATCATGAGTGAACTCCCATTCACAATTGCTTCAAAGAGAATACAATACCTAGGAATCCAACTTACAAGGGATATGAAGGACCTCTTCAAGGAGAACTACAAACCACTGCTCAAGGAAATAAAAGAGGATACAAACAAATGGAAGAACATTCCATGCTCATGGGTAGGAAGAATCAATATCGTGAAAATGGCCATACTGCCCAAGGTAATTTACAGATTCAATGCCATCCCCATCAAGCTACCAATGACTTTCTTCACAGAATTGGAAAAAACTACTTTAAAGTTCGTATGGAACCAAAAAAGAGCCCGCATCGCCAAGTCAATCCTAAGCCAAAAGAACAAAGCTGGAGGAATCACGCTACCTGACTTCAAACTATACTACAAGGCTACAGTAACCAAAACAGCATGGTACTGGTACCAAAACAGAGATATAGATCAATGGAACAGAACAGAGCCCTCAGAAATAACGCCGCATACCTACAACTATCTGATCTTTGACAAACCTGAGAAAAACAAGCAATGGGGAAAGGATTCCCTATTTAATAAATGGTGCTGGGAAAACTGGCTAGCCATATGTAGGAAGCTGAAACTGGATCCCTTCCTTACACCTTATACAAAAATCAATTCAAGATGGATTAAAGATTTAAACGTTAGACCTAAAACCGTAAAAACCCTAGGAGAAAACCTAGGCATTACCATTCAGGACATAGGCATGGGCAAGGACTTCATGTCCAAAACACCAAAAGCAATGGCAACAAAAGCCAAAATTGACAAATGGGATCTAATTAAACTAAAGAGCTTCTGCACAGCAAAAGAAACTACCATCAGAGTGAATAGGCAACCTACAAAATGGGAGAAAATTTTCGCAACCCACTCATCTGACAAAAGGCTAATATCCAGAATCTACAATGAACTCAAACAAATTTACAAGAAAAGAACAAACAACCCCATCAAAAAGTGGGCGAAGGACATGAACAGACACTTCTCAAAAGAAGACATTTATGCAGCCAAAAAACACATGAAAAAATGCTCATCATCACTGGCCCTCAGAGAAATGCAAATCAAAACCACAATGAGATACCATCTCACACCAGTTAGAATGGCAATCATTAAAAAGTCAGGAAACAACAGGTGCTGGAGAGGATGTGGAGAAATAGGAACACTTTTACACTGTTGGTGGGACTGTAAACTAGTTCAACCATTGTGGAAGTCAGTGTGGTGATTCCTCAGGGATCTAGAACTAGAAATACCATTTGACCCAGCCATCCCATTACTGGGTATATACCCAAATGACTATAAATCATGCTGCTATAAAGACACATGCACACGTATGTTTATTGCGGCATTATTCACAATAGCAGAGGCTTGGAACCAACCCAAATGTCCAACAATGATAGACTGGATTAAGAAAATGTGGCACATATACACCATGGAATACTATGCAGCCATAAAAAATGATGAGTTCATGTCCTTTGTAGGGACATGGATGAAATTGGAAATCATCATTCTCAGTAAACTATCGCAAGATCAAAAAACCAAACACCGCATATTCTCACTCATAGGTGGGAATGGAACAATGAGATCACATGGACACAGGAAGGGGAATATCACACTCTGGGGACTGTGGTGGGGTGGGGGGAGGGATAGCATTGGGAGATATACCTAATGCTAGATGACGAGTTAGTGGGTGCAGCGCACCAGCACAGCACATGTATACATATGTAACTAACCTGTACAATGTGCACATGTACCCTAAAACTTAAAGTATAATAAAAAAAAAACAAACGAAAAAAAAAATAAGCTATGGAAAGATTGAAGGATATAGGAGACTTTAATAATCTGGAGCTAATTCCTCAGATAGTTACAGACTCACTGGATAGCATTCCTACATGTCTGAATATCAACTATGAAAATTCTTAAAAGACAGGGACTTGAAATAAACTGGAACTAACAGAGTTGTGATATTCTTTTGTCTCATAGCAAACTTTTATAGATAAACTTCATTATTTAATATTTTATTGTGTTATTAATATTTCAATCACACAAGAAGTTCTTGTGTTCTTGGAAATGAAGAATACTTCTACCTTTACTTATTAGCATATTGGAAGAGAATTTATTTGCCCAAAATATGGAAGATTTATTGGAATATTTAACTGTACTACAAAAGAAAGTGCTGGTGTTTCTTTCTCTGGAAATTGTTAAATGTTGCAGGGTTGCTTTTCTGGAATAGTAGGATCAGGGAGAGAGAACTGAATGACTTTTAATCTATTCACTGGGGGAGTCAGTGGGAGAAAATAGTTGAAGACATTTTCTCACTAACCTGGATAGTTACTCTTGGCTTATATATTCTAGTATCATTTGGCTGCAAAATCCCTGTAAACTCCAGGTCAACTAAAACTAATGTTTACAAGGAATTCTGACAGCATAGTATCATATAAATGTTAATAAAATTATAATGGCCAGTACCACCTTGGGAACTTTGTTAAGACTTGTATTATTGTCTCATAATACTGTAGTCTCAAGTTCCACAACCCCCACTGGATGCCTGAAATTGTGGATAGTACCAAACTGTATATATGTAGTTTGTATATATCTCTTACTGTTCCTAACTTGTAAATTAAACTTTATTATATATTATATATTGTGTGTGTGTGTGTGTATATATATATATATATATATACACACATACACACTATGCTTTTTTCTATACTATGTACTTATAATAAAGTTTAATTTACAAGTTAGGAACAGTAAGAGATAAACAACAATAATAAAAAAATAGAACAATTATAAAAATATATTGTATTAAGAGTTATGTACATGTGGTCTTTTCTCTCTCTCCAAATATCTTACTGTACTGTACTCACTATTCTTGTGCTGACGTGAGATAATAAAATGCATTCGTGATGAGATAAAGTGGGACGAATGACCCAGGCATTGTAAAGTAGCGTTAGGCTACTATTGACTTTCTAAGGATACATCAGAAGGAGCAGCATCTGATTTGGGTGATCCTGGATGAATGAGCTATGACGATGTGGATGGCTGGATGTCAGGAGAAGATGATGTCAGTGTTTGGGGATCCTCAATCGTTGAAGGTTTTTGTTTTGTTTTGTTTTGTTTTTGCCAAAAACTTTTGGAAGAGCATTGTAATAGAATGTTATTGTCTCTTTCTTTTTAACTCATTAAAGTGTTGCCACAGATGTTGTAATCCTTTGATCATACCGGTGACTTTAATGCTGCGTTCCTTCCTAGGATCATATTCCATAATTTTGTCCTTTGATGTCTGTGCAATGTGAAACACTTTGGCAAATTTCAGTAATACCCACACAGCTGGTTTTGCTTCAGTTTCTTCATCTTTCTCTTCCTTTGTAGATAACATGTTCTTCCAATTCCTCATTTGGTAATACTTGAAAACCTTCAATATGTTCTTCCATTTCATCAAGTATGTTGGCAAATCCTCCACCAACTTATCTTGCCGTGTGAATGATTTTCCTAACTTCTTCATCAATCCCCAGAAAGCCTTTAAAATCATTCACAACTTTACTCCATAAGTTCTTCCAGCAGACATTTGCAGTTTCTGGTTTTAATTTGTCCATTGCAGCTTTGATGAATGTTATTGCATCTGTAATAGTGAATGATTTCCAGAACAGATTACATCCAGATTAGGGTCTACATCAATTGCTGATCAAATGTGATCAAATACAAGGCAGTGACAAATTCAGTGATGGTAAAAGGCTGAAGCAGTGAGGTTGTATTCAGAGGCAATAACAACCTGAACATTTTCATTTCATTTTTTATAGCAGACAGATTTAGAATGGCTAGGAGCATTGTCTCTTATTAACAGGACTTTAAATTCCAACTATTTGTCTTCCAAGTAATTTTTTTTTATTTCTGGGATAATACATTGGTGGAACCATTTCATAATCAAGATGACTGTCACCCATGCTTTCTGATTATGTTGCCAGAACATGGGCAGTTAATTTTTGTTTTTAAGAGTACTGGGTTCTTTGCTTTGTACACTATCCTGGCTTTATCATATGCCCTGAAGCATTGCCACATGGTACCAGAGTTCATCTGTCGTTCCATGTTTTATGCCTTGGTGCCTTCTTTGCACTTTTATGAATGCAGGTTTTATCTTCTTCCAGAAGACTTGAAGATTTGCTTTAGATGGCATCCTTTCTAATTATTTCTTCAACTCTGCTGGAAAGGTAGCAGAACCTTCTTCATTAGCAGATGCAACCTCTTCAGTATTTTTTATGTTTGTCAGTCCAAACCTATTTTTGAATCTATGTAACCATCCCTTACTTGCAGTAAATGGCTTGGTGTCACTTGTTTCAGGGGATCCCTTGCTGAAGTCTTCATGTAGTCTCAATGCTTTCTGTTGCAACATTTTGTCATCAATTGGAACATGTTTTCTTTTCATGTCTTCCACTCACAAATTTAATGCCTTTTTCATGTTCACTAAATACTTATCATGTACTGTGGCCATAACTTTTGCAGTTTGACGTGCAACAGCAAAACTAGCATAAATTTCTTTTTCCTTCTTCACAGTGTCACAGATAGAAGGTGATATGGTGTGGCTGTGTCCCCACCCAAATCTCACCTTGAACTGTAATAATCCCCATGTGCCAAAGGTGGGGCCAAGTGGAGAGAATTGAATCATGAGATTGGTTCCCCCCATACTGTTATGGTGGTAGTGAATAAGTCTCATGAGATCTGCTCATTTAATAAATGGGAGTTCCCATGCACAAGCTCTCTTGCCTTGCCGCCACGTTAAGAAATCCTTTTGTACTTCCTTCATCTTCTGCCATTATTACTAGGCTTCCCCAGCCTTGTGGAACTGTGAGTCCATTAAACCTCCTTTCCTTTATAAATTATCCAGTCTCAAGTATGTCTTTATTAGCAGAGTGAGAACAGACTAATACAGAAGGTTGCATTGTTAATGTAGTCCTTAGCAAACTTAGCATACAATTGTTTTTTCTTTCCTTATCAAGTCGAGAACTTTCACCTTTTCACTTAAAGGAAGCACTTTATGGTTTCTCTTTGGCATATCTGAATTGCCAGAAACACTATGCTTGTGCTTTGGGCCACTAGGAAGTAAAATGAAGGTGACAAACACAAGCACTGTGGTACCAGAACATCTGATAATGGAGATGGCTATTAAGTGACTCATGGTCAGAGAGCATAGACAGCATGGATGATGCTAGTGAAATGGGTGATTCGCATGCTGGGTAGGATGGAGAAGGATGGGGCCGGACAGTGTGAGATTTCATAACACTACTCAGAACTGCACTCAATTTAAAATTTTTGAATTATTTATTTCTGGAATTTTCCATTTAATATTTTCAGACCATGGCTTTTTGCCCTTAGCAAGATCACAGATAAGAGGGGACTACTGTAAGTAGCATCTATGTCAGAAAACTTTCTGTTTCTGCCAGGATAGAGCTACTGAAGTAAATGGCGGCAGGAAATAGTTTGTCAAATCCTGCAGCATCCATCCCACTTTGATGCAAGTCACTATCCATCTGTTACACGTACCTTTATTATGTTATTAAATAGGAGCCAGGTGGTGCGGCTGGATTTGGTTGGTTGGTTTGCTTTTTGGTCTTTATTGTTGTTCTACTAGAATGACTTGTTCTACAAATGTTTCCCAAACTTTAGTCATACAAAAGTTTTTGTGATATTTTTTTGCCTGTCCATATTTGTACTATTATTCATTTAATGTTTTTCTTTAAATAGATTCCATTTTTAGTACGTTTATTCAAATAGGAAACTTCATATTAGCCTGAAAATAGACAGCTAGCTGTAAACCTGTGAAATAATGGTTTTGATGTACTGGTTATATATTTTTCTTGTATGTGAATATTACTAACAAATTAGAAAAATACTCATGTACTTACCACTTGAATTACCTGGTGGTAAATGTAATGTAACCTGGGTAATACTGGCCTAAGGTTCCGACAGAATTTCTGGTTTCTACTAACTCATTTTACTTGTACTCATATGTCATAATTTTCTATTTTATAAAAGCACAAATGACAAAACAAGGAGTCCAAGAAAATACTCCAGAGATAAACATCAGAATTTGTAAAAGATTCACTAATTGTAAAAATAATAATACCATTCAATTCAGTGGAGCTTACATATTATTCTTTTCACAAATACAATCTCAGTTAATCATCAGAGCCACACTATGAGATTAGCAGATGTGAGTCTGTTTATGCTACTATAGCAAAATACCTAAGATTAGGTAATGTATAAAGAACAGAAATTTATTTCTTACAGTTTTGGAGGCTGGTAAGTCCAAGATCAAGGTGCCAACAAGTTTGCTTGTCTAACAAGGGCTGCATCTTCCTGAGGGGAGGAACGCTATGTCTTCACATGGTGGATGGCATAAAGGCAAGAGAGTCGAATGCTGCGTGAAACCTCTTTTACAAAGACCTCAATCCCATTCACAAGGGAGGAGCCCTCATTGCCTAATCATCACCTGTTAAGGGTCTTGTCTCTTAATTCTGTTACACTGGCCATTAAGTTTCAACACCTGAAATTTGGAGGAGACACATTCAAATCATAGCAGCAGGTCACTGATTGTTATCTTTATTTTACATATAAGGAAACTGAGGCTCAGCGAAGTCATGTAATTATTCCCCAGGTTATGCAGGCAGCAAATGGCAGAGGCAGCTCATTGTTTGGTCTTTCCATACCATGCTGTACTGTAGAATTTGGAAAGGTTTATTGCATCACCAGTTAGTAAGTCAGGAACTATAGCTCCCTTGGAATTGCTACATATGATGATGTATTGATTCTGATAGACACAAAATAAACTGACATATTTATAGTGTGACTTTTCTGAGCTTCTCTTTTTATTTAATGGATCCATATTGACTGACCAGCTAATGTAGCTATCTGTAAAACAGCTTTGTAGGCCTCTCCCCTTTATTTTTCCTCCCTGTATATGTTGTTTCAAGTATAGATGACAGGCTTTAAGAATGGGAAGTGAAAAGGCAGAATTCAATCTACAAATACAGGTATATCTTCAGAAAGTCCCAGAGTGCACCGCATTCATTCAAAAAGAATCTTGTTACCACCAATACCAAACAAATACCCTGTGGTCATCAAGGAGAAAAATACTGTGCTCCTAGCCAAGTCTTTGAGTTTATTACTTTACTAATGTATAGCAAAGAAAGTTCAGCCATTTTGGTATCCCAGTATTACTTTTTATTGCCTTATATATGAAAAGGAGACACAGAAAAGGTTGTTAGGACTAAATGCAATAAATGAGCAAGACAGGCTATAGGAGGTCTCCTTTTCAAATGTAATATGATCATTGCTTAAATTGTACATCTAATTACAGGCAAGCTTCTTGTTGCTATCTCAGGATCCAAGCAGACAATAGTTAATACTCCCTTGAATGGGTTTTATTCAGTGTTTTAATATTTTAAATGCGTATGCTGCCTTAGCTGATCTAGAAGATCCGATCTACCTCCAGATCTATGAACTTGAGTCAATTAAAATTTTCTTATTATTTTAGAATATATCCTCCATGGAAAAGAAATTTCAGTGACATCAGTGTAAGCAATACTACGTTTATAATATAGATTACTTTCCAAAAAACCTTTAGGTGATTATCAAAGTGGTTTCTCTGATAACTGAACAAAAAAGACAAGTAAATTACTTTATTCCTGTGATGGTTGACAGAGTCTTTGCTTGACTGAACTTCAGTCAGGCTCCTAAACCTTCTCCTAGGCCTATCTTTGTACTTACTTGTAAAATCCAGTGTTAGCAGGAACCCTAATAAGTTAGTTTAGCAAGAACCCCCCACCCTCAATATCTGATCACCCTCAATGTAAGGGTCCTCATCCTCCATCATCCTCCAGGTGATGTCTAATCACCATGCCTGTCCTCAGCAAGAATCCTGTTAGGCTGGTTTAGCCAGAACCTCCCTCGCCCTTGATGTTACTTGTTAGTCATTTTTCATTCACTGACCTTCAACCAACTATTTGACTATAAATTCCCACTTGCCTGCACTTTATTCAAAGTTGAGCCCAACCTCTCTTCCCTACTGCAAAATCCCGTTGCAGTGGTCCCTGTAACTATCAAAATGGTACTGAATCAAGCCTGCCTTACTGTGCTTTAACAAGTATCATTACATAATTTTTTCTTTAACATAGTTGGATGTCACCAATATTTATTACTCAAGATGAGGACTTATAAAGGGAAAGAAGTAGAAAATTCCATGGTCTCTTAGGCAGTTTAAAGCCAAAGGCAATATAAATATAAATTTTTATACTCTTCCCCTCCTACCCCTTGTCAAAGAGCAGCATACCGTGGAATAAGGTAATCTTAGATACAGCAAGGCCTTGGGCAGAACAGTCAGAACATATCAACAGAAGAATATGTTGTAAGAGGCCAGACACACAAATATATCATTCAGAGCACTATGACTGGTTGGCTTGCAGTGCAGAAGAAAGAGTATATTTTGAGTATAATAATCATGTTCTTAAATAAATAATACTGAAAAATAAAATACCAAAGACATCCCCTCTGTCTCTGTTAAGTAACTTGTAGCAGAGCTGTACTCTGCTGAGAAAAATTAGAAAAAAAGACCATTTTTTTTAAAGAAAACACCTGTTTTGAAGTTATCAGAGAGATTTCCAAACAGCAAGGACATGAGGGATCAAGATCTAAGAAAAAATGGAAGGTCAGTGAAATGAGCTTAGTATTCTTCAAGATGCTTTCCACCTTGGGGGACTTGCCTGTTTCAGTTTAGATGCTATTCAGAGAACAGCTGCCAAGTGGCAGAGAAACCAACAGATCTCACTGGGTTGGGAAGGCAATAACCGAATTTCAGGGCTACCAAAGCAGACAAAACATTCAGGGACAAGTTTTCTGAGAAAAGGGAGGTATGAAAAAGTGATCCCATCACTTGGCAATCTTCTAAGGCATTTGTGAAATTCTTAAATTACGGAGAGTAAGAGGACAAGAAGCCAAATGCAAAACAAAGTGGGATTTTCAGCAATCTCATCAGCTGAAGAGGCAAAAATTGAAGTTTAGTACATACTAAGGAGGAGAGTCCCTAGTTAAATCCGAGAGTATATTTTTGGAGGGTATATCCTAGGTTTAGGGTAGAAGCAGAAGTAGGCTAGCAAAACAGAACTACAACACTACCTCAGGTTAGCTTAGTTCTGATTGGACTGAGGTGACTTGCTCTATTCTAGTTGTCTACTGGAGAACAGGTTGAACTCTCTCTAGTGGGAAATACCATCACCCCAGGATTCTATAATTTTTCACTGACAAGTCCATTATTCAGTCAAATTCACCTGATATTATCAAGAAACAGGACCAGAGGGGATGGGGGTGGGGGTAACAGATGACAGAAACAGAACCACAAGTGGCCCACATATGGAGTTATCACACAAGTACTGTAAATAATTATGATTAATAATTCAATAATATGAGCATTTAATTATATGTTTAAAAAAATAGATAAAACAGTTACACCAACAAACTCAAATCTGTTCAAAAGCAAAAAAATCAGGGAGGAATATGGAACCTTTGAAATGGTGGAGTAAGGACTTCTGAAAATCTTCTCCATAAAAGCAATGAGAACACTTGCAAAAAAACTGTCACAATAAACTTTTTCAGAATTCTGGGAATTAATCAAAGGCTTTTCACAATCCAAGAGTGCTTTTCCCAAGCACTCTTTGCTTGACTGAACTTCAGTCAGGCTCCTAAACCTGACTAAACCTCCTAAAAATGACTGAATTTTGCTAAGAACAGTGACCTTTTTTCTTGCCCTAATTCCATCTCCATCTCTTATACTCTACAAAAGATGTGAAAGCCAAGAGCTTTATAACTATCTGTTTTAAAAAGCAGTAGCTTAGCAGCCAGTGCAAGATACAGAACAGATTTGGAGCTCCCTAAAAGCCCCATCTCTAGAGAACTGGCATTATTTAACCTGTTTAGCAGCTTCTGAAAAGCTTCATTCTCAGGGCTTGCCTTTATTTAACCTGATTGAAGTAAATCTTATTCTATATGAACAACTGTATCCACATGGCATTTATCAAAAACAATCAGTTAATTGTTTAATTGTTTAACATTGCAGCTGCCTGAGGTGGCATTGACAGTTGAAGCTAACAAAAGGCTGACCAAAAATAAAAGAAAAAAATTGGGGAATGAGATATCTGTAGGGAGCTTTACAAAGCTCTAACATATTTCTGGAAATCTGAAAGGCCATGTAAATATAAAGAGCTGTACACATCCCCAGAAAAAAAAAAAAAAACTGAGAAACTCCTAATCTGTCACCTCTGGCTGACCTTTAGGCTCTTCATGAGCAAGAAATGGAGGCTAAGGCAAAGTTGTAAACTTCCCGCTAGAGCACTGAAGACATGACCCAACACAAACACAGAACCTGCTGTGTTCTGGGGGATCTGTTGGTTTAAGGCATTTAAGGAAAATCTCTGTTCAATAATTAGTTGACTGTTAAGCTAACAGAGCAGAGCCATACACAACAAAGAATATAGACTACAGAATTAGTCTAGGAAAGTCACTAAGCAAACATACAGCAACAATGACAACAAAAACAAAAACAACAAACAGCAATAACAAAAAAACTATGGGGAGAAGAAGAATCTGTAAAACTGTATTATTCAAAACGTCCAGTTTTCAGCAAAAATTATGAGACACACAAAGAAATAGGAAACTATTGCCCATACACAGGATAAAAAGCAGTCAATAGAAGTTATCCCTGAGGAAGTCAAGACATTGGACTTACTATACAAAGACTTTAAGGCAACTATTACAAATATGTTTAAAGAATTAATGAAAGCCATTTCTAAATAAAGTATGAGAATGATGACTCAATGCATAGAGAGTATCATTAATAATACTACAAATTATAAGTAAGAACCATGTACGAATTACAGATTTGAAAAATATAATGAAATAAAATATTCATGAGAGGGCCCAGCAGCAGATTGGAACTAGCAGAAGAAAGAATCACTAAACTTGAAGGCAGGTCAATGAGATTATCCAATCTGAAGAACATAAAGAAAAAAAAGATAAAAGAAAAAATGAACAGAGACTCAGAGACCTGTGAGACACACCATCAAGTGTACCAACATATGCATAGTGGAAGTCCCAAAAGGAAGAGAGAGAGAAAGGGGAAGAAAGAACATTTGAAAAATTAATAGCCAAAACCTTTTCAAACCTGATTTTTAAAAATATAAGTCTATACATTCAAGAAAGTCAAAGAACTTCAACTAGGAAAATTCAAGGAGTCACTACTAGAAAAATTACATTTAACTGTTACAAGCCAAAGACAATGAGCAAATCTTTTTAATTAATAAAATTTTTTCTTTGCTAATCAGCTGACTTCAGGATGAGAATCTTGAAAGCAAGAGAAAAGTGACTCATTATATACAAGAGAACCTCAATAAGATTAACAGCTAACTCCTCATCAGAAACTGTAAAGGCCAGAAGATAGTGAGATGACATATATAAAAGTGTTGAAAGAAAACTAAGAATTCTATATGCAGGAAATCTACCCTTCAAAAACAAAAGGGAACTTAGGACACTCTCAAATAAATAAAACTAAATTCATCACTAGCTACTAAAGGAAGTCCTTCAGGCTAAAAGCAAAGTGTACTAGATAGTAACTCAAACTTGTATGAAGAAATAAAAAGTACCAATAAAGATAACTGTGTAGGTAAATATAAAGAACAGAATAAGTATATTTTTATTTCTCTTATCTTCTGATTTAAAAGACAACCAACTGCATAAAGCAATAATTATAAAACTGTGTCAATGGGCTTATAACACAAAAAGGTGCCATATTCATGATAGAATAATGGAAGGAAGAAATGAAGCATAGTTTTTGTATGCTATGAAATTAAGTTAATATGAACTAGATTATCTTAAGTCAAGTTATTAATTGAGGGCCAGGAGTGGTGGCTCATGCCTGAATCCCAGCACTTTGGGAGGCCGAGGTGAGAGGATGGCTTGAGCCCAGGAGTTTGAGACTAGCCTGGACAGCATGTGAGACCCCACTTCTTTCTAAAAAAAAAAAAAAAAAAAAAATCAATTGTTTTGATCACCTCTCAGTGTTTTGGCTAAGATCAAGTGTAGTATCTGTTCTTATAAGTTTAATATCTGATATGTCCTCTATCTGAGGATACTATATTAAATGGGTTTTTGGAGCAGGGAGATGGGATAGGAGCTTACTCTGTCCACTCCAGGTATTGCAGTACCTCCAGGAATGGTGCACCCTCTTTGGGGAATAATAACATTTTAAAAAATTACTTGTAAAAATATTTTTTAAAGATGTTAATTGAAATCCCTAGGGCAACCACTAAGAAAATAACTTAGAAATATATAGTAAAATAAAACAAGAATTAAAATGGTATATTAGAAAATATCTATTTAACATGAAAAACAGTAATAGAATAAAGGAACAAAAAGAAGATGTAATACATACAGAAAACAAATGCCAAAATGCAAACATAAATTCTACCTTATTAATAATTATGTTAATTGTAAATCGTAATTGTTAACACTCTGATCAAATGGTAGAGACTGGTAGAATGAATTGAAAAAATGATCCAACTATATGTTGTCTCCAAGAGACACACTTTAGATTCAAATATACAAATAAGTTGCAACTGAAAGATTGGAAAATGATATACCATTCATGCAGTTCCCAAAAAAGAACTGGAGTGGCTACAATAATATCAGACAAAATAGACATGAGATGCCACCTCCCACTTGGGATGACTATAATAAAAAAGAGAAAGTGAGAAATGTTGACAAGGATATGGAGAAACTGAAACCCTAATACACTGCTAGTGGGAATGTAAAATGGTACAGCCACTTTGAAAAAGTCTGGCAATTATTAAATAGTTAAGTGTAGAGTTACCATACGATCCAACAGTTCCACTCCCTGGTTTATACCTTAAAGAAAATGAAAACATATGTCCACAGAAAAAGTTGTTCACAAATAAAATAGCATCATTATTATAGTAGCCAAAAAATGAAAGCAATCCAAATGTTCATCAATTGATAAATTTATAAACCTTGAAAACCTTGTCTTAGTGAAAGAAGCCAGATACAGAAGACCACATATTGTATGATCTGATTTGTATGAAAGGTCTAGATGGGCAAATCTATATAGACAGAAAGTAGATTAGTAGTTTTCTGGGGGTGGGGTAAAGAGGGAAGAGATAGGGAAAGGGAATGGGAGTGACTACTAATGGGTATGGAGTTTCTTTTGAGGTGATAAAAAATGTTCTAGAATTAGATAGTGATAAGCATTACACAGCTTCATGAGTATATTTAAAACCAATGAATTATATACTTTAAAAAATGAATTATTTGGAATGCAAATTCCATCTCAAAACTATTTAAAAATGAACAAATGGAAATTCTAGAATTGAAAAATAGAATTACAGAAATTAAAAATCAGTTAATGGGTTTAATAACATACTGAACATCGCTAAGATTCAAAAAAAATTTTTTAATTGGCCAAGAGAAAATACCCAAACTAAAGAACTGAGAACAAAAAGAAAGAAAATATTTGTAAGAGAGCATGAAGGATATATAATACATAGTAAGAACTTTTAATGTACATATAATTGGAGTCTCAGAAAGATAGGAGAGACAGTTAGGCAGGGGCAATATTTGACAAGATAAAGATCAAGAAATTTTGAAAACTATTGAAAGATCTCAGCTCAAAGATTAAAGAAATTTAATGAAACCCAAGCAGAATAACTACAAAGAAGACTACACACATGCATGTTGATATAGTTTGGATATTTGTCCTCTGAAATCTCATGTTGAAATGTGATCCCCAATGTTGGAGGTGTGACCTAGTGGGAGATGTTTGGGTCATGGGAGTGGATCCCTCATGAATGGCTTGGTGCCATCCCCTTCATGATTAGTGAGTTTTTGCTCTATTAGTTCACGTAAGAACTGGTTGTTTAAAGAGCCTAGCACCTCCTTCCTGCCTCCCTCTTGCTCTGTCTCACCATGTTGACATGCCTGCTCTGCGTTTGCCTTCCGCTACAAGTAAAATCTTCCTGAGACTTCACCAGAAGCTGAGCTCATGTTGGTGCTATGCTGTTAGAGCCTGCAGAACCATGAGCCAAATAAAACACTTTTCTTTATAAATTCTCATCTCAGATATTCCTTTATAACAATGCAAAGTGGACAAATACATATCATACTAAAATGCTGAAAATCAAACATGAGGAGAAAATATTAAATGCACCCAGAGGAAAATAGTACTTTCAAAATAAAAACAAAAACAAAAAACAATTTTAGGACTGACATCTGACTTCTCAATAGATATGATGGAAGCCAGAATTCAGTTGAATTACATCTTTAAATAAATGGCTGTTAAGGAAATAATTGTTCACCTAGAATTCTATTCCCAGAAAAACTATCCTTCAAATGTAAAGGAAAAAGACATTCCCAGACAAACAAAAACTGAAAGAATCAGCAGCAGACATGCACCAAAAATAAAATGAAACAAAACAAAAATAAAAAGCTAGATACAGAAGAAAATTATTCTAGCAAAAGAAAAACACTTCCCACAAAAGAAAATAATTCAAGAGATAAACATGGAAATGTAGAAAGGAATGAAGATGAATGGGGAAATATGTGAATAAATATAGAATACTTTTTAGGATTTAAAAAACATATAAATATAAAGCAAATACTAGGCTAGTTATGAAAATAATACAACTATCGTAATGTTAGTTGTGAGCTAAAGAAAAAAAAACAACTTGTAAAGGAATATAAACAATAAGAACTCAACAAAAAGCGTATATTGAAATCTGGCAAGATGGCCAAATAGGAACAGCTCTGGTCTGCAGCTCCTAGCAAGACCTATGCAGAAGACGAGTGATTTTTGCATTTCCAACTGAGTGGTGCCTAGAACCCCAGCAGGACAGAACCGTTCACTTTCCTGGAAAGGGAGCTGAAGCCAGGGAGCCAAGTGGTCTCACTCAGTGGGTCCCACTCCCATGGAACCCAGCAAGCTAAGAAACACTGGCTTGAAATTCTCAATGCCAGCATAGCAGTCTGATGTTGACCTGGGATGATGGAGTTTGGTGTGAGAGGAGCATCCGTCATTACTGAGGCTTGTGTAGGCAGTTTTTCCCGGACAGTGCTAAGGAGGCCAGGAAGTTCAGACTGGGCAGAACTCACCACAGTGTGGCAAAGCGGTTGTGGCCAGACTGCCTCCCTAGATCACTCCTCACTGGGCAGGATCTCTGAAAGAAAGGCAGCAGCTTATAGATAAAATTCCCATCTCCCTGGGACAGAGCCCCTGGGGGAAGGGGTAGCTGTGGGTGCAGCTTCAGTGGACTTAAATGTCCCTCCCTGCCGGCTCTGAAGAGAACAGTGGATCCTGACAGGGAGGATTCTCCCAGCACAGTGCCCAAGCTCTGCTAAGGGACAGACTACCTTCTCAAGTGGGTCCCTGACTCCCGTGCCTCCTGACTGGAAGAGACCTCCCAGCAGGGACCGACAGACACCTCTTACAGGAGAGCTCTGGCTGGCATCTGGCAGGTGGCCCTCTGGGACAAAGCTTCCAGAGAAAGGAGCAAGCAGCAATCTTTGCTGTTCTGCTGCCTCCAATGATGATGCCCAGGCAAACAGGGTCTGGAATGGATCTCCAGCAAACTGCAGCAGACCTGCAGAAGAGGGGCCTGACTGTTAGAAGAAAAACTAACAGACAGAAAACAATAATATCAACATCAACACAAAGGACCCCCACACAAAATCCCCATCCAAAAGTCATCAACTTCAAATATCAAAGGTAGAGAAATCCATGAAGATGAGTAAAAACCAGCACAAAAATGCTGAAAATTCCAAAAATCACAATGCTGCTTCTTCTCTAAATGATCAGAACTCTTCTCCAGCAAGGGCACAAAACTGGATGGAGAATGAGTTTGACAAATTGACAAAAGTCGGCTTCAGAAGATAGGTAATAAATTCCTCTGAGGTAAAGGAGCATGTTCTAACCCAATGCAAGGAAGCCGAGAACCTTGATAAAAGGTTACAGGAACTGCTAACTAGAATAACCAGTTTAAAGAAGAACATAAATGACCTGATGGAGCTGAAAAACACAGCATGAGAACTCTGTGAAGCATACACAAGTATCAATAGCCAAATCAATCAAGCAGAAGAAAGAATATCAGAAATTGAGGATCAACTTACTGAAATAAGGCATAAAGACAAGATTAGAGAAAAAAAATGAAAAAGATGATCAAAGCCTCCAAGAAATATGGGACTATGTGAAAAGACCAAATCTATGACTGATTGGTGTACCTGAAAGTGAGGGGAAGAATGGAACCAAGTTGGAAAACATACTTCATGGTATTATCCAGGAGAACTTCCCCAACCTAGCAAGACAGGCCAACATTCAAATTCAGGAAATACAGAAAACACCACTAAGATACTCCATGAGAAGAGCAACATGAAGACACATAATCATCAGATTCTCCAAGGTTGAAATGAAAGAAAAAATGTTAAAGGCAGCCACAGAGAAAGGTCAGGTTTCTTAGAAAGGGAAGCCCATCAGACTAACAGTGGATCTCTCTGCAGAAACCCTACAAGCCAGAAGAGAGTAGGGACCAATATGCAACATTCTTAAAGAAAAGAATTTTCAACCCAGAATTTCATATCCAGCCAAACTAAGCTTCATAAGTGAAGGAGAATTAAAATCCTTTACAGACAAGCAAATGCTGAAGGATTTCGTCACCACCAGGCTTGCCCTACAAGAGCTCCTGAAGGAAGCACTAAATATGGAAAGGAAAAACCAGTACCAGCTACTGCAAATACGTACCAAATTGTAAAGAACATCAACACTATGAAGAAACTACATCAAGTAACAGCCACAATAACCAGCTACCATCATAATGACAGAATCAAATTCACACAATGACAGAATCAAATTCACATAATGACAGAATCAAATAACAATATTAATCTTAAATGTAAACGGGCTAAATGCCCCAATTAAAAGACACAGACTGGCAAATTGGATAGAGTCAAGACCCATCAGTGTGCTGTATTCAGGAGACTCATCTCACATGCAAAGACACACATAGGCTCAAAATAAAAAGATGGAGGAATATTTACCAAGCAAATGCAAAGAGAAAAAAAAAGCAAGGGTTGCAATCCTAGTCTCTGATAAAACAGACTTTAAACCAACAAAGATCAAAACAGACAAAGAAGGCCATTACATAATGGTAAAGGGATCAATGCAACAAGAAGAGCTAACTATCCTAAATATATATGCACCAAATACAGGAGTACCCAGATTCATAAAGCAAGTTCCTAAAGACATACAAAGAGACTTAGACTCACACACAGTAATAGTGGAAGACTTTAACACCCCATTGTCAGTATTAGATCAATGAGACAGAAAATTAACAAGGATATCCAGGACTTGAACTCAGCTCTGGACCAAGCGGACCTAATAGATATCTACAGAACTCTCCACCCCAAATCAGGAGAATATACATTCTTCTCAGCAACACATCGCACTTATTCTAAAATTGACCACATAATTGGAAGTAAAACACTCCTCAGTAAATGCAAAAGAACAGAAATCATAACAAACAGTCTTTCAGACCACAGTGCAATCAAATTAGGACTCAGGATTAGGAAACCCACTCAAAACTGCACAACTACATGGAAACTGAACAACCCGCTCCTGAATGACTACTGGGAAAACAACAAAATGAAAGCAGAAATAAAGATGTGTTTTGAAACCAATGAGAACAAAGACACAATGTACCAGAATCTCTGGGACACAGCCAAAGCAGCATTAGAGGGAAATGTATAGCACTAAATGCCCAAAGGAGAAAGCAGGAAAGATCTAAAATCGACACCCTAACATCACAATTAAAAGAACTAGACAAGCAAGAGCAAACAAATTCAAAAGCTAGAAGACAAGAAATAATGAAGATCAGAGCAGAGCTGAAGGAGATAGAGACATGAAAGTCCCTTCAAAAAAATCAGTGAATCCAGGAGCTGGTTTTTTAAAAAGATCAATAAAATAGATAGACCGCTCAGACTAATAAAAAAGAACAGAGAAGAATCAAATAGATGCAATAAAAAATGATAAAGGGAATATCACAACTGATCCTACAGAAATACAAACTACCATCAGAGAATACTATAAACACCTCTATGAAAATAAACTAGAAAATCTAGAAGAAATGGATAAATTCCTGGACACATACACCCTCCCAAGACTAAATCAGGAAGAAGTAGAATCCCTGAATAGACCAATAACAAGTTCTGAAATTAAGGCAGTAATTAATAGCCTACCAACCAAAAAAAGCCCAGGACCAGATGGATTCACAGCCAAATTCTACCAGAGGTACAAAGAGGAGCTGGTACCATTCCTTCTGAAATTATTCCAAGCAATAGAAAAAGAGAGACTCCTCCCTAATTCATTTTATGAGGCCGGCATCATTCTGACACCAAAACCTGGCAGAGACACAACAAAAAAAGAAAATTTCAGGCCAATGTCCCTGATGAACATCAATGCAAAAATCCTCAATAAAATACTGACCAACCGAATCCAGCAGCACATCAAAAAGCTTATCCACCACAATCAAGTCGGCTTCATCCCTGGGATACAAGGCTGGTTCGACATACACAAATCAATAAATGTAATCCATCACATAAACAGAACCAATGACAAAAACCACATGATTATCTCAATAGATGCAGAAAAGGCCTTCGATAAAATTCAACACCGCTTCATGCTAAAAACTCTCAATAAACTAGGTGTTCATGTGAGATACCTCAAAATAATAAGAGCTATTTATGACAAACCCATAGCCAATATCATACCGAATGGGGAAAAGCTGGAAGCATTCCCTTTGAAAACTGGCAAAGACAAGGATACCCTCTCTCACCATTCCTATTCAACATAGTATTGGAAGTTCTGTCCAGGGCAATCAGGCAAGAGAAAGAAATAAAAGGTACTCAAATAGGAAGAGAGGAAGTCAAATTGTCTCTTTTTGCAGATGACATGATTGTATATTTAGAAAACCCCATTGTCTCAGCCCAAAAACTCCTTAAGCTGATAATCAACTTCAGCAAAGTCTCTGGATACAAAATCAATGTGCAAAAATCACAAGCATCCCTATACACCAATAATAGACAAGCAGAGAGCCAAATAATGAGTGAACTTCCCATTCACAATAGCTACAAAGAAAATAAAATACCAAGGAATACAACTTACAAGGGATGTGAAGGACCTCTTCAAAAAGAACTACAAACCAGTGCTCAAGAAAAATAAGAGAGGACACAAACAAATGGAAAAAAAATTCCATGCTTATCAATAGGAAGAATCAATATCATGAAAATGGCCATACTGCCCAAAGTAATTTATAGATTCAATGCTATTCCCATCAAGCTACCATTGACGTTCTTCACAGAATTAGAAAAAACTACTTTAAATTTCATATGGAACCAAAAAAGAGCCTGTATAGCCAAGACTATCCTAAGCAAAAAGAACAAAGCTGGAGGCATCACGTTACCTGACTTCAGACTATACTACAAGGCTACAGTAACCAAAACAGCATGGTACTGGTGCCAAAACAGACATATAGACCAATGGAACAGAACAGAGGCCTCAGAAATAACACCACACATCTGCAACCATATGATCTTTGACAAACCTGATAAAAACAAGCAATGGGGAAAGGATTCTCTATGTAATAAATGTTGCTGGGAAAACTGGCTAGCCATATGCAGAAAACTGAAACTGGACCCCTTCCTTACACCTTATACAAAATTAACTCAAGTTGGATTAAAGACTTAAGTATAAAACCTAAAACCATAAAAACCATGAAGAAAACCTAGGCAATACCATTCAGGACATAGACATGGGCAAAGACTTCATGACTAAAATATCAAAAGCAATTGCAGCAAAAGCCAAAATTGACAAATGTGATCTGATTAAACTAAAGAGCTTCTGCACAGCAAAAGAAACTGCCATCAGAGTATTCCTACAGAATAGGAGAAAAGTTTTGCAATCTATCAATCTGACAAAGGTCTAATATCTGGAATGTACAGTGAACTTAAACAAATTTACAAGAAAAAACCAACCCCCATCAAAAAGTGGCCGAAGGATATGAACAGACACTTCTCAAAAGAAGATGTTTATGCAGCCAACAAACATGAAAAAAAGCTCATCATCACTGGTCATTAGAGAAATGCAAATCAAAAACACAATGAGATACCATCTCATGCCAGTTAGAATGGCAATCATTAAAAAGTCAGAAAACAACAGATGTAGAGAGAGGATGTGGAAAAATAGGAATGCTTTTACACTGTTGGTGGGAGTGTAAATTAGTTCAACCATTGTGGGAGACAGTGTGGCAATTCTTCAAGGATCTAGAACCAGAAATACCATTTGACCCAACAATCCCGTTACTGGGTATATACCCAAAGGATTATAAATCATTCTACTGTAAAGACACATGCACACATATGTTTACTGCAGCACTATTTACAATAGCAAAGACTTGGAACCAACCAAAATGCCCATCAGTGATAGACTGGATAAAGAAAATGTGGCACATATACCCCATGAAATACTATGCAGCCATAAAAAAGAATGAGTTCATGTCCTTTGGAGGGACATGGATGAAGCTGGAAAGCATCATTCTCAGCAGACTAACACAGGAACAGAAAACCAAACACTGCATGTTCTCACTCATAAGTGGGAGTTGAACAATGATAACACGTGGACACAGGGAGGGGAGCATCACACACCGGGGCCTGTTGGGGGGTGGGGGGACAAATATCTAATGCATGCAGGGCTTAAAACCTAGATGTTGGGATGATAGGTCTGGCAAAGCACCATCACACATGTATACCTGTGTAACAAACCTGCATGTTCTGCACTTGTATCCCAGAAATTAATGTAAAAAAAAAAAAGGAATATTTTATCCATTTATCCTTTTTTTCTTGCATTTTCAGGTGTTTTGTAGCGAGTGCACAGTGATCTCTAGTGTATTTTTTTTTTGCTAGAAAAAGAGGTCTATAATTCATTTATTTTTCTTCATCTTTCTACACACTATACCCATCCTGGCTGGAATTTTATAGGAGCATATATCTTCTGGCTAAGAGTTTGAAATGTAATATTGAGTTTATGCACTAGATTTTAAAGCTTTTGTTTTTTTTTTTTTTCATTTGTAGAAAGGAATGCCTTAGTTATGTTCCTAATTTTAAGGGAATCTATGCCTTATTTTATTTTATTTTTATTTATTTATTTATTTATTTTTTTTGAGACGGAGTCTTGCTCTGTTGCCCAGGCTGGAGTGCAGTGGCATGATCTCGGCTCACTGCAAGCTCCGCCTTCCGGGTTCACGCCATTCTCCTGCCTCAGTCTTCCAAGTAGCTGGGACTACAGGCACCCGCCACCACACCCAGCTAATTTTGTGTGTGTGTGTGTGTGTTTTTAGTAGAGACGAGGTTTCACCGTGTTAGCCAGGATAGTCTCGATCTCCTGACCTCGTGATCCGCCTGCCTCAGCCTCCCAAAGTGCTGGGATTACAAGCGTGAGCCACCATGCCCGGCCCCACCTCATTTTAGTATTGTTATGTTAGCTAGAGATAGATCTCCAATGTCTTAGTTACAGGTAATTTTGATAAAGTTGGTGGGTACATTTAATTTTAAGTAAATACGTTTTTTACAATAACGTCTTAACCAATGTTTCCTATGATAAGTGTTCTTAGTCTCAAGGTTGTAAGTTGATAATCTTTGGAAATATTAAAACAAAACTGCCAATATTGCACAAAAAAGCCTATATTTTAGACTCCACTTTGTTGGTAATCCTGGGTGACAATATTCTACATGCCAGCCTAGTCACTTACAGTTCTTCGAAAGCTGCCACACTGTTTAATGGCTCCATACTTCACACCAGCCATTCCCTCATCCTGGAATGCTTCCTTCCTCCCTACCATTCTTGATGAACTCACACTCAGATACCCACAAGGAGAGCTAGCTGTGTGGTTTCATTACCTCTAGGACTTAACCCTTATTACTTGACTTATTATAACTCTGGGGCAATTATTTGATGTATAATGCATAGTGGGTATTCAGGAAATATGGAATAGAACAAGATCCTAGGGATCCTGGACTATATACCATTTCTGATTGCTTTCAGTTATGAGAGGTTTAATTCTTATATACATGTAGCTTATGATGCTGGTTGTTTTAACAAATAAGTGAATGTTTTAGAGAAACCTTTGTTTGTTTATGCATTAATTTTTGAATGGGTAACTGCCATGGTTTGGATGTATCCCCCAAAACTCATGAGTTGGAAACTTGATTCCCCAATGCAGTGGTGTCGAAAGGTAGGGCTTAATGGGAGATGTTTGGGTCATGGGGGCACTGCCCTTGTTAATGGATTAATGCCATTATCATGGGAGTAGGTTCCTTGTTAAAGGATGAGTTTGGTTCCCTCTTGCTCTTTCCCTTACCCTCTCTCTGCCCCTTCCACCATGGGATGATGTAGCAAGATGGCTCTCACTAGATATCAGAACCTTGATCTTAGACTTTGCAGCCCCTAGAACTGTAAGGATATAAGTTTCCATTCTATATAAATTGCTCAGTTCAGCCATTCTGTTATAGCAGCACAAAATGGATTGAGACAGTAACCCTTGTCACATTGCAATCTGAGTGCCAATACATCAGCCACATTGAGCTCACACCATTAGAGGCTAGGACAAAGGAAAACCACTCTTTTGTGGGGTGTAGGATACATAATAAGTGTGTGGCCTACAGCCCTGGGGTTACACTGACAACATTGTTATACAGACACTAGAAATAGATCAGAAAAAGTTTAGATGTTTTCTGCTGGATCAATTTCTAGGAATGTTCCAAAATACCAATCATTGTATTTTCTAGGAGAAGACACTCTGCTTTGGTGTGAAGGGTCTTTGGTTTATGAAAAACTGTGCTTTTCACATATAAGTTGTCACAGCTGTTCCAGGCCATGTGTGGTCTCTTAGTAGCATGTAGGTTTGGAAACCCTAGTGAGGCAGTGTAGGCAGAATATATAGCCATTAGAACCAGACAAATGTGAGATTAAGTCTTTGCTCCACCAGTTACTGCTCCACCAGTAAGTGCTGGCCCTGGAAAGGCACTTAACTTCCCTAAACTTCAGCTTCCTCCTGCAAAACGTGGGAACTTTCACTTACCTTACAGGTTGTGGAAAGGATGTTGAGGTTCCTAGCGCAGTGCCTACACGTGGTAAATGTCCAATATAGTAGTGCCCCCTTTATCTGTTTTTGCCTTCCATGGTTTCGGTTACCCACAGTCAGCTGTGGCCCAAAAATATTACATGGAAAGTTCCAGAAATAAACAATTCATAAGTTTTAAACTATGTTCTGTTGTGAGTAGCATGATGAAATCTTCCACTGTTCCACTCTGTCCCAAGCAGAACACAAATCATCTCTTTGTCCAATGTCTCCATGCTGTCTACACTCTCTGCCTGTGAGTCACTTAGCCATCTTTGTTATCAGACTGACTGTCACAGTATCACAGATCTTGTGTCCAAGTAACCTTTATTTTATTTAATTATGGCCCCAAAGTGCAAGAGTAGTGATGCTGACAGTTTAGATATGGCAAAGAGAAGCCATAAAGTGCTTCAAGTGAAAAGGTGAAAGGTTGTGACTTAACAAGGAAAGGAAAAATCTGAGGTTGCTGAGATCTACAGTAGGAACAAATCTTCTGTCTGTGAAATTGAGAACAATATATTGTAATTATTCTATTATTGGTCATTGTTAGTGTCTTATTGTGCCTAATTTATAGATTAAGCTTTATTATAGGTATGTATGTATGAGAAAAATATATTGTATATAGGGTTTAATACTGCCTTTGGTTTCAGGCATCCACTAGGCATCGAGGAACATATGCCCTGCAGATAAGGGGGAACTACTGTAAATAATCACTGATATTATATTTCCCTAGAAAATTAGTTATTAAAGTAATTTCAAGAACAAGAACAAAACACCTTCAACCTAATGCTATATTTGTAGGTACCCTGGGCACAGTGTAGCAAAACTTGTTTTTCTTATTTACATTGTTGTACATGGGAATAAAAAGATATAAGTGGTAAAAGAGTTAGTTAGAAAAGTGGAAGGTGTCTTGAGAAATTTTTGAAAATCTATATTGAAGCAAATGAAACAGAGAATAAAGAAGGCAGGCCCTAGAAAAAATTTACTTTAAAAATCAGAATTTTCTGTGTTGTGCACCAGAGAGTTTTATTTAATATGTCAAATATTCACTCAAAATAAATGTTGAACACACTAAGTTTGTGCATTCAAAATTTTCCACAATATATTCATATAATAACATGCACTCTATTTTTGCTATGAAGTATAACCCGAGGCAGCTGAAGCATCTTTCAAAGTTTTTAAGAAGACAAAGCAAACACAACCAAATTATTTTCTTTAGACAAAGCAATACTATGTTAGCTAAAGTGTGTCCACATAACCCAGAAATAATGTAAATACAGGAGTAGAATTAGGAGCAATTTAATATCTACTATATGTGCTTTTGTTAGATTTTCATAGACTGTGTATTTATGAGGAGAAGGTAGGACATGGTCTACTAGTCAAGCAAGCTCAGACTATAACATTATTTTAGCATAATGACATGAGGAGCAGGACAGGGCTTGGTTGTCAGCCATTTAACTTAAGAGTTTACCCTGTTCCTTCAATGTTCAACCCATTGCCCTAAATCCTGGGAGTGGGTTCAATTGTGTCTTCTCCAAAGAGGTATGTTGAAGCCCTAACCCACGTACTAGAATGTGACTGTATTTGGAGATAGAACCTTTTAGGAGGTAATTAAGTCACAATGGGATTGTTAGGGTGGGCTGTAATTCATTATGACTGGTGAACTTACAAGAAGATACATATCGGGGGTGCACTGGCACAGAGGAAAGGCCATGTGAAGCAAGAAGGCAGCCATCTGCAAGCCAAGGAGAGAAATTTCAGAAGGAACCAACCCTACCGACATCTTGATCTTGGACTTTAAGCTGCCAGACCTGTGAGAAAACAAATTTCTAATGTTTAAGCCACCCAGTCTGGGATATTTTGTTATGGAAGCCCTGGCAAACTACAGTAGTTCCCCCTTATCCTTGAGGGATATGTTCTAAGATCCCTGGTGGATGCCTGAAACTGCTGATACTACTGAACCCTATGTATACTATATATTTTTTCCTATACATACATACTTATGATGAAGTTTAATTTATAAATTAGGCCAAGTAAGAGATTAACAAGGAATAATAAAATAAGACAATTATAACAATATGCTAGCATCACTACCCTTACACTTTGCCATTTTTCAGTAGAATAAGGGTTTCTTGAACACAAGCAAGGTTTTATCAGGCTACTCAGAACGTTGCTCTTTCTCTTATACTCATCTAATCCATCATGAAATTCTGTGGCTTGGCTTTCAAAATATATCCAGGATTTGACCACTTATCACCACCCTCATTGCTAATACACAGTTCAATCCATGGTTGCTGGTCAAATGTGCCATCATAGTCAAATCCACTATCATAGTCAAATTTACCATCATTGTTCACCTGGGTTATGTGCAGTAGCCTCTAACAGGGCTCTTTGATTTCACCCTTGCTTCATTTGCACGCCTAGTCTTTCCTCAACACAGTAGCCAGAGCAATCCTTATAAAATTAGATCAGATCGCTTCTCTCCTAAGTTCAACACTCTCTAGTGACTTTCCATTTGAAATAAAGTAAAATCCAAAGTCCTGGCTGGGCACAGTGGCTCATGCCTATAATCCCAGCACTTTGGGAGGCCAAGGTGGATGGATCACCTGAGGTCAGGAGTTCAAGACCAGTCTGACCAACACGGCAAAACCCTGTCTCTACTAAAAAATACAAAAATGAGTGAGCATGGTGGCGGGCACCTGTAATCCCAGCTAGTCGGGAGCCTGAGGCAGGGAGAATTGCTTGAACCCGGGAGGTGGAAGTTGCAGTGAGCTGAGATCACACCACAGCACTCCAGCCTGGGCGACACAGCAAGACTCTATCTCGGAAAAAAAAAAAAAAATCCAAAGCCCTTCTAATTAATTACAAGGTCCTCCATGAGCTGGCCTACCATTATTTCTCTGGGTCATTTCCTAGCACTGTCTCCCTAGCTCACTAGGCTATAGCTAAACCAGCCGCCTTGCTGTTCCTAGGACACACTGAGCATGCTTTCACTTATGGGGCTTTGCAATGGCTGTCCCCTCTACCTGGAACATTGCTTTCCAGATATGCTCTTGGTGAGCTACCTCAACTCTTTTCAAGGCTACCTTCCAATGGGCTTCGTTGTGACTCTTCTATTTACATTAGTTAACTCCACCCACATTCTCCTCTCGATTCCCTAACTCCCTCACCTGCTCCATTTTTATTTCTGTAGCAATTATCGCCTTTTAAAATACTGCATAATTATAATTAAGCTTAATATTTCTTGTCTGTCTCCTCTACTAGAAGTTCCGTGAGGGTAAATGCTTGTCTGTTTTGTTCATCTGTGTTTCATGAGTACCTAAAACAGTACCTGGCACATAGTAGACACTCAATAGCTATTTGCTGAATGAAGGAGTAAATGAATAATAGAGCAATAATTAATTGTCATATGCCAGGTCTTATTCTAAGTATGTTTTATATCTTGTTTCATTTAAACCTCACCACAGTCTGTGAGGTAGGTATTAATTATTCTTAATACAAAGATAAAGAAAATAGGCTTAGAGAGGTTAAAGGTAGAACTAAGATTTGAACCTAGGCAGTCTAATCCCAAAGCCTTTCAGTTTTTAAATTCAACCACCCTGTGAAGTTAGGAAAATAGGTAAGTGGTTATGATTATTCTCATTTTCTAGATGACAGAACTGAGACTTAGAGATTTTAAGTAACTTTCTCAAGGTGAATGGGAACCTTACTTAGTGAATGGGAAACCTTAGGTTGTCCTGATGCCCTAAGTTCCTGGGTTTGTTATAACCTGGCCTGGTGTCTCTCCTTGCCCTTTTCAGGGACTCCTTCCCTTCAGTGCTATTTTTCTATGTCTTCTCTTCCATGTCTAAGGCATTCCACAGTCTTCATTACCCACAGAATTCCCTGTAGTAGTCTACCATAACATAGTTCTCTTTGGTTGTACCTCTTATTAGATCTCTTACTGCTATACCTGACAAAAGGAAGAAAAACTATCAACCTTCTCAAGAAAAATACACATACACATAACATCTAGACTACAATAGACTCTAGCTAAAACTGATTCATTCTTGACTTCAATCCTCTTGCAATAAATAGATACCTTTCCACCATCCGATTTTCTAGGGTCTCAATAATTAATTGGTTAGTTATTATTAAATGTGTCAGTGAAGGTTTATAGATTCATTTATTCATTTGTGCATTCATTCATTCATTCATTCCATAGGCATTTTTGAGCAACTATTGTGTATAAGACAGAATACTAAATTCTGTGGGGAATCAAAAATGACCTTTATAGTACTATGCCCTCAAGACATTTCCAATCAGAGCCAATGAGATTCAGTTTGGGTATTTTTGTCTGAGTTTTCACTTTCCGCTAGATTCAATGTTGAAAGGCCCATGAGACTGCAGTTGCTACAGCCACTGTGTTGCCATGACAGGAGATCCTGTCTAGATTGGAGCCCACCCAGAAAAACCAGCTCAAAGAGGTAGAAAGAGAAAGAGAGAGAGAAACTGGCTCCTGAGGACACAGTTTTAATCCCTGCATCAAGCTGTGCCTGAAGCTAACCCCACAGTAGTCTCTTTCTGTAACAAAGTCCAAAAAAGGATTTTCTTTTCACTTAAGTCAGTTTGAGTTGTATTTTCTGTTATAAGCTTTTAGAATAGTCCTAATACATATAGGCCTTTCTAGTTATATTTTTAACATCCTGATATCTTTCCAGAGATAGCTTCACACATAAGGAACCACCTTAGCATCCTTCACTCAATGCTGAAAGTGAGCATCTGGTCTGCCTTTGGGCCAATGCTAAATCTCTTCAACAGCATCCTTTACCGAAGCAACATTGTCCCAGAATCTGCTGAAGCAGCAAGAAAAGAGGTCAGCAGTAGGACCAAGCTGCATATCTTCTTAGGCAGGAGTGCATCACTATTGAGGCCAAATGGACACTCACTAGCAAGGTGGCTGGAAACAACTGTTCCAGAAAGAACCCAAGGAAAAATTTCCAGGAGGAACCCAAACAGAAAAATCTATGTGGGTTGTATTCTGTAGTGCAAGTACTAAGGGAAGCGGGTGGTCTCAGAGGGTTAGCCAGTGAGAACATTGCCAGAAATGGTAAGATGCAGAGGCTCCTGAAAGAGCCAGCATTTAGACATCTGTCATAACAAAGGACATTCAATAGCTAAGAGATCACTTTAAATAGCACCAAATATTTTTAAAGTTCCTTTCTTTTAATCCATCTTCCACCTTCCCTGATTAAAAAGTCATGAAGATGAGGGGCAGGAGGGGAGGTAAAACAAAGAAAATGAAAAAATAGACTGTTTCTTCCTTTATCCTTCCAAACTATGAGTCAGGCCCAAGCTGAGGGAAAGAGAGAAGATTCAGTTGAATGAGAAATGGAAGTTTTGATTTGAACTGGACTTTTGACATACCTGAATATCTAATTGTTCTAATGTCTCAACAGGACTGGGAAGCTAAGGGATTTGCCAAGGCATGGGGAAAAGAGGATCTTTATGTTTGAAGAATGATAGAAAAAATAAAGCTGTTCATTATTACATTCTACCATGTTTAGCCAATTAAACAGGTTTTACTGGAGGTGGTTCTGTGGTAATTATTCCATAGGCTTATCTTGAGTTAGATCAAGCTTGTCCAAACTGCAGCCCACAGGTTGCATGTGGCCCAGAACAGCTTTGAATATGGCCTAACACAAATTTGTAAACTTTCTTAAAACATTATGAGAATTTTTTTTGCAATTTTTTTTAGCTCATCAGCTGTCATTAGCGTTAGTGTATTTTATGTGTGGCCCAAGACAATTCTTCTTCCAATGTGGCCCAGAGAAGCCAAAAGATTAAATATCCCAAGTTAGACCATAAGAAACAGCACAATGCAAATTACCCTCATATTTACTATCATAATGGTTTCTCTAGGAGAATTCATGAGGAAATATCTCTATGAGCTTAGTATCAGGGGTAGTTCTGCTTCTCTGGACCAAGTGTTGTGCTTTTATTCAGTTAGTATACCAAATGGAATGGGGGTGTGAGTGAGAAAGATCCATTCTATGGAAGGTACTTTTTAATTTATTATTTATTTTTTTCGAGACAGGGCCTTGCTCTGTCACCCAAGCTGGGTGCAATGGCATGAACATGGCTCACTGTAGCCCTGACCTCCTGGGCTCAAGCAATCCTCCTGCCTCAGCCTTCCAAGTAGCTGTGACCACAGGTGCACACCACCACAGCTGGCTAAATTAAAAAAAAAATTGTCAAGATAGAGTCTCACTATGTTGTCTAGGCTGGTCTTGAACTCCTAGACTCAAGTAATCCTCTCACCTTGGCCTCCCAAAGTGCTGGGATTATAGGAGTGAGCCACCACACATGGCCTACGGGACATATTTTGTCCCTGACAATGTTTACAATTGCTGATACATGTTGGTAATATGAAGTAGATGAACTCTTACTCTGTTTTATTGCAGTTTATACATTTTCTACAGAAAATGCACCCCATCATTGCTTATAGCCCACCCACGTGGACTGCTCATTCTGTGAATCATGTTTTACAGGTGCGTTTTGGCTACTGAAAGCTTGGAGTCAAACCTGTATGCCTCTTCCTTTGTCTGCCAATATATTTTGTATATTAGGCCTCGGCCCTGGCTCCAATTTAGATTACCATTTTTTCCCCTACTTTGTCCCTCTCTTTGACCTTTTAACTTACTTCTATTCTTTGTGTGCAGAACTTTGTAAGCCCTGTTAGATCCTTGCTGCAGCAATGTACATAAGCAATGTAATAAACAGAAAGGATGAGATATTCAATGCCCATATCAAATCATCCTGTGTGTGTAGAATCACAAGTGCATTTCATTATAGACACAAGACATAATTTTGCACATTTCAAAATGCAGTAAACGATTCCTAGAATGCTATTTTAGAAGCTTTCCTTAGGAAACAGCACCACGTGGCATAACTCACCTACCCCAGTAGTGTGATCTCCCTTTGGTCCTGTGTAGGAAGTGGGAGTTTCTCCCCTCCTCCTGTGCCAGCTGCTCCGGTTTCTTTTCTCCTGAGTAAATGTACATTCATCTTGCTCGAAAGTACACTCTCCAGGTGGAGGTGGAAGTTTCTCTGCAAGAAAATAGCAGATGTTGCAATCACTGAGACTCTTTCAATGACTCTGTGTTGCTAGCAGCCCACTCTGCATGTATGAATGTTGTCTGGCCATATGCCATGCGATGGAGAGGCAGCCCCCACTGGTGGCCCACCTACACGGAGCCACTGCTTCCAGCTAGAGGCTGCATTCCACTGCGGGTCCTGCCACAGACATAGAGAACAATCAGATATACAGATCTAAAATACTGGGCTACTTTGAGAAAAAAACTTTCTCTGACTTGTGAATTTTTGTGAATTTCTTTTTATAAAGCTCTGGAAATTATAGGTATATTGCCTTTATGAAAATATGGAAAATAATAAAATTTCATAATGCAGGCACTTTCTTCAGAAATCCTGGATGAGTGAAGGGTATCCTCATAACAACTCCACAGTTGCTTTGTAGGTAGGGGAGAATGTGAGAGTGCTAAATGGACTCCTGGAGGCATAGCTGTGTGGAACAAATGACTTCACTTCTCTGTGCCTTAGAGTTCTTATCTCTAATGTGGGAATATTGATGGTAGTCACTTCATGGGTCTGTGAGGATTAAATGAGATGGTATATGTAAAGTGATCATTTTTAATGTGAAGTTCTCAATAATTAAATTTTAGAACTTATTTTGCCACCCAGAGGTTTATTTTCCTTTTCCCAAATCCAATGTTTATGTCTTTGAATGCTATCTTCAATAACATTCATAATTATTAGAATGGTGCTTCTTCCCAATTTATTGGGGACTTTTCCTTTGACTAAACTTGGTTGTACCTCCCTATATCCAGATTCTTAGCCAAATTTTTCTAATAAATAGCTTGTTTCATATGTCTCTTTTGTGATCACTGTTTTACTTCATTTTATTTTACACACAGTACTGGTTAATGAAACCTCATTCTTTCTTCTATGCCTTGAGTGGAACGATTTTTATCTGGGTTGTCCTTGCAGTGCCTGGCAAATTAAGAGACTAAGAACAAATTGTCTTTTAATTAAATAAACATGGAGATTATTCTCCAGCACCAGACTGATACCACGATTTGCCTGTGTGTCAAAGAAATGGATGTCCTATGATGTAGGATGCAATGGTAATTAGCAGATACAGATCAATGATTGGGATTGAGTTATGCACCATTTTCTCATTAGGCGTAATGTATGACACATAGCTAGCTACCATGACTTTATTTTGCTACTATCATCATTGCTTGGTCTATTGTTCCACTGTCATTTAATTCACTTAGAAAATGTTTATTAAAATTTTTAAATTACATGCTTAGCAAGTATCTGTGAAATAAAAATTTCATTAATATTGCTTGAAAATCTGCATTCATGTAAGATAACAAAAACAACAGTAATAGTAATAATTATAGTAGAAGATATTTGTTTTTAAAGCACTGTTTTGTGGAAAATGTATGTATTATCCCCAATATTCAGGTAGATACCACTAGTTGCCTTCCAAATGAGGATAAAGGGGTTAAGTCACATGTACAAAGACACATATTACACTGGAATCATCATTTCTAAATTTCAAAGCCTGCTACACAGCTCTGCAGGAGACACTTTGTCAACAAAAGCAAAGGATGGACTAGCACAGATGAAATGTATGTGATTCTCAGCGATACAGGAAATGTATGTATAGGTCAGAGAGACAGAGAGCTAAAATGATTGCCGTCTTACCTGAAGATGAGCAGCTTCCCAATTGTATTGTAATGTCATCCAGGGCTACAAGCCCACAGTCCCAGAAACTTTTGCATAGGCTCATGAAAACCACCTGAAATTCATAAAAATAAAGCTATGAATTCTGTTAACTGAAAACTGGAAACTCCTAACAACCTGGGATTCACTTAGCACAGCAGGCGAGCATAGGCAAACTACAAGCAGCTCTTCAGCGTCCGTATGAACAACAGAACACAGTAGGAAGAAGAATGGTTACCATCTGCATAAAACCCTGGAATTACTTTTATTATTATTGTTAATTTTTGAGATGGAGTCTCGCTCTGTCGCCAAGGCTGGAGTGTAGTGGTACGATCTTGGCTCACTGCAACCTCTGCCTACTGGGTTCAAGTGATTCTCCTGCCTCAGCCTCCTGAGTAGCTGGGATTACGGACACCCGTCACCATGCCCAGATAATTTTTGTATTTTTAGTAGAGACGGGGTTTCACCATGTTGGCCAGGCTGGTCTCAAACTCCTGACCTCAGGTGATCTGCCTGCCTTGGCCTCCCAAAGTGCTGGGATTACAGTTGTGAGCCACCACACCTGGCCTAGAATTACTTAATATATTTGAGCAGAATATAACGATATATTGTGCATACTAATGCTGAAATTAGTGGCATTTCGTAAAGAATTGACAGGAAGAGTGAGGAAAGCAAGAAGTTAACTGCGTGACAGAGAAATGCCTGTCAGGTTTTAAACATTTTCCCCAGATAATCCACAAAGTACATATAGACTTGATGGTTTTCTGAGCATTTTTCAAACATTTCCAGTACAAACACTATTGATTTTTTGGAAATGACTTTCTGGCAACATGCTTCATTCACATTGTGAACAAAGTCCTGGTGATTTGCCATCTGGAGGCTTATGTTCCATTTCCAAAGACAAAGATCTGTGTTCCCAGTTGGTGTCACTAATAAAAGCCCTAAATGCAGTTATTTTATCAGTCCAAACATTTTTATTGTTGTCTGTGAAGGAAAAACAAATCCATACCATAAATTATTAAATCTACTGTTCCAGAGAAAGACAGAAAAGTCTTGGATTTCTTTCCATCAGGCAAATTTTAAAGGCTACTTTTCATATATAGGATGAGCTAAGAGACCTTTTAAAAACATTTGTATTAGATTTTCACTGTACTTGCAGATTACAAAGCTGCTTTGAATGTATCACAATGTTTACGTAGCACAAGCTCATTTAGTCCATGTTCATTGAATCCCTCAATTACAAATCTAATTCAAACAGACAAAGGATGATATAACAGAAGTTGAAACCCAACTTACAAATAATGAGAACACTTGATTTTTTTAGGCTCTAGTTTAAAATGTTATGTTTTAAATTTATTGTTTTATCAGTAGGGTTCTTTTGCTTTTTGATGATCAGAGTCATTAGAATATAGAATTTATTTAAAAAGAAATGTAAAGATCATGTGACAGCTTACCAGTATGCAAAATATAAAATGTCTTAATCCAAGACCTTCTGGATAATTACTAATTGTAAGATGTGTGAAGGTTTACTTGCACTGTATTCATATTGCTTTCAATTATAAAAAGGATAGTTTGGACTTGTCACAATGTATAACTCTGTATATATACAAAGAACAAAACAAAACAGGGTGGATTTTTTTTTCTCGTTTACTTCTGTTAATTTTCTCATGTTTATAGATTCTAGAGATGATCTGAACATGTAAAATATTTTACTTGCAGAGTTTACTACTGGGAACTTATTCCCTGTTTGTAAAGCAAAGGTCTGTGTCATCAGCCCTGAATGCGGTTATATTTTAGCAGTAACTTTTTTTGTTATATGGGAAGGAATATTAATCCATCTCATAATTTACTGAATTAATTGTGGTGCAGACAGAAGAGTCTTGGCTTTATTTTATGGGGTGTGGGGGGTAGCTTTAAAGTCTATTTTTCACAAGTATACTAAAAAAGTACCTTTTCAAAATGAATATGTGGTAGTGAAATGGTTCACCATCTAAATCATTACCTACATAAAACTCAAACATTTGGCATGGTAATAAATTCCAAAGAAGAGAAATATTAACATGCTTTCATATGTTTACTATAGCATTGTTTTATAGTGACCATAAAACCATACAAGCAAGTAAGCAAGCAAACACCCAGAATTTTAAAAATAGAAGAAATAAATGAACTACGGCACAATTATCTAGGAAACTGGCCATTGTCAGATTTGATAACTTGGGCATATTATTTCATAGTACAGAAATATATTCCTCTCATAATGTTAAGTGAAAAAACTAAATAAAATAAGACAAAATAATATCTAGTTCATCTAAAAATAATAGAAAAAGACTGGAAAGTTTACCAAATTTACAACAATTATGTTAGACTCATAAAATTATGGGCATTAAACAGAATTTCCCCCTTCTTTCTATATTTATATGTGTGTGTGTGTATATATATGTGTGTATATATATGTGTATGTATATATATATATGTGTGTGTGTGTGTGTGTGTGTGTGTGTATATATATATATATTTCTGTTTTGTTTTTTTTTTGAGATGGGAGTTTTGCTCTTGTCGCCCAGGCTAGAGTGCAATGATGCGATCTCAGCTCACTGCATTCTCCACCTCCTGGATTCAAGCAATTCTCCTGCCTCAGCCTCCCGAGTAACTGGGATTACAGGCATGTGCCACCACGCCTGGCTAATTTTTGTATTTTTAGCAGAGATGCAGTTTCGCCATGTTGGCCAGGCTGGTCTCGAACACCTGACCTCAGGTGATATCCACCCGCTTGGCCTCCCAAAGTGTTAGGATTACAGGCATGAGCCACCTCACCCAGCCTTTATATTTATATTTGACACAAGAAAAAGGAATCAGGATATTTACAATTAAGATGTGGAATAATCAGTCATTATTATTTCCTAGATGATCTTGTCTATTATGATAGCCACTAGGTACATGTGTCTATTAAAATTAAATTAAAAATTCATGTATTCAGTCACACGAGCCACATTCGAAGATGCTCAGTGGCCACATGCAGCTCATGGTTAACTGAATTGGACACAGCAGGTATGCAGCATTTCCTCATTACAGAAAGTTCTATTGGATAGACTTCCCTGGCTCCTTTTGGATATTCCAAATACTTCGTGAATTGCCACAGTGGGTTGAATGAAATGTTAAGCATGTTTTGGACAATAGCAGACGTCTAGGTTGTTCTACCTTAGCACTTTTTCCACACTTAAAACATTCGCCAGACCATGTGTTGTTCTGTCTGATAAAAGATCCCTAAGGTTAGTCAGCTACTGACTAGGTTCAAATGACGGCCTTAATCCCCAAATTTGCTTGGCAGTTGTCTGTCAGTATTTTAACACACAAAAGAAGCACAACCAGATCAGCTTGTTTGATCTAACACACTGGATTTTCTGCCTGGCTATTAGTAATGCTGATCATGTCAGCGCTTATTTTGGGGCTGCCATTTTACATTTTGTATGCTCCTTGAGGTGGAGAGGTTATTTTAGGGTAGTTGGTGACTGGGCAAGCGGATGAGTGGGCCTGGTTGAGGCAGGACAAAGAATAAGTCAAACATCTTGTCCTGTTCTTAAGGACTTACCCTCTGGGTCCAGTTAAGAACATAACAAGAAGGGAATTAGTCATAGTCTAAATTCTTGAGGGGATTAACCTCTTATTTATAGATCTTTCTTAAAAGCAGTGTTTATTTCATTGTAGGCAGTATTTCGAAGCAAGTGGAACATCTCTAAGACTAGAAAAAATCTTAGCTTAAATGTATATTAGTATCTAAGAGGGTACCATACCCTCTTAAATATTAAATATTATATTAAATATTAAATTAAATATTAATTATATTAATTATAGGCTCACATCTATAATCCCAGCACTTTGGGAGGCTGAGACAGTAGGATCACTTGAGGCCAGGAGTTGAAGATCAACCTGGGCAGCATAGAGAGGTTCCATCTCTACAAAAGAATTTTAAAAATTAGCTGTGTGCGCTTGTAGTCCAGGTACTTGAAAGGCTGAGGCGGGAAGCTCTCTTGAACCCAGGAGTTGGAGCCTGCAGTGAGCCATGATCACGCCACTGTACTCCAGCCTAGATGACAGAGTGAGACCCTGTCTCTCAAAAACAATTAATTAAAAAAAAGAAGGGGAAAGAAGATGAGGGGCCAAGTAAAGTGATATCCCTTAGAAAGGTATTCCTGATTTTATGCAAATCTCTTAAAAGTTAGAGACAAATTAAATTTATGTAAATCAATGTCTCCATGTACTCAAGATCCCAGTCCTTAGGTTCTGATAATACTTTAAAATGTTTGTCCTGATGGAGAATATTCATAGCCGAGGAAATCTGCCTAGACTGGAAACACAAACAGGCAATGAAAGGAGAGCTGTAAAAACATATTTGCAAAGAAATAATTTTAAATACAGTCAAGGAGGGATCAACAATATTACTTAACTTACTCTCTACTATACTAAAAATACATAGTATACATGCTTTTTAAAATCCACAACAGAGTATTGCTACCTCAGCACTACTGACGTTTTGGGCCAGATAATTCTTTGTTATGGAGGACTGCCCTGTGCATTGTAGGATGTTTAGCAGCAACTGTAACCTCTACTCATTAGATGCCAGCATCACTGCCAAGTCGTGACAATCAAAAACTTCTTCAGACATTGCCAAATGTCCACTGGGGGAAAATCTCCCTGAGAACCACTGGTAAAGAGTAGTAGAAAACTGCTGTGTGGATTATAAAACCTCACTTAACTAAATTCCTGTTATGTGCAGTCCTTGTGCTAGGCACTTTCGGAGTTGGATTTTTTTTTTTTTTTTTTTTTTGAGACAGAGTCTCACTCTGTGCCCAGGCTGGAGTACAGTGGTGTGATCTTGGCTCACTGCAACCTCAGCCTCCTGGGCTCAAGTGATCCCCCTGCTTCAGCCTCCCAAATAGTTGGAACTACAGGCGTGCACCACCACACCCGGCTAATTTTTGTATTTTTTGTAGAGACAGGGTTTCACCTTGTTGCCCAGGCTGGTCTCGAACTCCTGGACTCAAGTGATCTGCCTGCCTCAGCCTCCCAGAGTGCTGAGATTACAGGATAAGTCACTGTGACCAGATCTGTTACCTGATTTTTGGATTCACAGTCGATTTCAACCTATTTATTCTCTCCACTCAGAACAAGACTGTTCTAAAAATGGACTAGATTTAGTTTTCTCTTCCTCTACACATCACCAGGTGATTGTTCTAACAAGCGATGAAATATGGGCCAGGCACAGTGGCTCACGCCTATAATCCCAGCACTTTGGGAGGCCAAGGCAGGCGCATCACTTGAGTCAGGAGTTCAAAACCAGCCTGGCCAACATTGCGAAACCTTGTCTCTACATAAATACAAAAATTAGCTGGGCATGGTGGCTCACGCCTGTAGTCCCAGCTAATCAGGAGGCTGAGGCAGGAGAGTCACTTGAACCCAGGAGGCAAAGGTTGCAGTGAGGCAAGATGGTGCCACTTCACTCCAGCCTTCGTGACAGAGCAAGACTCTGTCTAAAAAAAAAAAAAAAAAAGAAAGAAAGAAATATCCTGAAGCCCTGGAAACAAAAGGTAAAGGAGCAGAAATGCAAGGCAGATGGACTAATACCCAAACTGAATAATCATCCCCTGGATTATCAAGGATTTATTGTTCCAATTTCCTGCTTTAGAAAACTGTAATTATTAAAGGACAATAGAATCTCCTCTTTATTTTCATCTTTCTCCCTTTCAAAAAAACAATGATCTGCTCTCTAGAAACAACATAATGACAGGCAGCAGAACCTAAAAGGTCACTGAGCAAATGCTCCTCATAGTATATAATTTTAAGTCTCTTCTAAAGTTTTTTTTTTTTTTTGAGGGGGGTGGTTGATTAGGAGGAGGTCTGTGTGGAAACCCACCTACAAGGTTGTGTTAGTCCAAGGGGTCAGACTGCCCCTAGGCCTGTCAAAGTTCATAAAAGTTCCTGGTTAAAGTACCCACGAGTCCAGGTGCCATGGCTCATGCCTGTTCCCAACACTTTGGGAGGCCAAGGCAGGCAGATTGCAGCCAGTTCGAGACCAGCCTGAGCAACATGGCAAAACCCCCTCTCTACTAAAAGTATAAAAAATTAGCTGGGCACGGTGGTGTACACCTGTAGTTCCAGTTACTCAGGAGGTTGAGGTGGAAGGATCACCTCGGCCCGGGAGGTTGAGGCTGCAGTGAACTGTGATCACATCACTGCACTCCAGCCTGGGTGACAGAGTGAGATCCTGTCTTAAAAAAACAAAACAAAACAAAAGTACCCAGGAAAGAAAAAGTAGAGAATCAGGTATGTCAGGAATTCATGTTCTCAAACCAAATCAAGATAGGTTTTAAAATAATCAGGGTTATTGCTTTTCACTTTATAGGATGTTATAGTTTAACAACTACCAAATATAATGAATAGAATTTTGCCAGGAAATGGAGGAAATAAATTTTGTTGGGTGCTGTGAAGTCAAATCAAATCAAATCTTTGTTATATAGTTCAAAAGGACTGTTTGTGTTAAAGAACTAAACACTGGCTGTATTAAATATTTTTTCACTGCCTTTTAGAGTAGATTCCATGACCTGCTTGATAGACATGGTAGACTAGGTTGTTGGGTTAATCCACCATCTACTTTACCAATTGAATGGCCCCATTTAGGCCTATAATTAGCATGTAAATGATAGCTTCCAGAAATTGCCTTCTATATTTGGATAGAAACATTTCAGTCCTGTGCCAACAATATCATAACTTACCCATTTTCACAAAATGAACCTAGTTAAGTTCTTATTATAAGTGGTAGACCTCAACAATTTCCCAGACGGTTTGATTTTGAGTTAAATTTAACTTTTCTTCTGATGAGGTTAAAATCTTTTGAAATCATTTGCACAGATAAATTTGGTTACGACAACTACAGAGTTGGTGGCATAATTATTCACAAAATTACTATAATCCAGTCAGTGAAATTCCAGAGCCCTTCATTAAGATGCTACTGACACATCTGTAAGATATACTATACGATGTAATTGCATTCATTTAACTGTTTGACAATAAGTTGTAATAGAGTTTTTAAAAAATTTCAATATTGAGATACTTGGCAAAATGGATGAAATTATTACAAATCCCTGAAGGCAGACTAAGTGAAGCTTTATCTAGAAAAGTAAGTGTGAGGCTTTAGCATTCTTAGAACCTAGCACTGTTTTGAGAAATAGCTGCAAAATTGCAAAAGCATGCCTGCTGCAGATACTATATTTGGTCTTCATCTCCCACAAAAGGCAGAATGACCATGTGTTTTTAAATAAGTTTTTAGCTGACCAATACTTTTTTTCTTAAAGGACCCATCTGGTTAGTTTTTTCTTTTTTAAAAGACCCATCTGATTTAATTCAACTTTTGGCTCTTACAAGCGACAGAGATCAAGCAGCTTCCAGCTTTTCTCAGTGTGAAAGTCTTTCTGCTCCCAGGAGCCTTCAGGTCTGGGCTAGGGACCACACTGTGATAGAATACAGGCCTGTAGCTGAACTTTTTCATTGCTATTTGGATGGTAAACATCCAAACCTCTCAACTCAAAGATTTCAGAAATCTGCTTTATTTTCTGATCTTTAGGCCACTGTAAGGGGAGGGGAGGTTCCAGAAGGGACCACAGAATCAGCTATTTTTTAGAATGAAGAACAGGTCCAGAGAGCCTGTGATAGCAGCTCACACAACAGCCAGTTGCAGACTCGGGTATGAAACATTACACCCCTTCCTGATCCCTGATAGAATGTATTTCATTATACAGCCCCCTCATTTTCCCTATTTTGCTTTAGGTATCTTAAAATACGATTCTGAGAGACATGATGCAACTCCCCAGTTAATAGCATGGGACCAAACATTTCTTTGACTTGTGTTTACAACAAGCTTCCTGTCATTTTGCCTTACGTTTGTTGATGGAGTATTTTGGTAACTCAGCACAGGAGCCTGACTCTTACATAGATTGTGGCTGATTTTCAGAACTGGCTAATGTCGAACCAGCCATAGTATCTCCTCCTTTCCACAGCAGCTCTTCCCTCACCTCAGCCACGTCCTTCTCACCCTTAGCCGAAGACATCACTGCCCTGCTCTGCGCTGAAAATGTAGGCCCCCCAGAAAGAATGCTCACAGCTTCTCCGACATCCACATCTACACCCTTATCTTCACTTGCACCCATTTTCACTTTTCCCCCTTGTTTTGAGAGCAAAGTGTGTCTGATTGCAAAGTTCATGTTCTTTTCATGGTGGGACAGAGAAGACTAATCCTACACAATTAATGTTGAAGATGCAAGTGGAAAATAAATGAGAAAAACCTCTGAAAAAAATGAACATTAGACAAAGCTAAGATGACATCATTTTTAATGTTTTAGTCTCTAATTCCCCACCCTAATAATGAAGACATTATTATATTTAATTACCCCATAAAGCTTTCATTATCACTGAAGGAAAATAGGTGCAAATGCCTTCCTGATTTTTACATGTACTCCTCAAGAGGGCAGGTGACCATCTGGTGACTTCTGTTTTTTGTTCTTTTTTTTTTCTGGAGACAGGGTCTCCCTCTGTTGCCCAGGCTAGAGTGCAGTAGCGCAATCACGGCTCACTGCAACCTCTCCCTCCTGGATTCGAGGGATTCTCGTGTCTCAGCCTCCTGAGTAGCTGGGATTACAAGCATGCGCCACCATGCCTTGCGAATTTTTTTACTTTTAGTAGAGACAGGGTCTTACCATGTTGGCCAGGCTGGTCTTGATCTCCTGGCCTCAAGTGATCTGTCTGCCTCACCCTCCCAAAGTGCTGGGATTACAGGTGTGAGTCACCGTGCCCAGCCAGTCTGGTGATTTCTAATAGGCCTCCGGGCTGCCTGTGATTTTGTGTAAAAAAAATCAGTGCTGGGCTAAAAATACAATGTGGTTTCTCTCTGGCCCACCTCCCATAGGGAGTTCTCCTGGTCAAACACTGCCCTGACAAATGTAATGTAATAAAATGTAAAGACCAATTTAATTGTCATGTCCAAGGACAGGCATTATAATTGGAGTCATTGTTGTGGCTCACTTGGAGTTACAAAAACGTCAGTCCTGCCAGAAGATAGATTTATAGAATGCAATCCACAAACAGCAAAAAGGAAGAATCTAGGTCCTCCTCTTGCCTCTCAAGGGCTCACTCTGCTCTAGATGAACCCCTCCTGGGCCTGAAGAAGACAGCAAGCACTTTTAGCAATCCTTTGCTAATAAGAATGCTGACTTTGCCCTACCCACCTCTGAGACATAGAGGCAATTAGCCTGATTTTCATTGATTCCCAAGCCAAAGTGTAGATCCATGAAGTGAAGAAGAGCTGCAGTTTAAAGCTTACATAACTCTTACCCCTTTTTAACCTATGCCACACTTATTTAACCAACTCCTAATAACAGACAATATGGTAGTTTCCACTCTCTCAGTATTATAAATATTACTGGAATGAACGATTATAGCTAAATCTTTGTGCATAACCATGATTATTTCCTTATGATAAATCCCTAGATGTAGAATTGTTATGTAATAAAGTATGCATGTTTGAGCGCTTCCTTTTTTATTCATGTAATTAAATTGTTATTAAAACATTGTGCCAATTTACCCTCATATAAGAGCACATGATAATCCTTATTTCCTTGCATCCTCACCTTTCCAGGGTAATGTTATACGTGTGTGTGTGTGTGTGTGTGTGTGTGTGTGTATTATGCATGCACACATATATGTTTATATATATACATATACAGTCATACACTGCATAATGACATTCCAGTCAATGATGGACTGCATGTACAATGGTAGTTCCATAAGATTATACTACCATATTTTTACTGTACTTCTGTCTCTTTAGATATGTTTAGATACAAAAATACTTACCATTGTGTTGTAACTGTTGCCATTATTTAATACAATAACATGCTGTATAGGTTTAAAGCCCAGGATCTGTAGGCTATACCATACAGTCTAGGTGTGTAGTAGGCTATACCATCTAGGTTTGTATAAATATTCTATGATATCCTCACAAGGACAAAATTGCCTAACAAACACATTTCTTGGAATGTATCCTTATCATTAAGTGATACATGACTGTATATACATATATAAGTACATTTGAATGTATTTATTCAATTATCAATTAAAAATTTTTTCACTTTAGAAAACATTAATATGTATACATATGTATAGTACATATATTGAAAAATAAATCTTTCACTTAGACCAGAAAACATTTATATGTATATATGTACATATTATATATATTTAAAAATAAATATTTCACTTTAGACCCAAATATGCATATATGTATATATATAAATGGGTATATATATTTATACTTGCATCTAAAGTGAAAGATTTATGTTTTAATTCATAAATTGAACAATACAAACAGTGTACAGTATAAATACAGCAATTAATACAAACATCATACTCCAGGGTATTATGTTTTTAAAATATTTTGATAGACAAATGTATTATTTCATTACTTTTAAGATTTCTTTGGCTGGGTGTGTTGGCTAACACTTGTAAAGCACTTTGGGAGGTCATACATGGGTGGATCGCTTGAGCCCAGGGGTTTGAGACAAGCTGGGTAATAGTGAGACCACATTTCTACAAAAAATGCAAAAATTAGCTGTACATGATGGTGCACACCTGTACTTCCAGCTACTTGGGAGGCTGAGGTGGGAGGATCACCTGACCTTGCAGAGGTCAAGGTTACAGTGAGCTATGATCACACCACTGGACTCCAGCCTGGGTGACAGAGTAAGACCCTGTCTAAAAACATAATGTCTTTGATTATAATGAGGTTGGGTATATTTGTGCATTTATTTTCTGGTTATATTTCTTTTTTTCTGATTTGCCTGTATATATCCTATCCGCTTTCCTATTGCTTAGTTTACCTTTGGCTTATTGATTTATTAGATTTATATATTTATTTTAAATGTATTAAGACTTTGTTGCATATGTTGCAACCTTTTTTTCCCCCTCTGACTTGACATTTGCCTTTCAGATTTGTTTATGTGGCATTCCTCGTTTGAATAAAGCAGAACCAAATGTCTTGGTTTGAAGATTGAGATGAAATGGGAGGGCCACAAATAGTAATTTATCTTTGAGCATCGTATAGATAAACATGTAACCTGATACTAAACAAAAGTAAATGCTCATGGACTGTCAGTGATGTGGTGGGATATGCCAGAGGGAAGTGATTTGTGGACTCACTGGAGAGAGACTTCTACTAGAAGTAAGTACTAAACAGATAGTGCAGAAAATATCCAGAGAAAGACATATAAGAGGAGGAGGGAAAGGTAGGCATATCTATGCAAAAGGAAATAAGGTATGTTTCCTCTGGTGAAATTAGAGAGTCTTTATTAATGTGTGAATTGTCAATTTCTAATTGCATGAGTTGAGCTTATAGCTCTAGAGGCCAGCAAATACTTATTTGGTCTATGAGCTCAGAAAACCAGAGGATCCCCAGAGAATCTCAATGCGAGCATCAAAAAATAATGTGGCATCACCTAGAATTTGGGAAAATATTTCTTTAAAATGCAATGACTGTACGGCTGTGAAATATTCACAAGATAGAAGTTTGGAAGTGGGGAAGGGAAGTGGTATTTTCAGGTTCATAAACAAACTTTGGAATAAATGTTTGCCTAATTAAGCTTATTAGTAAAACTATAGGGAAAGAATGCCTGGTCTGTCTTTTCGGATGTCTCCATATTGCTGGGAGAACAAATTGCTGATCCAACAATGTTCCATGAAATTACTCAGAAAACTCACGAAAGAATGGACTGACATAAACACTATGTTCGTGTAAAGTATGTGTCAGCAACTACCAGTTGTGCTAATCTATCTTCCCAGTAATTTTCTCATAAGTTGGCATGAAACACAGAAGGTCTCAACAAATAACTGAAAGGAAATGAAACAGAAGGAAAACAAGAGTATCTCAGCCTGCCTTACTCATATTTAAAGCAATGTAGAATTCATGAACTCACAAATGATGCTGAGTTTAGCTTGAAAAACTCAAGAGTAGGTTCCTTTTCCATACTTAGCTCCTTATTCTTTGACATGAAAACTTATTCCACTTGACAGTATAATTTTCCTTGTTCTGTGTACAAAGCCACCTTAATCTGCTCTATAATGTGTTGATTATCTTGTCAGTAATTAATGACCTTTCTATTTCTACTTTGCTCTCAGCTGCTCTGCTTTAATAATGCTGGGACATTAATATCCTGAAGCAGTTCTCTTCCAGTGTTCCCAGACATCATGAAATGTGATAGGAAATTCACCTCCTCTCATGTGTCTTGTCTACACATTGGTTTTCTGCTTCCTTAATCTCTTTATAGCAGGGTGTCTGGCTGTTAAATAGCCAACTATTTATAAATCTCTACAGAAACTTTCTAGACTTGCTCTTCTATTCGAGTGAACTTCTAGAGCTGCCTTTAAAATTTCAGAACCCTAGGTATTTTACATGTAATCATATTGTCATTCTGTAAGGGCATAGTTAAAAAGATTTTAAAAGTGGAAATTTGAATCAAAGACTTAAATTTCAACTTTTTTTTTCCTAAAAGGGAAAGATTTTTGTAAGAGAAAATGAAGGAGTAGAGAAAATTACCAACAAGAACCATGTTGCACAATGTTAAAACACAGTTTCTGCTATTAAGATGCCAAAAATATAACAGGAGGTAGAAGAGACCTAGAAGTCATTTTAAAACATGTCCTTGTTTCACAGAAAGGTGACATGACATTCTGATTTACATAGTAAATGCTAGAGTCAGGGCAACTCTTTATATTCCTGAACTAGAGCTCCTTCATTACACAAATACCATTCCAACAAGTAAAACCCAAGTCAATGACTTATAAAAGATTCAAAGAGGAAGAGGCATTTGAGGTAGACATTGAGAGAAGCATAGGACTTTCCTGGGTATGTATAATGATTTCTGCAACAAGATCAATGAGATATACTTTGCTGTTGATAAACGCTGAGGGAGCATTGGAGGAGGAAGGCAGAGGGCAGAAGACAAGGATTTGAGGAATGAGAAGCCACACTGGAGTGAAGACAATAATTGAAGATACATCTTTCCAGAAGTTTGGAGGCTGAAGGAATGGGAGGGATTGGCAACTTAAATGGGTACTGAGATGAAAGGAAGGTTTATTGTTCATCGGTGTCGAATGCAGGAGACTAACATATATTGGCAGTATGCAAAGGACTAATGGAGATTGAAGATTTACGAGAGAGGGAATAATTTATGAAATAAGTTCCCAGAGGAGGCAAGAAGGTGAGATCAAATGCCTAGATGGGCAGGTTGGTTTTGACGAAGAGCAAGGATAATACTTTCTTTGTCAGATTGATCAGGAGATGAAGAGAGGCAGGTGAAGATTCAGAGAGGAACAGAACTGAAGGAGCTTGTGTTGGATGCCTTTATCCTTTGGGAGATGAACCCATGAGATCACATCCTAAGAATGAGGCAGGGAGGGTCAAGTTGGAAATTTGCGAGTGAAAATAGACCTGAATATCTGGGATGGGGGACGAGGAAAAGTCAACAAGAGATGAGATGCATAAAAGGCTTTCCCAGCAGAATGGAGGGGACAGTGGAGATTAGTCTTATTTTCTCCAGCTGTGCTGAGAAGACTGGGGTAAAGATGAAAGCTACCCTGGGTTTCCAGGCATTAGGAGGACCAAGGTGGAGAAGCCAGGAAGACCTGCAGGTGGGGAGGGTATGACGTGGAAGCAACCACATCACTGACCATGATCGCAGAATGGAGGCTGGATAAGCTGTGTTGTGGGGCAGGGAAAGGATTGGGATTTGCATGGGGGCTGGTAAAACTTGATTTAGGTTCTTGGGAATAGGAAAAGGCACAGTTTAAGAATGGGAAGCTGTTTCAAAGGGAAGAATCACAGTTCTTGGTTTTAGTAAATACCATCATAAAAAGTTCCAAAACAAGCCAAGCACGGTGGCTCACGCCTGTAATCCCAGCACTTTGGGAGGCTGAGGTGGGAGGAGAGCTTGAGGCCAGGAGTTCAGACCAGCCCGAGCTACTTAGTGAGACCCTGTCTCTGCAAAAAATGAAAAATAAATTAGCTGGCTCTGCACCCCAGCTACTTGGGAAGCTGAGGTGGGAGGACTGCTTGAGCCCAGGAGGTGGAGACTGCAGTGAACCATGATCGTGCCACTGCATTCCAACCTGGGCAACAGAGACCCTGTCTCAAAAAAAAAAAAAAAAAAATTGTTCCAAATCGGACTCAGCATACCATAAATGTCTTAATATTCACTCTAGCCAGGTATTCCTGGTTTTAAGTATTCACACTAAAATTCCTTGTAGGACAAATTGCTCAGGTGCTATGCTATAAGGGATTATAGTTTATCTTAGCCAAAGGCAGAAACATTTAATCTTCCTTTTTCCTTTGATGGAATTATGTTCTTCCTTACCATCAACACCTATTCATTGATAGTATAGTTTTCTGTCTTAACTATTTAGTGGGTTACTAACAGGAGAACCCACTCTGTTCCAGAAATTGCCTTGATGTTAGGAATTAAAAAAACAAAACAAAACAAAAAACATGGAGCCGTATTCTCCAGAAGCTTACATCTGATTTAACGAGACAGGTAAGTACAATTTCAACATAATGCATTAAGTGCTATGAGAGTAGTATGATGGTGATAGGTGCTATACAAGACAAGGGTTCTAGGTTAATTGCTTTGAGAAAATTGCCACCCTTTAACAAGGTTAAACTGGATTCTTTAACGTCAACCTTACTGAGAGTTTCTAATATGTCACTGTGCTTTGTGAATCTTCATGTGTGTGGAGTAGAGATCCAGTCTGCCAAGTTCTGCAAACTCATCTGACAACAGAACTCTTTTTCAATGGAATATCTCAAGGCATTTGTGCTCCACGAGACATAAGATGAGAAGGGCTGACACAAGATTCTCACCTAGTGAAAAAAAAATATGTATTTATATTTTTAAAAACTGGTTGGATGGGGGCTTTCTCCCAAATACATAAATGACTTTGAAGTTTTTTTTTTCAGTCCTATGACAGAGTAAAGATGCAGACTTAAAAGGATTTACCATGAAGATTTTAATGACTGCTGGGCTGATTATTAAGCCTGATCCCAGTGAAATGGAATGCCTTTAGTCATTTTCATTTATGGACTGTTTAACGATTTTTCTCCAAAAGAAATATTTAATGAACACAATATCGAGTTCCTCCCAGTGCTTCTAATTAACAGACCACTGAACGATCTTTGTTAAAGGAAAGGCTAGCTTCAGGCCAGAAGGCGTTGCAGGATCTAATATGTATGCTACCATGGGTGACCAAGCATAAAGATAAACTAAGGATTTGAATATATAAGGGCTAATGTTTGTGTCCATTGTTATGGAATTTCTGACAATCACTCTCTAGTCTTTCCTAATATTTGGCCTTTAGGAAAAGTGTTTTGGACTGAATTGTTCTCTCTCCTCATTATCCTCCTTAATGTGTGAAAGTCTCAATGTAACTGTTGATTACCTGCTCTCTATTTCATAAAGAGGAAAAACAGATCCAGAGGACCATTTCATGATTCATCCTTTTTCAAAACGTTTCTTAAAACATTAAATAAAGTTTTATTATTGTAAACTGTTTATAATTGTATAAAAGCAGCCATTTCTTTAAGAAAGTATCATCTTATTAAAATAAAGGTTTAATTCTGACCTGATTTTTAGTTTAAAGAACTTCAGAGCAAAAATCAGGTGTAGAATTATCCACGTATTAAAGAGATGTTGTCTATAAAACCTTATGGGGATCAGGACTAAGAAAAAAACATTCATTAGTCTTTTTCTCTCTGCTCAGCTAAATTTAATAAATGATATGTGTGGGTACTATGCTAAGAACTTTATATGCTAAGAACTTTATATGATGCATTGCCTTTGAGCTTTACCAGGTACTATGGATATATGGCTATACTCCTGGTATACCCATTTTACACATGAAAGAAAAGGAAGGCTCAGGAAGGTTACATAACTAGCTCAAACTATAATGCCGAATTTTGACCCCTCCTAGGAGCCAAAGTTATTTCTAAACTAGAACACCAGAAGGTTAAAAATAAAGTCCAAATTTTTTTCAGGAATCCTGAGAGTTAGGGCTGGACCTGATCCTACACTTTTGATGTTAGCCAGGCGAGGGCTGGGAGGCTTTTTACACTAGGCTTAGTGTAAAAAGCATCAATTCTGGAGTCAAAAAGACCTGGATCTGCTTCTCAGTTCAGCCACTTAATAGCTGTGTAATGCTGAACAATGTCCTTAATTTTCTGCCTGAGCATTCCTCATCTGTTAAATGGCGCTGGACTGCTTTCCTTCCTAGGGAGCTGTGGCATCAAATGAAGTGCTGGAGAGTGTTCAACAACAGCCTAGCCTCTGTTGTTGGAGGCTGTGATAATATCTCACAGAATCTGTCCATAAGGCTACTTTGCTAGAATGGTCTGAGGGAAACTCTTAGCGTTGCTTCATCCCTATAGTTTCTGCCAAAGATTAAACTACCCAGGGAAGACAGCAAGGGGTTATTAATAAGCAGCCCATTGTCCTTAAAACAGGTTGGATAACTGCAAATAGGAGAAAGCAAGGTAAAGCAACATCCAGAGTGGGAGGCCATCAGAAAGGCACAGGGGAGGCAGAAGGCAGGCATCAGGAGTGAGGGAAATAACTGGAGAGAAGCTGAAAGGCTGGACTTCTTTACAGTTCTGTGCGGGCTGCTGCTCACTCACCTCAGCTCTGGTCACATGTGACAACTCACTGAGAGGTGGAAATAATGTTCATGAAGGCACGTACTGTCTTTGAGTTGGGCCCTCAAGAACACACCTGACATGCTTTAGAATGGGTTCAGAGGTCACAAAAAGCATAGGCAGGTGACACATGTGTGCCAGGCTCTCAGTTTAGGCATTCATTTCTACTAGATCATCTGGGGGACCTTAAGCTAGACTGCATTCTAAAATGTCAAGGACACTGAAAAGAAATACTTTACTTCCCTCACAGGAGTACTGTGAGAATTAAATAACAAAAGGTGCCTACACCCCAAGGCAGGCTTGAAGAGCCTCATTTTCTCCAGGTGCGCAAGAACAGGCCTTCCCTAAGATTGGAGAGAGACCTTGACCACCCAAAGATACCCTGCACTAAAAGGCAGGCTTCAAAGTTGACTAGACCATGATTCAGACCCCAGCTCTGCCACTTCCCAACCCTAGAAAGTCCACCCACTCATTCTTTTATTCATTCATTGACCACATACGTACCAAACAAAATTTATTGAACAGAATTTTACTGATGACCTACTTTGCACCAGGGCACAGTGCTAGATGCTGTGGATACAGAGATGAACAAGACCGACAAGGTCCCTGTCCTCATGAAGGCTGTATTTTCACAGGAAAAGAGATGGACAATAAACAAGTAACAAATAAACAAATGAGATCATTTCAGATTTGGATGTTATACACAAAATAAACTGGGCAAACTAATGGGGAGTAATCTGGGTATGAGGAAAGTGGTTATAAACTGGGCGGCAGTCAGGAATGTTCCTTTCTGAGAGGAAGCACTTGACCTGGGACAAAAGCATGGGAGCCAGCTTGATATGGGAATGGCTAGGGCAGGAGGCACCCCCTGTGCAGAGCACTGGCCCTGGGCTAGGAAAGGCCTTGGGACTCAAGGAACAGAGAGAAGGCCCACGTAACTATGTGGACTGTGGGACTCTATGAATGTGGCAGAATGAAGGCAGATGAAGCCAGCAAAGTGGGCAGTGATCCAACTGTGCAGGACCTCAAAAACCACAGTATGGGATGAAGCTTTATTCTGAAGGCCATAGAACAGTTTCACGCAGGGGAGGTCCAAGATTTGATTCCTGTTTCAAAGAAATGATTCTGGCTGCTGCGTCTCTCTGTCTCTCTCTGGAGTATAGAGAGAGTAAGATGGAAGAGAAGATCCAGCTACGAAGATATTGAAGTCATTTAAGTAAGAAATGATGGTGGCTTAGACTAGGGTGGTGGCTGGAGAGAGAGAAGTAGACATGTTTGAGATGAATTTTAGGGGTGTCACTGAAGGGTTTCGTCTGGAATTTAGGGAAAAGTGGCAAGGAAACAGGAAGAATCAAACTATTTAAATTTCCTGAAACTTCAGTTTCTTCACCTAAATTTGGTGTTACTGTAGCGTATTAAGGACTGAACAAGAGAGCATGTGCTGCCCAGCACAAAGTAGGTACTTGATAAACAGCCAGCTTGTGCCTTGTTCTGACCCAGGTTGAACTCTGAACCTTCTAGAAGTTCCAGCAAGTTCATTTCAGGACTCAGTCATTAGAAATTCCAACTAATACAAAATGTATGCTAAGCTCAATAGGCTCAGAAAAATCTGTTAAACTGTCATCAGTTTGGAAGTAAAGTCAATACTGAGTTATTAAACCACCCACAACAGCCAATATGAAGCTTCCAGACAGACTGTGACACCTGACAAGTGTTGGCCGTATGCTTATTTGGGTGCTCTGTGACTTAAAACTCCTTTCTCAATGGCAAGAATTTTGGAGAAACATGTACTCTCTGTGGACAGAAACCACATGTGGAAAACAGTAGCGTAGGTTTGGGTGTCATAGCTCTGGAAAACTCTTGATCTCTGAAGCCTTGACAGGGGTTCCTGGCTTACAGGGTACACATGAGGACTACTGATCTGACTCCAGCTTTCTGAGTCACTCACAATGAAAAAGCTACCTAGGGGCAGGAAGACCATTCATCTAACTCTGTTGCTGCCCAGCTGTATGGTCACAGGAACGTCTCCCAGCACTTCAGGGTGGGGGACCTGGGCAGGGGCACTACACAGACATATCCTTGCACAGGCCTTTGGCTACCACAAAATCTGCTGGGCTACCATGCCTGGTTTCAGTGCAGCTCAGCTGCATATGAGCCTGAAATACACGGTCTTTCTTATTGCTCTCTTCTTTTTTGCTTTTATTGTGGTTATTCAGAGCAATAGTTCTCTATGTTGGATGTTACAATACCCTGGTGCACTTTATAAAATACTGATTCCCAGGCCCCACACCAAAAGATTCTGACCTAATCAGTATAGTAGATGCACCGCCCAACTGATCCTTCAGGAATGAAGGGCTTATTCTCCCAGTTGCTGAAAGTGTAGCCAGTGGACAGCACTCGGCTTGTTAATAATCTGTGGAAAGTTGCTCGGCATTTCAAGGCAATACCCTCTTCCTGAGGTAGCCAGCATCCAATGACCAATCAATATGGGACTATAAAGACAACATTGCTCTGAAACAGGACAACTCTGAAAGGCCACACCAGTTTCAGAGCTCCCTGTAGGTCAGCTGAGGCCTTCCTTGAGAATGCACTGCAGCCCGACAGCTTCCCCTGCCTGATCCTGCTTCCTTTCCTTCCTTTCCTTCAGTGGTGATCCCAAGAGCAACCCTCATAAACTTCCTGCAAGTAAGTCTCCATCTCAGGGTCTGCTTTCCCTGGTTTGAGGTAACACTTGGACATCAGCATTATAAAGCTCCACAGCTTTATAATTTCTTTTTTTTTTTTTTTTTTGAGATGGGGTCTTGCTCTGTCACCCAGGCTGGAGTGCAAATCTTGGCTCACTGAAACCTCCATCCACCTCCTGGGTTCAAGCAATTCTCCTGCCTCAGCCTCCAGAGTAGCTGGGACTATAGGCTTGCACCACCATGCCTGGCTAATAAAAAAAAAAAAAAATTTTTTTTTTTTTTTTTGAGACAGAGTCTTGCTCTGTTGCCCAGGCTGGAGTGCAGTGGCGCAATCTCGGCTCACTGCAAGCTCCACCTCCCGGGTTCACGCCATTCTCCTGCCTCAGCCTCCTGAGTAGCTGGGACTACAGGTGCTTGCCACCACGCCCGGCTAATTTTTTGTATTTTTAGTAGACACGGGGTTTCACCATGTTAGCCAGGATGGTCTCGATCTCCTGACCTCATGATCCGCCCGCCTCGGCCTCCCAAAGTGCTGGGATTACAGGCGTGAGCCACCGCGCCTGGCCTTTAAAATATTTTTAAGTAGAGACGGGCTATTACCATGTTGGCTAGGCTGGTCTCCAACTCCTGACCTCAGATGATATGCCTGTCTCGGCCTCCCAAAGTGCTGGGATTACAGTTGTGAGCCACCATGCCTGGCCCTCCCTAGGTGATTTTAATAAGGGTGAATAACCCCTGCTCAAAAGTCAGAATGTGGCAATCAGTCAACAGACAATTATTGAGCATCAACTGAGTGCCAAGTATATTGCTAGGTTTTTGGTCCCAGATGGAAAATTAAGAGAGAAATTAAGAAAACTGACTCTGATTGCAAAGCTAGTAAGTGGCAGACTTGGGGTTTAAAACTAGAGAGATTGCTGTGTCTGTTCTCCTAATCACTATGTTATGCTGTCTCCAAGATGATGGAGGGGAAGCATAGGATGCCAGGGAACCCTAACCTGGCCATGCTGGATAGAAGTGGAGAGTGGGGTCAGAGAAGGATTCTCTGAGGAAGTGATGTTTAAGCTGAGATCTAAATAAGAAGAGTGTAGGCAGAGGCAACAGGGAATGCAATAATCTAAGGTAGGAGAGAGCAGAGTGTGTCCCAGGAACTGATTGCTCAGTGTGATTAGAATGGAAAATGCAAGACGTAAACCTGGGGAGGTGGCTGATGCTAGAGCATGCCTTTTCTCTAAAAGCAATAGGAAGCCAAAGGGTCCCTGCAGAGGAGGGTTGCAGCACGATAACTCTACAGCTGGACAGAGACAGATTGCAGGGGAGCAAGAATGAATGGCAGGTGAGGATGGTTTTTAATTTCAATTGTCAGATTCAATTTAAAGACCAATGGTTCTCATCCAAGGATAGGATGACACCTCTAGGGCCATTTGGAAATGTGTGGAAATAATTTTGGTTGTTGCAATAATCACAGATGCTAAACATCCAGTAAGGTGAGAAATGTTCTCACTGCAAAGGCACAACTGTCCTCTTCAAAATGCCAAGGGCGCCCTCATAGGGAAATCATGCAATAAGCAAACACAGAAGGCTTAACTGTAGGAATATAAATGTTCTACGCCATAACAATGTGAAAGTTCAGTAATTGTGTATCTGGGAGAATTTGGGAAGTCAAGGGGGTAAGAGAGGTGAAGGGAAATGCGGGGTCGGGGGAGATTTATTCATTTTAACATGGTGGGGTGTCAAGAGACACTGTCTAAAGTTTATGGATCCAAAAATAAATGGTTTAGTGTACTAAAGTTGTAAAGGGAACCAAGAAAAATGTTCAAAATAAAAACAAAACTAAAAATTACGAGGAAGAGAGAGAAAAGCAGAAGGAATAGTATAAGTTCCTTCTCTTTCATAGTAGGGAGTCAGCCAACACAGCTAAGGTTAATGAATCAAGAAACAGAGGTGGAAATATAGAGTTATAGAGGAAGCCATCAGTGAATCAGGAAGAAAAACCATCAGAAAAACAAGAAGTGGAAGTAGAATTTTAAATATTTATGTATTTATTTATTTATTTTTTGAGATGGAATCTTGCTTTGTTACCCAGGCTGGAGCACAGTGGCATGATCTTGGCTCACTGCAACCTCCACCTCCTGGTGGCACAAGCGATTCTTGTGCCTCAGCCTCCTGAGTAGCTGGGACTACAGGTGTGTACCACCCAGCCTGACTAATTTTTGTATTTTTAGTGGAGATGGGGTTTCACCATGTTGGCCAGGCTGGTCTCGAACTCCTGACCACAGGTGATATGCCTGCCTTGGCCTTCCGAAGTGCTAGGATTACAGGCGTGAGCCACCACACCCAACCAAATGAGGCAGTTAGTCTTGATGTTTATTTATTTATTTTTAGATGGAGTCTTGCTCTGTTGCCCAGGCTGGAGTGCAGTGGCGTGATCTTGGCTCACTGCAACCTCCGCCTCCTGGGTTCAAGTGACTCTCCTGTCTCAGCCTCATGGGTAGCTGGGATTACAGGCACGTGCCACCATGCCTGGCTAATTTTTGTATTTTTTTAGTAGAGATGGGGTTTTGCCGTGTTGGCCAGGCTGGTCTCGAACTCCTGACCTCAGGTGATCGACTCGCCTCGGTCTCCCAGAGTGTTGTGACTTCAGGTGTGAGCCACTACTCCTGACTGGAAGTGGAATTTTGAGTTCAGCAGTAGGGACTAGTGAGGGAAACTCTGATTTCTCATTTTATCCCTTGTCTTAAATATATTTTTGTATGTTTATTTCTACCTGTATATGTTATATAAGTAAGTGAACTTTAGTTTCCTGCTTACCCAATGCATGCTTCTATGATGGATGTCAAATGGTTCTTTTGCTCTCTGAGAAGCTATTTCTATCTAACAGGGACCTGCCAAGAACTAAGGGCCACTTTGAGACATGTAGCCAGAGTTTTCTAGTGTTGAACTATACTGTCTCCTCATCTGCACTGGGGCTGAATCCATGACTAGTTCTTTCTGAGTGCTGTAAGAACTTCTCTGCCCCAACTGGGTCTAGATCCATTTTTCCCTAAGTGGTTGTGGGGAACTGTGCAGTTGCTGGGCGGCTTGGTAGTTGGCCTCCAAAGAAGAAAAGGGCAAATTCCTAGGGGCACCCTTATCTGCTAGGAGGCGTGCACCAATTCAGGTATAAGCAGAGACTCACTATAAAGGAATGGGCAGATTCCTAAACAACTCATGTTGTTAACAGAGGATAAAGTAGGGTCGGGGGAGGTGAGTGGAGTGATGAGCAGGAGTTTTCTAGAATACAGCATGGCCTGAATTTTAACCGTCTAAACACTGGCTCAGCTGGGTCTCTATTTGTCATTATTTTTTACAGCAACTGGTAAAACTACTCCTCTGTCTTTTTATGTAGCCCTTCTGCGGGCTTTACATGACATTGCATGGTAGTTAGTTGCTTACATATCTTAATCTTCTATCATCTGTGATCTCTTCTTCTTCAAGGGTAGGATCTGAGCCTCATTCATTTTTATATTCCTTGTACTGAGCATATACCTAATAAACACTGGTTGAGTAAAGAAAACGAATGAATAAATAAATAAATAATTAATTAAATCAAAGCCAAATGAATAAATAAAATGCTTATTTTATCCTCCTTTAAAAAAATCAGCAAAATAGGACATAGAGTGTAACGAAGATTCCATTACTTTCTAGTGCACCCCTGATTGTGGGACTCTGGTATTTGCTTGTATGTGTGTGCATGTGTGTGTGTACATGCGTGCATGTGTGTGTATTACTATAACTACTTGTAAGAGTTAAATAATTGGTAATGGGAACTCAAGTTAGGCCTTTGGGATCCCTAAGAAGTGCAGAGAAACTTGGATTTCTCCAGTACTAGTAAATCGAAGAGGAAAGTTCAATAATGCTGCTGCAAGAGTCCATCTATAAGATGACATTTATAGGAAGAAAGGCTTGTTCAAAAATTATTTGATATTGTCTAGGCAATGAGCTTAAAGAGCAAGAGTCTAAGCTAAGGGTAGAAACATGGTACCAGAAACACCTGTTTGCTTCCTCTCTCCTCCAGGGAGCTGAGCAATATAGCTCAATTTAGTTAGGTGATCAAAGACTGATAAAATCACGTAAGGAATACTTACAACACTATCTACTTAATTCGCATACAAATAATAAGAAGCCGTTTCTGTAAGATTGTGGTAAAACTTAGATGCTGCTACTCTGCTAGAGGTATTAGAAATCAGTTTAACTCTTTTAGAAATCAGTAAGTCAAGGAGGTTGCCATGCTATTCCTGCCTAGCAATGGAAAATAGTTTTTCTTCTTACCTAGCAATGGAAACAAAAGATTTTCAGAGATCTTTGATTAACCATGGTAAAGTTTAATGATGTCCTGGAGGGTTTTGTAATGGACTAAAAGTAACCAGGCAATATTGTGATAAAAGTGGTGTACTAGATTTCTTTGGCAGGAAGTTATAGATGGACACAGCTATGATTCTATCCAGATGGTTGTAACCAAGAGAAGTTCGGGCTATGAATGTCTGTGCAGGTTCTACTGTTCCCCCAAGTTTGCACCTTCCCCAGGGGAGCCTGCACTTTGGGTGACTCCTGGATTTGAATGTGATAGACTCATTCATTCATTCCTTCCTTCCTTCATTCAACAATGTTTATTGAACTACCACTGTGTGAGTTATCTGTTTGAAGGATAGCACTTTCTTATTTTTCTTTGGGACCCTTTCTTACACGACAGGATACTCAAGAGATATTTGCTGATTGACTGACACAGGCTGAAGCAAAATGGATTTTTCCCACACTGGTTTCATTCTGAGTTGCAGTTGACAGAATTTATTGCATCTGTAAAACTTCTTTAAGTTTATGAGTTGCTAAGCTTGAGAGATTTCAGCTTTCTTTTCCATTCCCCTTGCAATAAAGATCTCTTTTTATATTCTCATTTATATCAAAATCAGATGCTGACGGTTCCCTTATGTAAATTCTCTCTGGCTAGGGTGGTGTTGGTTCTATATTTTTTAATGAGCTTCCTCATCCTGTGTTCAGCTAGAGCCTTAGGTTGTTAACCTTAAAGCCTCAATGCAGAACCAGGCTCACTGATTTCACCTTTTTAAAATACTAGCATTCCCACTAGTGTGTGTATGTGTGTTTGAGAAAGAGGGAGGGAAAGAAAAAGAGAGAGAGAGAATTATGACTAAAGTTTCAAACTAAAGTTCAGCTGTTGAACTTGGACAATTCATGTACTCTCAGTCTTTGAATTAGTCTTAGGGAATTTAAGAGATAAACAAAAAGCAAACTCTCTAGGTGGCTGTGATTCAGAGACCCAGAAAACAGAAAATAACTGAAGGATTAACCTGTATGTGGCTGGGAGTAGGGTGTAAGGGTGAGGCCGTAGGCCTGAACAGAAGGAAAATAATACATCACCAGTTGACAGTAGCTAGACGGACATTCACAAAACTAGTCCAGCAACTGAACATGGACACAGGAGAAATTGGCTCTGCTGTACCTTGGTAGGCATGGGCTTCTTAAAGGTGATTTCAGCTTGCATCCAAACACCCCTTGGGGACTCCAACACAGACCAGATCTTCTCTTGAACCACATGGTTCTCTTCAAAGATGTAAACTGCTAGGGTGTCACTCATTTTTAAAAATCCATAGATGGCATAATGAAAACGCAGACAATACTGCAAGTTTCCTGGTAGGGAGGGCCCATAGAGCCTTCCAATGTAGCCAGGCTGAGATGTGAACTTTGTGTTGGCTAGCAGGTAATACCCTGCAAAGAAGATAAAGCATATCAGCAATGCAAAATAATCTAATCTAGATTAGCAAGTGGTAAAATATGATTAAAGTAGAACTAGACAGCAAAGACTATCAGCTATGCTTTAAATGATAGAAAGCATTTTCTAATGTCTGTGGCTTAAGTGACAGAAAATATCCATGTGCCTCTATTGAAATGATACCTCATTCAATTCTAAGTAAACTTTATAAACCAGTACAGATTTTCTATAGAATATGCCCAGATTCCAGTCATTAATTAGGATTTACACTTTTCATGAAACAAAAAGGATGAAGTCATCTTGGAGATACCAGCTGCCTGGGTCAACCATCTGACTTAGATTGTACATTCCGAGGACTGAACCATAGTGAATGGAAGGCCCAGAGCAGATTCTTCCTTATTATCTCCTTAGTGACCGATAGAGATGGTGGGATTTCAGGCTGGCCTGGCAGTCTTTGTGGAAGTTTGTGTGTCTGGGCAGAGCCTACTCCTCTCTTGGTCAAATGTTAAACCTGCCCTTGAAGAGCAGGTTTTTCATCAGATGGATCCTCCCAGGTGCTAAAGATCTATGTTCTTCCTTTATTCCTCCTAAACAACATAAAGAAAAATAAGATCAGGAACCTCCCCCTCCCACCATCCCCATGGTCAATTTAAAATGAGTTTGTGTATCCTGGAAAGCCTGGGCAGAAAAGAAAAAAATAATAACACCTTATTTTTTCTCTTTCTTTTTTCTGCTCCTCCTCCTGTCAGTTTTCTTTTGGGTGCCTCAGTCTTTGTATACAGTTTAGTTTTACCCAGTTATTTAACTCAAAAGAAGAGAAAGACATGCCAGAGCTCTCTATGCCTCCATACACCAAGAGGACATATGAGGACACAGGATAAGGTGGCCATCTGCAAGCCAGGAAAAGACCCCTCACCAGAAACCACCCTGATGGCACCTTGATTTTGAACTCACAGCCTCCAGAACTGTGAGGAAATAATGTCTGTTGTTTAAGCCACCCAGTCTGTGGTATTTTCTTATGGCTGCCTGAGCAGACTATTATGGATGGCCATACAACAGCCAGAAAAACCTTTTTGAAACCTCAGTTTCATCTGTGTTTTTTCTGCTTAAAACCTCTCAGTGGCTTCTCATGTCCTCTATAATAAAATTCCAAATGCTTCCTGTGGCCTGCCACACCCAGAATCTATCTCCCTCTCTGACATCATTTTCCTCCATTCTCCTCGTCACCATTCCTCCCCACGGTGCAGCCATACAGACCTTCCTATTCTGTGGTGTGACCAGCTCTTTCCAAATTCGAGGCCTTCACAGATGTTGTTCCCTCTGCCTGGGTCACTCCCACTCTCCCAGCTAATGGCAGCTTCCCTCAGAGAAAATTTCCCTGAATCCTGAACCCAAATTAGATTCTTCCCTCTATTCTGTCTCAGAGCTCACTCTTCATTTCTTTCTACTGTGAAAGAAGGGGATCAGAACATGCCACCCCAAACTATGTCACTTTGGCATTTTGATTATTTTGAGGTAAAGTCACTTGAGAAATAGCAGAGGCAGGAAGGATCCTTTGACCTCCCCTTTTCTATTATACTTAAAAGCAGGTCATAAAATTTCCTGTGAACAAGGTGTTCTCCCTGTCCCAGAAAGGGAGGAACATTCTGTCCCTAAAGACTGGGAGTTGACACCAAAATGGATCTGTACAAACAAACCTACTAACATAACCCTCATCTTCCATTGTTTCCTCCATATATTTCCTAGTCACTTTCCCACAATTTACTGCCCCTGGAAACTTAAGCCCCCTGACCCTTTTTTGTCTTGCTACTTCTCCGCAATTTTATCATCCTTTGTTTAAAATGGTGTTGAAGCTCTCAGGCCTATCTGCTTCTTTGGGTCTTCATTGTTTTTATGAAGGCTCCCAAGTGCAAGTCAAAATATTAAATAAAATTTGTATTTTTTTCTTGTTAATCTGTCTTACATCACTTTAATTCTCAGGTCCAAACATGGACCCCAAGAGGGTAGAGGAAAAGTTTTTCCTCCCTGACAGCACTTACCACAACCTGTGCTTATAAGTTTGTTTGCGTATATATTTGTCTAATGTTTCTCTTGCCCTTTGAAAAGATTGTCTGCCAGTGAAGGTGGGATTCATTTCAGATTCGTTCACTATTGTATTCCCCAGGAGTTAATCTGCTTGAATGTTTTATTACTTTGAAAATTGACAAACTGAGAGTATGGTGAGTCTTTTTGTCCCTAAACAGTTCCCCGTTTCATCAGTTCACTGCTCCCAGAATTCAAATGGTTCTCTAGAGATGATTTTCCAGTTAATCAGCCCAAGGTCAGAATAGATTTGGTAGGGCCTTTATTTCTACAGGTTAGGCAACCTCTAAGAAAAGAATACAAAATTACAAGCACAAAATTGTGAGGGCTCTTTCAAGGCCTTTCTCAGGCTGGTAGAAGGCAGGGGCCCTGGAACCTAAGCTTCACCAGCTCCACGGTAAACTCACCTCAGTCTCCAGTATATAAATATGTGTTGAGTAAGTGAATGAGACACTGAACTCCTAGAGATCAAGCTCTTCACACTTGTCTCCACTGGGTTGGGCTCCACAAAGGCTGTCATTGAATTAATAGGTAATCCCTACACAAGGAGCACTCAGACTCCTGTTTCAAAAAGCTCCTTGTAAATATATCCATCAAGTGTCCACTCAACATTTTTTAATAGCTTTTCCCCTCAGAATAGATTTTTTAAATTATAGTAAAATATACATGGTATAAAATTTACCATTTATCCATTTGAAAGTGCACAATTCAGCGGCATTTTGAGCATTCACAATGCTGTGCAGCCATCACCACTATGTAGTTCCAGATCATTTTCATCACCCAAAGGCAACCCCATACTTAAACACTCTTATTCCCTCTGCCACGGCCCCTGGCAACCACTGAAATCTGCTTTTTATCTGTAGGAATATGTCTCTTCTGGAGATTTCGTATAAATACAATTCAACAGATTTTTTTTCCTTAAAGGTATTGCATCTAAAGTGAGTTCCAAAATATTTTACAAGGATTTGCCTGTTTAATTAACTAGCAAATATGTTTGTTAACACGGCAACTTGAATTCCAATTTTTAAAAATGGTCAAACACAAGACTACTGATTGTCTTTGCTTCTTCACAGCTGCCTTTTTTCTTTAAGTCGATGTCTTTGCAGGTGTGAAGTAGGAATGGCCAATAAAGCTCACGACTACCCAAGATGTCCCCACATAGACAGATCTCTGATTTACCTAAGCCTGTAGTGTGGTCTCCAGCCCGATACATGTTTGGTTTTACTTTCACTCGGGTCCAACCTGGACCTTCTTTATCTTGGTAAAAGTTGCAGAGATCTTGCTCAAAATTGCAGCTGGCTTCCACGGCACTGAACAGAAGTTCTGAGCAAAGGACAAGCAAAGTTAATGACAGTCCCAAAGATCTCAAAGGACTACATCAACTGGTTGACAGATATTTATATATACACATTTGTACCAGGGGAGACCGAAGAAGTAAAACACAACTAAATATCTTTATCCAAAGGGCATGCTGACAGGTTAGAATCAAACCAACATTTCAACATGACAGGAAAATTGTTCTTTTCCTTTCTAAAGGGAGGGGAGAAAGGAGCACTGTTCACATTATAAAAATGAAGTACCCGACTTCAAAAGAAATTTCCTCCCATGGAAATGCAAATCAAAACCACAATGAGATACCATCTCACACCAGTTAGAATGGCGATCATTAAAAAGTCAGGAAACAACAGGTGCTGGAGAGGATGTGGAGAAACAGGAACACTTTTACACTGTTGGTAGGACTGTAAACTAGTTCAACCATTGTGGAAGTCAGTGTGGCGATTCCTCAGGGATCTAGAACTAGAATTACCAATTGACTCAGCCATCCCATTACTGGGTATATACCCAAAGGACTATAAATCATGCTGCTATAAAGACACATCACACGTATGTTTATTGCGGCACTATTCACAATAGCAAAGACTTGGAACCAACCCCAAATGTCCAACAATGATAGACTGGATTAAGAAAATGTGGCACATATACACCATGGAATACTATGCAGCCATAAAAAATGATGAGTTCATGTCCTTTGTAGGGACATGGATGAAATTGGAAATCATCATTCTCAGTAAACTATCGCAAGGACAAAAACCAAACACCGCATGTTCTCACTCATAGGTGGGAATTGAACAATGAGAACACATGGACACAGGAAGGGGAACATCACACTCTGGGGACTGTTGTGGGGTGGGGGGAGGGGGGAGGGATAGCATTAGGAGATATACCTAATGCTAAATGACGAGTTAATGGGTGCAGCACACCAGCATGGCACATGTATACATATGTAACTAACCTGCACATTGTGCACATGTACCCTAAAACTTAAAGTATAATAATAATAATAATAAATAAATAAAAAGAAATTTCCTGTCATGACTGTGAATGTTTATTCATATACTTCTTCACAATTCACAATTCATTCATAAAAATTTTAAAAGAAAAAAGAGAAAAGGAAGAGATTTTATGGGACTCAATCTGTCTCTAAGATGAAGATTTTAGATATAATATTTTATAGAAACAATTTTCCTTTGTTGCTCAATCTCTGTGTCAGAAGCACAGCTGATGTCTACTTTGACATCAGTAGTAGGAGCTGATCTGCTTGAAGAAAGTCATCACTCAGTTTAAATTGTGCAGGTCAAAGAGTCACAGTTCTGTCATGGGTACTGCTATTGCTTTGACTTTGCCGAGTTCTGGTATTATTTACCCTGTTCTATAAATACCTCACCCCAGATGGCCTGGAGGTAACATAAAAGATTTCTGCTCTTTGAGAAGACATACAAATGGCCAACAGGTATATAAAAAAAATGTTCAACATCACTAATCAGCAGAGAAATGCAAATTAAAACTACACGATATCATCTTAGTCAGAATGGCTATTATTAAAAAGACAAAAATTAACAGATGTTGGTGAGGATGTGGAGAAAAGGGAACTCTTATACAATGTTAGTGAGAATGTAAACTAGCACAGCCACTATGGAAAACAGTGTGGAGATTTCTCAAAAAAATGAAAATAGAACTGCCATTTGATCCAGCAATCCCATTACTGGGTATCTAGTCAAAGGCAAAGAAATCAATATATCAAAAAGATGATGCACTTGTATGTTTATCTTAGCACTATTAACAGTAGCAAAGATAAGGAAACAACCTCAGTGCCCATCAGCGGATGACTGAATAAAGAAAGTATCATATGTACATACAAACTGGAATACTATTCATCCATAAAAACAATGAAATTATGTCTTTTGCAGCAACATGGTTGGAATTGGAGGTCATTATCTTAGGTGAAACAAGTCAGACACAGAAACACAAATACTACATGCTCTCACTCATAAGTGGGAGCTAAATAATGTGTACACACTGATACAGAGAGTGGAATGATAGGCGGTGGAGACTTAGAAGGGTGAGGGAGTAGGAGGGGGTATGGAAGGTAAGAAATTACTTAATGGGTACAATGTATGTTACGCCAGGATGGATACCCTAAAATCCTCACTTAACACTATGCAATCTATGCCTGTAACAAAACTGTATTTGTACCACATACATTTATACAAATAAAATGCTTCTGCTCTTTTGAGAATAACTTTTAATCCTATCAACAATTGGCTTGTAAATCACACTGTTCAGATTGCCCTCTTAGAACAGAGGGGATGTGACTGTAGCAGTTGGGATACAGTCGGTGCAGCCAAGTGTGATTCTTGTCTGAATGCTGACATACACGTCTAACAATCTAGGGAGAGAGGACATGTGTTGAATAACTGGAAAATTATCTCTAGGGAAACATTTGGGCTCTAGGAGCAGTGAGCCGATGAAACAGCTCACTATAAAAACTTACTATATTCTCAATTTGTCAATTTCCAAAGCAAGAAAACATTCAGGTGGGTTGAGGAACTGACCCAGATTAAAGTGGATGAAAGAGGCATGACAATCAAATGCTACCAGGGATGCAAGATTCAATCTTGGTCCAGAAGAACACATATCTATAAAGGTTGTTATTGGGGCAATTGGAAACATTGGTGTATGGACCGAAAGTAAGTTGATAATGTTGTATCAGTATTAAATTTCCTGAACTCCGTAATTATCCTATAGTTATGCTGAAGAATGTGTTTGATTATAAAATACACACTAAAATATTTAATGGTAAAGGGGCATGATGTTTGCAACCTATTCTTAAATGGTAGATAAAGCAAACATGGCAAAATCTTAATTTGTAGAGCTGGGTGAAAAGTATATAGGAGTTCTTTGTAGTTTTCCTGCAGATTTTGTCTGAGTTTGAAATGATAGAAAATTAAAGAGCTCCAAGAAAATTAAATTTTAAAAAGTAACTGATTAACAACACATTACAAAAAAAAAGATTAGGTAAAAAGTGTTCCTATATAACTAGAACCTGATTGTATCTCAGGGGATATACCCTAGGAAGTGCACCAGGAGCAAACCCAGATGAGCCAGACTGGAGAAGAGGAAATGAAGAGAATTCTCAATGCTCTAAGATGGGTAGATTAGCCCACACCCTGGTCTGCCTGATTCTGTCAGCACCAGGGTATATCTTTAAGCCCTGAAGATAAAGTCTGTGAAAAATGAACAAGATGTTACATGAACAAGGATCCTTTGACATTCTCCCATGGATATTTGAGACCACAGGAAACCCCATTAAAGTATTCAGTATTAGTCACCCCTCTGCTACTGGGTAATAAAAAAACAAATAAAAATCCCAAATCTACAGAGGGCCATCTAACTCAGGAAATGGGGTGGCACTGCCAAGTGCCATGCACGAAAACAGTAGGTCAGTGAATTCCTCATCAGGAATGAATCTTCCCCCTTCCTCCTTTTTTTTCATTCTTTGTCCCAGCTAGAGAGGGGAGAAGAAGAAATGAATCTTAAAGCAGTGCTCTTGGGCGACTGCAAGAGAATCTTAACTCAGTTATTAGATGTGTGGGAGGGGGTGGAAGGTGGCATAAAAACGTGAAAGTTTACAGAAGTTTTATTCATAAGCACCAAAACTTGAAAGCAACCAAGCTATGTCCTTCAGTAGGTGAGTAGATACATAAACTGTGGTACATCCAGACAACTAAATATCACTCAGCGCTAAGAAGAAATGAGCTATCAAGCCGCAAAATGATACGGAGTAAACTTAAATACATATTACAAAGTGCAGGAAGCCAGTCTGAAAAGGCTACATACTCTATGATTCCAACTATGTGACATTCTTGAAAAGGCAAAACTATGGGGACAGTAAAAAGAACAGTAATTGCCACGGGTTTGGGGGAAGGAGAGGTGAATAGGCAAAACATAGAGAGTTTTTTGTTTGCTTTTTGTTTTTGAGAAAGGGTCCCACTTTGTGGTCCAGGCTGGAGTGCACTGGTGCAATCTTGGCTCACTGTAGCCTCTGCCTCCTGGGTTCAACCTATCCTCCTCCTTTAGCCTCCTAAGAAGCTGGGACCATAGGCATGCACCACCATGCCTGGCTAATTTTTGTATTTTTTGTAGAGACAGGGTTTCACCATGTTGCCCAGGCTGGTCTACAACTCCTAGGCTCAAGCAATCCACCCTCCTTTGCCTCCCAAAGTGCTGGGATTACAGGTGTGCACTACCATGCCTGGCCTGGATATAGAGGGGGTTTTTAGGGCAATGAAAATGTATGATACTACAATGGTGGATACATGTCATTATACATTTGTCCAAATCCATACAGTATACAATACCACGAGTGAACCTTAATCTAAACTATGGACTCTGGGGACAGTGATGTATATGAAGGCACAGGGACTATGAGAGACCTCTGTATCTTCCTCTCAATTTTGCTGTGAACCTAAAACTACACTAAAAAATAATGCCTATCAAAAAAAGCTTAAAAGTAAGCCAGGATCACTTCTCTCCATGGTGATAGACTGAGTCATACAGAAAATATTTTTCTGATGATGGGATTATAATATTTTGCTAATGAATAGATTTGAAATGGATTTTCCTGGGGTCTTGAGGAGGTCTGATAAAAAAAAATCTCAAAAGCATAACTCAGGGGCTAAATCTTTTTCACCTAGAGTGCTGCTTCTACCCTGAGACAGTGTCTGATTCCTGAAGATGGGGCCAGAGGCCTGTCTGTGACCTGAGTGGGTGCAGAGGCTTTGCTTCAAGCTTGTTTCAGAGGTGTTAGTAAAGGGCAGATCACAAATTTAGCTGCTGGGAAGTGCAATGATGTATTTGAAGCATAGGGAGGAATCAGAGGCAGTTGGAAGCCTCTGAGCATCTGTTGATGATCAAGAAAAAAAGAAAAAAGAACTAAAGCCCCTTTAAGCAACTTACCAAAAAGCATCATAATGTAAGGTTTAGTTAATTACTTGCTTTCTGACATTTGAACTTTTAAGAAATGAGAAGCTTTGAAGATAATCTAATTAGCGGGAGTGTGTTGCAGTTTGAGAGTAGTTGGAAACATTTCTCATCGTTTCCTCTGCTCCCTGGAGTTCACGGAGAGAAACTCAACATCGGTCCCACAGACTAAAAGGCTCATCAGCCCCTAGAGTACTAAAAGATAGATACTGGGGGCAGTGTGTTCTCTACACTGCTAACCTTGCAGGGTAGTTTTACTCTAGCATGTGCCAGCCCAAAAGCAGGCTGAGACAGCTCAAAGCTGGCTTGGGTAGGAGAGGCAGTGGGACCTGGCACCACACTGAAGACCAATGGGGAAACAAGGGCCAGAGTCACCGACTAGGCTGTGGAGACCCTTGGGGGCACTTAAGATAAGAAAGGCTGGGGCAACCTTAGCTGTAGCCTAGGCAGTAATTGGGCCTGGGTTTCCAAACAGACAGGAGGTTGGGGCAATGTGTTGTCAGTGAATGGCCAATATTGGGATTTAGGTAGTGATTCTCTGAGAGGCGTTCCCATGAGTGTTAGGATATACCCAGTCACTGGGTGTGGGGTGGACCCAAGCCCAGAAAGGAGATTGGGTCTGCATATGGCAGAGCAGTAGAGCTCTCAGTTTGAGGCTGGGCTTTATGGCAGGATTCTAGAAGTGAATGGGATCACCTCTTAGGCATTCAAAGATTTACAGACCAAAAGGAAGGCTTGCTCCCATCTTCTAAACTTTGGGACAGATGTGGTTGTGCAGGGGGAGAGTGAGGGGGCAAAGGGATGGAGAAGGAAGTGGGGGATGGTCTCACGGTCCTCTGGAAGCACCGGGTGTGGGGGGCAGTTCATTGGAGGGCCACATGACATTGCTGTTGAGTACCTGTGACTATGAGATGGGTCTCAGGTCCGGGAGACTGGATTAACTCTAAACGCAACCAGATGGTGGGAACAAGATGCTGTGTATGTTGATATGATTCCTGTCTTAGCCTATTAGGGAGATGAGGGAAGAAAATGCTAGGTCCAGCTGGGAAAAGCAGAGACAAGAAGTCTGGAGTTAACCAAGTTAAGGAAAAAATGTTGGCACCTGTTATGAAACAGAAGGGCATAAACTATTTGTGAAATGTAAGATGAAGTATGAAAATTAAAAGGCTCAGCTTCTAAAGACTCAGTCTGGCCCACAGCTGCTCAATGAAAGACATAAAGCAGGCTCCAGCTGACACAATCATCAAGCTAGTGCCCTTTGCTGGTTCTCTTTAGTTGCAATCTGACCCACTGTTCTCCAGGGATGGGTGGTCATATTTTGAAAATAAAGTAAATAATACTGTCTCATGATGAAGCATTTTCTGTGTACCATACTCTGTGCTAAGGCCTTCACAGACATTAACTCATTAACTTTCCCAACAAGTCTATGAAACAGCTTCTTCCGTCTTTGCTATAGATGTGGAAAGAGTCTCAAAGAAGTTAAATAACATGACCCATGCCAGATAGCTTGGAAGTGGCAGAATAGGGATGTGAATCCACATTCCTGGTGGATTGAGCATAACACTACGATGATGCAATTAAACCATTTAAAGCCAAGCTGGCATAGTGGGAAGTTCTGAAGATCAGTATGGAGACTTGGTTAACCGAACTGTATAAGAACTCATATCTGCGGAAGTTCCTGCACAGAAGGAGTCTGTGCTTTGCAGACTGAGGGATCAACAGCCCTCTTAACACATGGTCCTTGTTTTGCTGGAACGTTTCTTTTCCTTTCACCAGACAGACCACCTGTGTAGTAGGAAAGAGCTCACACAAATTCTCTTTTTTTCAAAAGGAGGAGCATTTCTGAACATTACTTGTGGGTGATTCAGTTGGTTCTGTTACTTCCAGCTGCCTCTTCACCCACCCTCTGCCCAGCGCAGATATTAGATAAACACCTCTTCTACCATAGACAAAACAAGGGAATATAAATTTCAGCGTCACTGCCTAGTGATAGAAAAAAGATTTTGTCTAAAAATAATGATAAAGAGATTATAAAATTACTATGAATGTAATTGAAATATCAACTGATAGGATTAGGGAGGAATCAAATGTAGAGAAGTAAAACAATGTTGGTTTCTGTGTTCTGTCAAATTTAGAGACTCTTTTAATCTTTGATTATTGTTTGGATTAAATCATTAAAAAGTATGTAAATCTAATCTGGTTCTATCTGTTTTACAACCTTTTAAAAGATTAGAATTAGGAAAAATAGTATTCAATTTCAGCAAATTAGTAGATTGCTGTCTAGTTTTGGGGTAACAGTTTAGCTCAAGTTGAAAATATTTTTCCATGTAAACTGTGGCTCACACCTGTAATGCCAGCACTTTGGGAGGACAAAGTGGGAGGATCCCTTGAGCTCAAGAGTTCAAGACCAGCCTGGACAACATAGTGAGACCTCATCTCTACTAAAATAAAAACCAAAAAAACTAGCCAGTCTCAGCTGCCCAGAAGGCTGAGACAGGAATATCACTTGAGGCCACGAGTTTGAGGCTGTGGTGAGCTGTGACTGCACCACTGCACTCTAGCCTGGGTGACAGAGCGAGACCCCCCAATTCCCCTTCCCAAAAAAAAAAAAAAAATTTCTTAGTCCCCCGATTTGCAGAATGTATCTGAAATCATATTAAATTACAAACCAACTCTATCTTGAGTGAAAGACCTCAAACGCCAAGTTCATAAATTACTTTCCATGCTACATAACCAAGAATAAGGGCTCACTAATAAGGCGGGGTGACCATAATGTCTCCCTTGGTCTCTCAAGGAAACAAATTCACTAAACAGTAAGGTCAATTTTATTTATCTGGGTTATCATTACTATATTATTATCCTTCTTATTATAAAACATTTGCTTTCTAATTCACTTTGAATCAATTTGCTTACCTATTTTTCCAGAGAGTAAAAATAATCCTCTCATTTTAAACATCAAATTTATGAAATCTCAAAACTGATCATGATAAAATAATTTGAGGGTTCATCCTGGAAGTGGAAAGTAATTTAATTAAGAGCACATGCTATTTAGCTAAAACTATCTAGAGATGTCTACCAAATACTAACGTCTTTAAACATGAGGCCATTTATAAATTTTGGATACATACAGTTGGAAAGCGTTTTTAAAATATATTATTCTATTCAGTAGATTGTGAGAGCTTTGTCCATCTACCCAGCCACCCATTTATGGGCCCAAGATATCCTCTAAAGAGAAAGATGGAGTGAGTGTGTGAGAATAAGTTAGTATTATTTAATTTTCTTTTCCTGGAAAGGAAAGATGAAACCTTCCTAAGATAGGACAACTGGCTGATGGTGTCAGAAACATTAGATTCCCTCTGTGAGGGAGGAAAAGAGAGTAATATTCCAGAAAAATGACCTTTGATTAAATAATTTTTTAAGGATGACAGAAGGGGAAAGATATGAAAATTAAAAGCAATTAAAACAAGTTCTGACCACAAACATCTATTGAAACAGGAACATCCCAAAATGCAATGACAAATAGAGAATGCTCACCTGTCTGATTCTGGCAGTGAACAGGAGAGAATGAAATATCATCCAGGGCAACATAACCTCCCTTGGGACCATTGAAAGCAACTTCAAAAATAACCTGCAGAGGAAAATGGCATGCTGTCACATGTTCACATATTTTCGGTTTGGCTTAAGTGCTCTTAATGATTTAAAATGACATGTCAATCAAACCAGATGAAGCCAAGTTACAAGGACTCATGGAATCAGATTTCCAAATATGAGTTTGGGCAGCACCCTCCTCAACCTACAGTCTCTTTTTGGGAGAATGAAACTGCTATGATCTGAGTGTCTGTGGGACACTCACAAATTCTCAAAAGTCATACGTTGACATATGAACCCCTAAGGGAATGGTAATAGAAGGTGGGGCTTTTTGGGAGGTGATTAGGTTTTGGAATGGGATTGGTACCCTTATAAGTGAGGTCCAAGGGAGCTCATTTGCCCCTTCTGGAATTTGCGGACACAATGAGTAGGTGCCATATGGACCAGGAAACAGGCCCTCAGCAGACGCCAGATCTGCCAATACTTTGATCTAGGACTTCCCAGACTTCAGGACTGTAAGAAATACATTTCTGTTGTTTATAAATTACCTAGTTTATGGTATTTTGTTATAGCAGCCTGAATGAACCAAGACAGAGTCTCTAAAGTTGCCTTTTATTGATGGATATGCCCCTCTTCCTTGAATGTCAGCTGAAGTGCCTATGTCATTTCTGCTAGAACTACAGAACTAATTAGCATTATGAACTTCAATTAAAGGAAAAATCAGCTAAGAAAGTAGGCCAGGTTTTTTTTTGTTTTTTTGTTTTGTTTTGTTTTGTTTTGTTTTTTTACCTCCCTGCCATCCCTCAGGAGCAAACACCCTCTAAGTTCCTTTACTTCTTCCTATATGAACTCTACATCAAGGCCTGGACAAAGATGCAGCAGTCAGAGGTGAGAACCCCGATCTCAGCATGTCCAGGTATGTTCCAATGGTTAGAAAGAACATGGGCCAATGACTTCAACCCCTTTAGTTTTGCTTTCTTCTCTACCAGCAACTTTAACTGTGAGCTCAGTCAACCACCTTCTGCCTGTGACCATGGGGGAATCAGATGTCAGCACAGCCTTCACCTGTGCTGGAAAAACCACCCAGGTATGCATTCCTCTTGTGTGAGTTAATAACCTGAGAAGACGCAGCATGGAACAGGGCTTGAAACTTCAGTGCCTACAAAGTCCAGGCAAGTAGTAGAAATGCAGAAGTGGGCTTGGTATGGTGCAGCCTCTTGTGAAATAGAGACAGAAACCCTGTCTAAAAGGGCAGCTGTCACTCAGCCTCATCAATTGCTGATATGTGGGAAGTCAGGCCTGTTATGGGTTGACCTGCGTCCCCCTGCATCCCTCACACACAATTCCTGTGTTGAAGTGCCAACCTCTAGTATCTCAGTATGTGACCTTATTTGGGAATAGGGTCACCGCAAATGTAATTAGTTAAGATAAGGTCATGCTGAAGTAGAGTGAGCCTCTAATTTAAACGACTGGTGTCCTTATAAAAAGGAGAAATTTGGATGCAGACACTCTCACACACACACACACACACACACACACACACACACACAGAATGCCATGTGAAAATGAAGGCAGAGAGCTACAAGCCAAGGAATGCCAAAGATTGCCAGCACACCACCAGAAATGGGAGAGAGGCATAGGGCAGATTTTCTCTCATGGCCCTCAGAAGGAACAAGCCCTGCCAGCACCTTGATCATGAACTTCTGGCCTCCAGAACAATGACATACAAAATTTCTGTTTCTTAAGCGACCTGTTTTGTGCTACTTTGTTATGGGCAGTCCTAGCAAACAAATACGAGGCCTAATGTCTCTGTATCTAGCAAATTATCAAGAGGATCTGACTCTAGATTTTATCTGAAATCTTTGAGTTTGTCAATGCTGGCAATTAATTAAAAAATTAAAACAAAAATAAAATGAAAAACCCCACTCCACAGCCAGACAGATCACCACTGTGGACTAGATTTGACCTCTAGGCTTCTAGTTTGCAGCTTCTTCTGAATAGAATAGTTTCTTGGAAGCAGACAGACCAGAGTTCAAATCCCATTTTCATCACTTATTAGCTAGGTGGGCCTGGATATATCACTGTATTAGTCTGTTTCAATGCTGCTGATAAAGACATACCGAGACTGGGTAATTTATACTGGAAAAAGAGTTTAATGGACTTACAGTTCCATGTGGCTGGGGAGGCCTCACAATCATGGCAGAAGGCAAAGAGGAGCAAGTCACATCTTATGTGGATGGAAGCAGGCAAAGAGAAGAGAAGAGAGCTTGTGCAGGGAAACTCATCCTTATAAAACTGTCAGATCTTATGAGACTTATTCACTATCACGAGAAAGGCATGAGAAAGAACTGCCCCCATAATTTAATTACCTCCCACTGGGTCCCTCCTACAACACGTGGGAATTCAAGATGAGATTTTGGTGGGGACACAGCCAAACCATATCAATCAGTTAACCTCCCAGGGTCTCAGTTTTCTTATCTATAAAACACCTGTCTTGTAGGACTGTTGAGGAGATTAAATGAGATAATGTATACAAATATCCGAGCACAGAGTCAGGCACATAACAAGCTCTGAACTAATTTTCTATCTTTTTCTGAAGGTTGGTTGGCCGCAGTGGTTCATGCCTGTAATTCCAGCACTTTGAGAGCCTGAGGTGGGCGGATCATTTGAGCTCAGGAGTTTGAGACCAGCCTGGGCAACATGGCGAAACCTCATCTTTACAAAAAATACAAAAATTAGCTGGGTGTGGTGGCACATGCCTGTAGTCCCAACTACTTGGGAGGCTGAGGTGAGAGGACTGCTTGAACCTGGGAGGCAGAGGTTGCAGTGAGCCAAGATCACTCCACTGCACTCCAGCCTGGGTGACAGAGTGAGACCCTGTTTCAAAAATAATTTTTTTTTTTTCTGCAGGTTGACTCCCTCTTGAACTTCTATTCAGGTTCCAGCCTAGCTAGCCACTAATTAGCTTGAGCAGGCCCATTCTTCTCCAGCCCTCGGTTTCTTCATTTTTTGAAAAGAAAAAGAGTTTGGACAAAATAGTTCTTAAAGTACCTTTCACCTTAACAGTAATGGTCCCATAAGGACCTGGTACCTAAACTCTCCAAAATCCACGGGGAAGCCTAGAAGTTTGTCTTTGCCAAGGGGGAAGGGCTATGAATGAAGGAAAAGATGTGGACTTATGAGAAGGGGGCAAATTAACATTACAAACTTAACACAGGTCCATGACATTTAGCTCTCAAGGCACTAGCTGGTAAAGAAAGTGAATGGCAAAATTTACACTGAGCCGGTGGGGAAAGAATGCTATTCCTGATCAGCATGTGCTAATCACAGCCTCTGTGCCAATGTGTTCTCTTGTTCAGACAGTCTCCAATGTTTGTTTTCCTTCTCAAAATTCACTTGAGAATGTGATGACATTAAACTCACTGATTTCTTCAGGACAACTTTCTTTTCCTGATGAGTGAGAGCAAATAACACCAGTGAATAGTTCAGACTAGTAGAGCAAAATCACATGTGTTGACCCAAAGGATGTGTATTGAGGTTTAGTAGTGTCCAGAGTTGTAACTTTTCAAGTATTGATTTTTAAAAATTCAGCAACATTTGATTCAGACAAATGTTGCCCAAGGAGTTTATGGTTGGATGGAAGGAGTTGGTAAAGAGAACGCTGTCAGTGTGTGTGTGGGACTCATCTGACTTTGACGGGAAACTTTTGAAGCAGTACATGCATTTCTTTTCCTCCTCGTAACCCAAACTCACAGAAAATTTTCCACTGGGCTGCAAGAACAAATCGAGACCTGGTTGGACTTTGGGATAGGAAATAGCACACATTCTGCAAGAGACACTGTGCTCTCTCTAGAGTGTTTTTTTTTTGTGGGGGGAGGTAGGGAGGTAAATAGGAAGGGGGTGTGGGGAGAGGCAGGCACGCCATCAGTAGATGAAACACATCAGAAACTAAGACCTAACCCTGTTCTCTGCAGCTCTACATCAGGCTAGCAGATGGCACCACCGAAACCCATCCAGAGGAATAATCTGTTTCTCTGGCACTTTAAAGGGAACTGGAGAAGATATTGCAAAAAGCACAAAGTGAAAAGTGGAGGATATTAATAACTTGGGGTAACCAAGACTCTACTTATAGCTCCAAATCTTTATAGCAATCTTATAGCAACCATATTGCTGCACCCACTGATTCTAGAGGTCCTAAGGGGTCCTCAGACAGAGCTGGGCCTCCTTCCTCAGCTTTCGGTCAGATTTTAGTCCACGAACTTAGTTACGGAGTTCTCTGGCATTCACCAGCTGTGTGACCTAGAAAAAAATGTCCAATTTCTTGGACACTCTGTTTTCTTCCTTCTTGTGTGTAAATACGGAGATAATTTTATCTACTTGGCTGGATAGTCAGTACTGAAAGTACTTGTAGCTTCTGAAATACATACATAGATACAGACATGTATTCATGTACGGGCTTAGAAAAAGGTCGAAAAGATAGTAGAACTTTAATGTTAGTAGTCCTCCCCTTTGTGAAGTTGGCTGAGGGCATTTTAATTCATTTCATTTCTCTGAATTTTCTAATTCTTCTGCATTGAACACGTCACTTATATAACTGGAAAAAGTTTTAAAATGAAGGCATCAAGCCTTGTTTCAAACTAGGGCCATAATAGCAAGTTTGTTTCTGATTTTACGACATTATTTATGCTGCAAAAAAAGAAATGAGTCACTTTTTCTAAAAAAAAAAAAAAAACAGTTCACTCAAGTAAGGAAAACCTTCAAAACTGCTCTCAGGAAGGGTAGCTCAAGACTGAGTTTTACTTGGAGGGTTCTGATCTCCTCTTTTGAACCCTCTGTGACCACAGTGCAAGGTTCAGAAGGAGAGGGTCGCCAAGAAGTCTAGTTGGTTAACTGGCTTTAGCCATATTTGTTCTCATAAAAATGACTCTTGCTAGGAAATGAAGGTGATAAAGGAGGCAGGCAAAGGGGACACAGAGGAAGGGAGAGCAGGAGAGGGGCTGAGGATGAGAAAGAATACAGTTGAGGCACAGCAGAAAAGACAGACTGAGTGTGAGGCTGCACAGCCTCTCCATCTCCAGCCCTGTGTGTGGGTGGCATGTCTAAAGAGTGCCAGTGAACAGCTGGTGCGCACCAGTACACCTACCTCCATGGGGTAAGGAGCACTGAACTCGACCTCCGCAAGGTTCCAGGCAGCATTCCCTGGCCTGTCTGCTTTCCAGATTTCCTCGTAAAGGCCAGCCACATCCCGAGTGTAAAGGGAAAAGACATTGTCATTCCCCTGCTGGATCTGGTAATAAAATGACAGGCAGCCAGCCATGGGGGCCGTGGTCAACGGGGAGATGAGCTGTGCCACCTCCTGGAAGTGCTTCACATAAACTGAGTCCACGTACATGTAGTGGCCTGAAAATCACACAGACAGAGCACAGTGTTAAGAGTTGGGGGTGGGGGAGGGGAAGAGGTTCAGGCGAAATGGTGTGATTCTGCATTCTAAATAATCCAGTGGGAATGGTGAGGAGGAAGTGGATGAGTTACAGCTGACAGAGGTTTGGCCATGAGTGGATGGAGAAATGTTGCAGCTGAGAGATGGGTCCATGGGGTTCATTGCACTCTGCTAAATACAGGATGAGACCATTCCTTTTACTTTCCTTACTTTTGATTCAAGTAAAATATACACAGAGAAAGGTAGATGTGTCATCTGTCAAGTGCTTAAGTTTTCACAAGCTGAACACACCCATGGAGAGAAATAGAACATTACCTGAGAAGCCACTCCCTCCCAATCCTTATTTGAGTCATAAGACTCTGAAGAGCACACAAAGACAAAGCTTACCATCTATTCTTAAAAGGGCATGGAGAGACCCTCCTGCACATGTTTACAATTAATGCAAGATGTCACCATGTGTTTTTTGAGTGAAACTAAGATTTTGAATTCCAACTATATGGCAATTTGTGTGTTGTTAATAGCATGCAAGTCAATCGACACTGAAATTTGGAGGAGTGAATGTGTGGTACCACTCTTGGCAGGTCTTTGTGGGCTCTGGACCCAGAGGCTGGCCTCCATTAGGGGCATCTTGGTGAAACACAGAAACCATGTGGCAGAATGGAGACAGCCTTGACTTAGCATTGAAGAGAAATGAGGTTGAATCCTGCTCCACTTCTTACTAGCCCTGTGACCTTGAACAAGTTTCTGAGTATGTCTGGGTCTCAATTTCCTGATCTCTAGAATGACAATCAAATACTTTCCTCATAGAGGCAATGAATATTACATGGAGTCATGTATGTAAAGTGCTTAGCGTGTGCCTGGTACATTGTAGCTGTCTAACAATTACAACGCCATTCACAATTCTAGAACCATGCTTGCCCTATAGCCTGTTTTGTATAAAGGGTAAGCTATCATTGTTAGCAATTTTTTCTGAATTCATTTGAGTGATGACAAAGAAGTGCTATTCAATGCAGCTTCAACAGAATGCCCTTTCTGTTTACAAGCTCAGAATAATTACAGCTTAATATCTTCATTTCCATGACATAATTTCTGGTTAATAAGAATTCCTGGCCAGGTGCAGTGACTCATGCCTGTAATCCCAACACTTTGGGAGGCTGAGGCGGGAGCATTGCTTGAGGCCAGGAACTTGAGACCAGCCTGGGCAACATAGTGAGACCCCTGTCTCTACAGAAAAGCTTTCTTAAAATTAGCTGGGCATGGTAGCATGCACCTCTGGTCTTAGCTATTAGGGAGGCTGAGGCAGGAGAATCACTTGAGCCTATGAGTTCAAGGTTGCAGTAAGCTATGATCACACCACTGTACTCCAGCCTGGGTGATAAGCAAGACCCTGTCTCCAAAAAATAAAATAAGGAAATAAAGAATACCTTTTCTCCATTATGAAGAGCAGAGCAGAAACAAATATTAGGAGGAGCATATGCATTTATACACTGGACATTTACTGTGTATCTAGTACATAGCCCGGTATGTGGTGGGCTCTCAACACATGGTTATTTAATGTACAGACATGGTCTCAGAAAGGTCCTCATCTCAACATGGCAGAAGGGAAAAATGGACAGGTCAAAGCTCACTTTCTCCTGGTGGCAAGTTGTTCAACATCCTGAATCCCCTGAATAATCTTCTTTGAATATAGTTTACCTTATCGTTTTGCCAAACCACACAACAGTGAATAAACAGAGATTACAAACTCAAATTCTCAGAGGAGGCAGCCAGATTAAGTGTATGAGTGAAGTTGATTGAGTCAGGGAGAAAATAGAGAGTGGTAAATTAGTAGCCAGTATTTGAAATCATATTTCCCCCACATCGAGAAACAGAAATCAAGCTTATCTGGAAAAATAAAAACATCTGATAGTCCTAGGCCCATATTCTTATGCGGCAATAACCGGCTTGGGGTGAGAAGCCTGGCCCCTCACCCCCATGTTCTCCAGCCTCCCTGAGAGAGCAGGGTCTACTGCAGCGGATGCCCGGCACCCAGCCCCATGCTGCAGGCTTTCCCCATCCTAGCCTGGAATTCAGGTTTTCACGGCAAATCTATCCATTTTTAAGGGATGCTTCCTGTGTGGTTTGCTAGGGCTGCTGTCACAAAATACTGCAAAGTGGGAGGCTTCAGCAACACACATGTATTGCCTCACAGTTCTGGAGTCCAGAAGTCAAGGATCAAGGTGTCAGCAGGGATTGTTCCTTCTCAGGGCCGTGAGGGAAGGATTTGTTCTGGGCCTCTCTCCCGGCTTCTGGTGGTGTGCTGGCAATCTTTGGCATTCCTTGGCTTGAAGGCCTCTGCCTTTATCTTTACATGGCATTCTCCCTGTGTACATTTCTCTCTGTGCCCAAAGTTCCCCTTTTAATAAGGACTGCGGTCATATTGGATTGGAGGCCCACCCTACTCCAGCATGACCTCATCTTAGCTAATGACCTCTGCACCCATCTATGTCCAAGCAAGGTCACATTCTAAGTCCTGGGGGTTAGGACTTCAACATTTGAATTTTGACTGTGCACAATTCAACGCCTAACACTCCCCACCATATTTTTTTAAACTTTGTATGCGCCAAATAAACATATCTGCAGGCTGGAAACCACTGTTGGCTCCACTTTGCCACCTCTGGGCAGGAATTTTAAAGGAAGAATCGGAATGACAGACTGGATAGAATCAAAGAACCTCTGATATGGAGGGAAGGTCACTCCTCCATATCCCAAGCTTGGAAACCCTCTAAAGCACTCCTGGTGGCCAGCAAGCCTTGACGAGAACATTCTAGTAGTGGAGAATGCCTATGACCAGTTAGCTTCTGTAATCTGCTTCTGTTCTCTAAGAACTCATGTGAATATCAAAGACAGAGATGAAGTCTTCATTGCTCTTTGTAACATGACTTACCAATGAAACAGAATCTTTTTGTGAGATATGAGCAGGGAGAACTGAGTGGAGGAGAGCTACAATTCTTTGTATTATAATGTATGTGTAATACTTTGTTTCCTGGATACCTAATTGCAGGGGCCACAGAGATCCCCTTTAAGAGAACTTGCTGAAGGAACCATCATTGACTGGGTCTCCAGCCACCTCACCTTTGGACCTGCAGGAGAGTTTGTACCAAGACCACACCACTCTGGGCTGCTCCCAGGCAGTGACCAAGCATAGCAGAGGGGCAGGCCATTCTGTCTGCCATGGGGCCCTTCAGCAGCTCCCATCGGCCCAGGTTCTCCTCTTCCTCAGGGGTCAGGTTTGCGTCCTGAGCTGAAAGTTTTCCCTACCCAGGGCATCTTTATGACTTTTGTGGGCTCATTCCTCCATAAAAAAAATAAAAATAAATAAAATAATCTTAACATTTTAGTTTATTACTACATTGGCATAAAGAGGTATATGATGTAGGCTAGAAATTATTATATTCATTTTACCCTTCCAATTTTCAAATAAATAAAATTAAAATATTGTCATGGACCCCTAAAAATGCCATGGCTCCTAGGCACTATGGCTGCTGTGCCCCATAAGGACACTGGGCCTGTCCCCAGCTACTCTGGCTCCTTTCTCCTCAGAGCCTTCATAGCCATCTCTCCCAGGAAATCTCTTTCCCACCTAGTCCCAGCTTAGTGTCAGCTTCCACAGCCAGCCTTGTTGTAAATTCATCTTCCTTGCAGATGACGGACATCTGAGAGTTGTCTTTAAAGGGTAGTAACTCACCTGCTGTGTGGACAATATTTTGTGCATTTGCAGCCAAAGTGCCTCACTAGCAACTTGTGCTCAGGATGCTAGGCCAAGTGAACCACAGTCACATTTCTGATCCAAAAAGCATCCAGAAAACACAACATGATCTGCCCAAAGTGAGTCAGAGAGGCTGCTGGGAATAAGACCAAGACTGCTGACACTAAGTCTCATACAGAACCACCAGACTAGACCGCATGCTCTTGTACCCTTTTTCTTTCCATCATTCATTTGTTGCCAAAGCTGGGTTCTATTTACTGACAATTTGAGCAACATTAAGCTTCTCATTGGGGAACAAAAGGTAGCTCATCATGAGTTTACTATCTCAGTTGAACTGTTAGGGGTGATTCAGAAATTGTCATTCAGGTGTCTGCCCCAGGAGAAGAGGCTGGAGGAATGACAGCCAAACCAGGCTGAGTGTGTCATCAGATACAATCTGTTCTGAGGAAGAGGAGTCAATGGGTAGGTGGCTGCAGGTGCCATTGTATTCTCCTTTCTAAAAACAATGATGGTAGCCTGGAGTTCTTGGAAAATTTTGTCCAGTGTCTGATATTAGGAGAATCTTCCTGCCTAGTTCAATGAACCCAACACTCCTATCTGGCATAGGGCTCTAGAGCTTCCAGAACCTCTGGAAAAGGCTTTTTTTTTTTTTTCCTTTGTCAGATCGTTAAGATTCAAGTAGGATGAAACTAGGTATAGATGGACTTTAAGTAGACAGAATCCTTTAATCTGCCAAATCACTGGATACCCTGCAGGCCACAGAGATTCTAAAGTATTACAACTTGAACTGAAAACGAAAGAGGTTATATGGGGGAAATGGGTTCCCCCATAAGATTAAGAATTGAGAAGCTTATTGCCATTCCTCTACAATCTGTTCTGCTTTGCCATACACAGAGTGAAAATCAATCTATTATTACCTAATTCTGGATTATACACAAAGAGCCTGAGGTTTCTAGGCAAAAAAAAAATTCAAATTCAGTTGAAAGAAAGATCACAGTTCTCAGTCATGCTGCCAGTGCTCAGGCCCCTTCTGGGATGGAGCCTGCAGTGCTGGTGTATGCACACTTGCTCCTGAAGAGGCTGTCTGTTCCTTTCTTGCAGCAGCCCTCTGTATTAGCTGAACTTTTCATGTGGAACCAGTGGCCCCTGGTAGTCAGCCATTTCCCCTTGCATTAGGGAAAGAACTTTAAAGGCGGTTCCTGAATGTTTATTTTCAAGCAGTCTGGCTCACCAGCATTCCCCTAAGACTGCCCTTGGCTTGGCCGCGGTGCCAGAGGCATCCTCTGACTCAGCTGTGATGCGCCCTGCTGGCCACATTTGCACTCCAGTTGTGTTGTCTGCTCCAGTGTTGCTGGTTGTCTGGACAAGCTGTCTCCCCAGTAGGGCAGACAACCTGGTCTGAAGAGATGTATGCCAGAGGGAAATACCCACTGGTCTGCTGCCATGGTGAGCAGACGGCACCCAAAGATAATGAGTTATGATGCATGTTTTTCCACCCTATGAGTCTGACAGTTATCTTCACAAGCCTTTAGTTGTAAGGGTTTTGGTGGCCCTTACTATGATAAAGTCAGACTCTAGTCTTTTTATACAGCTTTCAAGGATGACGTAAGCATGAATGAATATTACGTGAGACTTCTCCTATCTGTGCTAAGACCTCAAAGCCCCAAACAATAAGTGACAACAACCTCTATTTTCTAAAGAGTGGTGCTAGACTGTCAATATGTTAAGTGGCAGCCCCTGGCACCTACCCCAGCTCTACAAGTGTTAGCCCATCTCTCCCTTGTAGCCTGTGCATATGAGAAGGCTCGAGATGAATCAGAGAGATTGGAGATGGGGTTTCTATAAAGAGTTGGGTTAGAGCTGCCCTGCTATGTGTTTCCTTTTGACCTCTCCAGGGAAGGCAAGGGGATTGCTTCCCTTTTCTTACCTTGATCTAAAGGAGGGGGCTTAAGCGAACCACTCATGGAAGAGGTAGAGGAAGGAAACTGCCATGTAACCTCATCCCCTCCCTTTTGAGCAGAAATTTCTGAGCTCTGCAGTTGCTCTGGACCTTGAGATGAAAGTAATCAGAGTTCTTGAAAAAGGTTGATCAGTGATACTGGAGTGTGTGTGTGTGATGCAGAGATGGAGCCTGGCACTGGTGCATACATCTAAAGGCAAAAAACTGACTATAGGGACCCGTAGGGGAAGAGTAGAGAAAAAGGAGTTTGTTGCCAGTGAAATGCACTTCCAGAGTTTGAGGGGGCAATTTAGAAGGCAGCTGGGCTACAGTACCTTAAAAGGACTCTTCTCAAGAGAACTGCCTACCAGTGCGGTAATTCCATTAGAAGGGAGCTGGTAGGGCATACCGTGACTTATATGAGCTAAGCAGGATTCACAGATGGTCAGCCAGAGAGTTGCTCATCCCTGTCTGTCAACACTAAAGTGGGATCCCCCATTGGCCATGACAGGAATGCCAGAATTTGGCCATGTGCTGTATGAAGGTCATCAACTCTAGATTAAATAGCAAGAGGCAAGTGAAACCTTTTGTCCCTAGCCTTTGCCTTTCTGTTCCATCCCCACCCTGCCCATTGCCTCCCAACTCTGAAGCAGCCAGAAGCAGTACAGTAAGAGGGAGAAGTAGGGAAGAAAAAGGTGAAGTATGAAGAGACAAAGCACAAACCTTTCTCTCTACTGCTGTTGTGTGGCCCAGTCTCTGGGAAGATCTGAACTAGATGAGACATTGCAGTTGTGACTTGACTGCATCTAATCCTTGAAAATGAAGGTGTTTATTAATACCTGAAAGTAACTGGAAAGCCACAGTAAGTCATCCAAGGGCAGAGAAAGGAAATCCAGCAGACCTTGCACAAAGAAAATGGTAAGAAAATTAAGAAAGCTGCTTCCCTACCGAGTACTTACACCACGCACCAAATGGATCAATGCAGAGAGTAAATAAATAAGTCCTGTTAAAATGACTCTTGCTCATTCCAAACTGAAATGAGAAAAGAGTGTCACGAGTCATGGAGAGATGATCCAACCATCTCATGATGTTTGATGGAATTAAATAACTCTAACCTTATTTTAGATTTTGAAACCTTGTCCAGCTTCTTCCATAATAGCACCACAAGCAGGCTTGGTTTTTTAAATCTTAGCAAAGAGATGCATCCCTCATTATTTTTCCAGCAATCATCTTTTTTTTTTTTTTTGCTAAGGTATGTAGAAAACAGTAATGATCTGAGCTGTCAGTAGGTTACCTCCTGAAAGATTTTGTTTCACTTCATAAAATATGAATAAAGAAAGAAACCCATATGTGATGAATCAGAATTAAGAAAATACAGGATAAAAATCACATCCCCTCCAGTATTCCAAAGATGTCCTATCACAATTCTTACTACATTATTTTAGTCATTTCCATCATCAGACACTAATTTGGGGGAACAATGCTCATTAAAAACCTTGACTCAATGTTTGGGGCAGATTGTTAGGAACATACAAGGAAATGAAGGAAAACTCATATCACATTGTAGTTTTCAGAAATTACATTCACTCTTTGCTTTTCTACAACACAAAGACTAGCACTCTCCTGGGAAGACTTCCCTCAACCTTCTCTGCAGTTCTGAAATTCCTAAGTAGACAATGAGCTTCCCTTCTACGTGCTGTTTCTCCAGTTTTTACCTGAAAGCAAAGGCAAAAGCTGCGTCCGGTATATGAATGAACACAAGATGAACTCACATAGAGCAAAATCTGCTGTTGCGGGCAGACATCTGAACCATTTAATCTTTACTTTGCCACCCAAATTGATAGAACTCCGGGGAAATCAATATATGCGGTAGAAAGCAAATATGATAAGAGAGGGAACCTCTTTCCTTTTTAGAGCATTGGAGGGTTTATTTTGTTTTGTTTTAAAGAATGATACGGATCAAATCTTTGAGTCCTATGGGCAGAGCTTTTCAAATAAAATATTTTAGAGTCTTTTGAACTCATCATTTTTGGCCCTATCCTCTATAGGGGAAAGACTTACAGAGGACTCCAGGCATGAGGACTGTGTGTGTGTGTGTGTGTGTGTGTGTGTGTGTGTGTGTGTGTGTGTGTGTTGAGTGGGGATGTTGGCTAATGAATGGACAAAATATTAGTCCAAAGGTTGAAGAGAACTTGGAGTGAAATAGCAGGAAAGAGTGGAATGCAGGCAGTCAGGCTTCCTGCTAATCATAAGTAGGAATGTAGCCTGGAACTCAGGGGTTCCTCTGCCATGATCACATACCTTGGGATTCTCAAATGCTCTCCAAATATAAAATAAACCATCCACTCTCATGCCTCTACACTTTTGCACATGCTACATTTGTCTCCCCCTTATGCATCTGGCCAAATTCCAGTTCTACTATTACTTCCTTAAGAGGGCCTTCTCTGTACCCCAAAACCAAGGTAATCTTTTGTCTGTGGTTTCATATCATTTATTTCATACCTCTATTAGTCATACATTACTGTGCATGCTTGCAAGTTTATGTAGCATTTTGGTATTCAGATAATCTGAGAAATGCCATAATGTACATGAGCACAGAACTATATTACAGGTGGTGAGAAATCCTGAAATAAAGAAATCTGTTTAGCTTTCTTTAATGCAGAGTTTCCCCAGTTTATTTGACCACATATCACCTTTGTGTCCCATACAAGGATTAGTTTACTAAAAACTGGTATTATAGGGAAGGACATTTTGGGAAAAGTTGGTTCCTGTAAACTCTTTGAGGTTAATGACTGTTTTTTTTTTTAAAGCATCATTTTTTTAAAATTATACTTTAAATTCTGGGATACATGTGCAGACTGTGCAGGTTTGTTACATAGATATACATGTGCCATGGTGGTTTGCTGCACCCATCAACCCATCATCTACATTAGGTATTTCTTCTAATGCTATCTCCATCCCCTGACAGACCCTGGTGTGTGATGTTTCCCTCCCTGTGTCCATGTGTTCTCATTGTTCAGCTCCCACTTATGAGTGAGAATGTGTGGTGTTTTTCTGTTCCTGTGTTAGTTTGCTGAGAATGATGGTTTCCAGTTTCATCCATGTCCCTGCAAAGGACATGAACTCATCCTTCTTTATAGCTGCATAGTATTCCATGGTGTATATGTGCCATATTTTCTCTATCCAGAATGACTTTTTTTATGTCACCAGGGTATGCAAGAATGTAAATATAAATACATGTAAAAAGTGCTTATTATGTGTTTGTTGAATGAGTGAAGGAATGAATAATGATCAATGAAGAAGCGTCATTCTGGTGTTGAGGCTCTGACTGGACTTACTATATAATCCCCTGGATGGCTGGAAGGTGCGTAGTCTTCTTAGACTTCCTCCCTTCAGCCCTCAGGTCAGCTTCTTTTTCAGCCCACAGTATTGACATATGGGGACTAAGCAATGCTAGTAGGAAAAGCTGCCTGCCTTGGGGAAGTATTCTAGAATAGCCAAGGAAGAAGAGGAAGAATGGGAAAATAGAGAGAGGGAGATGGGAGGGGAAGAGGGAAGAGAGGCAAGTACTTATGTCAGGGGTGACAGCACCCTACCAGCAAGTCTTAGTGCTTCTCAAGGATGACCACACCACTATGCTTACGTCTTGACCCTTCTGGTCAAGACATTAGAAAATCCAGGGCCTCTTTTTCTCACCCCTTGGTCCCTTTAGTCCTCTTTTTTTTTTTTTTTTTCTAATGCCAAATGCTATGTGCTTATAAGTATCCAGGAGGGACTCAAGCCATTTTGAAATAGATCTCACTGAATGGTGAACTTGGAGATTTTGGTAAATAGCATTAGGCAAGGAGAGAAAAGTAAAATATTGGAACTCAAACGCATCTTAGAGATCATTGAATTCAAATTGCTCATTTGCAGATGCATCAATGGAGACACTAAGAAATTAAGGGTTTAGTCAAGGTAATAAAGTACTCTGATAACTGGGCCTGGAGCACAAGTATTTGGACTCCTAGCCTGGGGCTCTTTCTCTATCCCTAGGGACACAAATATAGTCAGAATATTCTATGATTCAGATGGGCATGAGGAAGGACTAGGAGAATTACACTCTTCAAAGGATGAATTGCACTCAGGTAACACAAGCAAATGGATGATTTGACACTAGTCCACTGCTCTGTTGCCTCTTCCAAGAAATATATGTTCTCCCCAGCCAGCTACCTCTTGCCATCGAGGATGAAAAATGAAACACTGAATAATCACTGAATCATAACATTGGTTACCCACAGGGTTTGACTTTGGAACGAATTTTTAAATGATTTGGGAAAAGTTCTTTAACACTTCCCCATTGTTAAATTTGCCTCTCTGTGCAACTGTGATAATGACACAAGAAATAATCGTCATTTTGATGCATCAGCCTTTCAAGATCCTTTCTGTTCCTTGTATTAGATTCTTAAGATATGACAGAAAAACAATCGCAAAACTAGCCTATTGTCACACATGAAGAAAAAGTCATCTGGCTTTTCTTTCCTGAAACCCCAAGAGATTGTTAGTTGCTTTACTCATTTACATAAAGCTCTCCAGAGTTAGTGACATTTTATTATTTTGAGTTAACCCAACTGTCTTTTAAAATACTCATGCAGATTCATGGATTACTTTGCCATGACTGGTTATCATTCACTCTACACAGAGCACTTATTTATAGTGTGGTTCCTACAAAGGGCCCCAAATGAGGACGGGCCACTTATTTATAAGGTAAAAATATGGGCTATCCGTAGAAAAACTCCAATCCTTTGTCACTGTCAAAAGTGCTAAACAGCACTTTGGGAGGCCGAGGCAGGCGGATCACCTAAGGTCAGGAGTTCGAGACCAGCCTGGCCAACATGGGGAAACCCCATCTTTACTAAAAATACAAAAATTAGCTGGACAAAGTGGTGGGTGTCTGTAATCCCAGCTACTTGGGAGGCTGAGGCAGGGAGAATTGCTTGAACCTGGGAGGTGGAGGTTGCACTGAGCTGAGATTGCACCACTGCACTCCAGCCTGTGCAACAGAGCAAGACTCTGTCTCAAAAAAGAAAAAAAAAAGGGCTGAAACTTGCTTTGCTTTTAAAGGTAGGAAGTACATAAACATGCTTTTTTTTTTGTCTTATCTCAATTTCTTATGTAAGTGACCCCAGATGCATCTGAAGAAACAGTTTCTGGGGGATTCTTCTGTACTCTTGCTCCACCTTTTTACTCTCCATCTATTGAAATAATCTCTGTCATGTTAATCCATCTAAATACACTGCTGTGATGGTGTCTCTCCCCTGCCCAAACACCTGTGTGGCCTCCCATTGTCAATGAAATAAAGTTAAAATCTCTTTCCTGGCATTCCAGGCATTTTAGAATTTGCCCCTGCACTGCTTTCTCAGCCACATCTCTCCCACCATCCACCCCTTGTAGCACAACCACTGTATCATTGCTCTTAGCTTTTTCTCATCTTTGTCAAAATCATACCCATCCCCGAAATACAGTTTACTTCTTTTATCATGTCTTCTAGGACATCCAAGCAGTGAGGGACCTCTTTTGTCTCTGAATTCCCAACACCTTTCTTTTTTGATGGAGGAAGGAGACCACTCTTATTGCACTTGACACATACCACCCTTTGTTAACATCCATTTGTGGTAGAAATCCCTTTTCCTTTCTTGAAAGCGTCTTCCTTGAAGCTGGGAAGGGGCCATAGAGGATCTGTCATTTTAACTGTCATTTACCCCATCATATCTAATGCTGGGTCAAATTAATGAAAATGCTAGATTTAAAGTTGCGTTTGTTTTAAACAGGCAACTCCATGAGACTCCAGTCTTTTTATTTGTGGTTACTTATAAAGAGCTTATTCTAAGAAGCCTGAATGTATTGTAAAAGAAACTTGTCAAATGAAGGTTGCAAAATAGAAGTTGGCCAACAGGGCCTGACCGGCAAGTGTGTTTTATTGGCCCACACTGTGATTTTAGAAAATATTCACCAACTTTTAAAAATTTGGGAAATTTCACACACACAAAAAAATCCCCTGCCTTCCTAATGATCTTGAAACATCAAAAGATCTGGCAACCCGGGCTTACATTCTCACACAGCAGCAACTCATTGGAGCCAAGTAACCTTTGCACAGGGTCTCTGCCATCTAGTTTGCCGCAGTCCTCACCCAGCCCACATGTCATTTGCTTATACTGTCTGCCTGGCTGTTACAGGGAATTGAACCTGAGACTCTGGATATAAAGGAGAAGTTAGAATAGGAGCAAAGAGAACAGTAAGGTTAGGATGAAGACTGTCCAGAGTCAAGATAAGCTGAAGGATGAGCACTTTTGAAAAAAAGAGTTGGAGACATGGTTAAATATATTCAGATGAAGAGAAGCAATACTGAATGAAGAAAAATGGTAAGAACCATAAAAGGTCATTATGTCTTCAGGCATGGGGACACACTGTCACCATCAACAAATTATTAGGATGAGTATATTACCTCAATATCTATGCGTAAAGGATCAAAAGAGAAAAAGTTAACTGTTTGCAACAGAATAAAAATTCCTGTTCTTGTTCTTGTTGAAAGGCCAGCTGCCAGAAGCTTCTCACTCCGTGGAGACCTTGGAGTCGAGGATGAAATGTCTTACAACTGTGGGGAGACCTTGGCTTTTCCAAAGCCTACCAGGGTCCAGGTGAGAGCAGTGGTAACCCACAAGTAAGTAAGCCCTTGCCCTTGTCTCTCTTCTGTGGAGGACTTCTCCTCAAAGCTGACTTCTCGCTGGTAACACAACCTCACCTCCCATTTTCCTTGCAGAGAAGCAGCCTTCTTGGCCACTAGGGGGGCCTGTTGCACACCACATTCAGAGCTAATCATCAGTATTGGCTCACCTCACTGTCACTTGGGAAGTTCTTAGGACCCATTCCCATCCTTTGATCTATCTTCAGTGAAAAGTAACCTAGGATTTTTCCAGCCTTGTCTTTAGAAATGAGAAATATTAAACAACAAATATACAAGAAAGTAAAGCATAATATGGAAATATGAAAATGCAAGACTAGGCCACAGGTGAAGGAGAACTTTTAATGGAATGGCCTTCCCCTTAGCTACAGAGCTCACAGCTGCAGTTTGTCTCTACCTCACTGTAGATCCTTCCCTACTCTTCTGTCACACCTCCTGGTTCCTACTTAGTTCCTACTCACCCTCCTCCCTCCTCTCTTCCCTGTTGACAGAAGCCACAGCTAGGTCAGTGCAGGAAGTGGGAGGAGACAGCAGAAAAATTTATCCTGGGAAAAGGACTCTATTTGATCCCAGCTCACCCAGTTCACTCTTGAAGGTGTGATCCTGTGGGAGAATGGAGTGGACATTCCGAATACTTCCTCCTCCAACAAACCAGTTCACATTGGGATTCCAGCGGTTCACAAAGCCACAGAGATGATTTTCTTCAAAGTCACATTCTGGGGAAGGGAAACAAAAACACTTCATGGAGACACAGTCACACCTGGGTACACGCATCCTACTACAGAGTTTGCTCTTAGATATTCAGAAGTTTCTCTCTTCCTTTGCCCACTGCAACCTTTCTACCAGGACCCCTGCACAATTTTGGCCAAGAAGAGAGACAGATCCTGTAATGAATCAAGATTCTAATTCATCATTGGCCCTTTGGATTATGGCCCTTCCACTTATTAGCCATGTCACTTGGAGCATGACTTACCACTTTTTGTAGCCTCTGTGTCTCCATATGTGAAATGGGGACAATGTTCCCACTTCACAGAGCTATTGTAAGTGTGGAGAGCTCCCAGCATAGTGCCAGGCATGTGGTCAGTGCTTGGTACAAGTCAGCTATTTTTATCAGTCACCTCTGTCTCAAAGAGCTGTTCAGGGTTATGCTCGTAGCTCTAGAAAATTTTTTCCACAACCCTTTCTTGAATCTACTGGCCCAGTCCTCCATTCCTTTCTCTTCTCATGATGAACAAGTTGCCCAGAGCTGAGGGACATGTGTCTGAGATGCTAAAATTCCCTGTTTTTCTTATAAATCAGAACCCAGGTAAAATAGGTGGGGCAGATATATCCTAGGTTCTGGTCCCTTTTGCAGCTACTGAGTAGAGAAGAGAGAGAAGATAATCAGATCCCCCTCTTCTACCCTTAGTGTCATTGGCATGTTTGCATGGATATATTGGTCTCCATCAACAATTGTTCCTTAAAAGGGAGCAAGAAACCCACAAGCTAATGCCTCCATTGACCCTTATAATCACACAGTTAAACTAGGAAGTATAATTGTGCTGGCCACTGGCCCCCTGCGGATCCACGTTGCTCTTCTCCACCTGATAGGTCCTGCAGAGGTTGACCTATCCGGACTGTATCAATGGGCTACCCTGCCTTCCATCTCCCTGTTGGATTCGACCAATGGAGGGTGGAAGGAGAATGAAATCAGGGGTTTACTTGCCCAGCAGTCTCCCAGCCAGGTCGCCATGAGTTGGCAAGTCTTGTCAAGCAGCCCTTGTTTGACAAATAGCTATTGTTTACAGGTACTGGAAACTCCTCCTCCCTTGTCCTTTCAGACCAAAAGAAGATAACAGCTCCTGAATCATCACTGTTACTAGTCCTGGGTCACAGAGCTATTCCTTGCTGGCTTCCTTTACCACTCACACCTTTGTGGTCTCTTCAGTGAGCTTCCCTCAAATTACTCAGGTTGACTGTACCCTCTGTTTCCTCCTTCCTGCCAGGATCTTGACTGGTGTAGTCAGCAATGTGTTTTTACATTAGCAAGCACTGAACATTTCTAAGATTTTCATTTTCAATGTTTCCACCACAGTGTCTGCTAGCCAATGCCCTAACATTCAGTGCCAAATGCTGCCTAAGAGTAAAATAAAAAGCAAAATATTCCTCAATATGCCAGGCTCCATTCTGAGCACTTTACATAAATTAACTTATTCAATCTTCAAAGCAGCCCCATGACATAGGCACTGTTACTAACCTCATTTTACAGATGAGCAATGGAGAGAGGCAGATAAAGTACCCAGAAAGAAAGAAGTCAGAGTGTGATCATAGAGTTTAACAAGATAAAAGTGTTGGCATCCTTTTGTTTTAAACAAATCAGAAGTCACCACATCATTTGAAGAAAGGCAATTAACATGTTTTGGATGTCCAGCACTGTATATACCAATTATTTTCATAACCAGGATATTCCTCCTCCTAAGAATCCTAGGAGGGAAGCTTTTTATTCCCATTTTACGGATGCCAAGAGGCTGAGGCTCAGTAAGCTGACTGAGCCAGCAGGTGGCGCTCCACCAGAGGTGTCTGACTTCCCTGTCGTTCACAAGCTGTGCAGATGCCAGGTGGAAGCCCAGCGGGAGGCTCAAGGAAAAGAGCCTGAGCCTCACTGTATCTTCAGAAAATGGTCTGTTTTCTTTCACTTGCCCTAGAGATATCATTGAGGTCAAAACAGACAAGTGAAACGTAAGGGAATTAGCAAAGGCTTTTTTGTTGTTGTTGTCGTTCAGAATATTCTTTGACTCTCCTTTCTCTTCCCCGTCACATTCATTTAGCCTTCAAGAGTTGTCAGTGCTGAAAAATCTCTCAATTCTACTGCCTTTTTCCAATTCCACTGCTAATTCAGTATTACCCTCATTATGCCCCCTCTGTAATGTCACAGCTGCTTCCTAGGGGTTTTCCCACCTGCTATGCATTTTCTTTGTACCCAACTCATTTTCCACGTGGCAGCTGGAGTCATCTGAAAGTGCAGCTGCACACTTCTCCCCTGCTGGCTGACCCACATGATTCAGCAGGTCCAAGCTCCACATCCTGCATCCACACTCTTCCATCACAAACTCCCTTAGCAGTCCTGGTCTCACTTCAAACACCCTACTCAGCCTCTTGCCTTTGCCTGAACCTGCCCTGTTTCTTTCTCCCCACAGGGGTCTGGCCATGGAGAACCCTTGCCTTCCTACCCTGCACCTCCACTTAACTAAATTCTTCTCCTTCTTGAAACTCCTGCTCCAGTGCACTGTCCCTATTCAGTCCTCTCCAATTTCCTCTCCTCCTCCCTGCGCCTCTCCACTGCACAGCTTGTCCTTCCTCAGCAGTATTTGCCATATGCAGAACTAGCTTCAATGTAGACAAATAGGAACTGAACCACCATAGGACAGGGTTTATCCTTTCTTTATGCCCTCTTGGAAGCTGGCAGATAAGAGACAGCCAACCAACTCTGCTCAAGTGAAATCTAAGTGACAACTGTGATTATTAAGAGGAGAGCCGTGGTGTGCCAAGAGAGAAATAAGGGAAAGGAGGTAATACAATGTCTGCTTTTCTGGCACATGCTACAAAAAGCTGAGTTTCCAGCAATTTGTAAATTATTTTAATCAGAATGTGTTGAGGTTAAGGTGGCAGCTCTGAAGTTACAGTTCCTGCATCTATATTTCTTTCATTAATCCAGACTGTACAGGCAGATTCTAATGAGCCTTCCCACACTAAAGACAAAAAACATACAGTATTCAAATGAATCTAGCAAAGAATTTAAACCAGTATGCATTATGCAGTGCATTCTATAAAATAGTTGGTCTTTAGGATTGATTCAGTTCCCTCTGGCAACAGTAACTTTTAGAAAAAGATTCACAATTTGATTTAATGAAAATGAAGCCCACTTACCAATACAGTAGCCGGTTGTCATCTTGATTTCAAATAGTGCGATGCTGGCTGTGTTTCCCTGTCCTAGTACACCTTCTATTAAAATCTGCACAACATATGGGGAAGAAGGGGAGTTAGACTTCAAAACATCATGTTTCCTTGGTTCAGTATTTCAGCTATTAGTCTGGAGCTGTTCAGCCACTTAAGGCAAAACAGGATTGTTAGTCTCAGCTAATTGCTATTGGATACCAATTTCACTACGGACTTTACTAGAAGAATGTGTGTGTATATATGTGTGTGCATGCGCATGTGCACATAAACTCATACATCAAAACTTCAAGGTAAATAAGGCATCTGATAGAAGCTCAGAGTCAGCTGTCTTTTCTTCTCTTGCTATCCCAACCACCACCACCTTCAGTGCTTGTGGTAGCACTTGTGGTCCTGTTTCTGAAAGTAATCACTTTTTCTCCTGTGGTTTTAGCCCTATATTCTGCAACTATGCTGGCAGATTTAGGAGGTGATAACTGCTGGGAAGAAGTTGTTAAAGAGAGAACTCAGAGCCCCCATGCTCCATCCTCAACCACTGGCTGACAGGGAAGGACTCCAAGCAGACAGTGGGTATTGGAGAGTAAAGCATTTCAAGCCTTTCAAAGAAGTGGGATGGGATAGGAAATTGAAAGACGGATTAGGAATGGGGAATATTTTCATGATGGCTCCATTGTGTCCCCGATGAAATATTTTCAATAAACATCACACTTCATGGCCAGGTGTGTCTGGATCCCATCCTCCTTCCTTATCCAGTCCACACCCAGCTTCACCTTACATTCGCTACCTTCCTTTTCCAGGACTCCCAAAGGAACAACTTCCCTCTTTGAAAAGGAAATGGAACATGTCCTTTAAGTATCTTTTCTCTTTTAAAGTATTTTCACTTTCCTTTTATTATAATCTTTTGTTCAAAATTTGTAGCAAAGAAATGATTAAGAAGATAAACAAACACATAGCACACACAATTTAGAAGGATGAAATAAAATTATAGAAATGAGAATACTCCCTAAAGCCATAGAAAATCTATTTTCATTGAAGAGGTTGATTTAAGCCCCATTTAGATTTTTACAGAAGGCTCATTTAAATAGATGGGAAAGAAATCTGGGAAGAAGCTCTTTTAAGGAATAAACAAAATGTTAATTTCCATTGCTAATATTCTTCTATGGTATGTATCTTATGAAACATCACGTCATAATCCAGGAGATAACTAACCTCCATGTCAGAAGTTTTCATAAGATTTTAGAATAGTATAAAGCAAAGATAATAGGCCTTATATCTTTCTCCTAAACTCCACCTACCTTGAATTTCTTGGAACTGTTTTGCAAATCCAAGCTGGCTATGAGCCAGCTGTCTGAAGGTTCCTTAGCTGACCAAAGCAAGCGATCAAAGCTTTCATCTTCAAATCTCATGTAGAGGTTCAGCTGGCTGGGATCTGACAGAGACTCCGAAGATGTGGTTATCTGGTAGACCAAACGGAGGCAGCTCCATTCCTCAGCCTGTAAGTCAGGACTTAGCAGCACAGCTTTCTCCCCCTGCTTGCCAAAGGAGGTATCCACATAAATGTAATGGCCTGGAAAGAGAAAGGAACATAGGAAAAGGATCAATTTTTGTTTGCAACCTGGAAAAATACGTAACTGCAGTTAAGTAAATCTCTGGGCAGATAAACCTGCAGATATATTTTGTCAACCCACTGAAAGTTGCCTGAACACTGGATCACTGGCCTCTTTTGAAAAAATTACAAAGCACTGAGACCATGTTACCAGATGATGACAACAGGCTGGAGCTGAGTGGTGCTGCCTCTTCAGAGGGTGGCATGTGGTCTCCACTTTGCCATAATTGCCATCAGTCCCTCTTCACTCCTCACACTGAGTGTCTCTGCTTTTTATTCTTTTACACCAGGCCCATTTAGCACATTGCATTCATCTCCCTGGTCCCCATAGGCATATGTTTCTGCAGGCTGAGGGACATCAGAATCAGAAGAGCGGCATGACTGAAGTCAGAATAACTGGGTGGACTCAACCTTCTCCTTACATAGCTCTCCCCATTACCTAATGTTTCAATCTGCATTTAACTTGCATCATTATGTAGACTGAATTGATTTGGTTACCTAAGCCTGGATCTTGGGACCTAGGCAGAAAAAGTACATTGTAAGCTATTTTTTATTAAATTAGGAATAAGACTTCCTTCCCTTGACTCTTCCATGACCAAATTTCATAGTTCTGAGAAATAAATGAGGAAACACTTGCAAAACATGTAGCACAGGGCTGGGAAAGCACTGGACACTCTGGGACTAGCAATTGTCCTTCCTTCTCCTCTATCCTCACTTCTCCTTTCGGATTCCCTGTTTCCTCCTTTCTCCTTTTCCTCCTCTCTTCTGTCTTCTTATTCCCCTTTCCCCGTCCTTCTCCTCCTCCTTTCCTTTTCCTCTGTTCATTCTCCTTCCCTTCTCCCTCTACCCTCCTAATATCGACAAGTGCTTTCTGCTGGCTGTACAAGATATGAAAAGCATTTCTATAAAAGTTGGTGGGGCATTGAAGCCAAGAACCTTAACTCGAGCCTTCCAAACCCACCTCTGGCCATCTGGTTTCCTATGTCAATGATCCAATTGCCTGTGGGTCTTTGGGGACCTCCTGGGCCTTTCTGGCCTGCAGATTCTCATGCTTTCTCGGAGGGCCCCACATTCATGGCTGTCATTTAACCTGCTGTCTTTCGTCCTGTGGCTTCCACCACCCTGTGTCTGCACTTCGGTCTCCCTAACCCTAAACTCTTACGAGAAAGGATCTGAAAAGCCTCTTTGTTTTGCTTGATGTTCTTCAGCCTGTCCTCCCACGCTTGTTGTCTCAAATGCCCATCCCAGCCTGGATCCTTATATCCGTGGCGAGTACCGACAGGCTAACTGGAGCTCAGATGACGGCCATCCTCACATGAGGGACACAGTTAGGGCATTGTCTTCAGGGATCCTTTCTTGCCGACTGAAGGATTTCAAGATCAAGATCTAACTCTTCCTGGCAATCTTCTTAACATAGCAACCGCCCACTGGGTGCAGATAGCAATTGCTTCTAGATGCCAACCCAGGCACCCTTGTGGAGAAATCTGGCCCTTGCAGCAATTGCTGACACCATCATACCTCCCACGTACAGGCGACACTCACTGCAACTCAGGCCCAAGTGCTGTTCTAAGTGCTTCACGTGCATTTCCAAGGTGAAGGCCTTGTTGGGTTTGACTATTCTAAGCTGGGGCTCTTGAGGCCAACCCTTTTTGGATAAAAAGTGCTGCTTCTTGTGGCATGAGGAATGTATTAGCACCATCCTCTTTCCCCACTCTTTGCTACTGCCCCAAAAGAAGGGACTTCAAGCAGGCTGGATTGGGGGAGATCACGTGAGTACCTCAAACCTTTTCCGAAGAAGTAGAGAGTTGGACATGGAGTATAAAAGAGGAAAGAAACAAATAAAGACCTTGCTATGTCCTATCAACATTCATATCAAATACCAACTTTGCTGCCATGGGAGGCTCAATTTTCCCTGGGTACTTCCCCAGCCTCCCCTTTTCTCTCCCTCCCCTTTTCCTTTCCCCACTCCAGAAAGGGACAACTCAAAGCAATGCTCTTAAAGTTGAGCCCAGAGTCACCTGGATATCTTGTTCAAATACACATCCCCAGGCCCACCCCTTGAGTTTCCAATCCAGTAGAGCTGGGGTGATGCTGCATTTCTAACAGATTGCATTTCTTGGATGTTCCAGGTGATACTGTTGCTACTGGTCTTTGAGAACTGCTGACTTACAATGTATGGACAGGTAAATAGGGTTCATTCTCCAGCCACCTCTCATCTACCAAAGAAAGTGCAGGCTCCTGTAGCATGTAAAGGAGGTAGGCAACGGTTCTGCTGGAAGGTACAACTCGAATTTAAGTGAATGTGTGTTAAAGCAGGTGCACAGAGTCCATCTGCTGGTGATTATCTTGGCTTTTCAGTGAGTGCCATAAAAAAATTCTCTTGACATTCTCTCTCACCTGATCAGATTTTACTATAAGCTTATGCTAATGTTCTCTTGTCAAGAACCTTTGAGAGCACACACTATATAAAATGTACTATTTAAAATACCTAGATTTTATTCTGTGTGATGAAAGTCGGTGCTATTCATTGAGTGATTTTGACATCTTAGCCATAAATGTGGGTTATTTTAAAATATTGGAATTTTGCATTTAAATTAAAGATCTCATATTTGTTTTTAGGTCACGCCATGTGAACGTGCCTCTTAGCAGCATTACAGTCCATGCAAAGATGTATCTACCCAGCTGATTGGATGCAATCCACTCAGCAGAATGATGCATTTTCCTAGACCTAATCATTAGCCCAAGCACCGCCCACCTCCACTATCACTGCCAACTTCAAGACTAATTTTCTAAATTAATCACTACGTTTTCCAGGCCTGCTCTGGATACAGCCTTAGAATCCTTCTAAACATAGTGCTGCATGTAACCACTACCAATCAATCTGAGTTGGCACTTGAGTTGAAACTACTTGTTATCTCTGCTTGTGGCTTCAGTGTAGGGGTATATTTTGTGGTCACGTTATAGCTAAATTGAACTAGAAGGAACACGGTATATTTTGAAGAAGTTTTAGAAAATATAGGATGAGGAAGATATTAATGTCAAGGATGTTGCCTTTCCCTGCCTTGTCACTAAGAAAATTGCTATTCTAGAATAAATCTGTGAGTTCTTTTTACTTAAAAAGAATCATTTTACCACCGAGTGAATTAACGAAGTTTTCTTTGGGTGTAAAAAAATGTTTTATTTATTCCATCTTAATCAAATTGATATTTGGAAGTTAACTTTAGACATAATTCGCATTCCATAGAATTCACCCTTTTAATACAATTCAGAGGTTTTTAGCATGTTCATAAATTTGTGCACCATCACCACTATCTAATTCCAGAACATTTTCACCATAACCCCAAAAGGAAACCCTGTATCCATTAGCAGTCATCCCTCATTCTCCCCACCCCTAGCATCTGGAAACTACAAATCTACTTTCTGTCTGCCTGAACTTGCCTATTCTGGAAACTTTATATAAATAGAATTATATAATATGTGTCCCTTTGTGACTAGCTTCTTTCACCTGGCATATTTTCAAGGTTCATCCATGTTGTAGCATATATTAGAATTTCATTCTTTTTGGGGGCTAATATTCTATTTTATGGATTACCACATTTTATTTATTCATTCATTAGTTGATGGACATTTGGATTGCCTCTCCTTTTTGACTATTATGAATAATCCTGCCATTAACATTTTTATGCAAGTGTTTTTGTATATAAAAATTTCACTTCTCCTAGGTGTATGCCTAGGAGTGGAATTGTTAGGCCACATGGAAATTCTATGTTTAACTTTTTGAAGAACTGCCAAACTGCTTTCTCAAGTGGTTGCATCATTTACATTTCCACCAGCAATGTATGAGAGTTCCAATTTCTCCACATCCTCACCAACACTTGTTATTGCCCATCTTTTTTTTAATTTTAGTGAATTGATGTGAATTGATCTCTGATTATGCTTTTGATTTGCATTTCTCAAGTGACTAATTATGTAGAGCATCTTTCATATGCTTATTGGCCATTAATGTACATCTACTTTGGAAAAATGTCTGTTCAAATCGTTTGTCCATTTTAAAAATTGGGTTGTCTTTTTATTGTTGAGTTATAAGAGGTTTTATACATTCTGGATAATAGATCTTATCGAATAGAAAATTTGCAAATACTTTTTCCCATTCTGTGCTTTGTCTTTTCACCTTTTTTTTTTTTTAAATGGAGACGGAGTCTTGCTGTGCCGCCCAGGCTGGAATGCAGTGGCGTGATCTCGGCTCACTGCAACCTCCACCTCCTGGGCTCAAGCAATTCTCCTACCTCAGTCTCCTGATTAGCTGGGACTACAGGTGTACGCTGCCACGCCCTGCTAATTTTTTGTATTTTAGTACAGACGGGGTTTCACCATGTTGCCCAGACTGGTCTCGAACTCCTGAGCTCAGGCAGTCTGCCCGCCTCGGCCTCCCAAAGTGCTAGGATTACAGGAGTGAGCCACCACTCCTGGCCGTCTTTTCACCTTTTTTATGGTATCCTTTGAAGTATAAAATTTTTAAATTTTGATGAAGTTTAATTTTCTATTTTTAGTTTTTTTTTTTCTGCCTTTGGCATCGTAGCTAAGAAGCCATTCTCAAATTTAAGGTCACGAAGATTTACAGCTATGTTTTTTTTCTCAGAGTTTTATTGTTTCAGCTTTTACGTTTAGATCTTTGATCTAATTTTTGCCCGTTGAATTTTCTTGCCACCATTGTTGAAATCAGTTGAGGATAGATGTGGGGTTTATTTCTGGACTTCTCAATTCGATTCTATTGATCTATGTTTATTCTTATGCCAGTACCACAGAGTCCTCCTTACTGTAGCTGTGTAGTAAGTTTTGAAATTGGGAAGTATGAGACCTCCGACCTATACTCATTTTCAAGATCATTTTAACTATTCTGGGTCCCTTGTATTTCCATATATATTTAAATATCAAAATGGGAATAATGCAGAACACCATAAAGTTCAGTGTTTTAACAGTATTCCTTCATTTTTCTTGAATACATGCTCCTGAATGTTATAAGCCTTTGGTTAATTTCCAGAGCTCTTAAAAAGTTGATTTTGACCATTTCTTTTGCTGTTCTCATTGCTTTTATGGGGAGAGGATTCTCTGAGGTCCTTACTCCACCACTCTTGCTGACATACTCCCTTTTCTCATCTTTTAAAACCAATAAGAATACCAAGCAGTGCTTCAGAGATGTTAGAGTAAACAAAACAAATGAGAAAAAGGCAAAGAAGGGCAGAAATCACAGGGGGATTGGGAGGTTGACTGTGATGCATCAGGCCAGGGATCTGGGGGAGATTTACCAACCGCAGTGTTGGAGAAATGGCATCAGGAGGAGAGGGAAGGATCCACTTCAAATATGGCTGCCTAGGCAATTGGAACTGATTTACTAGACATTTATTAGAGATGATAAAATCTTTATAAAGGGTCAGAAAAGGGCCATAAACTTCCAAATAGATTTTTTTAAAAAGTAAGTCAGCAATCAAAAACAATCATTAAGCCATCTTGCCAAAAAGTACAGACTCCACGTGCCCTGGGGTCTGAACATGTCTCCTTGTCACATGCAGGCATCAGAAAACAACAGAAAAAGCTTTTCTGTTTAAGTGAAGCCAAGCCATAAATAACTGAGTCTTGAAGTCATGTTCAATCGCTGGACACATCTGCATGGCCAGAACTCAATGTATCGATAACTTCCAATAGCCATGGCACAGCATGGTAGGTCTAAGTCCCACACCATCACTGTGGCAGCATGGTCAGGGCACAAGTCACAAGGGGCTTCTTGGCACCCATGGAATTCTGTTAGCTAATGAATGCCGAATGCCCCGTCCTTCAGGTGTGATAATCATGCTGGGGTGACTGTGTGGTACAGTGGACCCTACTCAGGATTTGTAAATTATAACCTAGGTTTAAAACCTTATGACACACACATAAACTGAATCACTGGCTTCTTTATTTTCAAAATGAGACTAATAAAAGAAGAGAGCCACTTTACATATACATTCAATATGTGGAAAATCAATGTACTTAGAAAAAAACAAACCAACTAAAAACAACCCAACCACTAGTACAACACACACACATACGAAATATGTTTTTCATATGAATAGCCACTAAATGGAGTCTATTTCATCTAATGTTTAAATAAGTATATACTTCCATGCAGAAAGAAAAATTGGCCGTGTTGTACATAAAAATGGCATAATACGTATAAAACCATGTACACTGTACTCTGTAATTTAAGGAACTCTTAAGAGCAATTTTGACAATGTATAATTTTCACGTTTTGTGCTGACTTTAGACTGTAAAACTGAAGTGAGATATGACTTCATATCTATAGGGCTGTTGTGAGAACCTGATAAAATGATGTACAGTCATGCATCACTAAACGATGAAGATAGGTTCTGAGAAATCATCATTGGGTGATTTTGTCATTATGCAGGTATTATAGAGTGTACTTCATGAACCTAGATGGAGAGCCTACTACACATGTAAGCTATATGAGACAGCCTATTACTCCTAGGCTACAAACCTGTAACAGTATGTTACTGTACTGAATACTGTAGGCAATTGAAACACAATGATAAGTACTTGTGTATCTAAACACACCTAAACATAGACAAGATATAGTAAAAATACAGCATAAAAGATAAGAAATAGTACATCTGTATAGGGCACTAACTTGCAAGTGGTGTGGGTGAGTCAGTGAGTCAGCAGGGAGGGAATGTGAAGGACTAGGCTATTACTGTACACTACTGTAGACTTACAAACACTGTATACTTAGGCTATTCTGAATTTATATAAAATATTTTTCTTTTTTCAATAATGAATTAACCTTCGTTTACTATAACCTTTTTACTTTATAAATTAAAAAAAATTTTAACATTTGACTCTTATGTAACAACTGTTAGCTTAAAACACAAACACACTGTACGGTACTGTATAAAATATTTTCTTTCCTTATATCCTTATTATTAATGAGGTTTTTTATGATTTAAATATTGTAACATTTTTTACTTTTCAAACTTTTTGTTAAAAACAAAGACACAAACATTCACATTAGCCTAGGGCCTATACAGGATCAGAATCATCACAACGTCACTAGGCTATAGGGAATTTTCAGTTTTATTATGTTATGGGACTACCATCATATATGCCCATCGTTGATCAAAACATTATGCAGTGCATGACTATATATAAAGATGCTTTGTAAATGGTCATGTTAATTGCTAATTTCTGTTCTCATCATCAAAGGCAGGAGTTTTTAGTTATTGCAGAGACAGAGAGAAATGTATATTGCCTTCTTACTTTTTTCCAATATGGATCAGAGAAGATATTTGTTCAGGTAACAGACCAGCAGCACGTTTTCAGTGCTGATATGAGAACAGGCCTCATTCGTTTCACTTTAATTGGCCCTTTGACGTTAAAGTCTACAACTTTGTGCTTTTAGTGCTGGGCCCATCCTGGCTAGCCATGCTAAGCAGTCTCCCTCCTCACAGCTAAGCTCCTCTGGTTCTTACCCAAGGCTAATCATCATTTCAAGTGGAATCTGGCATATTTACTCCTGATGTGATTCTGGCTGAAATCTGATGACGCAGGTCTGACAGCAATGCCTACGTCTGTCTTTTGTTTAGAGCTTAGTGCCTTGCATATCTAAGACAAGGACACTGCTTCTTTTTGGCAGCTTCCTTCCCAGGGCTGAAGTCTAGTCCCTGAACTCAAACGAGGATCTTCCCACTCAATTTTCTGAATGCCTTAACTGTCTGCCTCCCTGGATCAGGTCCTGCTGTGGACACAGTATGGTAGAGTGGTTGAATGTGGCTATCACATCAACTTGATGTTGGTTCAAATCTTGGCCACGCCACTTAGAAACAATGTCACTTTGGGCAAGTTAATTATATTATCTGAAACTCACTTTCTTCTTTGGTAAAGTGAGGATGTTAAAATACCAATTTTGTAGTCTTTTAAGATTAAATAAGATAATGTAAGTACTTAGCACAGAGCCAAGTTCTTAATAAATGTTAGTGCTCCTATGTCCAGTTAGATGATCAGCATCCTCTTCTGATGGTTACCCCACCTCGTCATCTCACTTTGGACCTCCTTGATACCAGTTGCTATTGTTCTACCTGCTGCCCATTGTGCTTGTGCTCTCTCTCTCTCTCTCTCTCTCTCTCTCTCTCTCTCTCTCTCTTTCTTTTTGGCAGAGTCTTGCTCTGTCACCCAGACGGGAGTGCAGTGGCGTAACCTCAGCTCACTGCAACCTCCACCTCCCAGGTTCAAGCGATTCTCCTGCCTCAGCCTCCCAAGTAGCTGGAATTACAGGCACCCGGCACCACGCCCAGCTAATTTTTGTGTTTTTAGTAGAGATGAGGTTTCACCATGTTGGCCAGGCTGGTCTCGAACTACTGACCTCAGGTGATCCACCCGCCTCGGCCTCCCAAAGTGCTGGGATTACAGGCGTGAACCACCGCGCCTGGCCTGCCCTACCTTTCTGACACCAACTTCTGCCCCCTATGTAGAAGATCTTCCAAGTATCTGTGACTGGATCTATTCTCCCTAGTGCCTGCTCTACTGCTATGGGCATGTCTTTTTATGCTATGACAGTCATCTCTGGGATCTACTAGATAATCAAAGCAGCCTGGACAATAATACATGCAAAGCATCCAGCAAATGTTCATGAAGTTTCTGCAAAGAACAGATTTCTATCGTGGAGAGAAGATGCCTCTGTGGAACTGCATCCTCAATTATGTATAAGCCATCAGCTTACATTTTGAAGGAGTGTTATTTTCTTTGCATATCAAAGACTTTCAAAAAAATGAAAAAGTCAAATTTCTCAAAATGTATAGAAAATACAATGGGTATGGGGTTCTCAAAGTTGATCGTGTTATTAGAAAATAAATAATATAGCACTCCTTAAATGTAAAATGATTTTTTAATCTTTGGGACTATTAATATCTGAGTTTTTTTCTCAATTAATCAGATTCACAATGATTTATAAATCTACTGATTACTTCTGGCAGAGAATGGTCTGATCTGAAACTATGTAAGAAAAAAATCACAAATATTTATGACTCACATAAAGTATTCTCATCTTCTGTTTGAAGTTTCCAATTTTACTATTATTTTGTGTTGTTTAATAAATCGCTAATTATATTAATCATAATTTTAATAAAATGATGAACATAACTTTTAAGACTTCAGCTCAAGTCATCTGGTAAGAAACAAAGATTCAAAAATGACTAACATTTGTTGTACTCTGGGTACTAGATTCTTCACACATGTTCTTCTCCCTTAAGCCTGTCAAATGATCCTATGATGTAGAAATTGCCACTTTACAAATAAGGAAACAGAGATTGACAAAAATTAATTCACCAGTTCAAGGAAACAGCTAGTAAACCAAGCTGAGGCACAAAGTCCATGCCTTTTCCCCTGCACCAGGCTGTCTCCAAATATTTCCTTTTCTGCCTCCTTTATTAATTTATCTTTTCATAATATCATTTTCTTACAGCAGGAAAACAACCTTTTCTTCCTTTTCCTTATAGTGGGATCCTGAAGGTATGGATAAATCTATATGGACTTTCATTTGGGCTTCTCCACAAATATTATTTCTACTGATAACACAATAATCTGATTAATTTTTCTACTGCAGTGCCTCAAATCTAAAAGACTTTTAAACATGTCAAGATTTCTAAAATTAGGGCATGTCTTACAATTGATCTATAGTGCACCTCCCCACTCCCTAAAAGGATGTTAGCAAATCTATGGTGCAACTTAGAATCAAGGAATACAAAATAAGATTATTTCACCTGCACTTTGGTTACTGACTGCTGTCAGAGACCCCACAGGCTTGGGCTCAGAGGATGCTATCAAATATTACTGGTAAATCCTGCCAAAGGGTGGTAAGTGGGGCAACATGAAGATAAAGGGTTACAGAGCCACCTGCAGAAGGGCAGCACTGGTGGTCCAGAGACCTCTAGTTACCAGCTTGTACAAGGCACAGTCCACAGTTTCAGTCCAATGTCTTAATAAGTATTTACTAACTTGCAATGTGTACATGTCATGAACAATCCATTTCCATAAAGTATATGGGCCCCCAGTTGCCAGACAACAAGGTACTTCATATCATGTAACATAAACAAGTCCATCGGGCTTCCAAATCTTCCTGCTGAATTAGAAAGGGTTTCCCCATGGAGTTTCGCAAGGCATATGTCTTTTCAGTGCATGTTTTTTATGGGAATGGCTTCTCTTCACCCCTCTCCTTGCCATGTGAAGCCCCTAATATGACACAGATTCAAGAAATTTTTCATTTTCATTCAATGAAAGTACATGAAACTCCTGGCTTTTGGTTAGTTTCCATGGATAAGAGGATGAATGAGACCCAAGAGGTATAAGCTTACATCTAAATCTCCCCAGAAGCCAGCATACTGAGGATGGTTGATTTGCAATGCAACTTTATAGGCAGGTCCCACTTCTAAAGTGTGGTGGGCAAAATTATCTGTAATTGAAAAGGAACAACTAGATACTGTCATCCTATTTTGGTCCCAAGCGGTAAGAAACCCCTCCCAGAATGAAACCTTCTCTAGACCAGCAAAGAGGCTCTTGCACTGGGGAAATATAGGTTTGCTTAAAGAAATAGGAAAGCCTGCATTTATAGAGCAGCACAAAATTACCACGTACAAACTTCCAAGCTATCCCAACACACAGGGTCATGGGTGGGGTAAGTCCTTTCTTCCTGATGTGGAAATTGAATTTTCGGTGTTCTCAGTATTCCTTGTCAATATCATTTGCCTCAGGAAATTCATTACGCAATCTGTCATTATTATACAATACTTATCTCCAAAAAGAAAAATCTCTTCCTTTTCAAATTCATTTATAAGAAAAAATTTGCTCCTCTCACAAATAAAGACAAAGCTTGGCCGACAACTACAGAACCTCCAGAGAACCTTAATAGGGTGAAGCTGGATGAGACCTTGATGTCTAATAAAGGGATCTTGATGAAGATTTTTTTTTCTCTAGTGCCACTTAGGATGGAAATGGAAGAAAACAGTGAGGCCTGGGGAGATGCCCTGAATAGAGTGTCACTATTGATTAGCAATATCTGCCTGGTCCTGGGAGAAGACCACATGGGACAGATCATGTCCGACTTCTTCCTTCCTAGTTGACTCAGAAACTTCTCCCACATCTGGGGTGTTTGGCTTTTGGGGAGTAAGGGGAATTTCTACAGGAAGGTTGTGACATTTTTCACCTTAGAGGTGGCCCTTATTTATAAAATCGCATGGCAGCAGCATCAACATCGTGATCTTGAAATGTTCTTTTCCTCTGGATTCCTTGATCCCCCCCTTTAATAGTTTTGCCCCTACCTTCTATCTGCTACTCCTCTATCTTCTCCATGGTATTCTCTACCTTTGTTAGTCTCTTACTTGTTAGTATTTCATTGGGTCTGGGTCTAGCTTCTCTACTTTGATGACTCTTCCTTACCATAGCAGTAACTAATTGCCTCCCTAATATCCATTCTCTCCTGCTTCCTCATTACAGAACCCCAATTTGATTGGGGCTGGCAATATGCCCAGCCAAGAGAATGACATTGCTGTGCCACCTTTGCCTTTGGGATAGCCAGTGACTAAGTTCTAGATGGAGAAAGTTGTTGAATGGGGCTTTCAGGAAAGCTCCTCAAAGGGGGGGCTGACTCAGCTAGTAGGTTTCTTTTGTCCTCTCCTTTCCTCCCTCTTTCTGTCTGAAGTGTGCATGCGATGGACTGGAGTTGCAATGGCCACTTTAAGAACAGGAGGTGACTAGGGTGAAGAATTCATCTTAGTTAGCCTGGGCCTTTCTTAGTTTTAAAATTTAAAGTCCCAGACTGGTGCAGTGGCTCACAGCTGTAATCCCAGCACTTTGGGAGGCTGAGGTGGGAGAATCGTTTGGGCCCAAGAGTTCAAGACCAGCCTGAGGAACATGGCAAAACCCCATCTCTACAGTACATAGAAAAATTAGCCAGGCATGGCACCTGTGGTCCCAGCTACTCAGCAGACTGAGGTGGGAGAATCACCTGAGCCTGGGGAGGTCGAGGCTGCAGAAAGCTGTGATTGCACCAGTGCAGTCCAGCCCAGGCAAGAGAGCAAGATTGTGTCTCAAAAAAAAGAAAAAAAAAACTTAAATTAAATTAAATTTAAAGTCCTATGTCCTGGGAACAGGACATGTTTTCTGGGGAAACTGACAGTGTTGTTCATCCTAGCAGGCAACCCTGAAAATGGACATTATCACTGTGAGTGGGATGTAAAAATAGCAGGAGCTGGGTTCCTGATCATATTGTTGAGTCTTCTAACCAGTCTGGACTTCCTATGTCTGCACTTTTCACTAGGAAAGAAAAACAACAAATCCCAATTTAAACCATTATTTAGTTTTTTTCTGCTATAGGCATCCAAATTACTTAACTGACTTCTCCCATGCCTTCCAGCTTCGTTTATACAGAGGTAATTCCCAAGTCTCTCACTCTGGCCTGATCCCCTATCACTTCCAGACTCATGTATCTTTCTGTTGGGCATCTCCACATGGACATGCCATAGGCACTTAAACTCATTCTCTTTCTCCCAAATCCTACTCTCCCAAATCTGAGAGAATG